>NC_000018.10:21536206-22161206 GCF_000001405.40 Homo sapiens
TTATTTTTAAATGAAAATATTATATACATGTAAAAACACACTATTTCAGTTCAGTAGATCAACTTTATTCCAAGCAGGGCATCCTCTAAAGAGTTCTTTTGGGCTGGGTGTGGTGGTTCACACCTGTAATCCTACCACTTTAGGAGGCCAAGGCGGGTGGATTGCCTGAGCTCAGGAGTTCACGACCAGCCTGGGCAACATGGTGAAACCCTGTCTCTACTAAAATATTAAAAAATTAGCCAGGTGCCGCAGTGTGCGCCTGTAATCCCAGCTACTCTGGAGGCTGAGACAGGAGAATCCCTTGAACCTGGAAGGTGGAGGTTGCAGTGAGCCGAGATTGCGCCGTTGCACTCCAGCCTGGGTGACAGAGTGAGACTCCATCTCAAAAAAAAAAAAAAAAAAAGTTCTTTTGAATGACTGTACTGATCAATAACTGTTTTTTAACCCCTTTGGAACACTTTGCAAAATGAAGGAAGAACTGGAGGGGGATGCCAAACCCAACAGTCTAGAGAACAAGAGGGATGGGGTGAGAGCTCCTACAATAGATTATTAGGAACATTAAGACTTCCTATTAGAAGCATCTAATCTGTGAATTGAAGAGAACTTCACTGCAATCTTAGCCAGGCAAGCCACTCTTCTTCCCAACCCTTAATTAGTACTCTCATCGGTAAAACAAAAGTGAGTATAGAGAAAAGGAACTCATGTTTACTTCCTATCAACCACTTATAGGCCAGACATTATTCAAAGCACTTTACAAATATTTCACTTAAATCCCACATTTCTTGGAGGTTTATGGTTCTTCACTTTACATATGGAAGAAATAATACTCAAAAGTTAAAGAACTTTCCCATGTCAGATATTAGACATCTAGAAAATCAAGCAGCAGAGTCACATGTGAACCCAAAATGTTACTATGGCATCAAACCATGCTTCTTGCAGTTTAGCTCCTAACTGACCAAAGTCAAACATGGTAAGCTCAAACTGTTTGCAGGCAACCAAAATTAAGACCTCTGTAGGTACTCAACCATTAGTTCCTTCCCCAGTTAAAAGATACTGCCAACAAAAGCCAGAGAGCAGTGGCTGATGCCTATAATCCCAGCACTTTGGGAGGCTGAGGCTAGAGGAGTTCAAGGCCAGCCTGGGCAACACAGCAGAACCCATCTTTACAAAATTGTTTTATTAGCCAGATGTGGTGGCACTTGCCAGTAGTCCCAGCTACTCAGGAGACTGGGGCAGGAGGGTCACTTGGGCTCAGGAGTTTGAGGTTACAGTGAGCTATGATCACACCACTGCACTCCAGCCTGGGTGACAGAGTGGAATTCTCTTAAAAAACAAAACAAAACAAAAAACTAAAAATAGAGTCCAATAACACTCATTTATGTTATTAAGTCCTCCTAATCCTGACACAGCATCCTACAACTCCTAATTCCTAAAGACAAGTGATTCACAATTCCCTAGATTTTAATTTTTAACCTATTATGGGTTACTAAGATTTTGTTCCGATAAACTAAAATGAGGAAATTAGCATCTACTGAGGGTTCCTTCTAAGAAAAGTCTGGTTGCCATATATGGTAGTGTAGCAAAAGTTCCCATGTGCATTTCCAAATGTGAATAGCTGGAATTCCAAAAATTCATTAATTTAATTTTCATTTCAGTTGACCCTCGAACAACAAAAGTTTGAACTGTGTGGGTCCACTTATATGTAGGGCTTTTTTCAATAAACATATTGGAAAATTTTTTTGGGAATTGTGACAATATGAAAAAACTAGCAGATGAACCATGTAGCCTAGAAACATAAAAAAAAAAAAATCAAGAAAAGGTTAGGTATGTCATGAATGCATAGAATATATGTAGATACTAGTTTAAGTATGGGATTAATCAATTATTTATGTTATCAATAAGGTTACCAGTCAACAGTAGGCTATTAGCAGTTAAGTTTTGGGGGAATCAAAAGTTGTACTTGGGCTGGGCAGGGTGGCTCACGCCTATAATCCCAGCACTTTTGGAGGCTGAGGCAGGAGGATCCCTTGAGACCAGGAGTTCAAGACAAGCCTGGGCAACACGGTGAGACCCTGTCTCTTAAAAAAAAAAAAAAAAAAAAAAGTTATAATTGGATTTTTGGCTGCATGAGAAGCCAGCACCCATAACTACTACACTGTTCGTGGGTCAGCTGTGGTTAATCACTGATCCAACATTAATTCAACAAGAATTTACTATTGTGCAAGAATCAATGTTTCAAATACAAGACAGGTTGGGCATGTTTACATGTCACTGTAAATACTGTTGTCTATTCTGTTAGGCAGCAGTAATATGAAAGCTTATTTGGGTATCTAAGATTGTCCATTCGGATAAACAGAGTATCTAAAGTTAAGAATCAGAAAATAAACTTACATATTTTAAATAGATTATTAGCTAAACTTTCAAATAACAGGCGCAAAGTATTTTCCTTCAACCAACTTTTCAGGTGAAGTATTCTTAAGTTTAAAGAAGTCCAATTGTTAACCTAAAAAAAAGTATAATAAACTGTTTTCCTCCTGTTTCCAGACATTTGGGACACACTCTAGTATAATTACTAAAGTGTTTCAGATAAACTTAACTGAACCCATTGCTAACATTATGAGGTATTTCTTCTGAAAAAGCATCCAGAGGTTGAAGAAAAACATACTGAGTATATTATTTGAAAGTGTAATGAACATATTAAACTTATTTAAAAATAAGTTTACCTTTTGGTTCCTGATTTTTAAAATAACCTATATAATAAAATGGTTCCAGGATTCATTATCTGGTTCACTTCTCAACACAATAAACTCTCTGAACACTTGAAGTATGGAACTCTAAGTTAGACTAACACCTGCCTCACACTAGATAAAATAAACTTTTATGTTTCCGCATTATATTTATAAACTGGAATATATCCTTATATCTTAAAAATATTATAAGATTAAGTCATGTTTAATTTCAGGTTTACTATGACCTACTTAGCAATCCCCTTCTGCAATAAGCTTTTATTTAGAAATTTTCCCTTAGAATGAAACTTTACATTTTATTAATTATCCAAATTATTATAATTCAGCTTTTATTTCTGATCGTGAAATCTTTTAGTTGGCATTATTCACTTAACAGAAGATAAGCATATCTACTTTGGCACTCAAATTATTAACTACTACTAATACAGGACAATTTAGTAATAATACTGGACAGTACTCAGTTCATTTAGAATTCATATACTGGACACACTACAAAGTTTAACATAATTTTTGAATTGGGTTATACCCTTTAAACGCTTATTTCTTGTTTTCAGAATAGGTGTTTCAATATACTATGCCAGCAATCTGTTATCCTCTTAAAATTAACTGCGAAATGGGCCAGGCGCAGTGGTTCAAGCCTGTAATCCCAGCACTCTGGGAGGCCAAGACAGGCAGATCATGAGGTCAGGAGTTCGAGGCCAGCCTGGCCAATATGGTGAAACCCTGTCTCTACTAAAAATACAAGTTAGCCAGGTGTGGTGGCACACATCTGTAGTCCCACCTACTCGGGAGGTGGAGGCAGGAGAATCCCTTGAACCCGGGAGACAGAGGTTGCAGTGAGCCGAGATCGTGCCACTGCACTCCAGCCTGAGCGACAGAGCAAGACCCTGTCTCAGGGTAAAAAAAAAAAAAATTAACTGCAAAATGATATTATCCACTCTACATGAAGTTTCACTGGAAATTTACCTTTTTCAGGGCATACTTTGGGTCTTCAGGAAGAACCATTATTATCCTGCCATCAGGGTATTCAGCCAGAATTCTTTCTTTCTTCCAGCCCTAGATATATATATATATATATACACACATATGTAAAGTATGAATTTTATGTATATTCTATTCATTATATCCACGTACAAGATAAAAAGTACATCAATTTGTCTAAAAATTGCAAACATGAAAAATATATGCTCATTAATGCTTAATAAAGCATGATAAATCGGCTATTTTGTTAAGCATACAATAGGTACAAGGCAAGCTAATTTCTCTCTACTACTCATTCAGAGATATATCTAATACCACAAGAGTATTTCTAATTTATCATTTCCCGTTTTAAATTAATTTTGAAAGCCACACACCAAAAGCAAGCCCCTTAAAGTCAGTAATTCCCAGAAACTATAACTCTCCCAGATTCTTGATAAAAGAATTAAACTCTTATATTTCATTGGAACATGGTTACCTCCACAAACAAACACTCCAAGTTTTATGTCTGGCATGCCAAAGACCTCCAGGAGGTTTTAAATGAACTGATTTGCATGCAGTAGCCCAGTATGAAAGGAATAGTCTTATGCTTATTGATCACAACTACCAAAGCCACAAGAAGGAGACTATAAAAAATATAACTACCTTCTAAGAATCTAATAGGGAAGGAGAAGCTACGTTGTGTGTATCTGAAGTTAAACATACTCAAAAAAAGAGAGGTAATAAACTCTTCTTCAGATCCACACTCGTGGTGATTAATGAGCAGAACCTGCATAAAAAAACAAAACAAAACAAAAGCCACTTAAATCTAGTAAGATGGGACTGAACCAGAGGTTAAAACTAGGAGCTTTGAAGTTCAAAATAAGTACAGAAGGAATGAGCTTAACTAGTTGTTCCAGTTGTCTTAACCCAACCAACTTTACATAAAAAGGCCTTTCCAGAAGCCATTTATACTTCTAGTAGAGAAAACCACCATATTTTTTCTGATGTTTCTTCTAAGAACACAAAAAGCTCAATGAAACCAAGAAAATGGCAACTAGATTTCTTTAAAAATATACTATGGCAAGTGTGAAAGCAGATTCGTTTTCTTAAACCATCAGGAATTTTTTGGAGGGGGAAGGTAGAAAGATCATAGTTGGGAACAAAAATTCTAGGTAATAAGCTTGGTATATGTAACAATTTAAATTAAAATATTTAAAATCCAAAATTTGTTTACATAATAGAGTACCCAAGTTAAAATTCAGATGATTAAAATTATGATTGGTAAAATGTTCTCAAGATTTGAAAAGAAAGGAGCAGAAACAATAGCCACAGAAGTCCTTTTTTCATCTAAGAAACTAAATCTGTAGTTCTTCAACGTAAATAAGGTTTTAAAAAAGAAACTTAAGGCCGGGTGCAGTGGCTCACGCCTGTAATCCCAGCACTTTGGGAGGAGGGCAGATCACAAGGTCAGGAGATTGAGACCATCCTGGAAACCCCGAATCTACTAAAATACAAAAAATTATTGTATTTTTAGGCGGGTGTGGTGGCACGCGCCTGTAGTTCTGGCTACTCAGGAGGCTGAGGCAGGAGAATTGCTTGAACTCGGGAGGTGGAGGTTGCAGTGAGCTGAGTTCGCGCCATTGCACTCCAGCCTGGGTGACAGAGCGAGACACTGTCCCAAAAAAAAAAAAAAAAAAAGAAAGAAAGTAAATCTGAATCATATAGAGATCTGAATATAGGTAAACAATTTTTAGAAGATTTACAAGACATCACCTCTTTAAAAACAAATTTCTATTACTAATGTTACTTTATGAAAAAGCTTTTAAATTTATGAACCTATTTTTAATAAAATGAAAAGAGATTTTCACTTTAAAACATCGAAAAGACCTAAAAATGTAAGTAACCTCAAGTTATAAGAAAACCATTCTTCCTGAACTGAATCATCTAAAGACAGTTCCATAAACTATTTTCCTATTAAATGCCTTTGAAAACAGTAATACTGGTTTCATGTCATTATATTGCATTATAGACATTAGACAAATTATTTTGCTTTACTAATTTTTGAGTGCAAAACTTTCTCTTGAAACAACTTCAGACTTGTATGTTCATGCCGAAATTTTTATCACAATTCCATTTGATATAATTTTATGTTTTAAATAGTACCTTTTTTTCATGTACTAAATAAAAGCCCTTTAAGAAGCAAAGGCTGCAAAAGGATACTTAGTATTGCTTAGATTTCTAATGTTCATGAAAACAGCAAGTTTTATTTATTAATGTAATTTACTTATTTGAGACAGAGTCTCACTCTGTCACCCAGGCTGGAGTGCAGTGGCAAGATCACAGCTCACAGCAGCTTCAAACTCCTGGGGCTCAAGCAATCCTCTTGCTTCAGCCTCCCAAGTAGCTGGGACTACAGGCGTGCACCACCATGCCAAGCTAAGAAAGCATATTTCAGTGAAAACTTTTAAGTAACTCTAGAGTAAAAGTTCAGGGTTTAGATCCTTGTTCTTGGTAGTTACTAGATGCATGGCCTTAGGCAAATCACTGGAACTCTGATTCTGTTTCCTGATCTTAGCATTCTAAAAAATGGCTATCATCACCTCCATCACTTGGGTAGGTACGAGGGTGCTGTATTTAAGATGACTGCTCAAAGAGTAGCCACTAAGTAACTCTTAGCAACTTCCATTCTCCCTTCTTACTAGTATCAAACTAAGATCAATGCACTAATCTAACAAAACAGTCAATCAATAAATGTTCCCAAGGGTAAATACAGCAATAAATTCAAATCATAGGCAAATAAAAGATGAAAGAAACAAGTTAGCTAATATTTGTTCAAATAACATACTCAAGACATATCTATGCCTCAACTACAGTTAACTGCTAGTCACAATAACCACATGACCCTCCTTACTTCAGAGAAACTTAGAGGCGATAAAGTCCATCCAATGCTTAAAATTAAGGCAGAGGAGAAGCAGGGTTCAGGAAAGAGTGCATGCAATTTAGAAGAATAATCAAATAGCCACAACGTTTTTGCAAAGAAATAAATTCCAATGCAGTGCACTTACACTTCTGACCTTTAGCTCCAACATATTTCAGGACTAGTATGTTACACATAACCCTCTGCTAACAAGTAGTATTTTCCAAAACCCATTTTTTCTTACTTCATCCATTTCTGCTTCATGAAAAGCAGAAAACTTTATATTCCTAATTTGTATTTCTAACAGCAAGAAATTATTATTATTTTATTTATTTTTTTTTTTGAGACAGTTTCAATCTTGTTGCCCAGGCTGGAGTGCAATGGCGCAATCTCGGCTCACTGCAACCTCCGCCTCCCGGGTTCAAGCAATTCTCCTGCCTCAGCCTCCCGAGTAGTTGGGATCACAGGCATGTGCCACCACGCCGAGCTGATTTTTTTTGTATTTTTAGTAGAAACAGGGTTTCTCCATGTTGGTCAGGCTGGTTTCGAACTCCCGACCTCAGGTGATCCGCCAGCCTTGGCCTTCCAAAGTGTTGGGATTAAGAAATTATTACTCTTTTCTCCTTGCTATTGGAGTTACTCTAAACTGTACAGTCTAAAGAATGGATTTCTCCTTTTTCCATCAAAAAAAGGATTACAATTGGAAACAAAATACACTGAGTGGTAAATACACTGAGTATATACAATGATCAAAATTCAAACCAAACACTTAAGATGTGTAGATTTAATTGTATAAATAATACCCCGACTTTAAAAGTTCACATTAATCACAATTTCATGAAAAGGTTGAATGAGAATATACATTTGAAGGAATATTTGAAGAAATAAAACCAACAACCAGCTTTTCAAAAAATAAACAAATATTACAAGGGAAAAAAACAGAACCAGGGAGAACTTTGGGATTAAAAGATACTAAAGGGACATAACAACCAATGTAATATATAAACCCTAATTCAAACAAATAAGCAACATAGGAAATCATGAGCTATTTGGGAAGCTTTGAACTCTGATAGAAAACTTGATTTCAACAATTAATTCATTTATTGAAGGTGTAGTTATATTCTTTAAGGTACTTTTATGTTTAAAAAAGGAATAATCTTTGGCCAAGCGCAGTGGCTCACACCTGCAATCCCAGCACTTTGAGAGGCTGAGGAAGGCGGATCACAAGGTCAGGAGATCGAGACCATCCTGGCTAACACGGTGAAACCCTGTCTCTACTAAAAATACAAAAAAATTAGCTGGGTGTGGTGGTGCACGCCTGTAGTCCCAGCTACTTGGGAGGCTGAGGCAGGAGAATTGCTTGAACCCAGGGGACAGAGGTTGCAGTGAGCCGAGATCGCGCCACTGCACTCCAGCCTGGGCGACAGAGCGAGACTCCAACTCAAAACAAACAAAAAAGGAGTAATCTTCATCTTTAAGCAATACATATTTAGAGGTGGGGCATGGTGGCTCACACCTGTAATCCCAGCACTTTTGGGGGCCAAGGCAGGCGGATTACCTGAGGTCAGAAGTTCGAGACCAGCCTGGCTAACCTGGTGAAACCTCGTTTCTACTAAAAATACAAAAAAAAAACAAAAAAAAAACAAAAACTAGACAAGCGTGGTGGCATGCACCTGTAATCCCAGCTACTTGGGAGGCTGAGGCAGGAGAATCACTTGAACCCAGGAGGTGGAGGTTGCAGTGAGCCAAGATCATGCCATTGCACTGCAGCTTGGGCAACAAGAGTGAAACTCCATCTCAAAAAAAAAAAAAAGAAGTACATACTTAGAAATATCTACTAAAGTAATAACATGATGCCTAAGTTTACTTCAAAATAATTGGGAAAGTTAGATGATTATCCATGAATTGTTGAAGGTAGGTGATCAGTACAAAGGGGTTCATTACTCTGTGTGTGTGTGCTGTATTAAACTTGTTTTGGAAAATTCAAATTGCCTATTGTCAAAACTGTACCAATGGCCCAAGGTTTGTTCAAGTATTTAGAAGTAAAAAATAAATGCAAAACTAATCTAGTCAGCGTTGCAGCCAGACCCGAAGTGCAGTAAAGTAGTGACTGTAACAGGAGCAGCTAGACCTGAAGTGTGATAAAGCAGTGACTGTAATAGGATCACAAAGGAGTTTTGGAGGTGCCAGTAATGTTGCTTCTTCTTACATGGGTGTGTTCACTTTGTGAAAATACACCATTATTAAGCTGTGTACTCGCTGTGTACTTTCTTTTTCTTTTTTTGGTTCAGATGGGGTCTCACTATGTTGCCAAGGCTGGTCTCAAAGTGCTGGGCTCAAGCCATCCTCCCACCTCAGCCTCCTTAAGAATTGGGATTACAGATGTGAGACACCATGTCTAGCCTGTGTACTTTCTTTACATGTTATAAGTCAGTAAAAATTTTACTTAAAAACAATTACTGGACAGGTGCGGTGGCTCATGCCTGTAATCCCAGCACTTTGGGAGGCCAAGGTGGGAAGATCGCCTGAGGTCAGGAGTTCGAGATCAAACTGGCCAACATGGCAAACCCCGTCTCTACTAAAAATACAAAAATTAGCCAGGCTTGGTGGCGGGCACCTGTAATCCCAGCTACTCAGGAGGCTGAGGCAGGAGAATCCCCTGAACCTGGGAGGCAGAGGCTGCAGCGAGCCGAGATCACACCATTGCACTCCAGCCCGGTTAACAGAGCAAGACACCGTCTCAAAAAAAAAAAAAAAATTTACTAAAGGAATTAGAAAAATAGGCATTTCAATAGTAATTTAAAAAGTTAAGTTGAGGCCGGGCGCAGTGGCTCACACTTGTAATCCCAGCACTTTGGGAGGCTGAGGCGGGTGGATCTCCTGAGGTCAGGAGTTCGAGACCAGCCTGGCCAACATGGCGAAACCCCATGTCTACTAAAAATACAAAAAATTAGCTGAGCATGTGGCGCACGCCTGTAATCCCAGCTACTCGGGGGGGCTGAGGCAGGAGGATCACCTGAACCCAGGAGGCGGAGGCTGCAGTGAGCAGAGATCATGTCACTGCACTCCAGCCTGGGTGACAAGAGCGAAACTCCATCTCAAAAACAAAAAAAACCCAATACTGGTAAAGATGTGTGTCTAATCCATATGGCCATATTGAACTTCAAAGTGTTTAAAAGTCTTAGATATTACTACTAGTTTGAAAGTGACATACACATGGAAAAATTCTCTCAATTCAGTAAATTTGTACTGACTACCTACCATGTATACAAACCATTATCTTGGCAGTATAGCATAGTGGTAAGGAGGATTTCAAAAATCAGAAAAACCTAAAATTCGAATGCAAACTCTGCTACTCACTAGCTGCCCTGCTTTGGGCAAATTACTTAACCTCTCTAAAACTTGGTTTCCTCACCTATAAAACAGATACAAAAACAGGCCTGGTGCAGTGGCTCACACCTATAATCCATACTTTGAGAGGTAGAGGAAGGAGGATCACTTGAGCCCAGGAGTTCTAGACCAGCCTGTTAGAGCAGCATGGTGAAACCCTGCCTCCACCAAAAACAAATAAAAACAAAAAAACAACAGAAAACGACTGAGAAGCTAAATGAGAAAACACTATAAAATGTTGACCATAGGGCCTAGCACAATAATATGTACTCAATAAATAACAGTTCCGATTATTACAGCAACTAAGCATTTTAATTGTTTTAGTAGGTTTTGGTTTTTGTTTTGAGACAGGGTCTCACTCTGTTGCCCTGGCTGGAGTGCCGTGGTGCAATCATGGCTCACTGCAGCCTCAGCCTCCTAGGCTCAAGCAACTCTCCCAACTCAGCCTCCCGAGTAGATGGGACCACAGGCATGCAGCCCAACACCCAGGTGATTTTTCTATTTTTTGTAGAGACAGGGTTTTGCCATGTTCCCCAGGCTGGTCTCAAACTCCTGAGCTCAAGTGATCCTCCCGCCCTGGCCTCCCAAAGTGCTGGGATTAAAGGTGTGAGCCACCGTGCCTGGCTGGTTTAGGTTTTTAAACCTTCAATGCCTTCCTGCCTTACAAGGTCATTCATGATCCGGTCCCCCATTTACCTCTTTCAGCCTTATCTCTTGCAGCTTTTCCAATACAACACAGTCACAAGTCATAATGGAATACTTTTATTTGCCTGGCCTTTCACATACTGCTCTCTTGGCCTGATATGCCTTTGCTCTATACCCTTCTGAGCTCAAGGGACTCCTACTTATCCTTTCTGAATTTATTAAGTGCTAACCCGACTTTTCCAATCTTTGTCATATGTCCTTGCTCTATGCTCTATATAATACCCTGTATATCCTAAAATACTACTGTAGCATTTTCCACACTATTTAAATGTTTATCCATCGTCCCTCGCACTGATCTGTGAACTTACATAAAAGATCTTTATAATAATTTTTAAAAACAAGGTCGACAGTTAATAAATGTTTAAGAAATAAATAAGCCTACGAAAAAATTATCACATAAGAGATTACTGTCATTGCTTACAGATTTGAAAAAAAAAAAAAAACTAAAGAGAAAAAGAGTTAATTTGCTAGGGTCATACAACTAGAAAGTGGCTCATTAGGAAACCACATCTCTATAGTTAAGCTCACTTTCTTTTCTACTATGCCACACTGACCTCAAGAATCTTATAAATCTAATAGGAGAAACATATAGTATACAAATGTCTTTAATACAAGGTGCAATAAAGTATATGCTTGAAAGGAAATTTTCCTTGATTCTAAAATAAGCTTTATTTATTATACTTCAATGTTTCTGAATCCAAAATCAGTCTACCAATATGTATATTTAATATATTTCTTAATTCTCAAAAAAACAGCTATCAAACTGAAGCAGGAACCTACAAGAAAAGGCAAAATAATATAAGCAAAGTGTTAAAATAGTTTTAGGAAGATAGAGAAAATGCTTATTGGGATAAGAGAGGAATAAAAGAAAAATATTCATAGAAAAGAGTATTTCCGGCCAGGCGCAGTGGCTCACACCTGTAATCCCAGCACTTTGGGAGGCTGAGGTGGGCAGATCACGAGGTCAGGAGATCGAGACCATCCTGGCTAACAAGGTGAAACCCTGTCTCTACTAAAAATACAAAAATTAGTCGGGCATGGTGGAGAGTGCCTGTAGTCCCAGCTACTCAAGAGGCTGAGGCAGGAGAATGGCGTGAACCCAGGAGGTGGAGCTTGCAGTGAGCTGAGATGGCGCCACTGCACTCCAGCCAGGCCAACAGAGCAAGACTCCGTCTCAAAAAGAAAAAAGAAAAAGAAAAGTTATTTCCCTGGGCTTGAAAGGCACAGATAAAAATGGGATGGCATTCTTGGTGGTGGGAATGCTATGAACTAAAAAATATAGGAAGGCCAGGTACAGTGATTCACACCTGTAATCTCAACACTTTGGGAGGCCAAGGCAGGACAATTGCTTGAGCCCAGGAGTTTGAGACCAGCCTGGGCTACACAGTAGGACCCTGTCTCTACAAAAAAAATAGAAAAATTAGCTGAGTGTGATGGCACATGCCTGTAGTCTCAGCTACTCAGCAGGCTGAGGCAAGAGGATCGCTTGAGCCTGAGAGGTTGAGGCTGCAATGAGCCATGATTGCGCCACTGCACTCCAGCCTGGGCAACAAAGTTAAGACCCTGTCTCAAAAAAAGCAAAAATAAAAAGGCCAGGGGGGTGGTGGATCATGCCTGTAATCCCAGCACTTTGGGAGGCCGAGGTGAGAGGGCTGCTTGAGGCTGGAGTTTCAAGATCAGCAGGCCAACATAGCAATATCCATCTCAAAAAAAATTTTTAAATTTAAAAATTGGCCAGGCATGGTAGCTCACCCCTGTAATCCCAGCACTTTGGGAGGCCAAGGCAGGCAGGTTGCTTAAGCCCAGAAGTTTGAGACAAGCCTGGGCAACAAAGCAAGATCTTATCTCTACAAAAAGTAAAATAATCAGCTGGGCATGGTGACACATGCTTGTAGTCCCAGCTACTTGGGAGACTCAGGCAGGAGGATCCCCTGAGCCCAGGAGTTCAAGGCAACAGTGAGCTCATCGCACCACCGCACTTCAGCCTGGCCAATAGAGCAAGACCCTGTCTCTTAAAAAAAAAAAAAAGAGGCAAGAAATATAAATCTATTCCCTCCTTATTAACAGCTACAGAGTTTTCTGAAGTATCAATGTGTCTGGGTCTTTTAACCATTAGCTCCAGTATTTTGATCTCAAAAACTGCATTTCCATAAGATAGGGTCCTAGAAGTAGAATCATTTGATACAACTTGCTTGTAAAGGCTGTTTCTTAATATAAAACCCTGCTCTAATTTTTGAGACCCTGTCTCTAAAAAGAAAACAAACCCCAAAATGCCATTTGAGTATCCATCTCACCCAACATTCCTGCTTTGAACCTGAATATGGTATCTGGACTACAGAAATCTACTTTAGGACCATGATGTTACAACTGTGAAGCACAAGAGTCAACACACTAAGGACAGCAGAGTGCTGAATGAGAAATGGCCAGCATTCATGATGACACTATTGAACTGCTAGATGGAACCACCCTGACATGACACACCTCCAGACTTCCTTGTTTTTTTTTTGGAGACGGAGTCTCGCTCTGTTGCCCAGGCTGGAATGCAGTGGCACGATCTCAGCTCCCTGCAATCTCCGCCTCCAGGGGTCAAGCGATTCTCATGCCTCAGTCTCCCAAGTAGCTGGGATTACAGGCAGACACCATCACGCCCAGCTAATTTTTGCATTTTTAGTAGAGACGGGGTTTTACCATGTTGGTCCGGTTGGTTTCAATGTATGTATTTGGGAGTTTTGCTCCCAATTAGGATACAGAAGGTCAAAGGCCAGGCACAGTGGCTCACACCTGTGATCTCAGCACTTTGGGAGGCCGAGGCGGGTGGATTACCTGAGGTCAGGAGTTCAAGGCCAGCCTGGCCAATGTGCTGAAACCCTGTCTCTACTAAAAATACAAAAATTAGCTGGGTGTGGTGGCACATGCCTGTAATCCCAGCTACTTGGGAGGCTGAGGCACGAGAACTGCTTGAACCCAGGAGACAGAGGTGGCAGTGAGCCAAGATCACGCCACTGCACTCCAGCCTGGGCAACAAAGACTCCATCTCCAAAAAAAAAAAAAAGAAGGTCACAAAAGATCACTGTACCTACTGTAGTAAGAAAACACCCAATAAATGAAAATCCATGTGTTTTTAAAGACACTGAAAAGGCATAGAAACAAAATGTCTAAATGAACTGATTTTCAGAAATGAACCAGCCCTTCCTAAGTGAGCAGAGACCAGTAGCCATTTTTAACCCTAAGATGTTGATTATGTCTGGAAGCATGAGTGAACAAGCAAGCCTGCAACAGAGAACAAGAAGAGTCTCATCAACTTAACGTAATTGGGAGAACTGGGTCAGTTAATAACCAACAGTCATCAACTTTTTAGATATTCAGTTATTATTTAGTTAACTGATCCAATTTTCCCAATTACGTTGATTAAGTGAACTTCTACTATAACATCTAAACCTTACGACTATATGAATATTTCTCATAAGATATGCCTGGGTCAGACCCAATAAAAAGTCAAATGGGAAGAATTATGATACTTTTTTCTCTTCTGTCTTCAAATATTAAAGAATCCTAAAAATCTCTTTATTAGGATTCACATTTTAAGCACTTTTCAATAGGTAGCAACAATATCCCAGTATGTAAGAAATACTTTATTTGATGTAAATCTCATCTCAAAGGTCATTTGGACTTAGCAAACACATTGAGTTCATCGGTATTGCTTATGACTTTAAAAGACTCATGGTCCAAATTCCACTCCACCTCTACAGCCAAAATTAAACAAAGCCAACAAGTCTATTACTGAAAAATGTTATCACAATGTACATCTCTGGGAGTTCTGCTCCCATTTAGGATAAAGGAGGTCACAAAAGATCACTGTAACTGTTGTAATAAGAAAACACCCAATAAATGAAAAAGCACGTGTTGGCCGGGCGTGGTGGCTCACGCCTGTAATCCCAGTACTTTCGGAGGCCGAGATGGGCGGATCACGAGGTCAGGAAATCAAGACCATCCTGGCTAACATGGTGAAACCCCGCCTCTACTAAAAATACAAAAAATTAGCCGGGCATGGTGGCAGGAGCCTGTAGTCCCAGCTACTTGGGAGGCTGAGGCAGGAGAATGGCATGAACCCGGGAGGTAGAGCTTGCAGTGAGCCGAGATCACGCCACTGCACTCCAGCCTGGGCTGCAAGAGCAAAACTCTGTCTCAAAAAAAAAAAAAAAAAGAAAACAAAAAGCATGTTTTTTTAAAAGACACTGAAAATGTATAGAAACACAATGTCCAGGCCGGGCGCAGTGGCTCATGCCTGTAATCCCAGCACTTTGGGAGGCCGAGGCGGACAGATCACGAGGTCAGGAGATCGATACCATCCTGGCTAACACAGAGAAACCCTGTCTCTACTAAAAATACAAAAAATTAGCCAGGCGTAGTGGCGGCACCTGTAGGAACCTGGGAGGCGGAGCTTGTAGTGAGCCGAGATTGTGCCACTGCACTCCAGCCTGGGCAACAGAGCGAGACTCCGTCTCAAAAAAAGAAAAAAAAAAGAAACTCAATGTCTAAATGAACTGATCTTCAGAGATGAACCAGCCCTTCCTAAGTGAGCAGACACAAGTAGCCATTTTTAACCATAAGATGTTGACCAAGTCTGGAAGCATGAGTGAACAAGCAAGCCTGCCACAGACAGAGGACAAGGAGAAGAGTCTCTTGCTGGAACAAAGAGAAACCAACCAGAATTACGTGGCCTGACATGGCAGTCTGAAATCTGAAGAAACTCCAAATACAGCAATAATTATCTACCAATTCTCTCCCATGGGACAACTGCAGTTGGGCTGGAAGGTATAGAGAGTTCTAGTGTCGTGTGGAGCTTAGATCCCCAATCTCAGCTGGAGAGAGACACCTAATACCAGAACAGAAAACTACAGTTTCAAACCCAACTCTGACCTGACCCAATTCAATTTCTAATTAGATCAAAGCAATCAGCCCCTCACCACAGTTAAGACAAAAGAAAAGAGAAAGCACTCATGGGTAAGGGAAAGGATACTATCTACTTCAGTCTCTACTTTTCCTTTACACACAATCTCCAGTGTACAATAAAAATTTACAAAACCAGATAGGAAGACTCAATATTGTCAAAAGGTCAGTTCTTCCTGATTTAATCTACAGATTCAATGCAATCCTAATAAAGATCCCAGCAAGCTATTTTGTAGATATTGACAAACTAGTTATAAAGTTTGTATTGAGAGGGAAAAGACTTAGAATAGCCAACACAAAATTGAAGAACAACAAAGTTGGAGGACTGACACTACCCAATTTCAAAACTTACTATAAGGCTAGTTATCAAGACAGTGTGGTTGATATGGTTTGGCTGTGTCCCCACCCAAATCTCATCTTGAATTATAGTTTCCATAATCCCCACGTGTCATGGGAGCAACCCAGTGGGAGGTAATTGACTCATGGGGGTAGTTACCCCCATGCTGCTGTTCTTGTGACAGTGAGTTCTCACAAAATCTGATGGTTTTATAAGGGGGTTTTCCCCGTTTGCTCGGCACTTCTCTCTCCTGACACCATGTGAAGAAGGACAAATCTGCTTCCCTTTCTGCAACAATTGTAAGTTTCCTAAGGCCTTCCTAGCCATGCAGAACTGTGAGTTAATTAAACCTCTCTCCTTTATAAATTACCCAGTCTCAGGCAGTTCTTTATAGCAGCGTGAGAACGGACTAATACAGTGGTACTGGTGAAACAACAGATCAATGAAACAGGACAGAGAACCCGGAAACAGACTCATATAAAAAGTCAACTGATCTTTGATATAAGAGAAAAGGCAATATAATGGAGAAAAGACAGCCTTTCAACAAATGGTGCTGAACTGGACATCTACATGTAAAAGTAATCTAAACACAGACCTTGCATCTCTCACAAAAATTAACTCAAAATGGATCTAAACATAAAATGCAGAAATATAAGTAACATAGGAGAAAAACTAGATGACCTTGGGTATGGCAATGACATTTTAAGTATACCAAAGGCACAATTCATGAAAGAAATAACTGATCAACTGGACTTCATTAAAATTTAAAATGTCTGCTTTTTAAAAGATACTGTTGGCCAGGCATGGTGGCTCCCACCTGTAATCCCAACACATTGGGAGGCAGAGGCAAGAGAACTGATTGAGCTCAGGAGTTTGTGACCAAGCTGGGCAATATAGGGAAACCTCAACTCTACAAAAAATTAAAAAATTAGTCAAGCACGGTGGTGTACCCCTGTGGTCCCAGCTACTAGGAAGGCTAAGATAGGAGGATTGCTTGAGCCCAGGAGGTCAAGGATAGAGTGAGCAGTGATCACACCACTGCACTCCAGCCTGAGTGACAGAGCACAACCTTGTCTCACAAAAGAAAAAGTGTATAATTAAAAGTATTTTTTGGACTGGGCACGGTGGCTCTTGCTTGTAATCCAGCACTTTGGGATGCCAAGGCAGGTGGATCACTTGCACCCAGAGTTCGAAATAAGCTAAGATGACACCGCAACACTCCATTTCTATTTTTATTAAAAAAAAAAAAAAAAAAAAAAAAAAATTTTTTTTGAAAAAGATACTGTTAAGAGAATGAGAAGACAAGCCACAGGCTGGAAAAAAATACTTACAAAAGAAGTAAATGATTAAAAAACTGTTACCTGGCTGGACACAGTGGCTTATGCCTGTAATCCCAGCACTTTGGAAGGCTGAGGCGGGCGGATCACCTGAGGTCGGGAGTTCGAGACCAGCCTGACCAACATGGAGAAACCCTGTCTCTACTAAAAATACAAAATTAGCTGGGCATGGTGGCGCATGCCGGCAATCCCAGCTACTCGGGAGGCTGAGGCAGGAAAATCGCTTGAACCCGAGAGGTGGAGGTTGCAGTGAGCCGAGATTGTTGCGCCACTCACTGCACTCCAGCCTGGGCAACAAGAAGGAAACTCTGTCAAAAAAAAAAAAAAACACAAACACACAAAAAAAACCGTTACCCAAAATATACAAAGAACTCTTAAAACTCAATAAGAAAACAGCCTGATTGAAAAATTAAAATTAAAATAAATAAAATAAAAAATGGGCAAAGGACCTCACCTAAGAAGATATACAAATGGAAAATAAACACATGAAAAGATATTCCATATCATGTATTAATAGGGAAATGCAAATTAAAACAGTAACATACCACTACAAGCCTATTAGAAAGGCCAAAATCCAGAACACTGATAACACCAAATGCTGGTGAGGACATGAAGCAAGGCAAACTGTCATTAATTGCAGATAGAAATGCAAAAGAATACAGCAACTTTGGAATAGAGTCTGGCAGTTTCTTACAAAACTAAACACACTCTTACCATACGATCCAGCAATCAAGCGTCTTGGTATTTACCAAAAAGAGCTGAAAACACGTCCTCACAAAAACCTATACACAGCAGCTTTACTCATAATTGCCAAACTTTGAAGCAACCAAGACATCCTGCAGTAGGTGAATGGATAAACTGTGAAACATCCAGACAATGGAATATCACACAGCGCTAAAAAGAAACGGGCTTTCAAAGCCATAAAAAGACATGGGAGCCCAGCTCAGTGGCTCATGCCTATAATGCCAACACTTTGGGAGCCCGAGGCGGGTGGATCACTTGAGGTCAGGAGTTCAAGACCAGCCTGGCCACCATGGTGAAACTCCATCTCTACTAAAAAAATAAAAATAAAAAATTAGGCAAGGCGTGGTGGCTCACACCTGGAATCTCGGCACTTTGGGAGACGGAGGGGGCAGATCATTTGAGGTCAGAAGTTCAAAACTAGTCTGGCCAACACAGTGAAACCCCATCTCTACTAAAAATACAAAACTTAGCCAGGAGTGGTGGTGCACAACTGCAGTCACAGCTACTTAGGAGGCTGAGGCAGAGAATCGCTTGAACCCGAGAGGCGGAGGTTTCAGTGAGCAGAGATCATGCCACTGCACTCTGGCCTGGGGGACAGAGTGAGGCTCCGTCTCAAAAAATAAATAAATAAAATAAAATAAAAAATAAAAAAATTAGCCAGGTGTGGCGACACACGCCTGTAGTCCCAGCTACTCCGGAGGTTGAGGCAGGAGAATTGCTTGAACCCGGGAAACGGAGGTTGCAGTGAGCAGAGATCACGCCACTGCACTCCAGCCTGTGTGACAGAGCAAGACTTCGTCTCAAACTAACTAACTAAATAAAGACATGGGAGATGTTTAAGTGCATATTACTAAGTGAAAAAAGCCCATCAGAAAAGGCTACATACTATATTATTCCAACTCTGACATTCTAGAAAAGGTAAAACTATGGAGACATTAAAAAGAACAGTGGTTGGCAGGGGTTAAGGTAGGAAGAAGGGATAAATAAGCAAAGCAGAATTTTTAGCACAGTGCAACTATTCTATATGATATCATAATGGTGAATACATGTCATTATACATTTCTCAAAACCCACAGAATATACAAGAAAATCCTAATATGAAACATGGATTCTGGGAAATAATGATGTGTCAGTGTAGGTTCACCAGTTATAACAAATGTACAACTATGATAAGGGATGTTGACAGTGAGGGAGGCTATACACGTGTGGAATTAAGGAGTATATGGGAACTCTCTGTACTACCTGCTCAATTTTGTTGTGGATCTAAAACAGGTCTAGGCCAGGCATGGTGGCTTACACCCATAAAGTCAGCACCCTGGGCAACAAAACAAAACCCCATCTCTACAAAAAACTTAAAAATTAGCCAGGTGTGGTGGCACTCGCCTGTAGTGGCAGCTGCTCAGGATGGTGAGGCAGGAAGATAGCTTGAGCCCAGGAGGTTGAGACTGCAGTAAGCCATGATTGTGCCACTGCACTACACCCTAGGTGACAGAGCGAGACACTGTCCCAAAAGGAAAAAGAAAAATTAGCCAGGCCTGGTGGCCTGTGCCTATAGTTCTAGCTACACAGGAGGCTAAGAAAGATTGAGCCCAGGAGTTTGAGGTTACAATGAGCTATGATTGCGCCACTGCATTCCAGCCTGGGCAACACAGCAAAACCCTGTCTCAAAAAATAAAACAGGGTGGGCGCAGTGGATCACACCTATAATCCCAGCACTTTGGGAACTCAAGGTAGGCAGATAGCTTGAGCTCAGGAGTTCAAGACCAGTCTGGGCAACATGGTGAAACTCTGTCTCTACAAAAAATACAAAAATTAGCCAGGCATGGTGGCACACAACTTAGTGCCAGATACTCAGGAGGCTGAGGTGGGAGGATTGCTGGAGCCCAGGAGTTTGAGGCTACAGTGAGCTATAACTGTGCCACTGCACTCTGGTCTGAACAACAGAGTAAGATCCTGACTCAAAATAAAAATAAAATTTAAAAATCAGAAAAAAAATCTCTAATCCTGCTCTACTACTATTCACTTCTCTTTTCTCTAATGCCCAGTTTCCTCTTTTTCCTAACAATCTTGAAAAGGAATAAAGTATACATAATTAAATTATATGCACTCAAATTTCACATAAAAAAATAAAGATTAAGCAAGAGTTACTGGAACATGGTTTCCCTAAATCAAAAATTTAATCACATGTAACTTCTTTCCTCAACTTTCTGTAGCAGCACTATCCAAGAGAACGTTCTGTGTGATGATGCAAACATTCTATATACCACCTAACACAGTAGCATCTAGCAATGTGTGGCTTTTAAGCACTGGATAGTACGACCGAAGAACAGTATTTTTAATTTCATGTAGCCTAGTGGCTACTTCACAGGACAGCACAGCTCTGTAGCCAATCAGAGATCTGTCAACTCTTTTTTTTTTTCCCCTTGAGATGGAGTCTCGCTATGCTGCCCAGGCTGCAGTACAGTGGCACGATCTCGGCTCACTGCAACCTCCGCCTCCCAGGCTCAAGCGATTCTCCTGCCTCAGCCTCCTGAGTAGCTGGGATTACAGGCGCGTGCCACCACACCCAACTGATTTTTGTATTTTTACTAGTGATGGGGTTTCACCATGTCGGTCAGGTTAGTCTTGATCTCCTGATCTCAAGTGATCCACCCCCTCGGCATCCCAAAGTGCTGGGATTACAGGCATGAGCCACTGACCGGTATTGTCGACTCTTTCTTCAAAGTTTCTCATCAATGTTCTTTCCTATTTCTACCAACGTCATAGTAATTCAGCACTATACATGCCTAATATGTATACTACTGTCTATATATGCCATTGAAATATTACTTCTCTCCCTACACTTCATCAAAATATTGTTTTAATGTTATTTAAATTTTTATCATTCAAAATATTCGAGATTCTTCAAAACTTAAAAGAACAGAAAGAATAAAGTCCATATAGCTTTCAAAATCAAAGTATCACAATTTGACTTGATTGTATTTTTCTAGTCTCATTATCCACAAAAATCCTGATTCAATAAAAAGGATCTACTCATTATTCCTCACAAAAATGTTAAGCTTTCTCTTTAGTTGTACTGTTACCAATCATAGATGACTATCTATGTTCATTTTAAAAATCAAATCTTAACTCTTTCCTGTCTATGAAAACAAACCATTCTGACCACTTCTAAGTTGCAAAGCTAATGTATGATTTATTTAAATATTTAATATTGATTTATTGCTTTAATAGTTTCTTAGATCTTTTATTAACTTTTCATTTCTTTCAGCCTTTGTTCCTAAACTTGAAGGAAAGGGCATAGCCCTGAGAGTAGTGCTCTCCACACAACATTCACTCAGATGTGAATTAATTCAAAGGAGTTAAGAAGGATAATACAGGAAAAAAGGATTGAGTTTTTCTCAGCCAAGAACACATACATTGTTCTTTGGCATTACTAAAAGCTCAAAATATAGCTGAGTTCCTGATAGGTTCCTGATAGGTTTCTGGCAGTTTCCTGGCCTTGCAACGTGGCTCAATATGTATGCCAGGGGAGAGAACTCGTGCTTTCTCTTCACATCTTTAGGGAACAGTACCTTAGTTCTGGAAGGAAACTGAAGTAGTTTCCTAGGTCTAAACCAGAGTCCAGGCTCCACCTGAAAGCATTAAGAGGTTTCTTCCTAAATAGTTTTTTGGCTTTTTTGTTTTTTGGGGTTTTTTTTTTTTTTGAAACAGGGTCCTGCTCTGTCACGCAGGCAGTGATGCAATCTTGGCTCACCTTAACCTCCTGGGCTCAAGCCAACCTCCTGAGCTCAAGCGATCCTCCCACCTCAGCCCCACCAAGAAACTGGGACTACAGGCGCATGCCACCACGCCCAGCTAACTTTTTTTGTACAGATGGGGTTCCACATGTTGCCTCAGCTGCTTCCTAGTTTCTAATAAGTCAAATAAAATTCATTTCCCCAAATGGTGTCAGCCAAGCAGATGGGGTAAAATGAAAGAATACAGTAAGAAAAAATTTTCTTACTGTATTTTCTACCTTTTATTTTAACCTTTTGAAAATACGACTTTTAGCCATTTCCAATTGTTATCAGATTATTAATCTGCCTAGAAAAAATTTTTACCCAAAGAAAAAGGTATTTATCATATTTTCTACAGAATGTTTGATTAAAATTTTGGCCAAGCGTAGTAGTTCATGCCTGTAATCCCAACATTTTGGGAGGCCAAGGTGGGTGGATCACCTGAGGTCAGGAGTTCAAGACCAGCCTGACCAATACAGTGAAACTCCATCTCTACTAAAAATACAAAAATTAGCTGGGAGTGGTGGCATGCACCTGTAGTCTCAGCTACTTGGGAGGCTGACAGGAGAACTGCTTGAACCCAGGAGGTGGAGGAGGCAGTGAGCCAAGATTGCACCACTGCACTCCAGCCTGGGTGACACAGCAAGACTCTGCCTCAAAAAAAAAAAAAAAAAAAAAACTTGTTTTAAGTAAAACTAGTTGTTTCTAATTTATTCTATTTTTAGTCTTAAGTAGAACAAAACTTTATTTCCACTTCCTGATACTGTCCATTTAACATGAATTAACACCAGAGTACCATATGACTTCTTCTATATACTTCTCACCAACAGACAAACCTAACAGATAAAATTGGCATTAAATAAAATTAAGATATTTTGTCAAGCATTTGTGAGTACTTAATGTCTATGAAAGGCATAAAATGAAAAGCCCAATAAATGTTTTAAAGTCACAACCCAAAATCTAGAACAGTGATCATAGCAGAACAGCTTTAAGATAGGTACGTTTTCTTCTTCTCTCCATACACTATAGAATACCACAATGTTTTGGAAGAGTCTCTTCCTTAGACTCTGTGTATACCTACATTTGAAAACAGCAAAAGATAAGAATGTCGACCTTGATAACAGCAAAGAATGGCCAACTGCTAAACTCAATTCCTTCTCTTGAGCTTATTTCAAAAATGAAAAAAATAACCCATGGCTCTGTCCCATCAAGGGGGGGTTGGAGGAGGGGTCTGGCTGGGGCAGGAAATAATCTTCCCTAGGTTGCTACATTGCTTTGCAGCTTTGCAAGAGAGCCAGAATGTGTTTGGAAGATGATGACTCCACCTTGTTCCATAAATCAACTTCCCTTGACATCTTGGAAGAGTAGAGCAGATATTTCCTGATTGATTTATTTACTTTTCCTCTCAGAAATTAAGAATTTTCCTTAAGGTGAAGAATTAAGACTTTGAAATAAAATGTTTTTATAATTTTAGGAAACTAAATGATCACCAGAATTGAATAATGTACACTGAGTAGAATTTACTTGAACTAACTTCCTCTACGAGGTTTGTATATAAAATATACTGAACTATTTTTGTCCTAGAAGTATTCTATAATTTAGCTACCTGAGAGAACTATTTTTCTTTTCACAATGCAAGGATATTAACATAGTCAAATTGAAAAAGTACAAATTTCAAATGATAAAACAATATCCAGCTATAGATATTCTATGTCCACGCACCTTATATTTGGTGAAGTGGTAGGAGAGAGTGTGTGGAGAAGTCAGATGAAATAAGAAATATAAAGGATGACCACAGGTAGAGAACCAAAAAAGTAAAAACTCACCCTATCCTGGGTAGAAGTAGCTGGATGAATGAAACAATGAATACAAACCCTTCAACCGAAGGTAAGTATTAATACAAGCATATGAATTTAACGGAGGCCAATAAAGACCTTTAAATAATCTAGTATCTGGTACCTATATAAAGATTTATATGAAATGAATTGGTGATCTCAGTTCAGATATCCTGGAGGTCTTATTAACGTGAGTGTACAGTACTGAAGGTAACATGTATACAATAAAAAGAGATTCCATTTCAGATATGGGTAAACAGCAATTCAATTAAATTACTATTTTCACAAGATATCTGAAATGGTTCAATATTGCTAAAAAAATTTTGCTATTTCCACAAATATTAAATAATACCCATTATGCCTAAAATGCACTTCCATTAAAAAATATATTTTGTACTAAAACAGATTTACTCTGTGGGAATTTTTTTTTTTTTTTTAGTATACTACAAATTCTGAGGTCTTAATTTTCTAGAATTTTTCTTTTTTAATCTTATAAAGAAAAACCCTCATGATAACAAAGAGAAGGTAAAGGAAATCTCCAAACAACCTACTTGGTATAATACCTATCACGATCAATCTCCAATATAAAACTGTGCCAAGAAATGTAAATATTAAATAGATTTATCAATAGTAAATAATTATTGAAATCAAAGGAATTTTATTAAAAAACATACAAGTTAAATAGCATTACTTCTGACAAGTACAATCACTACTTTAGAAAAGTAAAATTTAAATTCAAAATCCCACAACATAAACCAGTCAGAATAAATTAGCTGGTTTTTATGTTTGGCTTTGTTTTTAAAAAGCCAGTATACATACTACACGTGCTTTGTACATATTATTATCTCTTAAAAACATAAATTTTTCAGTGATTTAAATTTGGCAACTCATCTCATTAAGAGACCGACCTAATTATCTGATTTTTGCATTTTAGAATTCACAAATTCCACTTACCACATATTTAACAGCACTTATAAACTGGTTGTGGAAAAGCAGATGCTGTGTTTCATCTTCTGGATTTGAAGCTGTATACAGCATTCCACAAACATTACAAGAAACTGCTCCAAATCTTTTTTGTCCTGCATCCTATTTACAAAAAACACACAAAAGTTTTTTTCCTCCCAAAAGAATTATTTCAGAATATCAGCCTCTAAGGCTATAGTGTGAGCATAAAGTAAGAATTGTTTAATCTACATGAATAACATTCAATGTTAATTACTAAAAATAACACGTTAATCTGAAATCTGCATGTAATTTTACTAGGAAATGTTTCCATTTTAGTAACCTGATCCACGGCATATAACAATTTTTTAAAAACTGACAAATAGCTTTAATATTACAAACTTAGTCCTAAAGCCCCAAATAGGAAATACTCTATGAATGAGAACTAATATATATTTCGTATTTGCAATAATTATACTACTAGTGTGTAGAGGAAAAAGTTTTTTTGATACAGGGTCTCACGGTCTCACTGTGTCACCCAGGCTGGGACTACAGGGATGTGCCACCATGTCTGGCTAATTTTTGTTTGTTTTTGTTTTGAGACAAGGTCCCGCTCTGTCACCCAGGCTGGAGTGCAGTGGCATGATCTTGGCTCCTGCAACCTCTGCCTCCCAGGTTCAAGCAATTCTCCTGCCTCAGCCTCCCAAGTAGCTGGGATTACAAGAGCGTGCCATTGCACTGGACTAATTCTTTGTATTTTTAGTAAAGATGGGGTTTCACCATGTTGACCAGGTTGGTCTTGAACTCCTGACCTCAGGTGATCCACCTGCCTTGGCCTCCTAAAGTGCTAGGATTACAGGCATGAGCCACCACGCCTCGCCACCTGGCTAATTTTTATATTTTTTGCAGAGAGAGAATTTTACCATGTTGCCCAGGCTGGTCTAGAACTGAGCTCAAGCGATCCTCCTGCCTCGGCCTCCTAAAGTGCTAGGATTACAGGTGTGAGCCACTGCACCCAGGTAGACTCTTTTTTATTTTTATATTTAATTTGAGACAGAGTCTTGCTCTGTCACCGAGGCTGGAGTGCAGTGGCGCCATCTTGGCTCACTGCAACCTCCCACTCCTGGGTTCAAGCGATTCTCCTGCCTCAGCCTCCTGAGTAGACGGGATTACAGGCACCCACCAACATGCCCAGCTAATTTTTATATCTTTTAATAGAGACCGGGTTTTGCCATGTTGGCCAGGCTGGTCTCAAACTCCTGACATCAGGTGATCCACCTGCCTCGGCCTCCCAAAGTGCTAGGATTACAGGCATGAGCCACCGCACCCAATCCATTCCATTTTTTAATGTCTTAAAAGTCTGGGGGGCCACCTGAGGTGGCTCACGCTTGTAATCCCAGCACTCTGGATCACGAGGTCAGGAGTTCAAGACCAGCCTAGCCAACATGGTGAAACCCCATCTCTACTAAAAATACAACAAATAGCCAGGCACGGTGGTGCGTGCCTGTAAACCCAGCTACTAGGGAGGCTGAGGCAGGAGAATCACTTGAACCTGGGAAGCAGAGGTTGCAGTGAGCCAAGATTGTGCCACTGCACTCCAGCCTGGGTGACTCCGTCTTACAAAAAAAAAAAAAAAATTAACAATTAGCTGTGTGTGGTGACGCATGTCTGTTAGTCCCAGCTATTCAGCAGGCTGAGGTGAGAGGATCACTTGAGGCTGGGAGGTTGAGGCTGCAAGTGAGCTGTGATCACACCATTGCACTCTAGCCTGGGTGACAGCATGAGACCCTATCTTAAAAAAAAAAAAATCCTACTGATTATGTTGACTGTAACTACATAAATGTTCCTAGTACTTTGGGTGCCTTAATTTTTTTATATTCACTCATTCAAGTTAGATTTTTAATCAATCAAAATATCTCCTGTTTTCCAATTTATCTTCCTGTAATTTAAAATGTAACTTTAAAATAATAATGTATTCTGCAATATAGATATTCAAAATCATTTTATACATTAAGTTCCATGTTATTATTTTTTTTTTTTTTGAGATGGAGTATCGCTCTTGTTGTCCAGGCTGGAGTGCAATGGCATGATCTCAGCTCACCGAAACCTCCACCTTCCGAGTTCAAGGGATTCTCCTGTTTTAGCCTCCCGAGCAGCTGGGATTATAGGAACGAATCACCACGCCCAGCTAATTTTGTATTTTTAGTAGAGATGGGCTTTCTCGGTGTTGGTCAGGCTGGTCTTGAACTCCCACCCTCAGGTGATCCGCCCATTTCGGCCTCCCAAAGTGCTGGAATTACAGGCGTGAGCCACTGCACCTGGACAAGTTCCATGTTATTTTAACATTTAAATCAACTACTGAAAGGAGGTAGTGATCAAATGACAAATCTAAGAAAGTAACAGATGTGAAATAAAGTATCACAATTTGTTATAAAACTAGAAGTATGAAAACAATTACTGTTACAAGACAAAGTCACTATTTAAGAAGGGGGTTGTAATAACACCAGGAATATTTTTCTGAGACAGAGTCTCGCTCTGTTGCCCAGGCTGGAGTGCAATGGCACCATCTCAGCTCACTGCAACCTCTGCCTGCCAGGTTCATGCGACTCTCCTGCCTCAGATTCCTAAGTAGCTGGGATTACAGGCATCTGCCACCACGCCTGGCTAATTTTTGCATTTTTAGTAGAGACAGGATTTCACCATGCTGGCCAGGCTGGTCTCAAACTCCCGACCTCAGGTGATCCACCCACCTTGGCCTCCCAAAGTGCTGGGATTATAGGCATGAGCCACTGCACCTGGCCTGGGAACATTTTTCATACTAAAATTTATTATGACAAAAAGGCTCTTTGGCAAAAGTGAATGAATTTATTCTTTAAAACCTTGCATAAATACAATGCTGCTATGATTTTGATATGATTTGATTTGTCTCCACCAAAATTTATGGGGAAATTTGATGTCCAATGTGACAGTGTTTGGAGGTGGGGCTTAGTGAGATATGTTTGCGTCTTAGAGGTGAATCCCGCACAAATAGGTTAATGCCCTCAAATGCCCTCCTGCTGGGGTGAGCAGGGTTAAAAAAAAAAAAAAAGAGTCTGGCTTCCTTGGTTTCTCTCTCTTGCTTCCTCCCTTACCACGTGGTCTCTCTGCACATGAGCTCACTCCCTTTCTGCTTTCCTCCATAAGTTGAAGCAATCTGCCACCCTCACCAGATGCAGATGTCAGGCCATAGAACCACAAGCCAAATAAACCTCTTTTCTATAAAAATTACCAACCTCAGATATCGTATTATAGCAACATGAAATATACTAAGATGGTTCTAACAACAATTCACCAAAATGGTCAAGTTGTGTACTTACTATAATCAACTGTTTTTCATCAGTTTTCTCTGCTTCTTTTAGTTTCAAGTCCTTTGGAATTGTTATCTCCAAATGGGAATTACACTTAGGCAAAGAATGATTTCGTGGTGTCTCCCTTAAAAAAAATAAAATTACTAAATGTTACAGATCCAAGTCATTTCACATCATTTGAAGGGGAAAAAATAACTTATTTTCTTTTTTTTTTTGAGACGAAGTCTCACTCTGTCGCCCAGGCTGGAGTGCAGTGGCGCAATCTTGGCTCACTGCAAACTTTGCCTCCTGGGTTCATGCCATTCTCCTGCCTCAGCCTCCTGAGTAGCTGGGACTACAGGTGCCAGCCACCACGCCCAGCTAATTTTTTTTTTTTGTATTTTTAGTAGAGACGGGGTTTCACCATGTTAGCCAGGATGGTCTCGATCTCCTGACCTCGTGATCCGCCTGCCTCAGCCTCCCAAAGTGCTGGGATTACAGGCGTGAGCCACCGCGCCCGGCAAAAATAACTTATTTTCTACACAACGCTGATAAATTTCAGCTTCAAGAGAGGGAGAAAAACCTTTTAAAAATCAAGGAGCAGGCCTGGCATGGTGGCTCATGCCTATAAAATCCCAGCACTTTGAGAGGCCAAGGCAGGCAGATTGCCTGAGCTCAGGAGATCGCGACCAGCCTGGGCAACACGGTGAAACCCCGTTTCTACTAAAATAAAAATAAATAAATAAAATAAAAATTAGCCAGGTGTGGCAGCGTGTGCCTGTAGTCCTAGCTACTCAGGAGGCTGAGGCAGGAGAATTGCTTGAACCTGGGAGGCGGAGGTTGCGGTGAGCCGAAATCACGCCACTGCACTCCAGCCTGGCGACAGAGCGAGACTCCGTCTCAAAAAATAATAATAATAAAAATAAAGGGGGAAAGAAAATTACTAATTTTCAGTAAAAAAACAAAAACTAATTTTCAGTAAAAAAACAAAAACTAATTTTCAGTAAAAAAAAGGCAACACTTACCACAGTTTGAATATGCTTTTAAGTTTTATAGTTTTAGCTATCTAAGTCATTCCAATTTGTACTAAATACTGTTTGTTGTTAATCCAAAAGGCAAAATAAGTCAGATCTATTTAATTCTGACATTAAAAAGAAAACAAAAAGCTTTTAATCTTACTTAAACACTCTTACATGTTGCTAATACCTAGTATTTCTAGAAGTCTAGGGAAAAGGGCATTCTCAAACACTATTGAGACAGGCCAACCACTTTGGAGGAAAGTCTGACAATGCGGGATAAGTTCTATAGCTATGAGATACAGACACACAAGTAAGCAAAGATACATGTGTTTAACATAGGATTTGTCTTTTCTGGATAGAAATGAACCAGAAATATCCAAAATGTTCATAAAGCATAGAACTGTTAAACCACGGTAAAGTCACACAATGAAATTTAATGCAGAATTTAGAAGAATAAGGTAGCTGCCAGATACTGTGGCTCACACCTATAATCCCAGAGATTTGAGAGGCCGAGGTGGGAGAATCACTTGAGGCCAGGAGTTCGAGACCAGCCTGAGCAGCATAGCAAGACCTTCTCTCTAAAAAAAGAATTTTTTTTAATTATCCAGGTATGGTGCCACACTATAGTCCTAGCTACATGGGAGGCTGAGGCAGAAGGATCACTTGAGCCCAGGAGTTCAAGGCTGCAGTGATTGTGCCACTGCACTCCAGCCTGGGTAAGTGAGCAAGACCTCAACTCTAAAAAATAAATAAATAAAGAAATAAAGAATGAGGTAGTAGGGTAGAAAAAATGTCCATAGTAAACAGTATGTATAGGCATAGAAAAAGCTGTAATGAAAAGAGAATCTGTAGGTAAACTGAGGGTTACTAGCATAACTTTTTAGGGAAGAATCCCCTAAACTCAAAACTTGTAAGTTAAAATCCTTAAGCTCTAAAATTTAATTAATAGCTTACCTGTTATCACTGCTTTTAGATGTCTGGTTACTGAGAATACTATGCTGTTGGGGAGCTGAACCTGTAATTTAATCAAGAAGGTGGGTTATATATTGAGTTTTATACTAGTTTTCCATCTAATGGATAAAATCATTATACATAAAGAAAAAAACCTTCAATGCATTAAATGACTTATTTTTAATAAAGACCATCTGATAAAATTAGAACCTTCTTCCTAGATACCATTCTTCAGACAAAAGGCAGAAAGGCTGTCTCATACTCAGACTACAAAGCTGCAAAGAGCTGTAATGGTAGATTAGCTTGCCTCTAATTTAACCAGCAATTATTAGGACTGAATAATAAGGAAATTGTTTCAATGCCTGCATAATTATATAATCTCTAAGTAGAAACAAATGAAAACATTTTCTTGTTTAAAAAAATAAAAATAAAAGACGCCGGGCATGGTGGCCTCACATCTGTAATCCCAGCACTTTGGGAGGGCAAGGCAGGCGGATCACCTGAGGTCAGGAGTTCGAGACCAGCCTGGCCAACATAGGGAAACCCTGTCTCTACTAAAAATACAAAATAAGCCGGGTGTGGTGATGTGTGCCTGTAATCCCAGCTGCCCAGGAGGCTGAGGCAGGAGAACTGCTCGAACCTGGGAGGCAGAGGTGGCAGTGAGCTGAGATCGCGCCACTGCACCCCAGCCTGGAGGACAGAGCAAGGCTCTGCCTCAAAAAAAAAAAAAAAATGGTCTCTGGAATTTTAGTCAGAATAATAAAGGCAATAAGCAATTCATTTTATTTTCTAATGAATAAATGCATTTCTCATATTTATATTACATTCTCTCTTCCCCAACTCAGAGAAAAAGTTAAATCATGTCAATGATTATCCGAACTCAACATTTTGCTCCATGTATACCTTTCCTTTAGCAGAGAAACAACAGGAATTAAGAGATTTCTTTTCTATACCCTCTGCTGTCTCATCCAATATAAGTGACCAAATCCTCATCCAACAGTTCAAATAATTTTTTTTTCTTTTGGTTTTTTGGTTTTTGAGACAGATTCTCACTCTGTCACCCAGGGTGGAATGCAGTGGTGCAATCTTGGCTCATCTCTGCCTCCCAGGTTCAAGCAATTCTCCTGACTCTGCCTCTCAAGTAGCTGAGATTACAGGCGTGCACCACCATGCCTTGCTAATTTTTTTAGTATTTTTAGTAAATAGAAACGGAGGTCTCACCACATTGGCCAGGCTGGTCTCGAACTCCAGGCCTTAAGTGATCTGTCTGCCTAGGCATTCCAAAGTGCTGCGATTACAGGCTTGAGCCACCACGACCGGCCCAAATAATGTGTTATTAAAAAAAAAAAAGTTCACAAGGTTCCAAAACTAAAGCTTTTGGACAATTTGCAAAGTGGACAATTTGCAGCATTTATTAAATCCTTAATTTAGAGATAGGATCATTCAGATGGAAAACTGAGTAAATAAGGGTTAAAGATAAGAACCTGAAATGGTAAAGCACAAATAATAAAGTACTTAAGAAATAAGCTGCTACCACTATTTTATGCAATTCATTAAGAACACTTCTCAAGAAAGTAAGTCACAAATAAAAGTTGTTTAAAAAACAAAAGAACTTTTGGTAGGGAGTCAAAGGGTAGTACTTAGGTACTTTAAACAAACCAATCAACAGAAGTAATTCTGAAAGCATGGGTGATAGTCATGATAATCACATATTTGAAAAATACAGCAATGGTTAAAAAGAATTTAACAACCCTATTTGGTATATAACATTTTCTGTAATACTGACAAAAATGTCACTGAAGACTATGAAATCCAAATAATATTTCCAAAGTATTACCTGGAAATTTATTCTCTCCTGTATCAATTTTTGCTTGACTGAGCAGAGTCGAAGCAGCAGTAACATTTTCCACTGGACTGTTTTCTAGCTTGGATTCCAAACATTGGCTGAAATTCTGAACACATATAATTCAAAATTTTTACATCAACTTTGGGTTTTATCTAAATAAACTTTCAGTAAATTTTAGCATACTAAAAAAATTTAACATACTTTTTATTTGGAGCAATTAATACAGACATGAAGTCTCCCCATGATCTTGCTACAAGCTACCCTCTCACCATCAGGGCCCATTATTACCCTTCATGCTAAATTTAAAAACAAGCAGGGTACAGCAGTGCATGCCTGTTGTCTCAGCTACTCAGAAGCCTCACTAAAAGGGGAGGATCACTTAAGCCCAGGGGTTTGAAGCCAGCCTGGACAACATAGTGACACCCTATCTCAAAAAAAAGGAAATATCTCTTCCACAGATATATTCAATAGTTTCCTGGCTCTATACCTTTTTTCCAAGTTTCGTCTGTCTAGACTATAATGTCCAATATGGTCATCACTCCCACATCTAACTAGTGAGTGCACTTAAAATGTGGTATCACTTGAAATGTGTTGAAAGCATAAATCACACCAGATTTTGAACTTAAGCACCCAGCCGGGCACAGTGGCTAATGCCTGTAATCCCAGCACTTTGGGAGGCCGAGACGGGCGGATCACTTGAGGTCAGGAGTTCAAGACCAGCCTGACCAACACAGTGAAACCTCGTCTCTACTAAAAATACAAAAATTAGCTGGGCGTGATGGCAAGCACCTGTAATCCCAGCTACTCGGGAGGCTGAGGCAGGAGAATCACTTAAACCTGGGAGGCGGAGGTTGCAGTGAGCCAGGATAGTGCCACTGCACTCCAGCCTAGGTGACAAAGCTAGACTCCATCTCAAAAAAAAAAAAAAAGACAGGTTAAATAAAAGATATTAAAATTAATTTTATCTATTTCTCTTTACTCCATTAATGTGGCTACCAGGTAATTTTAAATCACATATGTGGCTCACTTATATTCCTACTGGATAGTGCTGATCCAGAATACCTTTCCCCCTATATAAATTCCACTCATTGCTCCTCTTCCATAAAGCCTTTCCCAATCTTCTCTAGCTGTTCTTCATCTACTTTGTCTAAATCTCTTTCGTGTGCTTATCACTTTTTATTTTCAATCAGTTATTTGTGTCTGACTTACCTATAAAGCTTAAAAGCAACAACCATATTATATTTACCTTTTTATTCCTAATAGCCTCTAATTCAGAACCTTGCCAAAGCAGATACTCAATTAGTAAATAACAAAAGAAAATACTTCAGGCGGGGCGTGGTGGCTCACGCCTGTAATCCCAGAACTTTTGGGAGGCTGAGGCGGGTGGATCATGAGGTCAAGGGATCAAGACCATCCTGGCCAACACAGTGAAACCCTGTCTCTACCAAAAATACAAAAAAATTAGCTGGGCGTGAGGCCGGGCATGGTGGCTCACGCCTGTAATCCCAGCACTTTGGGAGGCCCAAGCAGGCCGATCACCTGAGGTCAGGAGTTCCAGGCCAGCCTCACCAAGATGGTGAAACCCCGTCTCTACTAAAAAACAAAAATTAGCTGGGTGTGGTGGCAGGCACCTGTAATCCCAGCTACTTGGGAGGCAGAGGCAAGAGAATCACTTGAACCCAAGAGGCAGAGGTTGCAGTGATCGAGATCATGCCATTGCACTTAGCTGGGTGTGGTGGCGGTCCCAGTTACTCACGAGGCTAAGGCAGGAGAAATCACTTGAACCCGGGAGGCGGAGGTTGCAGTGAGCCAAGATCACACCACTGCACTCCAGCCTGGCGACAGAGCAAGACTCCGTCTCAAAAAAGAAAAAAATACTCCAAACTCCATCAACAGTGGCTATCTCAGGGAAATGGAAATGGAAACTTCTTAAGGGCAGGAAACCTATCCATGTTCTATGGTCCTAGCACAGCACAGCACCTTGAATACAGCAGGCACTCAAATATGTCCTGAACCAATATGGTCACCACCACATTTCCTGATCACTCTGTGACAGTGGTCAAAATGTTGAGATTAGTGAAAAATAATTGGAAACAATCTGAAAGGTGAAAGTCTTCTTTTTCTTTTGAGATAGAGTCTCACTCTGTCACCCAGGCTGGAATGCAGTGAAATGATCACAGCTCACTGCAGCCTCAACCTCCTGGGCTCAAGAGGTCCTCCCGCCTCAGCCTCCCAAGTAGCTGGGACCACAGGCACACATTACCACTCCTAGCTAATTTTTAAATTATTTTGTAGAGAGGGAGTCTCACTATGTTGCTCAAACTTGTCTAAAACTCCTGGGCTCAAGAGATCCTCCCACCTCAACCTCACAAAATGCTGGGATTACAGGCATGAGCCACTGTGCCTGGCCCAAGGTGAAAGTCTTTTCATAGAAGAAAAGATAAACTTGTTGTATATTCCCATAGTTTTAAAAATACTCAGGTATCAATAAGTATCAAATATAATGTTGATTACACAAAGCCAAGTTACAAAAATATATGTGCTAGTATTTTTGTAAAACACTGAAACACAAACAAAGCTAAGTATTCTTTATGAATTTATATACACATAAAATCACAGAAATAAAAACTGAAAAGATCCACATCCACTTTAGGAGCACATTTTAACTATAGGGAGATGGGTAAATGGAATAAAGAGTTGCAGTCTTCGGCCAGGCGTGGTGGCTCACACCTGTAATCCCAGCACTTTGGGAGGCCGAGTTGGGAGGATCAGGAGGTCAGGAGATCGAGACCATCCTGGCCAACGGGTGAAACCCCGTCTCTACTAAAAACACAAAAAATTAGCCGGGCGTGGTGGCAGGCGCCTGTAGTCTCAGCTACTCAGGAGGCTGAGGCAGGAGAATGGCGTGAACCCAGGAGGCGGAGCCTGCAGTGAGCCGAGATGCACCACTGCACTCCAGCCGGGGTGACAGAGTGAGACTTCATCTCAAAAAAAAAAAAAAGAGTTGCAGTCTTCATCTACACCTGTAATGTACCTTTTGTAACTTTAAAGGATTTTCAGTAATTTTTTTTAAATGTTAACTTTTGTCAAATCTGGGTGGTAGACATATGAGAGTAATGTTCATCTCTGCTATATTCTAAATGTTTGCAATATTCCAGAATTTCAAACCGTAAGATTTTTAACATAGCAACAAGTTTCTTAGGATATTTTTTTTTTGAAGACAGACTTTCACTCTGTCACCCAGGCTGGAGTACAGTGGCGTGATCTTGGCTCACTGCAGCCTCCGCCTCCCAGGTTCAAATGATTCTTCCACCTCAGCCTCCTGAGTAGCTGGGATTACAGGTGTGCACCACCACACCCAGCTAATTTCTTGTATTTTTAGAAGAGATGGGGTTTCACCATGCTGTCCAAGCTGGTCTCGAACTCCTGACCTCAGGTGATCCAACTGCCTCAGCCTCCCAAAAGTCCTGGGATTAAAGGCATGAGCCACCACGCCTGGCAGGATGGTTTCTTATAATGTTCCTCCAAACAGAGGGGCTGCATAAATTCAAAGTATCTTTCAGTAAAAGCAATGTTATCAAAGGTCAAAATAATGTGGTCTACATAAACATCTTCATTCAAGTACAGTTTAGTACAAAGGAATGAATTAGATTTCATATCCATCAATATACTCTCCATAAACTGCCTTCTGAGTTTTGACAGGCATTTATGCAGCAAGCAATTAGAAGACACACTCTCCAACTACATCTGGAGACACAATCCTGAATAAAAAGCCACTACATCTCTGCACAAAGCCACAACTTATTACTCATACTACAACTCACTACTTATTTCTAATTACTATCACTGACTGGTAAAATCTCTCTGAACAATCATCTTTTAATTGATGCTTGCATTCCTGTCTATATAGAAAATAAAATCTGAGAGTACAATATGGTGTCTTCTCCCTTTAAGAAAAATAATAGACACTGATCTATTTTCATGGCTTCTGGAATAAAGCCCAGACTCCTAATGCACTCACATTTGCTCCTAGACAAAATGTCTCAAAAGAGAACTTTAAATCACTTGCAAAACTTTGAAATGACTTGACTTTTTTCTCTATTCATGATTACTTTTTTTGCTCAAATGATTTCTAATGTTCAGAGTATGTTGTTTTAGAAAGAATGCTGGGCTAAGAATTAGAACACCTGGATTCTAATTCTATTTGTGCCACCAAACGTGTTGCCTAAATCACATTCCACTCCAAGTTTTCTTATTATAAAATTAAACAGTACAAATAAATCAGTTTGATCTATGTTAGAGTTCCAGGGTTCTATGCATATAAAATTTCTGCTTATTGGTTTTATATATTAGTAGTCTACATATAATTTACTTTAGAAAGAAAAGGGCTCAGCTGCTTTCATAAAATTTAAAACTACTTTCTTAGGTAATCAAAATTTATTCCAGATACAAGATTCTGGTTTTCAGTTTACTTTTCCATTTCAGAGTCTTGGCCACTACAATTTTATTCTTAGGCTGAAGACTGAATTATTTATACCTCTCAGACAGACATTCTACTTGCCAACTATTCAAAATGGCCACAAAGGTCATCTCCTTAAAAATGTTTAACTTTTAAATTATATCCAGTAGGAAAAAAGGCTGATTAGTCCTAGTTGAAATTAATTTTAATATTTAGGTCAAAAGTAGTCCCTAAAGGCCAGGTGCAGTGGCTCACGCCTGTAATCCCAGCACTTTGGGAGGCCGAGGTGGATGGATTACCTGAGGTCGGGAGTTCGAGACCAGCCTGATCAACATGGAGAAACCCCGTCTCTACTAAAAATACAAAATCAGCCAGGCATGGTGATGCATGCCTGTAATCCCAGCTACTCGGGAGGCTGAGGCTAGAGAATGGCTTGAACCTGGGAGGCGGAGGATGCAGTGAGCTGAGATTGTGCCATTGCATGCCAGCTTGGGGAACAAGGGCGAAACTCCATCTCAAAAAAAAAAAAAGTAGTCCCTAAGAAACGTACTTTCTATGGTTATAATTAACAGAAAATCAGTGTGTTAAATTTAAAAGAAAAGCTGGAATTCAACCGGCTTATGCTTACATAAAATAAAAATGAAGAGTAAAAATGAGGAAACAATGAGAAGCACCCCAAGTAAATGTGAGACATCTGAAGTTCTATCACAAGACTGGGTTAATAAAACTCTCGCTAACAACTTAACAGGAGAACTTAAACAACTCTTCAATCTTTTATGACTTCATTCTTATGCTAAAATGTTATAAAGACATTTCTTACAGAAAATATTTCGGCACCTCTATTGTGCATAATAAAAACAGATTACCTTATTTGATGCTGAATCAAAAGAATGTTTCATCTGATTATCCAATGGTGGGTCAGAAGGTTTTATCTCATTGGCCAAATGACAATTTTCAGGAGCCCTTTCTGTGGTTTTATTAATTTCTACTGTAATATCATTAATTTTCACTTCTTCAGAATTAATTTCTTTCATTTTTTCCTGCTGGCAAGTTATATTTCTATCATGTAGCTTTGTCCCTAAAAACGTACTTTGAGTCACTGGATGATGCATTTCTAAAGCTGGTGGTGAAAAACTGGTTCGTAATAAGCCTAATTTAGGGGAAACTTGAGAGTCCAACTTATTGTGCTGCACAGAGTTAAATTTTGAGAGTTTAATTTTAGTCCAGTTGGAGTTCTTCTTGGCTGAGCTGTTTATTCCATTTAGTATACATTTCACAGGCTTTGTTTTTCTACTTGGGAAAAAACGATTACATTGCACATCCTGATTTGTTTCCTTCTGATGAAGTATTTGTCTTTCAACACTGGTCTCTTCCAATTTTATTTCTGTGGGCTTTTCTTCCTTTACACTTTCCATTTGTGAAGATTCCTTTTTTACCTCTACATTATCTGACTCAATTTCACCAGCAATTTCTTCACAGAGCTGGAGAATACTACCTCGTTTGCTCTTTCCTGCTTGCTCCAGCTCATTATCACTTTGTTCAGGCACTGATGGCTGTGGACTTTTTGGGAGTGTTGTGTTAGTATTCACTTGTGTATGAACCGACTTCTTCATCTCATTCTTTTTCGGGACCACTGAAGTAGCCATTTTTGATCTTTTCACCTCAGAAGTTACAGGCACAGGTTTCGTTTCGTCTCTTCTAGTAGTCTTCTGAGGACACTTTTCAGATCCTTGCGTGCATTGAGAACTACAAGCACAAGCTGTCTGATGTTCTACCTTGCGTTTTTTCCCTTTGGGAGAATTTATTACTTCATTAATTACTAGATTTTCATCTTCTTTAGAGTCAGACTTTACTTCCAGTACTTTTCTCTTCACATGTTTTTGACTTGTTTTATTAGATTTACTCTGAGTACTGCTACACTGCTCTTTTTTAGTTGGTGGCAAACTCTGTTTAACTGCTTGAACTTGACCCTGAATTTCTCTACTGCGTAACGACCTTCTTGAAACCTCTGTTAATTGTTGTAGCCTTTGTGATCTCCGGTTAAGCTGTTCATTTGCTTTAGGGTTTTCATGTACTAATTTTTTCTGAGATAATTTCTTTTTTGTAGATTCTTGTGAATATCCCCTCACAGTCACCGTATTTTTATTAATGGATTTAGTAGCTTTATCATTAGATGCTGCCTTTGATGACCTTGTACTCATGCGTGTTTCCAATTCTGGCTGATTTATTTTACTTTCACTGGAAGATTTAGCCTGTGATTTTATAGTCTCCTTTGGACCTGATTTTTTTGCTAGATTCTTTTGAGAATCCTGAATTTCTGTTTCTGAATTCTTATCGTCACTTTTTTTAGTAACTTTGGAGGAATTCTCTTTTGATTTCTCCTGAATGGACATCATTCCTGAGTAATGACTTTCTTTTCTGAGTAGTTTTGAAGAGGATTTTTGTGTCCTGGTAGGCGTGAATGCTGACTAGCTAGTATTATTACTGAGGAGCAGGTCTGAAAAATCAACTTTAACTGATGCTGATATACATTTTCAACAAAAATACTAGTTTGCTTCAAGTAAGGTTTCTGTCATTCCTAGAACATGAGAAAAGCTGGCATGAATGCTAAAAGACACTTGCTTTACTTTGGACAAGGTAATAAAAATTTGAGGAAAATTTTGATTATTTTTAATAAGTTTTTTTATCAAAAGAAATTTAATTCAGGTTCAATCTGTTTTGTTAATTTTTTAATTAATTTTGGTTTCAGGCCTAGCTCTATTACTGGAGGAGTTATTTATCAGTGACCTGTTTTGATAAAATTTTTGAAAACTTTTTTCTTCTGAAGTCTACAGTTATTGGACTTCGATTCACTTGAAACATGTCTTATGGCTAACACGTTTCTTTCCTTGTTTGCTGAGTCTGTTGGTTTGCAGTTCTTATCTAACCTCCTTTGTTCAACAAAATATTCTATTAATATAGATTTCCTTTTGTGCTGCCGTTTCTGAAAAATTAAAAAACAAAAATAAAGTTTTGTACAATCCATGAAATATGTCAATGCTAATACTACACAGAAATAACCTTGATTTAAGGAAAATCTAACTCCTCCTTTTGAAGTATCTAATCAGTACACTTAAGGCTAACAGAACGAAGTATCCCAAGTATATTCCTATGAATAATCAATAACTTGTCTTACATAAGCATAGAATAGTTGAAAATCAGTGTATTCCTTGAGGTTTACTTACAGTTTTTGCCCCAAAATATAGACTCGATGTCTCAGCCACCATAACTCATGAAGAAAATTAGACAAAACCATTCCTTCTAATATGCTCTTAACACATCACACAGCACCTGAAAGAAAAAGGGTTTTTTTTAATGTTCAAAAGGACAAAGGAAAGATGTAATCATCCATTCGGCTCTCATCAAATATAACGCTCCATAATTTCATCCTGTCCTACCATTAGTCATTATTTCCTCAAAGCTCATATTACACGTACAGTATTTTAGTATTTCTAATTTGCACTCAACTATATGCAGCCAATGGACTAGTAGGCATTCATTCATGTTGTGAAAAAAAGTTTTAAAATATGAAAAACAATTCATAATATAAGCATAAAATTGGTTAAACCAATAAAGTAAAATCCTATTTTGGGGAAAAAACAAAGCACATAGATAACTATATACATAGAAAAAGACTGAAATACAGTTAAAGAAGGAAGATTTAAGCAAACACATTTACCTCTATTCCGATTCAAACCCTACTGGAAAAAAAAAGCAATAGAGGGACTAAAACAAAACAAGACCCAGTTGTGGTGGCTCACACCTGTAATTCTAGAAACTCCAGAGGCTGAGGCAGAAGGTTAAAGCCAAGAGTTTGTGACCAGCCTGGAGAATATAGCAAGATTCTGTCTCTACAAAAATTAAAAATTAGCCAGGCATTGTGGCATGCACCCACAGTCCAGGTTACTTGGGAGACTGAGACAGGAGGATTGTTTGAGCCTAGGAGTTGAAGGTTGCAGTAAGCTATAATCATGCCAGTACACTCCAACCTGGACAAAAGAGTGAGACCCATATCTAAAAATAAGTAAGTAAATAAAAAACCAAGACAATGCCATAAACCCAAAGGATAAAGAACAAGACAGTAGAAGATAAAAATTTAGAAGTACAGATGCTACAGAGAAGGACAAATAATTGACTTAGTAGGCTCAAGAAAATCTGAATCTTCAGGTAGAAATGTGGAAAGCTGAGAAGATCTATTTATACCCGAGACTCAGGAATTGGCAGTATCAGACTCCATAGAGATGCGGATGAAAATAGGACTCAAAAGGCCGGGTGCGGTGGCTCACACCTGTAATCCCAGCACTTTGGGAGGCCAAAGCAGGTGGATCACGAAGTCAGGAGTTCAAGACCAGCCTGGCCAAGATGATGAAACCCCGTCTCTACTAAAAACACAAAAATTAACCAGGCGTGGTGGCAGGCGCCTGTAATCCCAGCTACTCGGGAGGCTGAAGCAGGAGAATCGCTTGAACTCAGGAGGTGGAGGTTGCAGTGAGCTGAGATTGTGCCACTGCACTCCAGCCTAGGCGACAGAGCGAGACTCTTGTCTCAAAAAAAAAAAAGAAAATGGGACTCAAAAAAGCAGATAGGGCCGGGCACAATGGCTCAGGCCTGTAATCCCAACACTTTGGGAGGTCGAGGCAGGCGAATCACTTGTGGCCAGGAGCTCAAGACTAGCCTGGCCAACATGGTGAAACCCTATCTCTACTAAAAATACAAAAAAATTAGCTGGGCATGGTGGTGCATGCCTGTAATCCCAGCTGCTCAGGAGGCTGAGGCAGGAGAATCACTTGAACCTGGGAGGCGGAGGTTGCAGTGAACTGAGATCATGCCATTGCACTCCACCCTGGGCAACAAGAGTGAGACTCCATCTTTTTTAAAAAAAAAAAAAAAAAAAAAAAAGGCTGGGCTCACACCTGTAATCCCAGCACTTTGGGAGGCCGAGGCGGGCAGATTCACGAGGTCAGGAGGTCGAGACCATCCTGGCTAACATGGTGAAACCCCGTCTCTACTAAAAATACAAAAAATTAGCTGGGTGTGGTGGCAGGTGCCTGTAGTACCAGCTACTGGGGAGGCTGAGGCAGGAGAATTGCTTGAATCCAGGAGGCGGAGCTTGCAGTGAGCCAAGATTGCACCACTGCACTCTAGCCTGGCCGACAGAGCGAGACTCCGTCTCAAAAAAAAAAAAAAAAAAAGCAGATATTCTCCCAGATTGCCATTCCCATTACTAGCACTCAGAAGACTAGAGGTATAAATCTCTAGAAGGAGTGAAACAGGAGGTCTACAGGCTTAACAGGCACAGTTGAGGATGGAAGTATCATACTGACAACAGAAGGAATAAATAGGAATATACACACTGATTGCTGAAACCCACTCTGTTCATTCAAAACCCTCTTTGCCTACTCAAAGGTTCCTAGAGGATAGCAGCCAAGCCTATACCTTCTACTAAGGAAGTGGAAAGATTGTGTTCTACTGATCGTTCTGAAGATGAGTACTACTGAATTTGGCAAGCCCTAGAGAAAATACCTAAAAATACTGATAAGGTCTACCTATAATCGCTAAGACACACACACAAACACACACCCTATAATCGGGAGTCTACCAGCCACTCCACCATCCAAATACATACAATTTCCAATCACTTTTAACCATAAGCAGTTAAACAAGAATCACCACAAATACAAGAAAAGCCTTAATATGAAGAAAAAACAGGAAAAAAGTAGCTTTGAAGACAAAATTAGAGACAAAAACTAAAAATAAGCTAATTTGTCATGAAACAGATATACAAGAACAGCATACAAAAAAGAACTCCTGAAAATTAAAAACACTACAGAAAAAAGTGAAAAAGTCAACAGATGCCATCAGAAGGTAAAGACAAGGAGCTCTCCTATAAAGTAGATCAAAATGACTAAGATGGCACATGGGAGAAAAAAAAGTAAGAAAATTAGAGGACGAGCCATGAGGTCCAACTGGCCATTAACTGGACCTTTCAGAGAATAGAAAAAAAGCACTGGGGGAAAAAAAATCAAGAATTCAAGAAATTTTCCTAGACCTGAATGACATGAGTTTCCTGATTAAAAGGGCCAAGACTGCCAGGTACAGTGGCATGTCTATAATCCCAGCTACTCTGGGAAGCTGAGGCAGGAGGATCACTTGAAGCCAAGAGTTCCAGACCAGACTGAGTAACAGAGCAAGATCTACCACGAAAAAAAAGAAAAAAAAAATTTTTTTTGAGACAAAGTCTCGCTTTGTTGTCCAGGCTAGAATGCAGTGGCACAATTTCAGCTCACTGCAACCTCCACCTCCCAAGTTCAAGCGATTCTCGTGCCTTAGCCTCCCAAGTAGCTGGAACTACAGGCATGCACCACCACGCCTGGCTATTTTTTTCTTCCCCCAAGATGTAGTCTCACTCTGTTGCCCAGGCTGGAGTGCAGTGGCACCATCTCGGCTCACTGCAACCTCCACCTCCTGGGTTCAAGTGATTCTCCTCCCTCAACCTCCTGAGTAGCTGGGATTACAGGCACGCACCACTACACCGGCTAATTTTTTTGTATTTTTAGTAGAGATCAGGTTTCACCATGTTGGCCAGGCGGGTCCCGAACTCCTGACCTCATGAACTGCCTGCCTCGGCCTCCCAAAGTGCTGCAATTACAGGCATGAGCCACTGCGCCTGGCCTTTTTTGTACTTTTAGTAGAGACAGAGTTTCACCATGTTGGCCAAGCTGGTCCCAAACTCCTGGCCTCAAGTGATCCACCCACTTTGGCCTCCCAAAGTGCTAGGATTATAGGCATGAGCCACTGCACCTGGCCAAAAAAATTTTCTAATAAGCTGAGCATGGTGGCACGCGCCTGTAGACAGGCCCAGCTACTCGGGAGGCTGAGGCAGGAGGATGACATGAGCTCAGGAGTCTGAGGCTGCAGTGAACTACGATCATACCACTGCACTCCAGACTGAGTGACAAAGCAAGACCCCATCTCTTTAAAAAACAAAAAAACAAAAAAATGGGGCCAGGCACAGTGGCTCACGCCTGTAATCCCAGCACTTTGGGAGGCCAAGGCAGGTGAATCACGAGGTCAGGAATTCAAGACCAGCCTGGCCAACATGGTGAAACCCTGTCTCTACTAAAAATACAAAAAAATTAGCTGGGCATGGAGGCAGGCACCTGTAATCCCAGCTACTCGGGAGGCTGAGGCAGGAGAATTGCTTGAACCAAGGAGGTGGAGGTTGCAGTGAGCCGACATCACGCCACTCACTGTACTCCAGCCTGGGCAACAGAGCGAGATTCTGACACACACACACACGCGCGCGCGCACACACACACACACACACACACACACACACACACACACACACACACAGCAGGGAGGGGACCTAAGAGTATCTAGAATAATGGATGAAAAAAATTATCTATTTTTAATTTTTTTTTTTTGAGATGGAGTCTCCCTCTATTGCTCAGGCTGGAGTGCAGTGGCGCAATCTTGGCTCACTGCAACCTCCGTCTCCCGGGTTCAAGCAATTCTCCTGCCTCAGCCTCCTGAGTAGCTGGGATTACAGGCACGCACCACCACACCCAGCCAATGTTTTTTGTATTTTTAGTAGAGACGGGTTTTCGGTGTATTGGTCAGGCTGGTCTCGAACTCCTGACTTTAGGTAATCCAACCGCCTCGGCTTCCCAAAGTGCTGGGATTACAGGCATGAATCACCGCGCCCAGCCCCCAAAAATTTTTTTTCAGCCTTTCTATGTTTCTGCTGGCAATGAGGAAAAAAACTTTTTAATTTTTAAAAAACCTATCATAAGGATAAAAAGATGACTCTCAAACTTCTAGAGGGGGGAAAAATCCTGACTACATACAGATGATTAAGATCAGAATTACAACAAACCTTCCATAGCAACACTGGAAGCAAGATAATGGGAAAATTATTCAAAATGCTGAAGAAAAATTATGTCCCAAGTAGAATTCAATGCCCAATTAAGTGTGGAGTCTAGAATATTTTTCAGATGTGCAGGGTGTCAAAAAATTTAACTCCCAAACATCTTCCTCTAGGGTCTACAAGAGAATGTGCACCAAAAAATAAGCATGTTAAAATGAAGAAAAGAGGAGGGAGTTTAGAAACCAAACAAAAAAATGAGACTGCACATGTGTGTGCTTACTGAAGTTTATATGAATAAATATAAGTATAAATAAGTTAGTTTAAAGGAATTTTTTAAAAAGAATTACTATTGGCCAGGCACGGTGGCTCATACCTGTAATCCCAGCAACTTGGGAGGCCAAGGCAGGCGGATCTCCTGAGGTCAGGAGTTCGAGACCAGCCTGACCAACAAGGAGGAACCCCCGTCTCTACTAAAAATACAAAATTAGCCAGGCATGGTGGTGCATGTCTGTAATCCCAGCTACTTGGGAAGCTGAGGCAGAAAAATCTCTTGAACCCAGGAGGCGGAGGTTGCGGTAAGCTGAGATCGCGCCATTGCACTCCAGCCTGGGCAACAAGAGCAAAACTCCATCGAAACGGAGTCTCATTCTGTCACTTAAAAAATAACAGGGTAGGCCGGGTGCGGAGGCTCACACCTGTAATCCCAGCACTTTGGGAGGCCGAGGCGGGCTCATCACGAGGTCAGGAGATAAGAGACCATCCTGGCTAACATGGTGAAACCCGGTATCTACTAAAAATACAAAAAAATTATCTGGGCGTGGTGGCGGGTGCCTGTAGTCCCAGCTGCTCAGGAGGCTGAGGCAGTGAGGCAGGAGAATGGCGTGAACTCAGGAGGCAGAGCTTGCAGTGAGCCGAGACTGCACCACTGCACTCCAGCCTGGGCAACACAGCGAGAATCCATCTCAAAAGAAAAAAAAAAACAGGGTAGATTTACACTAATATTAAAATACACTTAGCTGTAATATTTAACAGTTTAGTTCCAACATATGAATTTGTAGAGATTAACAGAACAAAATAGACTCTAAAATAGGCCTGAAATACAAAATTAGCTGGGCATGGTCATGGGCACCTGTAATGCCAGATACTTGTGAGGCTGAGGCAGGAGAATCGTTGGAACCCGGGAGGCAGAGGTTGCAATGAGGTGAGATGGCGCCATTGCACTCCAGCCTGGACGACAGAGCAAGACTCCATCTCAAAAAACAAATAAATAAATAAAATAAAAATAAAAATAGGCCCTAATCCATCAGGGAATTTAGTACATATAAAGGTGGTATTGATTTCATTCATTTCAAATTAATGAAAATAGATTACTCAACAATTGCTGCTAGCTGGGCACACACACCTGTAATAACAGCTACTTCAGAGATGAAGCAGGAGGATTGCTTGAGCCCAGGAGTTTGACACCAGCCTGGTCAACATAGCAAGATTCCATCTCAAAGAAAAATTTATTAATCAGAGTTTGAGACCAGACTGGGCAACACAGTGAAATCTCATCTATACTAAAAAAAAAAAAAGAAAAAAAAAATCAGCCAGGTGTGGTGCATACCTATAGTCCCAGCTATTCAGGAAGCTGAGGTGGGTGGATCACTTGAGCCTGGGAGATCAAGGCTTCAGTGAGCCGTGATTATGCCACTACACACCAGCCTGGGCGACAGAGACCCCATCTCCAATAAATTAATTAGTTAATTAATTGGTGTTAGAAAAACTGGGTAACCATCTAGGTAACCTATTCTAGTTTATGAGTAAGAAAATGTTCAAGAAAAATGTTAATCATTAAAATAAAAACATTAAAACACAGATTAAAGTATGGGAAATCTTTTTTTTTTTTTTGAGATGGAGTTTCGCTCCTGTTGTCCAAGCTGGAGTGCAATGGTGCAATCTTGGCTCACTGCATCCTCCGCCTCCTGGGTTCAAGCGAGTCTCCCGCCTCAGCCTCCCGAGTAGCTAGGATTACAGGTGCACACCACCATGCACAGGTAATTTTTTGTATTTTTAATAGAAATGGGGTTTCACCATGTTAGCCAGGCTGGTCTTGAACTCCTGGCCTCAGGTGATATGCCCGCCTCGGCCTCTGAAAGTGCTGACATTACAGGCATTACCATGTCCAGCCAGGAAATCCTTAAATATTTGTTTTCACGTGAGAAAGGCTTAACTTTTAAGCCTTGTCACAAAATTGAGAAGCCAAGTTTGAAGGGCAAAACTGGGGAAAAATACTGGCAAGAAATAGCAAAAGCTAATAACCAAAATATATTTACAGGGAAACAACTACAAATGGCTGGTATAATAGATAACAAGATAATAATACAAATTAAAACCAACACAAAATATCATTTTTCACCTATCAAACTGGCCAAAGATCAAGAAGTTTAACAATACACTCTTGGTAAATGTTTGTGTCAGGTACCTTACATTACTACAAATGATTCAATGTCTATGCAGGACAATCCACCTATCAAAATTTTAAGTGCTAATTTTCAAACAGTTTAATTTCACGCCTGGCGTGATGGCTCACACCTGTAATCCCAGCACTTTGGGGGGGCCAAGGTGTGCGAATCACCTGAGGTCAGGAGTTCGAGACCAGGCTGGCCAACACGGCAAAACCCCGTCTCTACAAATATACAAAAATTAGCGGGCAGGCACCTGTAATCCCAGCTACTCAGGAGGCTGAGGCAGGAGAACTGCTAGAACCCAAGAGGCAGAGGTTGCAGTGAGCCGAAATCGTGCCACTGTACTCCAGCCTGGGTGACAGAGCGAGACTCTGTCTCAAAAACAAAACAAAAAAATCAACAGAAACAAACTACTAATAGTAAACAATATGGATGAACCTTGCAATCATTCTGAATAAAAAAGCTAGACACAAAAGAGTACATACTGTATGATTCCACTTTTCAAGAAATTCTGTCTTTTACAAAGGCACTAATAAAAAAAAGAAAAAAAAAATTCTAGGCCAGGCAGGGTGGCTCACACCTGTAATCCCAGCACTTTGAGGGGCCAAGGCGGGCAGATCACGTGAGGTCAGGGGCCTGACACCAGCCTGGGCAACACGGTGAAACCCCATCTCTACTAAAAATACAAAAATTAGCCAGGTGTGGTGGCATGTGCCTGTAGTCCCAGCTATTCAGGAGGCTGAGGCAGGAGAACCGCTTGAACCCAGGAGGCAGAGGTCATGGTGAGCCGAGATCATGCCACTGCACTCCAGGCTGGGCAACAGAGTGAGAGACTGTCTCAAAAAAAAAAAAAGAAAAGACATTCTAGAGAAAGCAAACTAATCTACAGTGACAAAAAGCAGCTCAGTCATTGCCTGGGATGAAGAGTGGAGAGAGGGAGATTAACTTTTGGAGGTGACAGAAATGTTCTTTATCTTGACTGTAGTGGTGATTCCATGAATATTTAAATCTGTCAAAAGCTACCAAATTGTAATTTTAAGAGAGTACAGTTTATTATACATAAATTATGCTTTAATAAAGCTGTCCAACAAATAGAGATGTAAGTTATATGGAACCATGACGAAGAAACATTATTAAACCAAAAAAGCAAAGTGCAGAAGAGAGAATGTAGCATGTCTCCCTTTGTGTAAAGAGAGAAAAAGGAGATGGTGGAAGGAAGAGAATATACAGAATCATATGCCTTTTATGCATAAAATATATCTGGAAGGAGACACTAACTAATAATAGTGATGATTTCTAAACAAGAGAACTACTAGACCAAGTACCAGGAGTAGGAGAAAAGCTTACTTTTCACTATATACCCACTGAAATGTTTTATCATGTAGACATATAACCTTGTTGAAAAATAAAAATGTAAGTTAAAATTCTCTGAAAATATAAAATATATTTGGTACACTGATTAATCATCTTGGAAGATACTAAATCATAAAATTATATGCCACTTACCTTAAAGAAATAATATATCACCTTTTTCTTCAAGTTGATTGATGAATGATGCTTCTGATGAATGATACTTCTTATCACTTCCTGTATGTTTAGTAATCTTTAAAAAAAAAAACTCTATAGCCAAAGACAATCTATTGAAAAAAAAAAATACAAAAATATCACTATTAACTGATACATTAAAACAACTTAGACAAACCTAGACTAAAAAATGGCCCAGTCAGGTGCAGTGGCTCATCCCTGTAATTGTAGCACTTTGGGAGGCAGAGGTGGAAGGATCAAGGATCAAGGATCGCTTGAGCCCAGGAGTTTGAGACCAGACTGGGCAACATGATGAAACTCTGTCTCTTCGAAAATACAAAAATTAGCCTGGGGTGCTGGCACGTCTGTAAGTCCCAGCTACTTCGGAGGCTGAGGTGGGCGTATCACCTGAGCCCAAGGAGATAGAGGCTGGCAGTGGGCTGTGATCATGCCACTGCATTCCAGCCTGGGTGACACAGTGACACCCCCATCTCAACAACAACAACAAAAAGCCTGTGATGATTTTTCACAATTATATGCAAAACATTACACAACTGCTGTAATCCCAGAACTTTGGGAGGCCGAGGCGGGTGGATAACGAGGTCAGTTCAAGACCAGCATGGCCAAGATGGTGAAGCCCCGTCTCTACTAAAAAAATACAAAAATTAGCCAGGTGTGGTGGCGGGTGCCTGTAATCCCAGCTACTCGTGAGGCTGAGGCAGAGAACTGCTTGAACCCGGGAGGCAGAGGGTGCAGTGAGCCGAGATCGAGCCACTGCATTCCAACCTAGGCTACAGAGCAGGACTCCATCTCAAAAAAAAAAAAAAAAAACTTACACAACTGCATGGTCACCATCTCAATCTTATACCATATAATACAGTTTTTCTTAAAATATAATCACTACTTCTTATCCCACCTCCATGAGAGAATTATACTTTCCTTCTGAAAAGATACCAGGCTTGGTCACATGCCTTATTTTGGCCTCGGTGGGGACAGAGTATCTATACTTCCCTGACCTGATCGTCTTGGCCACCTGACTTACTTTGGCCAACCAGATGCCAGCCTATAGTTATCAAGTTGTACCAGTATCATTTGTTAAAAAATAGTATTCTTTACCCATTGAATTGTCCTGGCCCCTTTTATAAGATCCATTGCCGTAAATGTATGGTTTTATTTCTGGACTCTCAATTCTATCCCATTGGTCTTTATGATCTTATACCAGGACTACACAATCTTGATTACTGTAGCTTTCTAGTCAGTTTTTAAAAGATGAAGTGTGAGCCCAAAACTTTGCTACTCTTTTTCTTTTTTTTAGAGACTATGTCTCTCTATGTTGCCCAGGCAAGTCTCAAACTCCTGGCCCCAAGTGATCATCCCATCTCAGCCTCCTGAGTAGCTGAGACCACAGGTACATGCCACCTTACCTGGCTAATTTTTTTATTTTTTGTAGAGATGGGGTCTCCCTGTGTTGCCCAAGCTGGTCTCAAACCCCCGGGCTCAAGCCATTCTCCCACCTCGGCCTCCCAAAATGCTAGGATTACAGGTGTTTGAGCCACTGAGCCCAGCCTAAAAGAATTTTTTTATTGATACATAATGATTACACATATTTCTGGGGTACATGTGACATTTTGATACAGACATACAACCACGTAATAATCAAATCATGATAACTGGGATAATTCATCACCTCAAACACTTATTACTTGTATCAGGAACATTTCATATCTCTTCTAGTTATTTTGAAATACGCAACAAATTATTAAATACAGTCACCCTAGTGAGCTACCAAACACTAGAACTTATTCCTTCTAACTGTATTTTTATAACCATTAATCACTTTCTCTCTATCCTCTCCTCCCCACACCCTTCTTAGCCTCTGGTAACCACTATGCTACTCTCTACCTCCATGGGATCAACTTTTTTGTGGCTCCCACATAAGAACGAGAATATGCAGTAAATCTTTCCATGCCTAGCTATTTCACTGAACATAATGTCTTCCAGTTTTATCCATGTTGCTGCAGACAAGATTTCATATTTTTATGGCTGAATAATATTCCATTCCATACCACATTTTATCCATTCATCTGCTGATGAACACTTACTTAGATTGATTCCATGTCTTGCCTATTGTGAACAGTGCCACAATGAACATGGGAATGCAGGTATCTCTTCCATATACTGATTTATTAAAGCAATTATTTTCTTAATTTCCTTTTTGGATGATTCATCACAGTGTACACAAAACTAATTTTTGTACATTGATCTTGTGTCCTGTAACGTTGTTAAATTTAATGAGTTCTAATAGGTTTTTTTGTGTGAATTTCTTAGGATTTCCTACAGGTAAGATCATGTCATCTGCAAAGAGAGAGAGTTTTACTGCTTCCTTTCCAATCTGGACGCCTTTTATTTCTTTCCCTTTTGCCAGTCTACCTTGGCTAGAACCTCCAGTGGAAACCTCCTCCTTTCCACTGTTGAAAGAAGTGGTAAGAGCAGGTATCTTCATCTTATTCCTAAGTTTAGGGGGAAAGCTCTCAGTCTTGCATACTGTTAGGTATGATGTTAGATGTGGATTTTTCACAGATGCCCTTCTATTTCTAGTTTGTTGAGCAGTTTTATCATGAAAGGATATTTCATTTTGTCAGATTTTTTTTCTGCATCTATTGAGGTAATCATGTCCGTTTCTTTCCTTTATTCTATCAACATGGTGTGTCATACTGATTTTTATATGCTGAACCAACTGTGCACTGCAGGGATAAATGCAACTTGGTCATTGTGTGTTATCATTTTTATAAGTTGCTGGACTCAGTCTGCAAATATTTAGTTGAGGATTTGTGTGGACATATTCATAAGAAATATTAATCTGTAGTTTTCTTGTGATGTCTTTGCCTAGTACTAAGGTCTTTTTAGCACTGTGATGTCTTTTTAGTACTAAGGCAATACCAGCCTCATAAAATGAACTAAGAGATCCCTCCTTTTCTATTTTTTGAAAAGTCTATGAAGGATTGGTGTTAATTCTTCTTTAAATGTTTGGTAGATTGCATCAGTGAAGCCATCTGAGCCTGGGCTTTTCATTTTTGGAGGTATTTTTATTCAATCTCTTTGTTATAGGTCTATTCAGATTTTCTATTTCTTCTTGAGTCAGTTTATAAGAACTTGTCTATTTTATCTAGGTTATCGAAATGGTTAGCATACCATTGTTCATATTCCCTTTTAACCCTTTTTATTTTAGTAATATCTCTCATTCCTTATTTTAGTAATTTCTCTCATTCCTTATTTTGGTAATTTGAGTCCTCTCTCATTAAAAACTTTTTTAAAAAAGATAAAAGTAGCCAGGTGTAGTAGCTCATGCCTATTAACCCAGCACTTTGGGAGGCCAAGGTGGGAGAATTGCCTGAGCCCAGGTGTTCAAGACCAGTTTGGGCAACACAGCAAGACCCTATCTCTACAAAAAATAAATTAGCCAGGTGTGGTGGCACACACCTATGATCTCAGCAACTTTGGAGGCTGAGGCGGGAGGATCACTTGAGGCCAGGAGTTCTACTCCAGCCTGGGCAACACAGCAAAACGTCAAAACAAAAAACAAACAAACAACAACAAAATAAAACACAAGGTGCCCCTGGGTCTGGTGACACATGCCGATAGTCCCAGCTACTCAGGAGGCTCATGTGAGAGGATCACTTGAGTCCAGAAGTTTGAGCCTAGACTGTGCTATGATCCTGCCTACGAACAGCCACTGCACTCCAGCCCGGGCAACCCAGCAAGGATCCATCTCAAAAAAAAAAAAAAAAGCAAAACCCACAAGGTGGGTGGATTTGTCCTATCAGATATCAAGATTTACTATAAAACCACGTTAATGTGTGATATTGTTTCAAGGATAAACAAACAGACCAATGGAAAAGATCAATGACACAAAATAGACCAGAATCAAACCAAGTATTTAACATATATGATCATTTGGTTTTTAAGAGACAGCACTGTCACCTTAAAGAAATAGTACTGGGATAACTGGATATCACATGGGGGAAAAATGAAATTGGATCCTTAGGCTGCTCTGCCTAAGGAGTAGCCATTTTTTATTCCTTTACTTTGTTAATAAACTTGCTTTTACTTTACTCTAAAAAAAAAAAAGAAAAAGAAATTGTATCCCTACCTCATACAATACTAAAGTCAATGCCAAATGGACTGACTACAGACCTAAAATGTGAAAGGTGAAAATAGTAACTTACAAAGGATTGGTATGCACAGATTATACAATATGTATAAGATATCCTACAAATTAATAAAACAGCCAACCAAAGAGAAAAATGGGCCAGGTATGGTGGCTCACGCCTGTAATACTAACACTATGGGAGGCTGAGGCGTGCAAATCTCTTGAGCACAGGAGTTTGAGACTAGCCTGGACAACATGGCAAAACCCTATCTCTACAAAAAATACAAAAATAGCCGGGCATGGTGGCGTTCACCTATAGTCCCATCTACTTGGGAGGCTGAGGCGGGAGACTGCAGTGAGCCTTGATCGCACCACTCCACTCCAAGCTGGGCAACAGAGTGAGACTCTGTGTCAAATAAATAAATAAATAAATAGGATACAGAGATGATTTAATTTTAGAAATGTTAATAATAGATAACATCGGCTGGGCGCGGTGGCTCACGCCTGTAAGCCCAGCGCTTTGGGAGGCCGAGGTGGGCAGGTCACCTGAGGTCAGGAGTTTGAGACCAGCCTGGCCAACATGGTGAAACCACATCTCTACTAAAAATACAAAAATTACCCAGGCATGGTGCGCATCTGTAATCCCAGCTACTCAGGAGGCTGGGGCAGGAGAATCATTTGAACCTGGGAGGTAGAGGATACAGTGAGCCAAGATTGCACCACTGCACTCCAGCCTGGGCAACAGAGCAAGACTCCGTCTCAAAAAAAAAAAAAAATAGATAACATCAACAAGTCAAATAAAAACAATTACCCTATTACTTCAATGTAGCCACTTTCCCCCTCCAAGTCACTTCTTAAAATTAATCAGCCTTTTTCCTACACAACCCTAGGACTATTTTGCCCAACCTCATCTTGATGGTTTTTTTTACTTTTTTCTTTGTTATTTATTTATTTATTGCCCTTAAATAGTCTCCTATCCAATCGTCTTGTATTTCAACACACCACTGGAAACTTCTAGCTATCTCAAGGTACAGTAATTCCATCAGATTTACTGCAGAATCAAACCCCGTATACCTCTCAATCCCAACATAATTTACTGAAGGACTTTTTCCCCAAGCTGCTATGAAAGCCTCTTCAGTTCCATAAAACACTGGTGCAAATTCAGAAAGCCATCTAAACAGCTGGGAAAGATTTCTCTTCTGGGACAACAGAGTAGAGAGTAAGTTCTCAGCAATACTTAGCTCGAAGATGGCACAAAGCAAAGACGGCAAAGTCTACCGAGAACATCAGACCTCTCACACTTAAGGCCTTCAATTTGCACAGATCCATTCCCACCAGTCAAATGCAAGTCCGTCTTTTTTTTCCTCTCTTTTTTTTTCTCGCTCTGTCACCCAGGCTGGAGTGCAGTGGTGCCATCTCGGCTCACTGCAAGCTCCGCCTCCCGGGTTCATGCCATTCTCCTGCCTTAGCCTCCCGAGTAGCTGGGACTACAGGCACCCGCCACCACACCGGGCTAATTTTTTGTATTTTTAGTAGAGACGGGGTTTCACCATGTTAGCCAGGATCGTCTCGATCTCCTGACCTCGTGATCCACCCGTGTCGGCCTCCCAAAGTGCTGGGATTACAGGCATGAGCCACTGCGTCCGGCCGCAAGTCCATCATGTCAGTTATTTTCCCTTACTACCTTCCAACTCTCCTTATACTGCTGATCACTTCCTTTCTTAAACTCACCCACATGAACCCTTTTTCTTTTTTTTTTTTTGAGACTGCCTCTCACTCTGTCGCCCAGGCTGGAGTGCAGTGGCATGATCTCAGCTCACTGCAACCTCCGCCTCCCCGGTTCAAGCAATTCTCTTGCCTCAGCCTCCTCAGTAGCTGGGACTACAGGCACGCGCCACCACACCCAGCTAATTATTGTATTTTTAGTAGAGATGGGGTTTCACCATATTGGCCAGGCTGATCATGAACTCCTGACCTCGTGATCCGCCCGCCTCAGCCTCCCAAAGTGCTGGGAATACAGGCATGAGCCACCGCACCCAGTCATGAACCCTTTTTCTATGAAAAGCAGCTTCCTATATTCAATCTCTTCACAATACAAATTTTACTTTAATTGAATTTGTATTTCAATTTTAATTGAATTTGTATTTAATTTAAATTTAATTTAATTACCCTTAATTGAAAATTCACTCTCGGCCAGGCAAGAGGCTCATACCTGTAATCCCAGCACTTTGGGAGGCCGAGGTGGGCAGATCACGAGGTCAACAGATCGAGACCATCCTGGCCAATGTGAAGAAACCATCTCTACTAAAAATACAAAAAAGTTAGCTGGGCGTGGTGGCACGTGCCTATAGTCCCAGCTACTCAGGAGGCTGAGGCAGAACTGCTTGAACCCAGGAGGCAGAGGTTGCAGTGAGCCAAGATCTCATTACTGCACTCCAGCCTCACGACAGAGCGAGACTGTCTCAAAAGAAAAAAAAAAAAGAAAAAAATCCACTCTCTTGAAATTATACCCTTTTCTCTAAAACTCTCCAGTAGTGGCTAAATGGTGGGCCCCCCAAAAAATACACCTGTGTCCTAATCCCTGAATTAGGGATTGTGAATGTATCTTATTTGGGGAAAAAAGGTCTTTGCAGACATAATCAAATTAAGGATCTTGAGATGTGATCATCCTGGATTATCCAGGTAGGCCCTAAATCCAATAACAAATATCCTTGTAAGAGAGTGGCACAGATATCCTTGTAAGAGAAGGAGACAGACACAGACAAGAGAAAATAATATGAAAATGATGGCAGAGATTGGAGTAATGTGGTCATAGGCCCAGGAATGCCAGGGCAACCAACAGAAGCTAGATGAGGCAAGGAACAAATTTAAGATAATAAATTTCTATTGTTTTAAGCCATCAGGTTTCTGATAATTTATTAAAGCAGACATAGGAAACTGGTCTCTCCTAAGCAGGCTATATATATCACATCAAGAAGCCTACAGTTTTCCCAGCACAACCATTTTTTATCTTACACAAAATTCTTTACACATCTCTTTTAAGGTTTATGCCATTCTGCTATCAAACTTTCTTTCTTCATTGTTGTATTCCTACTGATCACCAGAAATTCTTCAATCATAATTTTCTTCTCCAATCACACTGTTATCATCAACTCCAAAGTTCACATGGATCACCACAGATGCTTTTTTTTTTTTTTTAATTTTTATTTTTATTGATCATTCTTGGGTGTTTCTCACAGAGGGGGATTTGGCAGGGTCATAGGACAATAGTGGAGGGAAGGTCAGCAGATAAACAAGTGAACAAAGGTCTCTGGTTTTCCTAGGCAGAGGGCCCTGCGGCCTTCCGCAGTGTTTGTGTCCCTGGGTACTTGAGATTAGGGAGTGGTGATGACTCTTAACGAGCATGCTGCCTTCAAGCATCTGTTTAACAAAGCACATCTTGCACTGCCCTTAATCCATTTAACCCTGAGTGGACACAGCACATGTTTCAGAGAGCACAGGGTTGGGGGGTAAGGTCACAGATCAACAGGATCCCAAGGCAGAAGAATTTTTCTTAGTAAAGAACAAAATGAAAAGTCTCCCATGTCTACTTCTTTCCACACAGACATGGCAACCATCCGATTTCTCAATCTTTTCCCCACCTTTCCCGGCTTTCTATTCCACAAAACCACCATTGTCATCATGGCCCGTTCTCAATAAGCTGTTGGGCACACCTCCCAGACGGGGTGGTGGCCGGGCAGAGGGGCTCCTCACTTCCCAGTAGGGGCGGCCGGGCAGAGGCGCCCCTCACCTCCTGGACGGGGCAGCTGGCCGGGCAGAGGGGCTCCTCACTTCCCAGTAGGGGCGGCCGGGCAGAGGCGCCCCTCACCTCCCGGACGAGGCGGCTGGCCGGGCGGGGGACTGACCCCCCCCACCTCCCTCCCAGATGGGGCGGCTGGCCGGGCGGGGGGCTGACCCCCCCACCTCCCTCCCGGATGGGGCGGCTGGCCGGGCAGAGAGGCTCCTCACTTCCCAGTAGGGGCGGCCGGGCAGAGGCGCCCCTCACCTCCTGGACAGGGCGGCTGGCCGGGCGGGGGGCTGACCCCCCACCTCCCTCCCGGACGGGGCGGCTGGTGGGGCGGGAGGCTGACCCCCCCACCTCCCTCCCGGACGGGGCGGCTGGCCTGGCGCGGGCTGACCCCCACCTCCCTCCCGGACGGGGCAGCTGCCGGGCGGAGACGCTCCTCACTTCCCAGACGGGGTGGCTGCCGGGCGGAGGGGCTCCTCACTTCTCAGACGGGGCGGCTGCCGGGCGGAGGGGCTCCTCACTTCTCAGACGGGGCGGCTGCCGGGCGGAGGGGCTCCTCACTTCTCAGACGGGGCGGTTGCCGGGCAGAGGGTCTCCTCCCTTCTCAGATGGGGCGGCTGGGCAGAGACGCTCCTCACCTCCCAGACGGGGTCGCGGCTGGGAAGAGGCGCTCCTCACATCCCAGACGGGGCGGCAGGGCAGAGGCGCTCCCCACATCTCAGACGATGGGCGGCCGGGCAGAGACGCTCCTCACTTCCTAGATGGGATGGCGGCCGGGAAGAGGCGCTCCTCACTTCCTAGATGGGATGGCGGCCGGGCAGAGACGCTCCTCACTTTCCAGACTGGGCAGCCAGGCAGAGGGGCTCCTCACATCCCAGACGATGGGTGGCCAGGCAGAGACGCTCCTCACTTCCTAGACGGGGTGGCAGCCGGGCAGAGGCTGCACTCTGGGCACTTTGGGAGGCCAAGGCAGGCGGCTGGGAGGTGGAGGTTGTAGCGAGCCGAGATCACGCCACTGCACTCCAGCCTGGGCACCATTGAGCACTGAGTGAACCAGACACCGTCTGCAATCCCGGCACCTCTGGAGGCGAGGCTGGTGGATCACTCGCGGTTAGGAGCTGGAGACCAGCCCAGCCAACACAGCGAAACCCCGTCTCCACCAAAAAAATACGAAAACCAGTCAGGCGTGGCGGCGCGCGCCTGCAATCGCAGGCACTCGGCAGGCTGAGGCAGGAGAATCAGGCAGGGAGGTTGCAGTGAGCCGAGATGGCAGCAGTACAGTCCAGCTTCGGCTCGGCATCAGAGGGAGACCGTGGAAAGAGAGGGAGACCGTAGGGAGAGGGAGAGGGAGAGGGAGAGGGAGAGGGCCACCACAGATTCTTAATCTCCTTAATTATTTACCAATTCTTAATGCATTTCAACTATACAACCTTTTAACCACATCAAAGGAACAAGAGAGAAGTACTGACTACAAATCTGAGTCTAGTGGCTTGTCAAATTCATAACTCCTTTCTGAAAAACCTGCCATGGCCACAGGCACCTCCTTTAAAAAAAAAAAAAAAACCTTAGACAATTCAGTTATATCCTGAAAGTCCTGACCCTGCTACGCTTCCCATAGCTAACTAGATCAAGTGTGGGTTTGTGACCCAAGAGGTGCCAATATCTAGTCACTATAAAGCAGGGTTTTCCAACTCACCACTATTAACATTTTGAACCACATAGAGTCTTTGTTATGGGTGGGCTGTCCCGTGCATGGAGGAGCAGCAGCCTGTTTAGCAAGAGCAGCAGCAGCCCCGACCTCCATCCACTAGATGCCAGTAGCAACCCTTCCCCTAGTCCTCACAATCAAAATATCTCTAGACACTACAAAATGTCTCCTCAGAGGCAAAATCACCCTGGGTTGAGACCTACTACTATAACAGCAAAGAACTAAATTAGGAATTACAGGATACCTGCTGCTTGAGGAATTAAAACAAGGCAAGCCTACTGCTAGAGCTGTACTATTCTCAGCCACCTTCTGAGTCCTGAAATATATTCAGGTTTCTGTAAGAGCTGGTGAATTGTTCTTCAGCAAAGCCTAGTGTTTGGTGATTCCTGTTTTCTTCTACAAGATGTAGCTCTGTAAACAGTCTTCTCTTATTTCTACATATCCTCCCAATGAACTACTATTATTTAAGGTAACCCAAGTATTTCTCACATTCTAAAATGCCTAATAGATCACTTGAGGTCAGGAGTTCGAGACCAGCCTGGCCAACATGGCGAAACCCCATCTCTACTAAAAATACAAAAATTAGCCAGGCGTGGTGGTGGGCGCCTGTAGTCCCAGCTACTCGGGAGGCTGAGGCAGGAGAATGGTGTGAACCCAGGAGGCGGAGCTTGCAGTGAGCTGAGATCGCACCACTGAACTCCAGCCTGTGCAACTGAGCGAGACTCCATCTCAAAAAAAAAAAGACTAAATTTATCTTCTGAAAATTATCTATTTTTGAAGAAAAATTTAATCCAGTGTCTTGTGATAACAACAAACTTTCAAACACTAGTTGAACAAAACACAACAGTAAATTTCAAATTTCCATGGGAGCAACTTTAACTTCTTAAAAGCAACAAGTATTTGTTTAATTTAACAACTCGATTTTCTGATGGGCTAAAATAGTCTACAACTACTGTGTGTGTGTGTGTGTGTGTGTGTGTGTGTGTGTGTGTGTATCTTTTTTATATATGAAAAACTACAGGAGAGCACCACCATGTCTGGCTAGTGTTTTTTTTGTAGAGACGGGGTTTCGCCATGTTGCCCAGGCTGGTCTCGAACTCCTGGGTTCAAGCGATCCACCTGCCTCGGCCTCCCAAGGTGCTAGGATCACAGGCTTGAATGTGAACCACCATGCCTAGCCTATGGTATATATTTTAAACATATATTATGATAGATGCTGGGTATAGGCATATTCCCACCCTCAAATAGCTTATGGAGAAATTATCTAAGTGGCGTATATCTTCTAAAACTGAACAGTATCTGTGTTACAAAGAATAATACTTGGCCGGGCATGGTGAGCCGAGATCACGCCACTGCACTCCAGCCTGGGCTGTAAGAGCAAAACTCCGTCTCAAAAAAAAAAAAAAAAAAAAAAGGGGCCGGCGCTGTGGTTCACGCCTGTAATCCCAGCACTTTGGGAGGCCGAGGCGGGTGGATCACGAGGTCAGGAGGTCGAGACCATCCTGGCTAACACAGTGAAACCCCGTCTCTACTAAAAATACAAAAAATTAGCCAGGCATGGTGGCAGGTGCCTGTAGTTCCAGCTACTCGGGAGGCTGAGGCATGAGAATGGCTGAACCCGGGAGGCAGAGCTTGCAGTGAGCCAAGATTGCGCCGCTGCACTCTAGCAGGGGCAACAGAGCGAGACTCCGACTCCAAAAAAAAAAATAGGCGGGGTGCGGTGGCTCACGCCTGTAATCCCAGCACTTTGGGAGGCCAAGGAGGGGGGATCACGAGGTCAGGAGATCGAGACCATCCTGGCTAACACAGTGAAACCTCGTCTCTACTAAAAAATACAAAAAATTAGCCGGGCATGGTGGCGGGCGCCTGTACTCCCAGCTACTCGGGAGGCTGAGGCAGGACAATGGCATGAACCCAGGAGGCGGAGCTTGCAGTGAGCGGAGATCACGCCACTGCACTCCACCCTGGGCGACAGAGCGAGACTCCATCTCAAAAAATAAATAAATAAATAAATAAAATAAAAATAAATAAATAAAAAGAATAATACTTGTCACAAAGACTATACTATTTATGGGGGATAAAAGTAAGTTAAATTTAATCCTCTCCAACGATGCCATAATAGAAACCTTTCCTGGGCCAGGGGTGGTGGCTCAGACCCATAATACCAGCACTTTGGGAGGCCAAGGTGGGCAGATAACTTGGGCCCAGGAATTTGAGACCAGCCTGGGCAACATAGTGAAATCCCGTCTCTTCAAAAAAACAAAACAAAAAAAAACAGAAAGAAACCTTTCCTAATATAAAGCTACTTGGAGTCCTACATAATTTTTAAGAGTATAAGGGGATCCTAAGACCAAAAAGTTTGAGAAACACTGCATTAAAGTAATACTTAATGCCTCCTTTTAATTTACCCTCTGAGTTTTTATCTGTGAGAATCTTACGTATGCTGCCATAAATGTTTAAAGTTCTTAGAAAAGCTCCTGATATATCACCAGTGCTTAAGTGTTAGCTATAATAATATTAATAATTAGCTATAATAATATTACAGGGAAAATGTTTTTATGAAAAGATAGAAAATATTGGCCAGGCATGGTGTCTCACGCCTGTAATCCCAGCACTTTGGGAGGCCGAGGTAGGGGGATCACCTGAGGTCAGGAGTTCAAGACTAGCCTGGCCAACATGGTAAAACCCCGTCTCCACAAAAATATAAAAAAAACTAGCTAGGCATGATGGCAGGTGCCTGTAATCCCAGCTACTCGGGAGGCTGAGGCAGGAGAATCGCTTGAAGCCTGGAGGCAGAGGTTGCAGTGAGCCGAGATAGCACAGCCTGGGCAACAGAGCAAGACTCCGTCTCAAAAAAATAAAAAAAAATTTACTTAGTTACTCCTGGCTTCGCTTAACTACTTGCCAACTCAATTTCCATATTATCATTATCCCCTTCAGTTTCAACAACTACATTAATTCTAAACATTCAATTATTTACCTTAAAGCAGTAGTGCTCAAAATGTGATATGGGGACTCTCAGGATTCCTGAGATCAAAATCATACGAGAGCAAAAGATTAAAAGTACAAAACAGACCAATGAATTCTAATGCAACAGAATGCAAAACACATGTAGACATGGTTTCAGATTCTACATCACAACTAACCTTTAAGAAATTACCACTTGTTAAGTTTTGTTGCAGAATCAGAGTATTACAACTATCTGAAAAAGCTAAAATACCCCACCCAACATACTGGTCATAAACTTCAACCAGAAACATATATAGCAACAGATTGATAGGAAAATCCAGCTGTCTTCTATCAAGGCCAAACATTAAGGAGATTTACAAAAATGTAATACCATCACCATTCCTTCACTAACTTATTTTGGAATATAGTTTTTCATTAAAATGTTATTTATTAAATATATTAAGCTGGGTATGCACACCTGTAGTCCCACCTATTTGGGAGGCTGAGGCAAGAGGATCACTTCAGCCCAAGAGCTCAAGGCCAGCCTGGGCAACACAGTGAGCCACTGTTACTAAAAAAAAAAAAAAATTTAATTAAAATTAAAATGTTATTTATATTAAGCTGTAGTTTAATTATTTCAAATGAATTAATATATATGAAATTAATTCCTAATACAGTAACTATCAATAGATATAAACCTATATAAACAAAAGCTACTTGGAGTCCTACATAATTTTTAAGAGTGTAAGGGGATCCTAAGACCAAAAAGTTTGAGAACCACTACATTAAAGTAATACTTAATACCACCTTTTAATTTACCCTCTGAGTTTTTGTGTGAATCTTACACGTGCTGCCATAAATGTCTAAAGGAAGCTGAACAGAGCAGAGGATATAAATCTTCCTTTAAGCATTGTAATGCAATCAAGCATAAGATGTATATGCCCCTTCCCCTCAGGAAAAGACAAGACATGATGGCTGGGTTAACAGAATGCTCTTATTTGCCAAAAGTAACTACAGTATTATAATACAGCTATAATACAGAACTTATACAGGAAAAACAGAACCAAAGGATTTTCATTGAATGATCCACAGAAAAATATGAAAGTCAGGGTTACAAAAGGGGTAATATAGTCCTTAATTATCTACAGTAACAATTTTACTGGAGTTGGTTTCTAGTACCTAAATTTTAATCACCTTCAATAGAAGGTATTCCAAGAACTCTATGTGGTACAAAAATCTGCCAATAAAAGTCATGAAAAAATATTTAACTATTACAAAAAAATCCATTATTCGAACTGTGCAGCGCTGGTCACGTTCATTAACAGAATAAATACAATCAGCTCTGCATAATAAATTACCAAGCTAAAAAGGACTATCTGGCAAAAGAAGTTAATGGCATTCATTAATTAGGGTACTTTTTTAGTTATTCTGTGAAGCATAATTTATCAATTTAAATGCCAGCACCTTGTATGGGACGGACATTAAAAAAATTACTTGGCCGGGCATGGTGGCTCACGCCTGTAATCCCAGCACTTTGGGAGGCCGAGGCAGGCGGATCACCTGAGGTCAGGAGTTCAAGACCAGCCTGGCCAACACGGTGAAACCCTATCTCTACTAAAAATACAAAAAAATTAGCCGGGCATGGTGGCACTTGTCTGTAATCCCAGCTACTCGGGAGGCCGAGGCAGGAGAATCACTTGAACCCAGGAGGCGGAGATTGCAGTGAGCCGAGATCTCGCCACTGCCCTCCAGCCCGGACGACAGAGTGAGACTCCATCTCAAAAAAAAAAAACAAACAATTACTTGTTCACTACAGGATTATAATATTGATTGAGAAAGGTGAGACAATAGCATATTTTCCTCAGTTAGCAATGATAAAGGAGTTCTAGCTCGTAAGCCAGGACAAATTTTGGAATTGTGCTTCCAAAGTCACATATCTGACCCAACAGTGATACTCTGCATTCTGCCTAAAAGGGAAAAAGTGGCTCTATTACAGTCCTAGTTTCCTCATTTCCTCACATGCTCTAGGCCTGAATTTGCGACTTCCAAATTAAGCACGTTTTAAAGCACTTCTCATCCTACTCCCATGTCTAATTCCATTGATTAGATTTTTTGCTTTTCAAAAAAAAAAAAAAATTCACCAGGCACAGTGGCTCAGGCCTGTAATCCCAGCACTTTTGGAGGCCCAGGTGATCACTTGATCCCAGGAGTTCGAGACCAGCCTGGGCAACATGGCGAAACGCCGTCTCAACAACAAATAGAAAACTTAGCCTAACATGGTAGCGGACGCCTGTAGTCTCAGCCACTCAGGGAGGCGGAGGTGGGAGGATTGCTTGGGGCCGGGGAGGGAGGTCAAGGCTGCAGTGAACAGTGATTACACCACTGCAATCCAGTCTGGGCGACAGAGCGAGACCCCGTCTCAAAATAAAATAATAACTTAAAACTTTATTCGTGTTGGTGTCCTGTGTAAAGCAGAAACTAAGTACTTGACCAGAAGACAAAGTGAATATAGCATAGTTCACTGCAACCTGGATGTTTTCAACTGAAATCTATGTTTTATCCACTTTTTTAAAAAAGCCAATGCTGGTGGGGGGACTAACCACACCTTATGCCACCAAGTAGCGCTTTTGTTTCCTGCGAAGCTTATTTATTGAGATATCGTTTTGTAATACTATCTAGATACTGTGTGCTGCGATTCCTGTTTAAAGGAATCTCATTGCAGCTAAGACTACAGAAAACATGGTTCATAGTACTTCTCAAATCGCAAAGCTTGAGCTCCTTCCTCCTCCTCTTCCTCCCTCCCCTGGTCCCCGCTGCGTCCCCATCGCCCCGGAAAATAAAGCACACGCCGGATTTTCGGACGCATCATTGAGAGGCGGAGGGAGAGGAGGTAGTCTTCGAATTGTTGGACTTGCTATCCCATTCTGCCTGTGCAAAATAAACCCCCATAGTAAAATAATCTTAACCCGTGATAAAAATCGAGGACCCAATTCTCTTTGGTTCGCCTCTCTCCATCGCTATAAACTTCACTGCGGCCCTCAATGCACTCATTTCTACTCCAGAGCCGCCCTACCTGTGCCGAGACCCCCATTTGCAGCATGAGTTACTCTATGACCTTGGGCCCGCTCCCCTCCCAAACTGAAGGCTGTAAAACCAAGACCCCACATCGCGCCCCGCAAACTGCAGAGGCCTCCAGGCTCAGGCCGGGTCAGCGGGTTGCGCCAGGAGGCGGCGAGGGACTGGCTCCGGTGAAGCGCCGGGAAGAGAAAACGCAGGGGGCGGAGACGGGGCCCGGAGCTACCTGCGGGACCAGCACTGGCGCTGCCCCGGTGCTAGCAATGGCTGCGCGCCACCTCGGGGCTCCCGGAGCCCTCGCGGCAGTGCTGGGAACTCCGGCCCTGCCCCGTCGGCGGTCACGACCCCTTATGAACTTCGACCGCCCAGCAAACAGCGGCAGGTGGTGCGCGGACACGCGAGCACGTTAGCTGCCTACCTCAAGCGACGGCGTCTTGGAGCCTAGAGCCTCCCACCTCCCTCCCAGGGGCGCGAAGAGCTGGGACCGGAGCAGTAGGAAGGGGCGTGCGAGGCAACACGCCACCGAGGGTGGAACAGGAAGAGGGAGAACTGTCCGCTCCCTGAAGGGGCTGGCAAAAGAGAGGTGAAGACACAGGCGGCGGGGACCGTCAGGGACGCTCGCGTACCTTCCTTTTGCCTGGCGGAGGGTCAGACTAGCGCCAGCGGATCGCCTCACATCCGGGTATCAGGAGACACTCAGCTGCTTCTGCTGCGGCCGCCGCCTCCCCCGCGGCGCAAACACCAAACTTCCGGCGACGACGGCGACGCCTCGCTCGTCAGATGGGAGTTACCTGTGACCGTCTTGGGTGCGCTTGCGCAACGCTCCTCTTCAGCCCTAACCGGCTCAGCTGACGTGCCCAGAAGACGAAGATGGCCGCCACGCTCACTGCGTGTCACGCAGTTTTTCACCCCGGCCCGGACGGCTGGGCGTCGAGGAAAGGCGAGCTAGTGTCCATCCTCAGCGCAGGCGCGGTGGGAGGCCTAGCGCGCGCGCCTCCGCGGGTGGTCGCCTGGCAGGGAAGTGGCGGCGCCCCCTAGCGGCGGCCGCTTGTCGTTCCTGGGGTCATCGCTTTGAGCTGAAAACCACCCAGGCCCCCAGCGGTTGTGGTTTACCTTGGAAATTTGTCGCAACTGGTTGCCATGTAGGTTTTGGCTGCTTCTGTCTGCGATGTATAATCCAAGTGCCTTTGGTCTTCCATATGAGCCAATGTAAAGAAGGAGGGTGGGGCCGGGCGCGGTGGTTCACGCCTGTAATCCCAGCACTTTGGGAAGCAGAGGCGGGTGGATCATTTGAGGTTAGGAGTTCGAGACCAGCCTGGCCAACATGGCCAACATGGTGAAACCCCGTCTCTACTAGAAATACAAAAATTAGCCGGGTGGTAGTGGCGTGCGACTGTAATCCCAGCTACTCGAGAGGCTGAGGCGGGAGAATCCCTTGAGCCTGGGAGGCGGAGGTTGTGGTGAGCTGAGACTGGGCCACTGCACTCTAGTCTGGACGAGTGAGACCCTGTCTCAAATAAAAAAAAAAGGAGGGTGCAGTCCCTACACTGCCCTCCAGCACCTCCAAAAAATGCAGGGCTTCGCCCTCTCCTTGCACACTTTCTTCCTGTGTATCAGAGTGCAAGAATCATCAGAAATTGTAAAATATTCTGCTAGACTTAGTCAGACTGAGTGTTCAGACAAAGCTTTGGCTCGCTCTTGGACGCCTCTAGAGATAGAATCCAAGATTCTATCACTAGGATTCATGGTTCCCACACTTCTTTCTTTTGTGACAGGAAGGATCTTGCTGTGTAGCCCTGGCTGGTGTGCAGTGGCACAGTAACGGCTCACTGCAGCCTCGACTTGGGCTCAAGCGATCCCACCTGCCTCAGCCTCCCTGAGAACTGCATGTATGAAGCCCACGACACCATGCCAGGCTAATTTTTTTTTTTTTTTTTGAGATGGAGTCTCACTCTTGTCACCCAGGCTAGAGTGCAATGGCACGATCTCGGCTCACTGCAACCTCCGCCTCCCAGGTTCAAGGAATTCTCCTGCCTCAGCCTCCTGAGTAGCTGGGACTACAGGTGCCTGCCACCATGCCCGGCTAATTTTTTATTTTTAGTAGAGACGGGGTTTCACCATCTTGGCCAGGCTGGTCTCGAACTTCTGACCTTGTGATCCCACCTGCCTCGGCCTCCCAAAGTGCTGGGATTACAGGCGTAAGCCACCGCGCCCGGCCGCCAGGCTAATTTTTTTATATTTTGTAGGGATAAGGTCTCACTGAGACCAGCCCAGGCTGATCTCGAACTCCTGGCCTCAAGTGATCCTCTCTTCTCTCCTTGGCTTCCCAAAGCGCTGGGACTACAGGCCTAAGCCACTGCTCCGGCTACTAGACTGCTTTTGAACATATGTTCTGTGCTACCCTTTGCTTATTTGCGGAACTGTGAGGCTAGTTCGGTACTTCTGCATTTCAGAATGGGAAGAGGTGATCATAAATGGGTTTTCCCCTTCCTGCCCTCCTTCTTTGAAGCCAAGTACAACCAAAATGTGCTCTAAGTTTGTCAAACCTGATGTTTTTCTGACAATTCATCTTCCACGAATAGTGAGCTGCCTGTCAGTTTGCGCAGGGAGATGTTATGGCTTAAAAACAAAAACGAGGCTGGGCGCAGTGGCTCACGTTTGTAATCCCAGCTGTTTGGGAGGTATTGATGGGTGAGGCCATTCTTCACATTACCATAGTTGTGTTACTTGGCAAAGACCTGTCCGCTGCTTCCACCTTCAGCTCCAGTCCCTGATACACACTTTAATGACATATGCCAAACAGCTCAAATTGGGGGCGGGGGGTGGGGCGGGGGAACAGGAGTAAACTACTGGTCTGGTTAAAAGCTGGTTATTTATCAGGAGACCTGACCTATGTTTCCCTTCATCTTCGTCTTCTGATTGCCAGACAACTGGTGGGACTTCTTTTGGTTGGATAAACTACTTTGTCTATAGTAATTCAAATTCTGGCATACAAAGAAACCATATTTATGAGTGTCGATTCTCACAAAATAGGCCTCTGCTTCTGAGTAGTCTATTCCACTCTATGTGCTAAATTGGCCTCAATCAGGAGCATAGGAATTCGTGCAAATATCAGACCATATGAAATCATAGCCCTCCGGCCAGGAGCCTAGGCCATAGCAGCTTGTTGCTCTGCTGACCCTGGTGTCTGATCCCAGCCAGTGGCCTTAAAAAAACAAGAAACGAAATAAATCATGTATTTTCGATACATAATTCATGCCTGCAATTTATGCTGTATTTTCTTTTTTTTTTTTTTTTTTTTGAGACAGAGTCTTGCTCTGTTGCCCAGGTTGGAGTGTTGTGGCGTGATCTTGGCTCACTGCAACCTCCGTCTCCCTGGTTCAAGCAATTCTGCCTCAGCCTCCAAATTAGCTGGGATTACAGGTGCCCGCCATGACGCTCAGCTAATTTTTTTGTATTTTTAGTAGAGACAGGGTTCCACCATGTCAGTCAAGCTGATCTGGAACACCGGACCTCAGGTGATCCACCCTCCTCGGCCTCCCAAAGTGCTGGGATTACAGGCATGAGCCACCGTGCCTGGCCTTATTTTCTTTTCTAAAACTATATATAATCAGTTTCTGTGAAAAGAATAAATAGTTTGCGTTCATGGGAAAAAATAAACTTTCTTGAGCATTATTCTTTATCATTTTGAAGGATATTTTTCACTTCCGATTCATGAATACCAGTAGTCTCAATTTGTAGTGTAATTGATTAAATCTTCCTCTGAACTATTATATCATATTTGTTTTTCCTTCTATCGGTAGTTTTCTTTTAGAGCATTCTATCTATGAGCTTTGGAATTTGGTTCATTTAATTTGGTTGTCTACTAAGAAACAATAATAATCTGATTAAATAATAATCCATTATTATTTAAATGTCTTTGAGATTACAGTCTCTTTCAGGAAAGAGTAAAGAATTAAAGTTGGCCGGACACAGTGGCTCATGCCTGTAATCCCAGCACTTTGGGAGGCCGAGGCGGGCAGATCATCTGAGGTCAGGAGTTCAAGACAAGCCTGACCAACATGGTGAAACCTCGTCTCTACTAAAAATACAAAAATTAGCCGGGCATGGTGGCACCTGCCTGTAATCCCAGCTACTCAGGAGGCTGAGGCAGGAGAATCACTTGAACCCTGGAGGCAGAGGTTGCAGTGAGCTGAGACCGTGCCACTTGGGCAAAGACTTCATCTCAAAACAAACAAACAAAAAAAGAATTAAAGTTTTTTGAGGAAGAGTGGGAGGAGGGAGAGGAGCAGAAAAGATAACTGTTGGGTACTGGGTTTAATACCTGGGTGATGAAATAATGGGTACCACAAACCCCCATGACACGTGTTTACCTGTGTAACAAACCTTCACATGTACCCTCAAACCTAAAATAAAAGTTAAAAATTTTGTAAAAAAGAAAAATAAAAATATAACTTATAATTTGGAAATATAACTGTTACTTATGTCTACATCTAAAGCATTTTTATTAATGAATGAATAAATATTTTTAAATGTTAAAAGTTTTACAATTAGTGAGAAGCCTAGCATTGAACAGGTAGAGAATTATAGATCACAACTGAAAGAATCACAAGTTTTAGTTCAAAGGGGGTCTAAGACTAGCAAGAAAATATTTTTTCAGATAACTGTAGGAAGACATTCAACTTAGAAAAAGAAAGTAGTGTTTGATAATCCAAACAAAATGTTAGTCAGGTCTCTTTAGTTAGAAAATGACTGAAATCCAGCTCAAACTCATGTGAGCAACATTTAAAAAAAAAAACAAAAAAAAGTATTGCTACCATAACCAGGAGCTATAGGGGAACTGCTGACCTCAGGTCATCCTAAAACCTGAGGATGTCAGATGATGTCAGCAGGACACTCTACAATGCCCAGCTCTTCTTTCATCTGTATTAGTTTCATTCTCAAGTATGCTTTCCTGACAACTCGGCAGAGATTACATAAGTTCACAGCAAACTGGTTTCAGTGAAAAGAGTGGCCCCCGTTCTGAGATCTCCCAAGAAAGTCCTGGGGACATCTTTGATTGTTTCAGCTTTGATGTGTACCAGTGCTAGAAATAAACGCTATAACCTAGATGACACATCGTGGTGCTCAACATTATAGTTACATAAGTGGTGAAGGTCTTTTTCACACCCCCTACAGCAAGAATTAAAAGACCATGTTCTCCTGCTGAACTCAAAACCATGAATGTAATTTCCTGGACTTGTTTAAATTGCTTGTTTCCTTACTGACTCTAAATTGCAGTATATACTTTTCTGCCTTTGCTTATCAGTAGGATGTCTACTTCTGAAAACTAATAATGGAATAGTTGCATTGCTCCATGTATTATTTTCCCATTTCCTTGTTCCTTTTCTGTCTTGTGACCAATCTAAATGCCTGCAATAGATAAAGCCTCTGCCAAATCACAGAGGACAGGACAATCTCACTTTCAGATTAATCCTCCTGCTAGCAGGAAATTAAGGCATTATTTGTTGCCCCACTCTTGTTGACTTTATTTCAGGACTCTTTGATGGTTTTATGCTATGAGAAAGTAAAAATCCTAAAAAATTTTTGAGCTAGAAAATAAAAAGTACAGCAATTTAGGATAAATCAACTGACAATGACATTTCAATTTGCCATCTGGGAGACACATCACTACCATACAAATAATAATGCTGGCCCCACATACTTGAGAGGGGATGAGTAGGTGTTAGCCAGATTAAAGAACTGTATGTATGAAAGACTGGAGAGGAAGTAAGCTTGATGAATTGCAAGAACTCCATTTTTGTTTTTCTTTTTTTCTGAGATGGAGTCGCACTCTGTCACCCAGGCTGGAGTGCAGTGGTGCGATCTCGGCTCACTGGAACCTCCACCTCCTGGGTGCAAGTGATTCTCCTGCCTCAGCCTCCCAAGTAGCTGGGACTACAGGCACCCACGACCACACGCAGCTAATTTTTTGTATTTTTAGTAGAGACGGGGGTTCACCATGTTGTCCAGGCTGGTCTCAAACTCCTGACCTCCCATGATCTGTCTGCCTCAGCCTCCCAAAGTGCTGGGATTACAGGCGTGAGCCACCACGCCCAGCCCCAAATATTCTTATACTATTGAGGGGAAAGGGGATGGCTTAAGAAGTAGGCAGGCCCCTGTCAACCTAAAAGGAAGAGGCTGAAACACAAAATGTGATTTAAAGAGTTTACTTGAGCCAAAGTGAGGACAGCTGCCCGGAAGACTCAGACACAAGTAAATTTGAATACGAGCTCCTTTTGGCCTTTGTTACAAGCAGGTTTTTAAAGGCAAAAAACCTGGACAGGGAGTGAGCTGATAGAAAGTTGTTTTTCAAGAATTATCATTGGCTTACAGAAATAACATTGATTAGTGATTGACTATGCATTGTTAAGCTATAGAGTATGGGGTTTAGTGTCTGGTGTGGCATTAGTAGGTAATTTATAGCTACTTGTAATAATAGTGAACAGTTTTGTGTGTGTGTGTGTGTGACCGGGTCTGGCTTTGTCGCCCAGGCTGGAGTGCAGTAGCACCATCTCAGCTCATTGCAGCCTCCACCTGCCTCAGCCTCCCGAGTAGCTGGGACCACAGACGTGCACCACCATGCCCAGCTATTTTTTTTTTTTTTGTATTTTTAGTAGAAACTTGGGGTCTCAACATATTGCCCAGGCTGGTCTTGGACTTCTGAGCTCAAGGGAGGCTCCCATCTTGGCCTCCCAAAGTGCTGGAATTACAGGTGTGAGCCACCAGGCCCGGCCACAAACAGTTTCAATAGATGAATGAGACGTGTGTCTCATTTTAATGTTTCTCTGGGCTTGATAAAGTTAAAAAACTCTGATTCATCAAATACAAGTTATTTTCTTTTATCAGCCCAAAGTAGGAGGGGCCTTCAAGATAATAGAGAGGAGTACCCCATGCTCAGTACTGGGGATACTGCAGAGAACAATACATTCAAGTCTCCTTCCTCATGGAGCATGCATCCTAATAGAAGAGGCATTCAGTTATTATTTTTTTTTCTTTTTTTTTTTTTTTTTTCCAGATGGAGTCTCGCTCTGTTGCCCAGGCTGGAGTGCAGTGGCGCCATCTCGGCTCACTGCAAGCTCCGCCTCCGGGGTTCACACCATTCTCCTGCCTCAGCCTCCCGAGTAGCTGAGACTACAGGCGCACGCCCGGCTAATTTTTTTGTATTTTCAGTAGAGATGGGGTTTCACCATGTTAGCTAGTATGGTCTCGATCTCCTGACCTCGTGATCTGCCCGCCTCGGCCTCCCAAAGTGCTGGGATTACAGGCATGAGCCACCGCGCCCGGCCTATTATTTTTTTTTTTTTGAGACAGAGTCTCACCTTGTTGCCCAGGCTGGAGTGCAGTAGCACGATCTTGGCTCACTGCAACCTCTGCCTCCCAGGTTCAAGCCATTCTCCTGCCTCAGCCTCCTGAATAGCTGGAATTACAGACGCCCGCCACCACACTCGGCTAATTTTTGTATTTTTAGTAGAGACAGGGTTTCACCATGTTGGCCAGGCCTGTCTCGAACTCCTGACCTCAGGTGATCCGCCCACCTGGGCCTCCCTAAATGCTGGGATTACAGGTGTGAGCCACTACGCCCAGCCGAGGCATTTAGTTATTTCACAAATATTTATTGAGGACATATCAACAAAGCATTATTTTAGATGCTGGAGGTGCTGCAGTCAACAGAAAAGACATAATTCCCTGCTTTCAGTTTGCAATCTTGTATCTGACAATAAATAAGTAAATAATTAAATGCTAAGAAGGAAACAAATATGGTCCTCAAAAAACACTGTGCAATCACACTTTCTATGATGATGGAAATATTCATATATCTGCATTGTTCAAAAGGGTAGCCATAGACACATATGAGTATTTGAAATGTAGTTACTAGGCCAGGCATGGTGGCTCACGCCTGTAATCCCAGCACTTGAGGAGGCCGAGGAGGGTGGATCACAAGGTCAGGAGTTCAAGGCCAGCCTGGCCAAGGTGGTGAAACCCTGTCTCTACTAAAAATACAAAAATTAGCCGGATGAGGTGGCGGGCCCCTGTAATCCCAGCTACTTGGGAGACTGAGGCAGAGAATTGCTGGAACCCAGGAGGTGGAGGTTGCAGTGAGCTGAGATGGAGCCACCGCACTCCAGCCTGGGTGATGGAGCAAGACTCCATCTCGAAAAAAAAAAAAAGAAATGCAGTTACCAAAATTGAGGAGCTGAATTTTTTTTTTTTTTTTTTTTGAGATGGACCCTTGCTCATCGCCCAGGCTGGAGTGCAGAGGCGTGATCTCGGCTCCCTGCAAACTCCACCTCCCAAGTTTCAGCAATTCTTCTGCCTCAGCTTCCCGAATAGCTGAGACTACAGGCATGCACCACCATGCCCGGCTAATTTTTTTGTATTTTTAGTAGAGATGGGGTTTCACCATGGTGGCCAGGATTGTCTTGATCTCTTGACCTCATTCATGATCCACCTGCCTCGGCCTCCCAAAGTGCTGGGATTACAGGCATGAGCCACTACACCTGGCCTGAGGAGCTGAATTTTTAAATTTTATTTAATTTTTTTCATTTTTGAGATAGGGTCTTCCTGTGCTGCCCTGGCTGGCCTCAAACTCCTGGGCTCCAGTGATTCTCCTGCCTCAGCCTTCCAAGTAGCTGAGACTATAGGCATGCACTGCAGGGCTGGCTATTTAATTCTAAATAGCAACATTCAGGCAGTATTCATTATCTAGGGGCTCATTGATGTCATCACAGGTTTTAGTTTTTTATAAACTCTGTCCTTGGCTGGGCACAGTGGCTCCCTGTAATCCCAGCACTTTGGGAGGCTGAGGTGGGAGGATCAATTTATTCCCAGGAGCCTAAGGCTACAGTGAGCTAGGATCACACCACTGCACCCCAGCCTGGGCAACAGAGCAAGATCCTGTCTAAATGAACAAACAAACAAAGAAACAAACAACACTATGTCCTGAAATTGGTTCTTCTCCTGGTTGTAAGGAAGTTCCCAACAGCTCCAGGGGTTACTCCCTTTCCATTCACAACAAAAGAAAAGAACATTCCCTCTAAAGGTCCAATTGGATCAACTTAGATCCCAAACCTACTGTGAACAAGTAATGGAATGGAGTATTAAAAGGGTAGAGTCAGCTTTCTTAGGACCACAAGGATCACAAGAAGAATATTAGAAACATTTGGAAAGACAAGGGAATAGATGTTGAGAAGGCAACACACAAATATCCGTTTTAGCCTTGCTACTCAAATTGATGTGTATAGAGTAGGGGCAGCTTCATCAACTGAAGGCTTGTTAGAACTGCAGAATTTCAGGCCCCACAACGATTGAATCAGATTTTCATTTTAAAGTTTCCAGGCTGGGCGTGGTGGCTCAAGCCTGAAATCCCAGCACTTTGGGAGGCCAAGGTGGATGGATCATCTGAGGTCAGGAGTTCGAGACCAGCCGAGCTAACATGGTGAAACCCCATTTCTACTAAAAATACAAAAAATTAGCTGGGCGCAGTAGTGAGTGCCTGTAATCCCATCTACTCAGGAGACTTAGGCAGGAGAATCATTTGAACCCAGGAGGCAGAGGTTGCAGTGAGCTGAGATCGTGCCATTGCACTCCGGCTTGGGCAACAAGAGTGAAACTCCATCTCAAAAATAAATAAATAAATAAATAAATAAATATAAAGTTTTGGCCAGGCGTGGCAAGTCAGTCTCAAACAACAAAAAAAGGGCAATATTTATCAAAGTTTAATGTGTGTAGGACTCACCTGGGGAAACTTTATTTTTTTTAATTTTTATTATTATTATTATTTTTTGAGACGGAGTCTTGCTCTGTCGCCCAGGCTGGAGCGCAGTGGCACAATCTCCACTCACTGCAACCTCCGCCTCCCGGGTTCAAGCAATTCTTCTGCCTCAGCCTCCCGAGTAGCTGGGACTCAGCCTCCCAAGTAGCTGGGACTACAGGCATGCGCCACCACGCCCAGCTAATTTTTGTATTTTTAGTGGAGACGAGGTTTCACCATGTTGGCCAGGATGGTCTCGATCTCTTGACCTCATGATCTGCCCATCTCGGCCTCCCAAAGTGCTGAGATTACAGGCATGAGCCACCATGCCCAGCCGATAAGTATTGTCTTACAATATCTAAGAGTTCTGTTGATCAGCGATGAAGTCTAGGCTAGAGATACAAATCAAAGTCATGGTTTTGGAGGAGATTACCAGGTTAAAAGAAAAAGTATACATAAAAAGACTACAGCCACAAGCCGGGAAACACTGTGACATGTATTGGCTCCATAGGGAAGGAGGAACCAGCTAAGGAGATTTAGAAAGAGTAGTTAGAGGCTGGGCATGGAGGCTCTGGGCCTGTAAACCCAGTACTTTGGGAGGCCACGGCAGTGGAATCTCTTGAGCCCAGGAGTTGGATACTAGCCTGGGCAACATAGTAAGACCTCTTCTCTACGAAATAAAAAATAAAATATTAGCTGGGCATGGTGGCACGCACTTGTGGTCCCAGCTACTGAGAAGGCTGAGGCAGGAGGATAGCTTGAGCCCAGACGGTCAAGGCTGCAGTGAGCCCTGATTGTGCCATTGCACTCCTGCCTGGGCAACAGAGCGAGAAACCCTGTCTATAAACAAAACAAAACAAAGCAAGAGTAGTTAGTAGGATAAGGAAAAAGGCCAGGTGAGCTTGGCATCCTGAAACCCGAAAGAGGGAAGGGGAGTGTTTGTGTTAAATTTTGATGAAGCTCACATACTAAAGAGACAATAATGCCGGGCGCGGTGGCTCACGCCTATAATCCCAGCACTTTGGGAGGCCGAGGCGGGCGGATCACGAGGTCAGGAGATCGAAACCATCCTGGCTAACCCCGTCTCTACTAAAAATACAAAAAAATTAGCCGGGCGTGGTGGCTGGCGCCTGTAGTCCCAGCTACTTGGGAGGCCGAGGCAGGAGAATAGCGTGAACCCGGAAGGCGGAGCTTGCAGTGAGCCGAGATCGCGCCACTGCACTACAGCCTGGGCGACAGAGGGAGACTCTGTCTCAAAATACATACATACGTACGTACATACATACATACATAAAAAGACGATAATTAGCGGGCCATGGTGATGCGCGCCTGTAATCTCAGTTACTGGAGAGGCTGAGGCACGAGAATGGCTTGAAACCGGGAGGCAAGGGTTGCAGTGAGCTGAGATCGCGCTACTGCACTCCGGCCTGGGCGACAGAGTGAGACTCCATCTCAAAAAAATAAAAAATATATATATTTTGATGAGATGTTGAGAAAGATGAAGACTGAAAAGTTTGTCTTATAGATTGGAACTTAAAGTGAAAATAATCTGCTACATTGTGGATTTTATTTTTATTATTATTATTTTTTGAGACGGAGTCTCGCTCTGTTGCCAGGCTGGAGTGCAGTGGCACGATCTCAGCTCACTGCAACCTCCACCTCCTGGGTTCAAGCGATTCTCCTGCCTCAGCCTCCCGAATAGCTGGGACTACAGGCGCGCATCACCACGCCCCGCTAATTTTTGTATTTTTAGTAGAGGCGGGGTTTCACCATGTTGGCCAGAATGGTCTCGATCTCTTGACCTCGCTATCTGCCCGCCTCGGCCTCCCAAAGTGCTGGAATTACAGGCTTGAGCCACAGCGCCTGGCCCATTGTGTGATTTGCTTCAGGTACAGTAAGCAATGCTAGGTTCCTGGTGTTGGAACAGAATCAGCATAAGACTTTGGGCTTCTCTAAGACCTTCTTTCCGTTCAGTGAGGAATTTGTATTAGGTGCTGCACTCACAGTGCCCTGCTGTTCAGAAACGTGATGGTGACAGTACTTTTTTTTTTTTTTTTTTTTTTTGGGAGACGGAGTTTCGTTCTTGTTGCCCAGGCAGGAGTGTAGTGGTGCGATCTCCGCTCACTGCAGCCTCCGCCTCCCGGGTTCAAGCGATTCCCCTGCCTCAGCCTTCCGAGTAGCTGGGATTACATGCGCCCGCCACCACGCCCAGCTAATTTTTTGTCTTTTTAGTAGAGACGGGGGTTTCACCCTGTTGGCCAGGCTGGTCTTGAACTCCTGACCTCAGGTGATACCCCCGCTTCGGCCTCCCAAAATGCGACAGTCCTATTAATTGGATTTAATCTCTTCGAATCTCCCTCTCTTGTAGGACATTTTTCTCCAAGACCAGCCCTCGATACCCTCAGCCGTCGCAAGGCAACCTCCAGCCGCCAGGGGCCGCAGTCGCGCTCCTCGCGGCCGGAAGAGAGTGCGGCCCAGCGCAGCCTCGGCGTTTCCGCCATGCGCCTGCAGTGCTCCGCGCGCTCTTGACGTCCGGAGCCCCTGGAGTAGGCGCTTCCGGCCATTCATACTGCAGTCGGTCAGTGTTCGGTTGAAGGATTCTGTGTGCTGTCGGACCCAGAGGGTGACGGCGCCGCTAGGATGAAGCTCGTGAGGTGAGGGAGTGACCAAGCAGCTCTGGGGGCTGTGAAGGGAGGGCTTGGCCCGGAGTCCGGAAGGCTGGGCTCTCCCATTTGCAGGAGGCGGGAAAGCCGCGTGTGCGCGGCCTGCTAACGGCCGGCCTTACTGCGCCCGCAGCTCGTGCTCGGGCCTGGGCTTCCGCCTGGGTCGCTCGCGGATCCCGCGTGTCTTCCAAGAGATTGGTATAAAGGCCGAGCCTTTTCTTCCTGCCTAGTGACTTAGAGGCTTTAAAGATGCAGCGCCTCCTGGGACACATCTCCCTCTTACAGTTACTCATTTTCTTTTTGAGTGGAACTCCCCAGTCCTGCTTAACAGTACTTAGAAAGCTGTATGAGCTTATCTGGAAACAAACCTGTTTGCAAAATATTTTAAATCAGAGAAGGACTTCCGGCTTCACAAGTTTTTGTTTTTTTAAATAAAGATGGTGTCTCACTTTGTTGACCAGGCTGGTCTCGAACTCCTGGGCTCAAGCTTTCTGCCCGCCTCGCCCTTCCAAAGGGCTGAGATTACAGGTTTGAGCCACCGTGCCCGGCCGATTTTTAAGTTTACCTTTTTATCCTCCTTAGATTTGTGATTGATTATTCCACCTCTATTTCCCTTTAAGGTAGGCTTTTTATTTAGGAAAATCTCCCAATATAGGGCAGAAATTATCACAACGTAATTGTGGCTGATTACTCAGATAATATATAGTTCTCCTGTTTTATTTCTTAAGAAATAAATAGACCCTGTCAGTTAGGTGAGTCTTCTGAAAACTTGTTTGCTGATGTGAATAATTCTAAACTACCTGCAAGTAGATTTGGTTTTGGTGTTTTTCCTTGAGACTAAGCCTGGAACAGAGGCAGACGTTTCTAATAGCTAAGCCAGCAATTATAAATATTTAGCTTGTTTTTTTCCTGTTGAGTCAAGGATTGTCAATATCCGCTAAATAGTTATTGGGCACCTGTTACATACTAGGCGCTGGTAATAGGATTTTTTAAAAGGCAGAGTACCTGCCTTGTTGGAGTTTTCTGGTTAGTGGGGATGACAGACAAGTAGATAACGTCTGAAGTAACGTTTGTTTGAAACGTTTTAAATAACACATAAAAGCCTTCAACACTCAGGGAGGAGGCCAGGCGCAGTGGCTCACGTCTGTAATCCCAGCACTTTGGGAGGCCAAGGCGGGTGGATCACTAGGTCAGGAGTTCGAGACCAGCCTGACCAACATGGTGAAACCCCGTCTCTACGAAAATTACAAAAGTTAGTGGGGCGTGGTGGCGCGCGCCTTTAATCCCAGCTACTCAGGAGGCTGAGGCAGGAGAATCGCTTGAACCCAGGCGGCAGAGGTTGCAGTGAGCCGATATCGTGGCACTACGCTCCAGCCTGGGCGACAGAGCGAGACTCCATCTCAAAAAAAAAAAAAAAAAAAAAAAATTATATTCAGGGAGGAGTTGGTACAAAAGACATTTAAGGTTAATTTTTGGTATATTTTTATTTGAACTATAACTTTGGATAGGAAGTCATAGAATTTAAAGTGCATTTTTTAGGCTGGACGTGGTGGCTCACGCCTGTAATCCCAACACTTTGGGAGGCTGAGGCAGGCGGATCGCCTGAGGTCAGGAGTTCAGGACCTGCCTGGCCAACGTGGTGAAACCCATTCTTTCGAAAAAATACAAAAATTAGCCGGGCATGGTGGCGGGCGCCTGTAATCCCAGCTACTCAGGAGGCTGAGGTAAGAGGATCACTTGATCCTGGGAGGTTGCAGTGAGCTGAGATCGCACCACTGCACTCCAGCCTGGGCAACAGAGTGAGACTCGGTCTCAAAAAAAGAAAATTACATTTTTTGAAATTTCTCCATACCTGCCAATCTGAATCTTAATCCACTCATAGTTCAATTTTGTGTAATACACCTTGGATTCCATTTGTTCCCTTTAAAGATACTGCATGTTATGACAATTTTCCAGTAATTTTTAATACCTGTACTGAATCCTGTTTTGTGTCTTAGGTAAAATATAGAAACAAATTTTTTTTCTTACCAGAGAATGTATTTTTCCTCCAGAAAATGATTGTTTGACTAACTGGTTTGCATTTTCAGTAGATTTATTTCTGTATCTCAGTTGGCAGCATTGTCATCCTTATTCTCACTGTCACCCTAACCAAAAACCTGGGAGGTGAGCTTGACTTTTTCTCTCCTGATGTCCTTGACATTTGATACATTGCCAATTTTGCCAGTTTTACCTACTTCATAAAAGTGACCCACATTATCCTGTTTGGTTTTTGGGTTCAAATAGTGTGTTTTATACTGAGGGACACTGTGTTACTATTTGATATCCAAGTTTCACTAAGTGGAAAGAATTCAGACAGTGAAAGATTCATCTGAAAATAATTTGAATCCATTTGGTTCCTGGGCTCAGTTAGGGAGGGATAATTGTGTATTTGTCCTGCCCATAGTAGCCTTTCATTCCAGTCACCACCATTAAGTTCAGGCCCTTTTTATCCCACTCATGGATTTTTGTTTTCCTTCTTTAAGGTAAATATCTTATACAATGAAATGCAGTGTATATTTCCTGCTATTGAAAAATGTAAACACTTTTGTAACCTAAACCCATATCAACAGAAGTAACATTACCAAAACCTCAGACAGTTTCCTCAAGCCTTTCCCAGGCAACCTCTGGCTCCATACCCCTAGATGCAACCAGTTTCTTCCACCAGAAATGAATTTTGCCTGCGCTAGAATTTCATATATTTGGAATCACAAAGTATTTTTGCGTAAAACTTCTTTTAGTTACATGTTTTTGAGATTCATCCACATTGTGAAGTGTATCAGTAATGTGTTCATTTTTATTACTGGATATTAGTGCATTGTGTGTTTGGAAGTTCTGTATTTTAGGCCGGGCGCAGTGGCTCACGTCTGTAATCCCAGCACTTTGGGAGGCCGAGGCGGGTAGATCACCTGAGGTCAGGAGTTTGAAACCAGCCTGACCAACATGGTGAAACCCCATCTCTACTAAAAATACCAAAAAAGTAGCTGGGCATGGTGGCAGGTGCCTGTAATCCCAGCTACAAGGGAGGCTGAGGCAGGAGAATCCCTTGAACCCAGGAGGTGGAGATTGCAGTGAGCTGAGATCACGCCATTGCACTCCAGCTTGGGCAACAGAGCGAGACTCCGTCTCAAAAAAAAAGAAAAAAGAAAAAAAAAGCTCCGTATTTTAAAAAATTACAAGAAAATAAAATAAAAAGTTATGTATTTTGTTTACAACTACGTTGAATATTCTTCAGGTTTTTGGAGGGAAACAAATTTTCGTGGGTAAATACTCGAGTGGAGTTGATGGACTGTAACATAGTTATGTGTTTAGCTTTTTAAGAAATTTCCAGACCATTTTCCAAAGTGGTTGTACCATTTTACACTTCCATTAACAATATATTAGAATAACAATTGGTCCACATCCTCACCAGTATGTGGTGTTGTTTGCTCAGTCTTTAATTTTAGCCATTTTAGTGGGTATGTAGTGGTATCTCCTTAGGGTTTAGTCGGTTTTTTGCTTATTTGTTTGTTTTTGAGGCGGAGTCTCACTCTGTCACCCAGGCTGGAGTGCAGTGGCATGATCTTGGTTCACTGCAAGCTCCGCCTCCTGGGTTCACGCCATTCTCCTGCCTCAGCCTCCCGAGTAGCTGGGACTACAGGCGCCTGCCACCACGCCCGGCTAATTTTTTGTATTTTTAGTAGAGACGGGATTTCACCGTGTTAGCCAGGATGTTCTCAATCTCCTGACCTCGTGATCCGCCCGCCTTGGCCTCCCAAAGTGCTGGGATTACTGGCGTGAGCCACTGCGCCCAGCCCAGAGTTGTAGAAATTAGATCTGTGTCCTGGATACCAGTTCTTTGTCAGATGTGTTTTCTCTCAGTGTGTGGTTTACATGTTCATTTCCTTAATAGTGTCTCTCTTCTTGTAGCTCAGGCTGGAGTACAATTGTGCGATCTCAGCTCACTGCAACCTCTGCCTTCCAGGTTCAAGCGATTCTCCTACCTCAGCCTCCCAAGTAGCTGGGATTACAGGCGCCTGCCACCACGCCTGGCTAATTTTTGTATTTTTAGTAGAGACAGGGTTTCACCATGTTGGTCAGGCTGGTCTCGAACTCCTGACCTTGTGATCCACCCGCCTTGGCCTCCCAAAGTACTGGGATTACAGGCGTGAGCCACCATGCCTGACTGATCGATTTTTATGTATCTGGAACTCTTTAAGTCTTTTTTTTTTTTTTTGAGATGGAGTCTTGCTCTGTTGCCAGACTGGAGTGCAGTGGCGCACTCTCGGCTCACTGCGACCTCCACCTCCCAGGTTCAAGTGATTCCCCTGCCTCAGCCTCCCGAGTAGCTGGGACTACAGGCATGTGCCACTATGCCTGGCTTATTTTTTTTGTATTTTAGTAGAGATGGGATTTCACCACTTTGGCCAGGCTGGTCTCGATCTCCTGACCTTGTGATCTGCCTGCCTTGGCCTCCCAAAGTGCTGGGATTACAGGCGTGAGCCACTGTGCCCAGCCTATATCTGGAACTCTTGGGCTCAAGTGACTATCATCCATCTTGGATTACTTTTGGAAAATGGTGTTAGTGGTCCAGGTTCGTTTTTTTTCTGTATGGATTTCCAGTTATTCCAGCATCATTTGTTGAAAACACTTTCCTTTGCCTGTTACACGTCTTTGGCACCTTTGTAAAAAATCAACCATATAAGGCCAGGCTTGGTGGCTCATGCCTGTAATCCCAGCACTTTTCGGAATCCAAGGCAGGCAGATCACCTGAGGTCAGGAGTTCGAGACCAGCCTGACCAACATGGTGAAACCCCGGCTCTACTAAAACAAAAAGAAATACAAAAATTAGCTGGTTGTGGTGGCGAGTGCCTGTAATCCCAGCTAAATCAACCATGTAAATGTGGGACCAGAAATAGATCTGTTTGCTTGTATTGTTTCATTGATCTATTTGTTGTTCCTTATGTCTCGATTACTGTAGTTTTAACTTGTATATGTACTGCTCTAGTCACATAATTTGTCTTCCTAGAGATTATACTTTGGTCTCTTGTCTTTCTAAAATCTGTTTCTGAACATTGGCCCTAGGTTCTCTTTTAAATGTGAATATGAGCCTGGTACTCCACTTCATTGATGAAAATCCTTCAGTAGCTCTCCTAGAGGAATTCTTTAACAGAGCTTAGGCTTTCCATGAAAGGAACCTGCCTAACTCCTCTCTACTCATAGGACCTAAAATATTGAACTTAACATTTCATCGGCCAGGCGTGGTGGTTCATGCTTGTCATCGTAGCACTTTGTGAGGCCGAGGCAGGCAGATCACTTGGGCCAACATGGTAAAACCCCGTCTCTACTAAAAATACAAAAATTAGCTGGGTGTGGTGGCATGCGCCTGTAGTCTCAGCTACTTGGGAGGCTGAGGCACAAGAATCTCTTGAACCCGGGAGACGGAGGTTGCAATGAGCTCAGATTGAGATTGCGCTATTGCACTCCAGCCTGGGCAACAGAACAAGACTCCATCTTTGTATCTATAATTACTCTGTGTCTTATGCTGTATTTTTTCTTTTGTTTCTTCTTGCTGCATATTTCCAACTTTTCAGGCTTCTTACTAGGAGTCCCCTAATACCTGACTCCCCTCTCCACATGCTACAATATATTCTTAGTAAAAAACCTGTGTGTAGCTGGGTGCAGTGGCTCACGCTTGTAATCCCAGCACTTTGGGAGGCCAAGGCAGGCTGATTGCTTGAGCTCAGGAGTTTAAGACTAGTCTAGGCAACATGGCAAAACCACATCTCTACAAAAAATTTAAAAATTTAAAAAATATTAGCCGGGCATGGTGGCATAGTCTCAGAAAAAACCTAAACTAAAAACCTCTGTTTAAAAAAAAACACAAAAAAAACCTCTGTATATCTTTATTGCTTTCTACAACTTAGTTATTTTTACGTATCTTTTATGTATCTGAGCCACCGCGCCTGGCCACATAAGGTTTTTTTTTTCCTTTTATTTATCTTCTTTGCTTCCAAAAATGATTTGAAGAACTTTTATAGTAAAAGTTCTTACTAACTGGGATAGTAAATTCGTGTAAAAGATAAAAACAAAAACTTGATAATGGGAGGAAACCATTAGTTCAGAATTCTAGGCTTTTCTAGTTATAATTGATTGTTAAATTTGGAGCTGAATAACTCTCTGGTGAAATAAAGTGTTACCAATTCGTTGAGAAAAACGTTTTCTTGATGTCATATATAAAAAGAGATTCAACTCATGAGTCTTCTTAAAGTTTGAGGCTTGTTATATCCCAGACCAAGTAATTTCTTTTTTGTGATGGCTGTCTATACCACTAAAAAAAAAGAAATTAAAAAAAGGCATTTTAAGGTTGGTTTCCCTTTATTCATTAAAACATTTCAGCCAACATTATTCAGTGCCTATTACAGTCTAGGATTAGATATAGAGCTTACGATCCCTACCCTCAAGAATAGTCTAGTGCGGGAGGATAATAGGTTATCTTATGTGTACCATTTAGTGTGATGATAGGATCTGTTAATTCAAAGTATATATTATAGACTAAAAGTTTTTATATGAACTGTGTATTGTATGATAGTGTGGGGTTCATTTTCTTAGATGTGATTGTGAGATTATGGTTATATAGGAGAATGTCATTAGAAAATGCATGCTGAAGTGTCGTAATGCCTACAACTTACTTTGAGATGGTGTGATCAATTTTTTTTCGTTTGTTTTTTTGACAAAGTCTCACTCTATTGTCCAGGCTGGAGTTTAGTGGTGCAGTCTTGGCTCACTGCAACCTCTGCCTCCCAGGCTCAAGCAATTCTCCTGCCTCAGCCTCCCCAGTAGCTGGGATTACAGTCAAGTGCCACCAAGTCTGGCTAATTTTTTTGTATTTTTAGCAGAGACGGGGTTTCGCCATGTTGGCCAGGCTGGTCTCGAACTTCTGACCTCAGGTGATCCGCCTGCCTCGCCCTCCCAAAGTGCTGGGATTACAGGGATGAGCCACCACACCTGGCGAAGACTGTCTTTAAAAAAAAGGGCCAGGCCTGGTGGCTTACGCCTGTAATCCCAGCACTTTGGGAGGCCAAGGTGGGCAGATCACCTGAGGTCAGAAGTTCGAGACCAGCCCAACGGGTGAAACCCTGTCTCTACTAAAAATACAAAAATCAGCCAGGTGTGGTGGCAGGCGCCTGTAGTCCCAGCTACTTGGGAGGCTGAGGCAGGAGAATTGCTTGAACCCAAGAGGTGGAGGTTGCATTGAGCCAAGATCATGCCACTGCACTCCAGCCTGGGTGACAGAGCGAGACTCCGTCTCAAAAAAAAATAGAATTTTAAAAAAAGACGGAGTCTTGCTCTGCCACACAGGCTCCAGGGCAGTGACACAGTCATGGCTCATTGCAGCCTCAAAGTCCTGGGCTCTAGCGATCCTCCCACCTCAGACTCCGAGGAGCTGAGACTACAGGCATGAGCCAACAGGCCCAGCTAATTTTTTTATTTGTATTTTTTTCGAGATGGAGTCTTGCTCTGTCACCCAGGCTGCAGTGCAATGGCATGATCTTGGCTCACTGCAACCTCTGCCTCCCAGGTTCAAGCGATTCTGCTGCCTCAGCCTCCTGAGTAGCTGGGATTACAGACCTGCACCACCACACCTGGCTAATTTTTTGTATTTTTAGTAGAGATGGGATTTCACCATATTGGCCAAGCTGGTCTCCAACTCCTGACATTGTGACCCGCCCACCTTGGCCTCCCAAAGTGCTGGGGTTACAGGCATGAGCTACCGCACCCGGCCAACTAATTTTTTTTTTATTTTTATTTTTGTAGAGACAGGATCTTGCTTTGTTGACCAGGCAGGTCTCGAACTCCTGGCCTCAAGTGATCATCCCACCTTGGCCTCTCAAAGTGGTGAAATTACAGGCATGAGCCACTGCACTGGCAATTGACAATATTTGTAAACCCTTTAACTTTTCATCCTCTGCAAAATTTTATAAAAAGGGGAGAACGGAAATTTAGATGAAGTGAGAAGTGGATAGATTGTTCATTATATATTATCAAGGCAACTGGCTATTCAGTTGGGGAAAGTAATAAAGACAGATTTGTGCCTTACACTGCATAAAAAAGATCAATTCCAAGTAGATTAGAACTCTAAAAGTAGAAGAAAATAAGACACTATTTTTTTACAATCTTGGCATAGAAAAAACCCTTTCTTAGGTAAATTATGTATCCCAGGAGGGTGAACAAATTCAAAACATAAAAGTGAAAAAAGTTTGTGTGACTAAAGAAACCATAAACAACAAACTTGAATGACTGGCAAACCAGTAGAAAATAAAAGAAAAACTCAACCTAATTGAGAATGTCAATAATGTGAACAGGTAATTCACGGAAGAAATAGTTTTCCCATGTTAATGAAAAGATATTCAGGCAGGGCGCGGTGGCTCATGCCTGTAATCCCAGCACTTTGGGAGGCCGAGGCGGGTGGATCACGAGGTCAGAAGATCAAGGCCATCGTGGTTAACATGGTGAAACCCCGTCTCTACTAAAAAAAAAATACAAAAAATTAGCCAGGTGTGGTGGCGAGCGCCTGTAATCCCAGCTACTCGGGAGGCTGAGGCAGGAGAATGGCGTGAACCTAGGAGGCGGAGGTTGCAGTGAGCCGAGATTGTGCCACTACACTCCAGCCTGGGTGACAGAGCGAGACTCTGTGTCAAAAAAAAAAGATAAGATATTCAATCTCACAGGTAATTAAGGAAAAGCAAATTTTTTCCCCATCAAATTGACAAAAATTTGAAAGACTTATAGCAACTTGTGTTGGTGAGGGTTTGCATAATTGGGTTTGTAATGGGAAAAAATTGAACCAAAGTAATGTCCGTCAACAGGCGGTAATAAATTTTGACATTTCCATATAGTGGAATACTTTCCAGTTCTTAGAATGTTATTTTGTTATTTTGGCTTTTTGTGAGATGGAGTCTTGCCCTGTCACTCAGGCTGGGGTACAGTGGAACAATCTCACCTCACTGCAAATGCTGCCTCCCGGGTTCAAGCGATTCTCATGCCCCAGCCTTCCAAGTAGCTGGGATTACAGGCGTGCGCCACCTTGCCTCGCTAATTTATTTTTATTTTTTTTTAATTTTTTTTGAGATGGAGTCTTGCTCTGTCCCCAGGTTGGAGTGCAGTGGTGCGATCTTGGCTGACTGCAATCTCTGCCTCCCAGGTTTAAGCGATTCTCCTGCCTCAGCCTTCTGAGTAGCTAGGATTACAGGCGTACGCCATCCTGCCCAGCTAATTTTTGTGTTTTTGTAGAGATGGAGTTTCACCATGTTGGCCAGGCTGGTCTTGAATTCCTGACCTCAGATGATCCGCCCTCCTCGGCCTCCCAAAGTGCTGGGATTATAAATAGGCATGAGCCATCACGCCCAGCCTCAGTTCTTAGAATGTTTTGTATGTTGAAATGGAAATATGTCCAATATAAACTGCTAAACGAGGACTACAAGTTATAGACGTGAATAAAATATGACCCAATTTATGTCAAAAGAAATCTGTATATATCCTTCTGAATGCATATAAAGTGATCTGGAATAATATTCCTACATACCCACAGTGCAGGGGGTTAGGAAGGGAGATTTTTACTTTATAGGCATTATAATAAGCTTGTAATCTTTTTACCGACTGTAATTCTTTATTTCTTTTTTTTTTTTTGAGACGGAGTCTCGCTCTGTTGCCCAGGCTGGAGTGCAGTGGCGTGATCTCGGCTCACTGAGAGCTCTGCTTCCCAGGTTCACCCCATTCTCCTGCCTCAGCCTCCCGAGTAGCTGGGACTACAGGTGCCCGCCACCATGCCCAGCTAATTTTTTGTATTTTTTAGTAGAGACGGGGTTTCACCATGTTAGCCAGGATGATCTCGATCTCCTGACCTCGTGATCCGCCCGCCTTGGCCTCCCAAACTGCTGGAATTATAGGCGTGAGCCACCACGCCTGGCCTATTTCTTTTTCATGGTTTATAATGAGTCTAAGATCTTGTATGTCTGGATTTCAGGTTTGAGAATTAGAAACGTCCAAATGACAGTTTATGTTAGTATTGTTGTGTTCCTTCATAAAGGTTGAGGATATAATTCAGGAAAGCTGAAATTGTTATGCAGATTATTGATAGGAATTGATGCAGATAGCATCTAGCAAATTTTCAACATCGAGTTGTTTCACCCTTTCACCTTAATAAATGTGATTTTAAAGTGTTACAGGTAAAAATGGTTTTATTCCTATTTATAGATTTTTGATGAAATTGAGTCATGAAACTGTAACCATTGAATTGAAGAACGGAACACAGGTCCATGGAACAATCACAGGTACGGAGGTTGGACTGCTTTTATAACATTTTTTTTCTTCTCTTTTACCTAGCCAGAGTTTATTTTTTTATTGCTTAATGAACATTATTGTAGTACAAATCCTTATTTTTTTTGTCTGAATTATGTAATTTTTTTTTTTTTTTTTTAAACAGTTTTGCTCTGTCACCTGGGCCGGAGTGCAGTGGCACGATCTCAGCTCACTGCAACATCCGCCGCCTGGGGTCAAGCAATTCTCCTGTCTCAGCCTCCCAAGTAGCTGGGACTACAGGTGCCTGCCACCATGCCCGGGTAAATTTTTTTTTTAGACGGATTCTCACTCTGTTACCCAGGCTGGAGTGCAGTGGCACAATCTCAGGTCACTACAACCTCTGCCTCCCGGGTCCGGGTTGAAGCAATTCTCCTGCCTCAGCCTCCCAAGTAGCTGGGGTTATGGGTGCGTGCCACCACACCCAGCTAATTTTTTATATTTTTGGTAGAGACGGGGTTTCATCATGTTGGCCAGGTTGGTCTCGAACTCCTGACCTCATGATCCATCTTAACAAAAGCAGTAACAATTCTTATATACAGAGAGAAGCAGAAACAAAGGTGAGGATAGTTTGGTGGAATGGGGATTATGAGGAAGTTACAAAGACAGTGGGAGAAACATGAAAGAAATACCTGTCACATCAGTAGTGAGCCTAAAGCCCAGTCAGGGTTCTTCCATGGCTTGCTGCATTCACTTCTGTAAGCAAAACATTAGTGTGCTAGGAAAAATCTCTAGGAAGGAAACACTGCTGACATTCCCCCATTTACCAGTTGCACATGTGCTAAATTGTGTCATAGAAAACTTGCACTTTGTAGAAGAACAGTAATCTTTTGTAGTCCAGTATTTACTGTGGCTCAGTAGATTAATTAGTTGCCTTAACTTGTATCATACTAATAACTGCACAATTATTTTCCTCTTTAGGTGTGGATGTCAGCATGAATACACATCTTAAAGCTGTGAAAATGACCCTGAAGAACAGAGAACCTGTACAGCTGGAAACGCTGAGTATTCGAGGAAATAACATTCGGTATTTTATTCTACCAGACAGTTTACCTCTGGATACACTACTTGTGGATGTTGAACCTAAGGTGAAATCTAAGAAAAGGGAAGCTGGTAAGTTTGAAGGATTATAAACATTTTTGTGAATGCTAATCCTAATCCACACTATTCATAATATAGATATTATTTGCAAACAACACAAGTGTCTTTGTTGTTTAATATTTCCTATAGTATGTATAGTAATTCTTGGTGTTGCTATTAAAAACATTGAGCAACCGGACGCAGTGGCTCACGCCTATAATCCCAGCACTTTGGGAGGCCAAGGCGGGTGGATCACGAGGTCAGGAGTTCAAGACCAGCCTGGCCAACATGGTGAAGCCTCATCTCTACTAAAAATATAAAACTTAGCTGGGCATGGTGGCGGGTGCCTGTAATCCCAGCTACTCGGGAGGCTGAGGCAGGAGAATCGCTTGAACCCAGTAGGCGGAGGTTGCAGTGAGCCGAGATCTCACCACTGCACTCCAGCCTGGGTGACAGAGCCACTGTCTCAAAAAAAAAAAAAACCAAACAACAAATATCGATGTGGTCGGGCAGGGTGGCTCACACCTGTAATCCCAGCACTTTGGGAGGCCAAGGTGGGCAGATCACCTGAGGCCAGGAGTTCCAGACCAGCCTGGTCAACATGGCGAAACCCCCTCTCTACTAAAAATGCAAAAAAAATCAGGCGTGGTGGTGCGTGCCTTTAGTCCCAGTTACTCGGGAGGTTGAGGCAGACGAATCACTTGAACCTGGGAGGTGGAGGTTGCTGTGAGCCAAGATCACGCCACTGCACTCCAGCCTGGGCTACAGAGTGAGACTTTGTCTCAAAAAAAAAAAATATATATATATATATATGATTGTAATCCATAGCTTGAAAAACAATGATTTAATCTCTCTCTCGGTCCTTTATCTCATGCTGCTTTCCACTTTAAAAAAACCCCCTGTGGGTACCAAAATCTACAGATTCTTAAGTCCCTTTTCATAAAATGGTAGTAGTGTTTCAGTGCACATCCTTTTGTACCCTTTAAATCATCTCTAGATTACTTGTAATACCTAGTATAATGTAAATGCTCTGTAGATAGTTATACTGTATTGTTTAGGCGTTAATGACAAGAAAAAGTCTGTATGTGTTTAGTACAGATACAACCATCATAGGCCTAAACTACATTTTTGATCCTCAGTTGGTTAAATCCATGGATGTGCAACCCATGGATATTGAAGGCTGGCTGTATTTTCAAATCTGAGGATGTTTTGCTTTAATGTCGTTAGGGTTATTCTACATTTTTTTTTTTACTACCTACCTACCTGTCGGGGAATTGATGATTGAAAGCCCCCCGCCTCATATCATCTTACTCCACGCTTCTGAATCTTAGATTTTTCAGAAGTTATTCTTCCTTTACTAAATGTTACAGTTCCCAGTCTACTTTCTATTTAAAATTTTGTTGAAAAAAATTTTTTTTTTTTTTTTTGAGATGGAGTTTCGCTCTTGTTAGCCAAGCTGGAGTGCAGTGGCAGGATCTCAGCTCACTGCAACCTCTGCCTCCTGGGTTCAAGCGATTCTTCTGTTTCAGCCTCCCAAGTAGCTGGGATTATAGGTGTGTGCCACCACACCCAGCTAATTTTGTATTTTTAGTAGAGGTGGGGTTTCATCCTGTTGGTCAGGCTGGTCTCATACCCCTGACCTCAAGTGATCCACCCGCCTCGGCCTTCCAAAGTGCTGGGATTACAGGCAGGAACCACCGCGCCCAGCCGAAATCTTTTTTTGAGATGGACTCTCACTCTGTCGCCCAGGCTGGAGTGCAGTGGCGCGATCTCGGCTCACTGCAAGCTCCGCTTCCCGGGTTCACACCATTGTCCTGCCTCTGCCTCTCCAGTAGCTGGGACCACAGGCGCCTGCAACCACGCCCGGCTAATTTTTTGTATTTTTAGTAGAGACGGGGTTTCACCGTGTTAGCCAAGCGGTCTCGATCTCCTGACCTCATGATCCGCCTGCCTGGGCCTCCCTAAGTGCTGGGATTACAGGCGTGAGCCACGGTGCCTGGCCCAAAATCTTTTATCTACTGTGTTTTCTCTGCTTTTCTTTGTTCCTCTGGGTAGTTATCATTTTTGTTCCTTTTCTATCATAAATACTATTTCAGAAGAAATTGAAGGTAAGTGTGGTCAATTTGGCCCATTTTAACGTGTTCTAGACTTACAGTTTTTGTGTGTACACATTTAAAATAGTACGGTTTAAAATAACTGAAATTGGCCAGGTGCGGTGGCTCATGCCTGTAATCCCAGTACTTTGGGAGGCAGAGGCGGGCAGATCGCCTGAACTCGGAAGTTCGAGACCAGCCCGGGCAACATGGCATGAACTTTGTCTCTACTAAAAATACAAAAATTAACCAGGCATGGTGGCAGATGCCTGTAATCCCAGCTACTCGGGTGGCTGAGGCAGGAGAATTTCTTGAACCCAGAAAATGGAGGCTCCGGTGAGCCGAGATTACGCCACTGCACTCCAGCCTGGGTGACAGAGTAAAACCCTGTCGCCAAAAAAAAAAAAAAAAAAAAAGGAAACTACAACAAATTAAATAATGAAAATGAGTCTTCGTTTCAAGTTTGTCATAGTCTAGTGTTAGGGAGTTATTTAAAAATTATTGGTTTGGGCCAGGTGTGGTGGCTCACGCCTGTAATCCCAGCACTTTCAGAGGCTGAGGCAGCTGGATCACAAGGTCAGGAGTTCAACACCAGCCTGGCCAATGGTGAAACCCCATTTCTACTGAAAATACAAAAATTAGCCAGGTGTGGTGGCGGTCACCTATAATCCCAGCTACTCGGGAGGCTAAGGCAGGGAATTGCTCGAACCTGGGAGGCAGAGGTTGTAGTGACCCGAGATCGCACTACTGCACTCCAGCCTGGACAACAGAGAGAGACTTGGTCTCAAAAAAAAAAAAAAAATTGTTTTGTTTGTTGTTTGTTTGGTAAGAGACAAGATCTCACTGTGTTGCTCAGGCTGCAGTGAAGTGGCATGATCATAGCTCACTGCAGCCTCAAACCCCTGGCTTCAGGCTGTCTTCTGCGTTGGCCTCCCAAATGTTTGGATTTTTTTTTTTTTTGAATAAACATTTATTTTCTTTCTTTAAAAAAAAAAAAAAGAAGCAGCAGCTGGGCGCGGTGGCTCACGCCTGTAACCCCAGCACTTTGGAAGGCCGAGGCAGGTGGATCACCAGCCTGGCCAACAGAGTAAAACCCCATCTCTACTAAAAATACAAAAAAGTAGCTGGGCGTGGTGGTGGGCGCCTGCAGTCCCAGCTACTCGGGAGGCTGAGGCAGGAGAATCGCTTGAACCCGAGAGGCGGAGATTGCAGTGAGCAGTTGTTTTCTTAATTTATCTTTCTTTTTTACAGATATGCACCACCAAACCTGGCTAATTTTTTATTTTTTATTTTTTTGTAAAGACAGGGTCTCCCTATGTTGTCCAGGATAGTCTTGAACTCTTGGTCTCAAACAATCCTCCTGCTGTGGCCTCCCAAAGTGCTGGGATTATAGGTGTGAGCCACCATCATACCTGGTCCATTTTCTTTTCTTGGGTTTTTTTTTTTTTTTTTTTTTTTGAGACAGAGTCATGCTCTGTTGCCCAGGCTGGAGTGCCATGGCGCGATCTCCACTCATTACAACCTCTGCCTCCCAGGTTCAAGCAGTTCTCCTGCCTCAACCTCCCAAGTAGCTGGGATTACAGGTGCCCAGCCCTTTTGTTGTTGTTGTTGTTGTTGTTTTACAACACCCCTCCAACTCTGTTTTTCCCATTTTCTTTATTTTTTTAAACACTTCATTTTGAAATAATTTTAGACACAAAAAGTTGCAAAAATAGTACAAGGAATTCCCATACACTTTTCACCAAGATTGTCTAAATGTTAAAATGTCATATAACTACAAAAAATTAGAAATTTTACATTGATGTGTCACTACTGTATTATCTAGAGACCTTTCTCACATTTCTCTGATTGTCCCTTTAATGTCCTTTTCCTGGTCCAAGATCCAATCCAGTACAACAGGTTGCATTTACTTGTACGTTTCCTTAGTTTCCTTTAATGCGTATCAGCTGGTTCTCCTCAGTTTTCCTTTTGTGACCTTGATACTTTGTAAGAGTACGGGCCAGTTATTTTGTGAAATGTCCCTTAATTAGCATCTTAAACTTACTATTTATTGCTTAGAATGGTAAGACTAGAATCAGTGTGTACAAATTTCTAATGTGGCCAGGTGCGGTGGCTCACACCTGTAATCCCACCACTTTGGGAGGCTGAGGCTGGAGGATTGCTTTGGCCCAAGAGTTTGAGAGCAGCTTGGGCAACAAAGGGAGACCTCATCTCTACAAAAATTTTAAAAATTAGCCAGACATGATGGTTTGTACCTGTAGTCCCAGCTACTCAGGAGGCTTAGATGGGAGGATCACTTGAGCCCAGGAGTTCAAGGCTGCAGTGAGGTGTAATTACACTCCAGATGGGACTACAGAGTGAGACCCTGTATTTAAAAAACAAAAACAAAAACATTTAGAATGTGACTGACTTCTATGTCAAGATTTTCTAATATTCTTAGCTGTCTGAAGATGAAATAAGTTTATTTGGGTCATGAATTCCCTATCACCATGATACTCAACTAGAGTTAGGATGACCCAGTAGGGATATTACTATTTGGATTAAAGCACTAGATTATGTGTAGGTCAAATGAGTTTTAATTTTCTGAAGAGTTAATAAGATTGTGATTTGATGTAATACATTTAAACTTTCCTGGTTTTGAATTAACTTGCTTGGATTTTATTCAGTTACCAAAACTCTGGCATCAAGGTGATCATGTTTTATTCTGTGATATATATCTTCCCTTTTTTTGTGAGGTTCAAATCATTTTATGGTGAATTTGAGACATGATATAAAGAAAAAGTATTTTTAAATTTGACACATTTCTTAGTAAATAAATTGAAATGAAACAAATAATAATCTCCCTAGGCCTTTAGTTATTGGTTCTGCATGATAATGTGTTGGGGGGTGGAGGGAATCTGAAGTCTAACACATTTAACAGAAGCTAGTTAAACTTTATTTACTGTAGCTACTAATAAAGAGCTATAAACAGGGAAAGGTGTGTGTGTAAATGTTGTTTGTGGTGTCTAGGTAACATTGGTGCAGGAGAGAATTGAACTTGGTTTGTTTTTCTTTTCCTTCAGTTGCAGGAAGAGGCAGAGGAAGAGGAAGAGGAAGAGGACGTGGCCGTGGCAGAGGAAGAGGGGGTCCTAGGCGATAATGTCTCTCAAGATTTCAAAGTCATATGAGATTTGGGATATTTTTTGTACAGGTTGTGTTTGTTTATGTCAGTTTTTAATAAACATAAATGTGGGACAGAGCTGTCTATTTAGTATATCAAAGTTTTAGTAGTTTCCTCCACATTCACGAAATTACCACAGTGAGAGCTAAGCATTTCTACTGGGCAGTTTCATTTTTAGTTGATCAGGTTTTAAGTTTTTGAACTAAAATTTTTCTTTTTCTTTTTATGATGAATAAGGTTAAAATAAAAGCCTTAGACAAATTAAATTTGGCAGAGTTTAATTGAGCAAAGGACAATTCACAAATCAGGTAGCCCCTGAACCATAATAGGCTCAGAGGCTTCAGCCCAGCTGCATAGTTGAAGATTTATGGACAGAAGGAAAGTGATGTATGGAAAATGGAAGTGAGATACAGCAACAGCCGGATTAGTTACAGTTCAGCGTTTGCCTTATTTGAATATGGTTTGAACAGTTCGCTGTCTTTGGTTGGCTGAAACTTAGTGATTGCCACAAGAGTAGGGTACCGTCTGTTTACACGTCCAGTTAGGCTACAGTTCTATGTACTGAGAAACCTTTAAGCTGAACTTGAGATATGTAAAGAGACTTTAGGCTAAACTTAACAATATATATAGGATATATACCCTTCTACTTCACATGCACTGAATATGCATTTTATTGCTTTACTCTTCATTCTGTGGCACCTACCCACAGGGGAAGTAAGAAGTTTGTTTTGGTATTTCGGAAACTAAAGTCCTTATGGGATGGGGTCTAGAATTGATTCTCCTTTCCTGAGTTTTACTCCACGGAGTCTTAGGTACCTGGTAAAAAGTTGTCTTCTAAATTAAGGGTCATTGCTTTGTTGTCTAGCTGCTAATGTCTTACTTTTGTTTCTTTTGCTTTTTAATCAGTTCTTAATAGGATATAGTTTTATGTTTTCCAAGTTATAACTTGGAGTTAATGGTCACTAGATTATCAGTTATGAGCAGTGTTAAAATCTCCTATTAATGTGTAATGTACCTGTCAGTGCCTCCTTTATTAAGGGGTTCTTTGAGAATAAAAGAGAAAAGACCTACTTTATTTGACAGCAAAACTGTTCTAATTGTTAATAAGGACTTTTAAAAATTGTTTTTGATTTGCTAAGCTCAGAAAAAATGTCTCTCAGTGCATCAGTTCTTTGTAAAGCTTACTACGAAGTATTTATATGCTAAGGAAAACAACTGAGGATGTGGGTGGCTTAAATCTGTATTTTCATCATGTATGTGAGTTTTTTTTTTTTTAAGTAAAGAAATTTTCTGCAAAGATCGTTACCTTAAAAAAGTTTAGCCTGGGTGTGGTGGCTCACGCCTGTAATCCCAGCACTTTGGGAGGCCGAGGCAGGTGGATCACGAGGTCAGGAGTTGAAGACCAGCTTGGCCAAGAGGGTGAAACCCCATTTCTACTAAAAATACAAAAGTTAGCCAGGTGCAGTGACAGGCGCCTGTAATCCCAGCTACTCATGAGGCCGAGGCAGGAGAATTGCTTGAACCCAGGAGGCGGAGGTTGCAGTGAGCCGAGATTGTGCCACTGCACTCCAGCCTGGGCGATGGAGTGAGACTACGTCTCAAAAAAAAATCGAGAGAGAGATATATATATGTATTTATATATATATGTATTTATACTAATATATAAATATATACTAATAGATATATTAGTATACATGTAGAATGTACCTGTCATATATATTAGATATATAAATGTATATATTGGTATAAATAAATACTAGATATATATTTTTTTAAGTATCTTACCTCATCAAGTAAATTCAAATGCTTTTTGATTTTTCCACAGTTGATAATTTTTTTTTGTAAGTCATTGAAGTTATATAGTAATTAGCGTTTTTTCCCCCACAAATTATTGGCAGTGGTCACCCAGTTGTATTACAGGTTCTATGATCCAAAAAGGGATGTATGAAATTCATGATGATTAAGACAATTTTTTCTTTCTTTCTTTTGAGACAGAGTCTTGCTGTGTCACCCAGGCTGGAGTGCAGTGGTGCGATCTTGGCTCACTGCAACCTCTGCGTCCCGGGTTCAAGAGATTATTGTGCCTCAGCCTCCAGAGTAGCTGGGATTATAAGCGTGCGCCACCACACCCAGCTAATTTTTTTGTATTTTTAGTAGAGACGGGGTTTCACCATGTTGGCCAGACTTAAGACAATTCTTTAATAGTAAATATATTAAAGGTGAGTTGGCTTGACAAGATACAACCAATATGTAATTTTTCTCCACACGTTTTTTTTTTTTTTTTTTTTTTTTTTCTGGAGACAGTCTTGCTCTGTTGCCCAGGCTGGAGTACAGTGGCGCGATCTTGGCTCACTGCAAGCTCTGCCTCCCGGGTTCAGGCCATTCTCCTGCCTCAGCCTCCCGAGTAGCTGGGACTACAGGTGCCTGCCACCACACCCAGCTAATTTTTTGTCTTTTTAGTAGAGACGGGGTTTCACTGTGTTAGGATGGTCTCGTTCTCCTGACCTCATGATCTGCACGAGGCCTCCCAATGTGCTGGGATTACAGGCGTGAGCCACCGTGCGTCCCCGGCCTATACCTTTCATTAATTAATAAGCTGGGGGAATAAATAACTGGATTTCATTCTTTTCCATCTTCTGACCTGTTGGTGCTCCTATTGCTTGTATCCAAGTAGAAGGCAAAAGGCAAGAGACCCCTGTAATGCAGCAAGTGGAGAGATTTGTTGAAGGGGTCAAACAAAACCCTGCAAGAGTAGGAAATAAACAGTTGGCTCCTGTCCTCGTGGAGCTTATAGACAGAAGCAGATAACAAATAAAAATTGGAGCTTAGTGCCGTGGTGCACACTTGTAGTCCCTGCTACTGGGGAGGCTAAGGCAAGAGGATCGCTATAGCCTGGGAATTTGAAGCTGTAGCGTGCTATGATTGCAAGCAGCCTGGGTAACCTAGTGAGACCTGGCTCTTAAATTTAAAATTTAAATGAAAATGGCCACTTAGCATAAGAGATCTAAAATTACGTTTTGTCCTGGCATGGTGGCTCATGCCTGTGACCTCAGCACTTTGGGAGGCCGAGATGGGCGAATCACTTGAGGTCAGGAGTTCGAGACCAGCCTGGGTAACATGGTGAAACCCTGTCTACTGAAAATACAAAAATTAGCTTGGTGTGGTGGCGGGTGCCTGTAATCTCAGTTACTCAGGAGGCTTAGGCAGGAGAATCACTTGAACCCTGGAGGCAGAGGTTGCAGTGAGCTGAGATCACACCACTGCACTTCAGCCTGAGTGACAGAGCGAGACTGTTTCAAAAAAAAAAAAAAAATTTGTTTTGAGAGTTTTTGTGTCTAGGATGTTTGCAGTGTGAAGCCAGTCTAGTAACAGTTTAAATGTAATAATAAATCACAGTGGGTACTAGATTGAGTTTATTCCACTAGAGGTCATTATTTCATTTCCATGTGAAAGGGCTAAAATTGGGTGAAGAAAAAGCTATTTGAACTGATTACCATCATTTGCTATAAAGGAAGCATTATAGTATGAATAGAAAACAGACTAGAGTTTAACATGCTTCTCTTGACCCCTCTTCACCACCCCCTAAAAGGCAGATGGGATCTTAGGACTGCAGCATTTTGTACACATCTGATATTTAATGAGATGTTACATATGAACTTTAGTTTTTTTTCTTTTCTTTTCTTTTCTTTTCTTTTCTTTTTTTTTTTTTGAGACAGAGTCTAGCTCTGTCACCCAGGCTGGAGTGCAGTGGTGCAATCTCGGCTCACTGCAAACTCTGCCTCCCGGGTTCACGCCATTCTCCTGCCTCAGCCTCCTGAGTAGCTGAGACTACAGGTGCCCACCACTATGCCCGGCTAATGTTTTGTACTTTTAGTAGAGACGGGGTTTCACTGTGTTAGCCAGGATGGTCTGAATCTCCTGACCTCGTGATTCGCCCGCCTCGGCCTCCCAAAGTGCTGGGATTACAGGCGTGAGCCACCGCGTCCGGCCGAACATTAGTTTTTAAAGAAATGTATTATGAATATAGATAGAAAACCCAAAGTGAAGGAATAGAAAATGAAATATCAGTTTCTTTTAATCTATCATAATTATGTGAGCATAACTTAGTATTTTGAAATAGATTAATGTAGTCAGCAAACAATTCATGTATTACCTATAATAGATATCATACATATAACATTTAATAACATACAGTTCTTGTTCCTGAAGACTTAACCTAGAAAATAACTCCATAACAAGAAGAATCTCTGTCATAATAAACCAACAGCAGACATTTTCTAAAGGCATTAAAAGTATATCTGATACTGGCCTTTATTAATGTGAAATTCTTGTGGATCTGTGAAATAAAGAGGAGTACTTTCTTTTCGTTTTTTTTTCTTTTCTTTTTTTTTGAGACAGTCTCACTCCTTCATCAAGGCTGGAGTACAGTGGTGCGATCTTGGCTCACTGCAACCTCTGTGTCCCGGGTTCAAGCAATTCTCGTGCCTCAGCCTCCCGAGTAGCTGGGATTACAGGCATGCACCACCACACCCAGCTAATCTTTGTATTTTTAGTAGAGACAGGGTTTCACCATTTTGGCCAGGCTGGTCTCTAATGCCAGACCTCAAGCGATCTGCCTGCCTCAGGCTTCCAAAGTGCTGAGATTACAGGTGTGAGCCACTGCGCCCAGCCAATAGGAGTACTTTTGAAAAGGAAGATAAATTTTTTTTTTTTGAGACGTAGTCTTGCTCTGTCACCCAGGCTGGAGTGTAGTGGTGCAATCTCAGTCCACTGCAAGCTCCACCTCCCGGGTTCATGCCATTCTCCTGCCTCAGCCTCCCGAGTAGCTGGGACTACAGGCACCCACCACCACGCCTGGCTAATTTTTTGTAGTTTTAGTAGAGACGGGGTTTCACCGTGTTAGCCAGGATGGTCTCGATCTCCTGACCTCGTGATCCGTCTGCCTCAGCCTCCCAAAGTGCTGGGATTACAGGCGTGAGCCACCACACCCGGCTGATAAACTTTGTAATACTAAGTTCTTTCTGTGTGGGAACATAGTAGTGTTCTCTATCTGAACCAGCTTTTCTTCTCAGTGAAGTTTTAGGGTTTTGTTTACGTATTCCATATATTTTGAGAAATGTTAATATACAGTGAGATTCAGTTTATGAAGAAAATAGTAATAATAGCAAGGCTGTAGATACCCAGTGCAGTCAATTCTTGGAATTTTCAGTAGTTGTGTAAAGTTGCTGTTAATACTAAACCACTACTTCTAGGGAAAATATAGGGTTAAGTTCCTGCAAGCCTCTAGTCACATTTTCATCAACCAACCAATACATAACCTTGTTTTATGAGTGTTTCTGTTTAGAGACATATATAGTAGTATATGTAATACATATATACTACTGATTTGTTAATTCATGGCTAGCAGCACTAACTCATCCATGAACAAAGCTTATCTAACACTTATTTTCTCAAAAAGGCACATCATAGCCTTCTTGAATTTAGGAACACGACAGCACTAAACCTGGGGGCCATTTTAAATGTCTCAAAAAAAAAAAGAACAGTTAAACAGGCTTGTTTAGGGTCTTTGCCATCCCACAACACACGCTGCCTATGCACAACTAGTGTTTTCCTACTTCTGTGGCTTTGTGCTTGTCTTTCCTCTTCCTGTAACATCCTCACCTTCCCAAGTTCTCTGTGTTTGTCCTTAAGAATCCTGTATCATTATAGCTGAAAGACATTACAGACCATCTAGTCCTTGCCTTCTGTTTTCAAGTTGAGCAAACTGAAGCTGACAGAGGTGGAACTTATTTGCCCAAGGGCCACAATAAGCCACTGGTGTCTGGAGGATGCACGGGCTCTGTGCTTTTCCTACCTCCTAGGATGTATTCCCCAGTTGCCCTCCTTCACTCCCTGTCACAGTCACTGATGGCTTCCCTTTGTGTGGGTTTTCTCTGTGCTAAGCTGTTCTGTACTACTCAAATGCTATTCAGCATATATCCTTAAGTCTTGCTGTCTTGTTCAGTTTGTCTCCAGCCGATTTTAATATTTTTAGGGTAGAAATCTTTTCTTCTTTTCTTCCTTTTGTATTCTCCATTATGTGTCTCCCTCCCTCCCTCCCTTCCTTCCTCTTCCTCTCTCTTTTTTTTTTTTTCTTTTTTTCTTTTTTTTTTTAGACGGAGTCTCACTCTGTTGCCTAGGCTGGAGTGCAATGGCATGATCTCAGCTCACTGCAATCTCTGCCTCCCGGGTTCAAGCAGTTCTCCCATTTCAGCCTCCCTAGTAGCTGGGACTACAAGTGTGTGTCACATGCCCTGCTAATTTTGTACTTTTTTTTTTTTTTTCCGAGACGGAGTCTCACTCTGTTGCCCAGGCTGGAGTGCAGTGGTGCGATCTTGGCTCACTGCAAGCTCTGCATCCCGGGTTCACGCCATTCTCCTGCCTCAGCCTCCCGAGTAGCTGGGACTACAGGCACCTGTCACCATACCCGGCTAGTTTTTTGTATTTTTAGTAAAGATGGGGTTTCACCATGTTAGCCAGGATGGTCTCGATCTCCTGACCTCGTGATCCGCCCACCTTGGCCTTCCAAAGTGCTGGGATTACAGGTGTGAGCCACTGCGCCCGGCCAATTTTTGTACTTTTAGTAGAGACGAGGTTTCACCATCTTGGCCAGGCTGGTCTGGAACACCTGACCTCGCCCACCTTGGCCTCCCAAAGTACTGGGATTATAGGTGTGAGCCACCACGCCTGGCTCCATTATGGCTTCATACAAAGGTCAGTACAGACTGACCTTTGGGTAATTAAAGATAAAAGTTGATGGACTCGAAAATAAAACATGACAATCATATTAAAACCACTATAATCATGACTATTTCCATCTTTCTATAGTGATGCTCAGGAAAATTAAGCAACAATTATATTTTTACCCGAGTGTACCCTAGAATTACAGTGAGGAACACACCACACTGGGTCAGCCTGTCTTTAGGAGAGGAGGTAAGAAACCATCCAATATCTCTTGACTGAAATAGGGTTCCAATAAGCTACATGCTCTGGAAACAAAACCTCTCTATCAATTCTCGTTCCAAATCACTGCATATCTCATAATAATTGGCTCTTGTCTGCTGGCTGCAGGGGAGCACTAGGTCCTGGAGGAGGGAAACTGCAAGGCAGCTAAGGCCACGATTGTCCTGTGTTTACTATTAAGCAGGCTTCACAGTGACAGAGCTGGCCATTTGAGGACAGACCTGACCCGGAGCCTTCCACTCTGGGGAACCTCTCGGGTAAGTCTGATGCATCTGGGGATGAAAATCAGCCATGGAATTCTAGAAGCTAAAATAAAATATGGAAAGGCAACTGATGAAAACTTCCAAGACTAGAGCTTCGGTTTCATTTGTCTTAATCCATGGTTGGTTGAGTAGCCATTCAATGGCTACTTTTTTTTCCCCAGTAAGAGCCTTCTAAATCAGGGATGAGATTTTAATCCCAGCACTTTGGGAGGCTGAGGCAGGCGGATCACGAGGTCAGGAGATCGAGACCATCCTGGCTAACACAGTGAAACCCCATCTCTACTAAAAATAAAAAAATTATCCGGGCGTGGTGGCGGGAGCCTGTAGTCCCAGCTACTCGGGAGGCTGAGGCAGGAGAATGGCGTGAACCTGGGAGGCAGAGCTTGCAGTGAGCCGAGATCGTACTACTGCAGCCTGGGCGACAGAGCAAGACTCCGTTTCAAAAAAAAAAAAAAAAAGAAAGATTCAGGTTCCAGCAGGATGTTTCCAATTAAGAGTCACTTCCATGTCTGCTCCTTGTCACAGGCTGATGTATATTTCTGCACAATCTGAATCCGACTTCTATTCTGAAGTTTTAAGATTTGAGTCAGAGGGCTGGGCGTGGTGGCTCACACTTGTAATCCCAGCACTTTTGAGAGGCCGAGGCGGGCAGATCACCTGAGGTCAGAAATTCGAGATTAATCTGGCCAACATGTTGAAACCTCGTCTCGACTAAAAATACAAAAATTAGCTGAGCGTGGTGGAACACACCTGTAATTCCAGGTACTCAGGAGGCTGAGGGAGGAGAATTGCTTGAACTCGGGAGGCGGAGGTTGCAGTGAGCTGAGATCATTCCACTGCACTACAGCCTGGGCAACAAGAGTGAAACTCTGTCTCAATTAAAAAACAAAAAGAAAAATGGGCACAGTGGCTGTAATCCCAGCACTTTGGGAGGCTGAGGCGGGTGGATCACGAGGTCAGGAGATCGAGACCATCCTGGCTAACACGGTGAATCCCCATCTCTACTAAAAATACAAAAACATTAGCTGGGCATGGTGGCAGGTGCCTGTAGTCCCAGCTACTTGGGAGGCTGAGGCAGGAGAATGGAGTGAACCTGGGAGGCAGAGCTTGCAGTGAGCCGAAATCACGCCACTGCACTCCAGCCTGGGCGACAGAGCGAGACTCTGTCTCAAAAAAAAAAAAAAAAAAAAAGATTTGAGTCAGAGGCCTAGCATTTGTTTTTATTGAGTACTTCCCCTTAACTGTGCACGATTAGAGCATTTGATAATTATTTTTTGTGCTTGCTAGAAAGATTACATCATCTGAGGGATTTGGCTAGCATGCATCTAAATATACAGGTTGCTATAGTTTGGGTGTTTGTCCCCTCCAAATCTCATGTTGAAATTTTGTTTTTCTTTCTTTTTTTTTTTTGAGACAGTCTCATTCTGTTGCCCAGGCTGGAGTGCAGTGGTGTGATGATCTTTGCTCACTGCAACCTCCGCCTCCTGGGTTGAAGTGATTCTTATGCCTCAGCCTCCAGAGTAGCTGGGATTACAGGTGTGTACCACCATGCCAGGCTAATTTCTGTATTTTTAGTAGAGACAGGGTTTTGCCATCTTGCCCAGGCTTGTCTCGAACTTCTGACCTCAGGTGATGCGCCTGTCTCTACCACCCAAAGTGCTGGGATTACAGGTGTGAGCCAATGCACCGGGCCAGGACATTAATAGATTAAAGAAAACCAATCAACTATTTGGGGGGACTGTATTAGGATTCCCCAGAGAAACAGAACCGATTGGAGAGATACAGAAAGAAATTTATTGTAAGGAATTGGCTATGATTATGGAGGCTGAGACTAAGACAAGTCAGTAGCATAGTTCAGGGTGAGTCCCAGTGCCTGATAACCATGAGCACTGATGGTGTGAATTCCAGTGTAAGGGCAGAAAACCAATGTCTCAGCTCAGACAGGTGGAGAGAACAAATTCCTTTTTGTTTTGTTCAAGCTCTCAATGGGTTGGATGAGGCTCACCCACATTTGGAAGGGCAATCTTCTTTACTCAATCTGTTGATTCAAATGCTCATCTCATCCAGAAACACTCTCACAGACACGCCCAGAAATAATGTTTAACCAAATATTTGGACACCCTGTGGCCTAGTCAAGTTTACACAATAAAACTAACCATCACAGAGCCCAATTCTTCACATCTTCTCTCCTGATCATCACCTCATTTGCATATCTACTCACCATTAGTCACTTTCACTTTTTTTTTTTTTTGAGACAGAATCTCACACTGTTACCTGGGCTGGAGTGCAGTGGTGCAATCTTGGCTCACTGCAACCTCTGCGTTCCAGGTTCAAGCAATTCTCCTGCCTCAGCCTCCTGAGTAGCTAGGATTACAGGCACCCACCATCATGCCCAACTAATTTTTTGAACTTTTAGTAGAGATGGGGTTTCACTATGTTGGCCAGGGTGGTCTCGAACTCCTGACCTCATGATTTGCCTGCCTCAGCCTCCCAAAGTGCTAGGATTACAGGCGTGAGCCACTGTGCCCGGTCACTTTCACCTTTAACCTAGTTTTTCCCACCCACTAAACTGCAACCTTGCCTTTCTGCATGTATCTTCTATATTTACACTTTGTGTAATATTTTTCTTCTATATTTACACATTGACAATGTCTGTTTATGTGGATGTTTTGTTGGCATCCAACTTAGAAGAAGCAAATGTTCTATTAAGAACATATTGTAGTTCAGTGAGAAGCATGTTTATTAGGCCAAGGTCTCTTTGGAGTTATAATTTTGAATTTATTATGGATTTATTTTTTGTGGATTATATTTCAGTAAGAAATAATGTGCTTGAGTTTCCTAATCACACTTAACAGGTTCTAGCCTTTATTAAATGTTCTCATAAAATGACACCTCTCAGGGAATATTTATGAAAATTTTAACCTATAAATTACCTTTATTTATTTATTTTTTTTTTGAGATGGAGTTTCGGTCTTGTTGCCCAGGCTGGAGTGCAGTGGTGCGATCTCAGCCCACTGCAACGTTCACCTCCTAGGTTCAAGTGATTCTCCTGCCTCAGCCTCCCGAGTAGCTGGGATTACAGGCGCCTGCCACCATGCCCGGCTAATTTTTTGCATTTTTAGTAGAGACAGGGTTTCACCACTTTGGGCAGGCTGTTCTCAAACTCCTAGCCTCAGGTGATCCACCCTTCTCGGTCTCCCAAAGTGCTGAGATTACAGGCATGAGCCATCGTGTCTGGCTAAATTATCTTTTGTATAAGGGCAACACATTTCTTCCTCTTTCTATATTCCTGCCTGAGCCTATAAAATAGAATACAGCTCATAAAATATTGAGGGTAGAAGAGGGTTGACCATTTTGTTTCCCTCCCTCAGCAAGGGAGTCTGTGTTCTGCTGGCATTCCCTGGGGGCATCCACCAAAAGGCAGGCCTGGAGGAGCTCCACACTATATAGCTTTCTTTTCTGTGCGTGACCCACACTTGGGGTAAATGTGCTGTGTGCATTCAGCTCTCCCTATAAACTCATCCTGAGTTGTGCCTTGGGGGAAGGAGGGCATTTCACTTTATCTTCCAATCCAATCTATGTTTTAAATCTAGCTTTACCATTAATAAAGCAGATAGCCCCCATCTGTTTTCTCAATTTAATTCAAAATCTGGAGATGGAGAGTGTAGTTAATTGGTACTTTTGAAACCCCAAAACTTTACAATATATATACAGATAGGATCCAAAATGAATTTGACTGCTTATTGCTGATGCATATTTGTGACATACATGCATACATTTTATCTATCCTTCTGTGCTTTTTTAAAATTTAATTATTTTTTTAGAGATGGAGTCTTATTCTGTCACATAGGCTGGAATGCAGTGGCATGATCATAGCTCATTGTAGCCTCAAACTCCTGGGCTTAAGCAATCCTCCATCTCAGCCTCCTGAGTAGCTAGAATTACAGGTGCATGCCACCACACCCACCTGATTTTTTTTTTTTTCTGTAAAGATGATGTCTCTATGTTGCCCAAGCTGGTCTCAAACTCCTGGGCTCAATCCGCTCACCTCAGCTTCCCAAAGTGCTGGGATTACAGGTGTGAGTCACCAAGCCTGGCCCTGTTTGTTTTCTTACTCCATTTTAGGTCTTCCCTTACAATTAATAAAGTTTTCCAAATTCTGTATTTTGCAGATTGCAAGATTGCATCCCCAGCTTATCTTTTTTTTTTTTTTTTTTTTTTTTTTTTTTTTAGACAGAGTCTCGCTCTGTCACCCAGGCTGGAGAGTGCAGTGGCGCGATCTTGGCTCACTACAAGCTCCACCTCCCAGGTTCACGCCATTCTCCTGACTCAGCCTCCTGAATAGCTGGGACTACAGGTACCCGCCACCACGCCCGGCTAATTTTTTATATTTTTAGTAGAGATGGGGTTTCACTGTGTTAGCCAGGATGGTCTCGATCTCCTGACCTCGTGATCCACCCTCCTCGGTCTCCCAAAGTGCTGGGATTACAGGCCTGAGCCACCGCGCCCGGCCCCCAGCTTATCTTTTAACATGCTCCTCTGTCCCCTGAATGTCTCCTAAACTGGAGGTTTGATCTAGTTGGACTGATAACTCTTCAAGTTTAGTTTTTTTGTCTCCATCTGAAGGCGCTGGGAGAAAAAAAGAGAAGAAAATGTTTTTGTCAAGAATACTTCATACCTGGCATTCATACTGTTTATCATTTTTAATTTTTTTTGGTTTTTCCTTTTGTCGATTATTTGACGCCCTCCGTTACCATACTGTATTTCATTCTTGTGTTATTTACATTTTCTTTTCTTTTCTTTTTTGAGTCGGAGTTTCACTCTTGTTGCCCAGGCTGGAGTGCAATCGTGCGGTCTCGGCTCACCACAACCTCCTCCTCCCGGGTTCAAGAGATTCTCCTGCCTCAGCCTCCTGAGTAGCTGGGATTACAGGCATGCGCCACCATGCCTGGCTGATTTTATATTTTTAGTAGAGACGGGGTTTCTCCATGTTGGTCAGGCTGGTCTGGAACTCCTGACCTCAAGTGATCCGCCCGCCTCGGCCTCCCAAAGTGCTGGGATTACAGGCGTGAACCACCGCACCAGGCTAAATTTTCTTATACAGTGTAACATATTGATGAAAGAGGGGATTCCTGGAGCCAGACTCTGAATTTGAGTACTGGCTCTGCCCTTCAATTATTTGAGTGACCTTGGACAGGCTATCTAAATTTTCTGTGCCTCGTTTTCCTCATCCATCAAACCTGAAAGGTGCATTGGGTGGATTAAAATAATAAATACATGTAAAGTACTTTGAATAGTATTTGGCATAAAGTTTAAGATCAGTAGATGTTAGTTATTATTATGAATTATTATTATCAGTTGGGGTTTTGTTTGATTTTAGAGACAGTGTCTCCCTGTCGCCCAGACTGGAGTGCAGTGGCATGATCAGAGCTCACTGTAGGAGCTGGGTATGGTGGCTCACGAGTCTAATCCCAGAACTTTGGGAGGCTAAGGTGGGAAGATGGCTTGAGCTCAGGAGTTTGAGACCATCCTGGGCAACATGGTGAGATCCCCATCTCTAAAAAAAAAAAAACCCTAAAATTAGCCAGGCATGGTGGCCTGTGCCGGTAGTCCCAGGTATTCAGGAGGCTGAGGTGGGAGGATCAATTGAGCCTGGGAGGTAGAGGCTGCAGCAGTGAGCTGAGATGGCGCTACTGCACTCCAGCCTGGGTAACAGGACAAGACCCTGTCTCCAAAACAAACAAATGAACAAACAAACAAAAATAGCTCACTGCAGTCTTAAACTCCTGAGCTCAAGAATCCCCCTGCCCCAGCTTCACAGATAGCTAGGATGACAGGCATGAATCACTGCACTTGGCCCATATTTGCCTGTTTTTGAAGAGTAGTATACTACTTTTGTTTTTAACACTTTGAGTATTTTTACTTTCATTTAATAACATACAGACTGAATTCATGGTGGGTGCTATGATCAGAATGTTTGTGTTTCCCCAAAATTTATATGTTGAAATTATCACCCCCAAAGTGATGGTATGGCTAGGCGTGGTGGCTCATGCCTGTAATCTCCACACTTTGGGAGGCCGAGGTGGGAGGATGGATTGATCTCAGGAATTTGAGACCAGCTTGGGCAACATAGTGAGACCCCCGTCTCTACAGAAAATACAAAAAAGAAAAAAAGGAATAAAAAAGTAATAAAAGTAAAAAACAGCAACAAAGTGATGGTATTAAGAGGCGAGGGGAGAGAAATGGGGAATGACTACTAATGGTTATTGAGCTTTTTGGAGGATAATAAAAATGTTCTAAAATTGTGGAGATGATTGCATAACTCTGTGACGAAACTAAAAACCACTGGATTCTACATTTTAAATGAGTTAATTGTATGATACAGGTATTGTATATCAGTAAAAAAAAATTGGCGTCCTAGCTACTTAGGAGGCCAAGGCAGGAAAATTGCTTGAGTCCAGGAGTGCAAAACTTTAGTGCTTGATGATTGTATCTGTGAATAGCTACTGAACTTCAGCACAGGCAACATAGCAAGACCCCATCTCTAAAAAATAAACAATTTTTAGCCGGGTGTGGTGTTGCGAGCCTGTAATCCCAGCTACTCAGGAGGCTGAGGCAGAATTGCTTGAACCCAGGAGGCGGAGGTTGCAGTGAGCCGAGATCACGCCATGGCACTCCAGCCTGGGCGACAGAGCAAGACTCTGTCTCAAAAAAAAAACAAAAACAAAAACAAAACAACAATTTTTTTTTAATTGGAAAATGCAATTCAAAGAAAAAGAGAGCCTTTGGGAGGTGATTAGATCATGAGGGCAGAACCAGAGTGACATTAATGTCCTTATAAAAGAGGCTGGATGGAGGGAGTTCTTAGAACTGTGAGACCTTTATGTCTGCTGTGTAAAGCCACTCCGTTTATGGTATTCTGCTATAGTAGCCTGAAGGGACTAAGACAGTGGGCCTCTCCCTCTCAAAGTATGAGGTTTTTGTTTTTTTTGCTAAAGCTGGAGACAAGGTGTGCATAGAGAAGGTGTCACCTGTTACTTACCTTCTGTCGGAGAAAAATCCTGGTGTGAGAAGTTAGGGAAAAGAGAAAATGGGGTCAAATTTAGCGCTCCTGCTTTTGTTGAATGTGTCAGTTATTTGAACCATTTACTCAATTTTCTTATCTTTTTATGCAGAGTAACTTTTGTTTATTACTTAATTAGATTAATACTGCCTTAGTCTGTTTTCTGCTCCTAATAACAAATATCTGAGATTGGGTCATTTATAAGAAAAGAAATTTATTTCTTACAGTTATGGAAGCTGAGAAGTCAAAAGTCAAGAGCTACATTTGGTGAGAGCTGTCTTATGGCGGGGACTCTGAAGAGTCCCGAGGCAGTGCGGGGTATCAGATGGCCAGGAGGCCGAGCATGCTAGCTCTGGTCTCTCTTTTCGGATAAAGCTACCCAGTACCCTCCCATGATAACCCATTAATCCATTAATCCATGAATAGATTAATCCATACATAAGCGCTAAGCCCTCATGAGCCAATCACCTCTTAAAGGCCCTACCTCTCAAAATTGCCACGTGGAGGATTAAATTTCAACATGTGCTTTGAAGGGCACATTCAAACCATAGCAGATACCATTTATCTTTCCAGAAGCTTAAACAACAACAATAACAACAACAACAAAAAGAACTAAAAAAGAAAATGAGAGTATAAATATAACTATTTTAGATTAACTATTCCCATACCTTTTCTCTGCCTCTCATTTTCTGGTATTTCTTAATGTTTTCACTTCTTTTCTTTGACAGGCACACACCACCACGCCTGGCTACTTTTTGTATTTTTAGTAGAGATGGGGTTTCACCATGTTGGCCAGGCTGGTCTCGAACTCCTGACCTTGTGATCCACCCGCCTCGGCCTCCCAAAGTGCTGGGATTACAGATGTGAGGCACTGCACCCGGCCATCAACTTCTTATATTTTAATAGTACTCAATAGTTCAAGCATTTTTATGTTATCTTTCTAATCCTCATACAAACTCTAAAACTGATATTACTATCTGCATTTTATAGATGAAGAAACTGAGGTCTAGCAAGGGTAAATGATTTGCTTCAGGTCAAATGGCAGATCAGCAGCAGAGCTAAGAACCAAATTCAAGTGCTCTGAATTCAAGTCCAAATTTCTTACCCAAGAAAAGAACTTACAAATACTAGGATCAATGATTAATGATTATAAAGAGCTCTAGGTATATATATAGAATATTAGGCATTTTTTGTGTGTAAAAATCTATTTCTAAATATGTGTCATGAAAATATATATACTAGTTTATTCTACATCATGTTTCTCCAAGCATTACTTCAACTCTAAGAAAACCTGGAAGTTTCAAATGTCATATTGGAACACTTCTGTATAGCATTAGGAAAAATAAACTATATTCAGGGACCAGGAGTTAAGTACAGAGCTTGGAAAAATAGAGGCCTGAAATCCTTGCATCTGCCCATAGGTAAAGTAAAATAGATAAACAGTATATTTAAAATTTACAGATACTAATTAGTGGGTTAACAGTTTCAAGCAGAGAATAATGCTCTTCCCCCCACCCCCACTGCCCCCAAAGATGGAGTATCACTCTTATGCCCAGGATGGAGTGCAGTGGCATGATCTCAGCTCACTGCAACCTCTGCTCCCCAGGTTCAAGTGATTCTCCTGCCTTAGCCTCCTGAGTAACTAGGATTACAGGCATGCACCACCATGCCCGGCTAATTTTTCTATTTTTAGTAGAGACGGGGTTTCACTATGTTGGCCAGGCTGGTCTCGAACTCCTGACCTCAGGCGACCCACCCGCCTCAGCCTCCCAAAGTGCTGGGATTACAGGCGTGAGTCACCACGTCCTGCTGAATAATGCTCTTTTGGGATCATTCAGATCTGTTAATGTATTGCTAGCTTGTCTACCAATATCCAGCTGGTATTTAGTTCTTGGTAATATGATCAACAAACCTGAAGTATATATAGAATAGATATGATTATTGTACTGTTTGCAAGATTTGGGTACCAGTATCTAACTCTAGGGGGAAGATAACTATTTATAGAAGGCACAAATAGACAAATTGTCGAGTTATAAATTAATACTGAGTCACAGTCTTAACAGTAACAAGAAGTCTTTCTTATTTGATCCAAGTAAATATTTTTATTTAAAAGATGTTCAGGGTCAGGCACGGTGGCTCTCGCCTGTAATCCCAACACTTTGGGAGGCCAAGGCAGGAGGGTCACTGGAGGCCAGGTTTGAGAACAGCCTGGCCAACATTGTGAAACCCCATCTCTACTAAAAATACAAAAATTGGCCAGGTATGGAGGTGCGTGTCTGTAGTTCTAGCTACTTAGGAGACTGAGGCACGAGAATAGCTTGAACCTGGGAGGTGGAGGGTGTAGTGAGCTGAGACTGTGCCACTGCACTCCAGCCTGGGCGACACAGCGAGACTCCGTCTCAAAAAAAAAAAAAAAAAAGGTGAGAGTCAAAATACTGTCTTTTAAGTGAGGCCTCGAGTTAAAATAGCACATTTCTTAGGTATTCTTTATCACCTGACCTTGCAAATTGTCCTCATCAACTCCAAATTAAGTTCTAAAATGTTGAGTGCTTACCTTGTGACCAACCAGTGCTATATTAGGTTCGGAGTAACTGTGAGATTTTAAAAATTACCATGTTGATTCTGAAGTCTGCAGGGGAAACAGAATGCTTTAACAGATGCTCTGCTTCAGAGACAGGTTGCAAAAATCCCTCCTCTCCCCACTCCTGATTTGCAAGTCTTACCTTTCCATCAGTGTCGTGGCCTAACATTCAAGTATTATTATTATTAACAAATAATTATTAAGAATTTTGAATGAGCCAGACACTATACTGGCCCCGGGGAAAAAAAGGAGAGCAAAAAAGACATGTTTCCTATCCTCACTGTGCTTATAGTCTGCTGGAGAAAGCAGGTAAATAAAGAAGCTATCAGTAAGTGTGATAACTGCTAGAGAATAGTGATTTCCTTAACTTCTAGTAACTTCTAGAATCCCAGTGTTTTTCAAACTGCAGGTTGCAACCCATTGGTATGTCTCAAAAAATACATTTTTACAGTAATTTTTATTTATTTATTTATTTACAGAGTCTCACTCCCTTACCCAGGCTGGAATGCAGTGGTGCGATCTCTGCTCACTGCAGCCTCCACCTCCCTCCAGGGTTCAAGCGATTCTCGTGCCTCAGCCTCCCAAGTAGCTGGAATTAGAGGTGTGTGCCACCATGCCCAGCTAGTTTTTGTATTTTTAGTAGAGACAGGTTTCCCCATGTTGGCTAGTCTGGTCTCGAACTCCTGACCTTAGGTGATCCCCCAGCCTTGGCCTCCCAGAGTGCTGGGATTACAGGCGTGAGCCACCACGCCCGGCCTCACTTTCATTTTAAAAATAAAAATGGGCCGGTTGCGATGGCTCATGCCTGTAATCCCAGCACTCTGGGAGGCTGAGGTGGGCAGACCACCTGAGGTCAGGAGTTTGAGACCAGCTGTGCAACATGGTGAAACCCTGTCTCTACTAAAAATACAAAAATTAGCCTGGCCTGTTGGCGGATGCCTGTAATCCCAGCTACTCAGGAGGCTGAGGCAGGAGAATCGCTGGAACCCGGGAGGTGGAGGTTGCAGTGAGCTGAGATTGCACCACTGCACTCCAGCATGTGCAACAGAGTGAGACAGTGTCTTAAAAAGAAAAAACAGTGATGTTCAAGTAAAAAAAATAGACCAGACTAGACTAGGATGGGCTAGAAAATATGAGAATGTATTGCACGTAATACGAGTATTGTTCTATAAAATGTGTGTTTATTGGCCGGGAGTGGTGGCTCACGCCTGTAATCCCAGCACTTTGAGAGGCCAAGGTGGGCGGATCATAAGGTCAGGAGTTCGAGACCAGCCTGGCCAACATGGTGAAACCCCCATCTCTACTAAAAATACAAAAAATTAGCCGAGTGTGGAGGCGCATGACTGTAATCCCAGCTACTCAGGAGGCTGAGGCAGGAAAATCACTTGAACTCAGGAGACGGAGGTTGCAGTGAGCCGAGATCTCGCCATTGCACTCCAGCCTGGGCGACAGAGCAAGACCCTGTCTCGGTCGGGGGGCGGGGGAGTGTGTTTATTTATTGGGTTCAAAGTGTAAAAAATGTTTGAGGCTTCTCCCCCACCCACCCCCCACCCCACCCCACCCCTGGCGAAAAAAAAGAAAAGAGAAAACTGTATCTATTTTCATCCCTAGTGCTGAATACAATGCTCTATATAGAGAAGACTTGGGATAAATTTTCGATAATGACAATAAACAGAAACATGAGAGGGAAACTAGAAAAAAATTCCATGATATGCTTAAAATGAACTTTTCAAAATAAGCGCCAGCTCACAAAGTTGTATTTTCATGTTTATACCACTATCACTCAGCTAATTTTGACTAAGGACCTACTGTGTTTTAGGCAATATGCTAGTTGCTTGGGATGTAAGAAATAATTAAAACACAGCCTTTCTTTCTCAGAGCTTGCTAGTGTGTGAAGAAACAGCTGGGGAGAATAATCCTCGATATACAAGAATCAGTACTTGAAAATATTCATCTCATTATAAATAACAAGTACATAATTACATGCATGTAGAGTTGTGTTTTATTTTTGTTTTACACTAGTGGTTATCTTTAAATCTTTAAACATTACAGTGCTAGTTCATATTTTGGTCTTGGTAGAATATCATGGTTAAAACTTATAATTCAGATTCACTAGGATGTTTATAATAAATAAAACATACAATTAGTGTTGGTGAGGATGTGGAGAAATTAGAACCCATGTACATTGCTGGTTGGAATGTAAAATGGTACAGCTGCTTTGGGAAAGCCTGGTAGTTCCTCAAAAAGTGTAGAATTACCATATGACCAGGTATATACCCAAGAGAAATGAAAAATATGCCCACACAAAAACTACACAAATGTTCATTGCAGCATTATTCATAATAGCAAAAAGAAATAACCTAAATGTCCATCAACTGATGAACAAAATTTGATCTCTATCTGCACAGTAGAATACTATGCATCCATAAAAGGAACATCAGGCTGGGCGCCGTGGCTCACACCTGTAATCCCAGCACTTTGGGAGGTTAAGGCGGGCAGATCACAAAGTCAAGAGATCGAGACCATCCTGGCCACCATGGTGAAACCCCGTCTCTACTAAATATACAAAAATTTGCCGGGCGTGGGGGCGTGTGCCTGTAGTCCCAGCTACTCGGGAGGCTGAGGCAGGAGAATGGCTTGAACTAAGGAGGCGGAGGTTGCAGTGAGCCGAGATTGTGCCACTGCACTCCAGCCTGGGTGACAGAGCGAGACTCCGTTTCAAAAAAAAAAAAAAAAAAAGGAACATCAAGAACTGGTACATGCCACATATGGATGAACTTTTAAAACATTATGCTAAGTGAAAGAAGCCAGTCACAAAATAGCATACATTGTTTTACTCCATATACGTAAAACAGCCCAGAACAGGCAAATCTATAGACACAGAGATTAGCAGTCGTCTAGGGCTGAGGGATTAGTGACTTCTTCTAAAAGGGGTAGAGGGTCTTTTTTTCAGGGTGATGAAATGTTCTAAAGTTAGATTATGGTGATGGCTGCATAACTCTGTGAACAAACGCCACTGAATTATGCCCTTTAATTTTTTTTAGAGATGGGGCCTTGCTGTGTTGCTCAGGCTGGAGTGCGGCAGATGTTTAAAGGTGTGATCATAGCTCACTGCAGCCTCGAACTCCTGGGCTCAAGTGATCTTCCTTTCTCAGTCTCCCGAGTAGCGAGTAGCAGGGACCACAGGTGCATGCTCACTGCTCTAGCTCCAAATTGTGTACTTTAAATGGGTGAATTTTATTATATGTGAATTACATCTCAATAAGGAAGTTAAGGTCGGGTGTAGTGGCTCACACCTGTAATCCCAGCACTTTGGGAGGCCGAGGCGGGCGGATCACGAAGTCAGGAGTTCAAGACCAGCCTGGCCAACATGGTGAAACCCTGTCTCTATTAAAAATACAAAAATTAGCCAGGTGTGGTGGTGGGCGCCTGCAATCCCAGCTACTCCAGAGGCTGAGGCAGGAGAACTGCCGGAACCCAGGAAGCGAAAGTTGCAGCGAGCCGAGATCGCGCCATTGCACTCCAGCCTGGGTGACAAGAGTGAGACTCCATCTCATAAAAAGAAAAGAAGTTAAAAAATATGATTCAGGGCCGGGCGCGGTGGCTCACCCCTGTAATCTCAGCACTTTGGGAGGCCGAGGCGGGCGGATCACGAGGTCAGGAGATTGAGACCATCCTGGCTAACACGGTGAAACCCCGTCTCTACTAAAAATACAAAAAATTAGCCAGGCGAGGAGGCGGGCGCCTGTAGTCCCAGCTACTCGGGAGGCTGAGGCAGGAGAATGGCGTGAACCCCGGGGGGCGGAGCCTGCAGTGAGCCGAGATCGCACCACTGCACTCCAACCTGGGCGACAGCGAGACTCCGTCTCAAAAAAAAAAAAAAAAAAAAAGATTCAGGCCAGCCAGCATCCATGGCAGGATCAGCCCCCTCATCCATACAGACCTAATGTAATTATTATGATTGAATCAGAATATATTTTGTACAGACAAAAAAGCACTGGTATTATTATTGCTATCATCTTAGATACAGTATTGAGGGAGTCTACAAGTACATCTTCAGGAGTTCTCCAAATGGTGGCATTTTTAGTAAATAATTTTATGTTAATATATATTTTTTGTACATGGTTCTCTCAACGTGTTACCTGAGGAAAAAAATATGTATTTTATAAACAGGCTGAAGTAACGAGGAGGGAAAAGATGTTGAATAATGTGAAAATTATTATTATTAGCTGGCTAGCCCAATAACCATTGCCAATCCCCTTTCCCTTGCCTGCCTTCACTATGATTGATAAAGTATGTAACTGACAAATTACTTGCTTTCCCAGTCTCTCACTCCACCTGGATGGCCATGTGACAGGGGTCTAGCTAATGGATGTAAGTGCAAGTCTTCTGGGAAAGCTTTCACTTTCCTAAAAGGGGAGATGTGTCTGGCTCCACTCTTCCCTTTTCATTCTTTGAACACAAATGTGTCATCTGGAACTGCAGCAGCCATCCTGTGTTTAGGAGATAACTAGCCACCGTGATAAGGATGGAATAGAAACAGCCTGGGTCTTTGATGACATTGGTAAGCCTCTGCACCAGCTCTGGCCTGCCCACCAGAATTCTTATAATACAAGTTAATGAGATATAATTTTTCCTTAAGGCACTGTTAGGTTTCCTGCAGCTGAAAGTATTCTTAATTGGTACAAGTGGTGTGAGCTCAATATTCTGGAAACAGTAAAGCAAAACAGTATTAATGTTTCTTACTAATGCATTAATAAAATTATCATAAATTACTTTCTAGGGATTACTTTCTGGGCCCTTTTAGCAGATAAAAACTCACAAAGGACCAATTTAAAATGGTAGAATTTATTTTAATATAATGATATATATGTGTCCACATATACTATTTTAAAAATAAGCATGTAAATTATAATCATTATAAAACATAAGTTAGTCCTAATTTAATATTATCAGAGTAAAAGAGCACATATAGAAGTCAGTCTAACTTTGTTGCACTTGTCTTTTAAAGTTAGAATACATAAAAGATTTAGCACGTTGTATTTTATCTTATTTCAGTTTTCATGTTATCATCAACTATAAATACCCTTAGGAATGTACCACCTTATAACTTACATTGAAATAGCCAATATTTCTTAGTAGTTATTAAAGTACCATTAAATCACCTAAAACAAATAATCTAAAAAAATACTAGTTTAAATTAAAACCCTGAGGAATTAAAATTTGTTTTACACAATAGTTTTGGTTAAGTGCAATTTCATGTACATACTACTTTGTTTAAGGATGTACTTGGTAAGGCATAGTAAAAATAAAATCTACGTAAGTAACAATCTAATACTATATTTAATTTGTTGCTACAAAGTTGTTTTGTTTCTCTAAAAAGTAGTTTTTGCATATCATTCTGGACCTCTTCACCCATCTGCTGGCTTATTTGCTTTATATACAACAGTTAAAATTTGTGCACTAAGCTGAGCTGCCTTCACAATTGTGGTTCAGACAAAATGCACCCAAAGAACTACATGTTAAGAGAGTTCATGTCCATGCTCAACCATGGCTTGCACAAATTGCTTGAAGACACGATCCATGTAAGTGGACTGTCTTGGCCAGATTCCCTCCAGAAAACCAATATGGCCTCCATAAGAAGTAAGGACCAAAGCAACATTAGGATTTTGCTTAGCAGTTTCTATTGGAATAGCTTCAGACCAAAAAAAACATGGCAATAAGAGAGAAGAAGGAGAGAGAAAAATATAATCATTATGTTTTTGTCAGGAAAAGCATATACCTTTATCATGTCTAATAAACAGAAATCAAAACACCATTATATAAATATATGTAATGAGCATAGTTAAATGGAATGAGTCTACCTTATATCAACTATATTCTTACAACAGTTCATATATATGGTCATGTCTGCACAATCATTTTGGGAAGAATCAATCCAAGATTGTTCTTCATAACACAAAAGTATACATCAAGTCTTACTTTGAGAAATTAAAGTAAGACAATTCAAGGAATGGTGAATCCTCATAATAGGCTATAAAATTCCCACTGAAGTGTTAGGGCAGGGGAAAAAACTAAGCTTAGCATCTTTGTGAGAGTTAGAAATTCATTAGGTATTATTTTGATTAACTTTACATGATGTGGCTGGGCATGGTGGCTCATGCTTGTAATCCTAGCACTTTGGGAGGCCGAAGTGAGAGGATCACTTGAGCTCAGGAGTTCGACACCAGCCTGGGCAACATAGTGAGACCCCATCTTGAAAGAAAGAAAAGAAAGGACAGGAAGAAGAAAGAAAGGAAGACAAGAAGAAAGCAAAGAAAAATAAAGAACGAAAGAAAGAGAAAGACAAAAAGAAGAAAAAGAAAAAGAGAAAGAACGAGAATGAAAACAAAGGAAAGAGAGAAAGAAAAAAGAAAGAAAGAGAGAGGCCAGGTGTGGTGGCTCATGCCTGTAATCCCAGCACTTTGGGAAGTTGAGGCAGGTGGATCACGAGGTCAAGAGATCGAGACCATCCTGGCCAACATGGTGAAACCACGTCTCTACTAAAAATACAAAAATTGGATGGGCGTGGTGGCACGTGCCTGTAGTCCCAGCTACTTGGGAGGCTGAGGCAGGAGAATCGCTTGAACCCGGGAGGCGGAGATTGCAGTGAGCCGAGATCACACCTTTGTACTCTAGCCTGGCAACAGAACAAGACTCCAACTAAAAAAAAGAAAGAGCTCACGCCTGTCATCCCAGCACTTTGGGAGGCTGAGGCAGGTGGATGACCAGGTTAGGAGATCAAGACCATCCTGGCCAACGTGGTGAAACCCCATCTCTACTAAAAATACAAAAATTGGCTGGGCGTGGTGGCGCACACCTGTAATCCCAGCTCCTGGGGAGGCTGAGGCAGGAGCATTGCTTGAACCCGGGAGGCAGAGGCTGCAGTGAGCCAAGATCATGCCACTGCACTCCAGCCTGGGCGACAGAGCAAGACTCCATCTCAAAAAAAAAAAAAAAAAAAAAAAAAAAAGAGCTGGGTGTGGTGGCTCACGCCTGTAATCCCAGTGCTTTGGGAGGCAGAGGCAGGTGGATCATGATGTCAGGAGTTCAAGAACGGCCTGGCCAACATGGTGAAACCCCATCTCTACTAAAAATACAAAAAATAGCCAGGCATGGTGGTGCACGCCTGTAATCCCAGCTACTTGGGAGGCCAAGGCTGCAGTGAACTATCGCACCACTGCACTCCAGCCTGGTGACAGAGCTAATTTTTGTATTTTTAGTAGAGACGGGGTTTCACAATGTTGGCCAGGCTGGTCTAGAACTCCTGACCTCAAGTGATTTGCCTGCCTCAGCCTCCCAAAGCACTGGGATTACAGGCGTATGCTACCTGTCTGGCCTGAGTATAACCTTTAAAAGATATGAATTAAAGTTTTTTTTTTCTCCCATGCTTAGAGGTCAGTGAAAATGTTTTGATATAAGGTCTCTAATGGATCAAAACCTGGCATGAGAAGTGTTTTGATTTCAGATACTGCCAAATCTTATCTCCCTAATTAAGATAACATGGTTGAGGCCAGTGTGGTAGCTCATGCTTGTAATCTCAGCACTTTGGGGGGATCTCTTGAGGCTAGGAGTTTGAGACTAGCCTGGGCAGCATAGCGAGACTGACCGTGTCTTTACAAAAAATGTTAAAAAAAAAAAAAAAAAAGCCTTGTGTGGTGGCATGCACTTGTAGTCCTAGCTGAGGCTGAGGTGGGAGGACAGCTTGAGCCCAGGAGTTTAAGGCTGCAGTAAACTTTTTTTTTTTTTTTGAGATGGAATTTCACTGTTGTTGCCCAGGCTGGAGTGCAATGGTGTGATCTCGGCTGGCTTACTGCAACCTCTGTCTCCGGGGTTCAAGCAATTCTCCTGCCTCAGCCTCCTGAGTAGCTGGGATCACAGGTGTGTCCCACCACGGCCAGCTAATTTTGTATTTTTTTTTTTTAGTAGAGATGGGGTTTCACCATGTTGGTCAGGCTGGTCTTGAACTCCTGACTTCAGGTGATCCACCCACCTCGGCCTCCCAAACTGCTGGGATTACAGGCGTGAGCCACTTCGCTCGGCCTGACTGCAGTAAACTATGGTAGTATCAGTGGACTCCAGTCTGGGCAACAGAGCAAGATCCTGTCTCCAAATATATATATATAATGTGATTGATGCAATAATTACAACTTCACAACTTGGGCTGAGTTTTAGGGGCAAATGAGCTAATTAAAGGTAACAGCTTCTCTACCTCACCCCCTTGTAAGAAAAAGGAAGCTAAAATTCACTGTAAGAGAACTGGGGCCCTTCCACAAATTGACTGTTTAGACAGTGCTCTAAATTTGACCCTTCATAACACTCTAAAGAATAAACCGATAGCCCTAAAGCAAGGCTCAACAAGCTAAGTTCTTATCAAAAAGTGGTCCTGAGTTCACGTCCTTAGCTAGCCACGTCCGTCCCAAGAAAGAACACCTAAAAGTGAACATCTATCTTGGGATCAGGTGTGGGAACTTAAGGGGGAATGGCTGATACTATTTTTGCTTTTCCTTTTTCACCAAACATTTAGAGTGTTTCATTTGCCTCTAAAGGAATTATCAAGAGCCTAAACTTCACACTCTGGATACATTCAGAAATTTCTAACAGAGAGTTACAGTCATATCAGAAGAACAAAAGGCTGGGCCACATTTGAGGCATGTGAAAGATGCTGGCTGCCTGTTCTCTCAGACTGCAGACAATTGTCCACTATTTCATTGCGGCAAGACTATTTTAAAGGCTTGGGAAAGAATAGGAAATAATGAGTTCAAACTTCACCCAAGTGGGTAAGGTTAAAATGTTGGGAACTTTTTATTGGTAAAAAGGGCAGTGAAATATAAAAACGGGTAGAGAAATACTGGACTTCCTTAATCCAATGAAAATATGCTAAAACAATCACCATGTAAGTCAACTGATATTAAAGTTCAGAGTTTCATTTTCTAAATTGTGGTCAAGGCTGTAAGTTTCAGCTTCTAAGATTACCTGTGATTAAACATAAATCACACAATAAAATAGGATCTCCTAGAGAAATGATAGGTAATTTAAAAATATATATATATACACACACTGGGGATTTTCTGAAAATTTCACAACATATGTGTTATGTTTATAGTCAGAATCATTTTTTAAATGAAGTATTTGGGGAAAATGGTTTTAATGCATTGAGGGGAAAGAGAGAAAAAGTTTTTTTTTTTTTTTTTTTCCAAGATAGAGTCTCACTCTGTCACCCAGGCTGGAGTGCAGTGGCACGATCTCAGCTCACTGCAACCTCCGCCTCCTGGTTCAAGCAATTCTCCTGCCTCAGCCTCCCAAGTAGCTGGGATTACAGGCACATGCCACCATGCCCAGCTAATTTTTGTATTTTTAATAGAGGTGGAATTTCATTGCGTGGGCCAGGCTGCTCCTTATCTTTGTTATCAAATTTCATATTTCTTGACTTAAGAAAGCAGGAAAGTTGGCGGGGTGTGGTGGCTCATGCCTATAATGCCAGCAGTCTGGGAGGCTGAGGCAGGCGGATCGCCTGAGGTCAGGAGTTCAAGAGCAGCCTGGCCAACATGGTGAAACCCTATCTCTACTAAAAATACAAAAATTAGCCAGGCATGGTGGCGGGCACCTGTAATCCCAGCTACTTGGGAAGCTGAGGCAGGAGAATTGCTTGAACTCGGGAGGCGTGAGCCGAGATCGTGTCTTTGCACTCCAGCCTGGGTGGCAGAGTGAGACTCCATCTCAAAAAACAAAAAAACAAACAAAAAAAAGGAAAGCAGTAAAGTTTAGGCTGGGTGTGGTGGCTCACGCCTGTAATCCCAACACTTTGGGGGAACCAGGCAGGCGAATTACCTGAGGTCAGGAGTTTGAGACCAGCCTGGCCAATATGGTGAAACCCCATCTCTACAAAAATACAAAAATTAGCCAGGCATGATGGCGGGTGCCTGTAATCCCAGCTACTTGGGAGGCTGAGGAGGGAGAATTGCTTGAACCCGGGAGGCGGAGGTTGCAGTGAGCCGAGATCGTGCCTTTGCACTCCAGCCTGGGCGACAGAGCGAAAAAGAAAGCAGGAAAGTTTATTTCTGAATAATTTTCTTTTTTTTTAAGAGACAGGGTCTCACTCTGCTATTCAGGCTGGAGTGTAGTGGCATGATCATAGCTCATTGCAGCCTCAAACTTCTGGGCTCAAGTGATTCTCCCACCTCAGCCTCCCAAGTATCTGGGACTACAGGCACACACCACCATGCCCAGCTAATTAATTTTCTTTTATACAGTATTCCAGGGAAAAGGAAAGGATGTTTCTCTTTAAATATGACCTTCTAGTCCAAATATGCTTCACTAATTGAGATATTCAAAGCCACTGTGTTTATAAAGTCTCAAGTTCTCTTCCAGATTAAAAGGGAAGAAAAACTTCAAATTCTTCTTTATAGGAATCTCAGGAAGAAGAGGCAAGTGATAACAATATTCTCCTGAGGCAAAAGGACTGTAACATAATCTGTCCAAAGAACAGTGTATTTGGTAAGAAGGAAAGGTTATAAAAATGAGAATGAGCAAAACAGTGAGTCATAATTTGTTCTGAGCCTCTCACAATGGACTAGATAAGGGTCTGTGAAAATATTTAAGTGATTTGAGACATTTAGATACTGTGTTATGAGTATCTAGTTTTTTTATCATAATGGAAATGACACATTTTCTTATTACTATATTTCCTTAAAAATAACAATATATTAAAAGTTGATTCATGTCAAAATATATACAAATATGTTAATTTTACCATGACTGGGTGAGAAAACATCATCCACAGAATTTAGACACAATACTGGAATTCCTACTGACTTCAGTCTAGGACTCGGACTGGCATCAGTATAATAATCATCAATTGTTTGGTATCCAAACATGACTGAAGTGAATCGCTTATCAAACTCTCTGATGGATTTAGCCTGAAACACAAAAACAAATTATATCTAGTCTTGCCCAAAAGAAGAAATAAAAGTATTACATAAAGTTTCTCTCCTACCTTCATGACATGATCCATATCAACTTGTTTTACAAACATATGTCGGTGCCTGGAACAAAAGAATTTCGGAAGTAAAAATCAAGATCATTCCTACTCCATCATACTAAAAGGACTTAAAAACAAATTACTAAACAGCCTACCACAGGGCACAAAGTTGGCACTCAATAAATATTTGCTTAATCAGGTACGGCAGGATTAGAATAATAATGTTTGTGCTGAAGATATTTTCTTCAAGTACTTTTTTTTTTTTTTTTGAGACAGAGTCTTGCTTTGTCGCCCAGGCTGGAGTGTAGTGGCATGATCACGGCTCACTGCACCTTCAGCCTGCTGGGCTTTAGTGATTCTCCCACTTCAGCCCCAGAGTAGCTGGGACTACAGGTGTGCACCACCACACCCCACCAATTTTGTGGGTTTTTTTTTTCTTTTGGTAGAGATGGGGTTTTGCCATGTCACCCAGGCTGGTCTCAAACTCCTGGGCTCAAGTGATCCACCCTCCTCGGCCTCCCAAAGTGCTGGGATTATAAGCATGAGCCACCTTGCCTGGCCTGGTAAAATCTAATCCAGTGTTTAATGTCAACTTCCAGGATAACTAAGGTTTTCAGTAAGTCATGTGCAAATCAACAGTACTTTTAAAGTTTATATTCATCAATTCACTTAAAAGTACGTAACAGTCATAAAAAAATAAAGATTATAGCATTGCGTGCCTGTATCAAAATATCTCATGTACCTCATAAATATATACACCTACTATGTACCCACAGAAATTAAAAATAAAAAAAATTAAAGAAAGAAATAAGCAAACAGAAATATCTCTGCTGGGCGGGGGGCTCACGTCTGTAGTCCTAGCACTTTGGGAGGCTGAGGTGGATGGATTGCTTGAGTTCAGGAGTTAGAGACCAGCCTGGGCAACATGGCAAAACCTCATCTCTGCAAAACATAAAATATTAGCCAGGTGTGGTGGTATGTGCCTGTAGTCCCAGCTACTTGAGAGGCTGAGATGGGAGGATCACTTGAGCCTAGGAGGCTGAGGCTGCAGTGAGCCATGATCACACCACTGCACTCAAGCCTGGGCAATAGAGAGAGACCCAGTCTTAAAAAAAAAGAGGGAGAGAAAGAAAAAGAAAAAAAGAAAATACACAAACAATTCCAGAGAAAACTAATGCAAAGATAGTATTTTGGTAGTATAAGAGCTGTGAGGGCTGAGATTATCTAAGTGAACTGCATTCTCCTGTCTCTAAAACATACTATGCTCATAAGCACACCCTCAAGGAGCTGTATTATTCAGCAATGAAAGTACTTACTACATTACTATCCAGGAAAGACTTAGGTATTACTAAGATTAGCAACAAGTAGAAAATCCAGGGAAACAGCCCATCACACCACTTAACACATTCCATACTAACATTTTTAGTCTTTTAGAATAATTTAGAATGGTGATTAGAATAGTAACCTTCAATAGTGTACCTTCACTAAAAATGGGGCACATACTTCAGGGGTTGTACAAGACAATCCACTGGGGTTCAGAAGGAAAACATTACAACTTTTAGCTATATTTTTAACTTATGCTTAAATTTTAACTTATACTTACATTTTTTATTTATATGCATTTACAACAAAGATAATATTTTGGTACAGTAGTAAATTTATTCAGTGTATAAACACATATACATATATTGGTAGTATTACGCTTTAAATTTTTTTACTGTTGGGGCATGTAATCATTTGGAGACAATAGTTTTTTTTTTTTTTTTTTGAGACGGAGTCTTGCTCTGTCACCCGGGCTGGAGTGCAGTGGCACGATCTCGGCTTACTGCAACCTCCGCCTCCTGGGTTCAAGCAATTCTCCTGCCTCAGCCTCCTAAGTAGCTGGGACTACAGGCACACATCACCACGGCCAGCTAATTTTTTTGTATTTTTGGTAGAGACGGGGTTTCACCATGTTGGCCAGGATGGTCTCGATCTCCTGACCTCGTGATCCCCCCGCCTCAGCCTCCCAAAGTGCTGGGATTACAGGCGTGAGCCACCGGGCCCGGCCCTGGAGACAACAGATTTTAAAGATGACTCACTTATTAACTGAAGACTGAAGGCAGGTTGTCAAATAGTAATTAAAAAGTAGCCAGTTCAGTGGTTTTTCCAATGACTCTGAGCAAGCGAAGGTGTTCCAACCAACGGAAAAAGTTGCAGCTGCCATCAAAGGCGTTTTGGACCCAATTTTGCCCAAGTAATTTAGAAGCAGCATTCTAAAATGGGGAGAAACAGGAAACTCAGTGATTAATTTGTTGTATCACAGAAGACATCCATTTCTAACTACAGACTTTATGTTAACTATGGAGAAGAAAAATATAAACTAGTGTTTAAGTCCTCTATCCTGGAAAAGCATGCAAGCATCTTCATTCTTTCCTTATATTCATATATTTATTTGTCTTGCAGTCAACTATGTGGTAAATGGGACAAATCATAGTTATTCCTTATATATGTATCCTATGAAGTCAAACATAAGAGAAATCCACCCTAAGAGTGGTTTTTAGATGTGACTGCATGCTGGAATCACCTAGAGTTTTTTTTTTTTGTGTGTGTGTGTTTGAGACAGAGTCTTGCTCTGTCACCCAGCCTGGAGTGCAGTGGTGCGATCTCGGCTCACTGCAACCTCCACCCCCCTGGTTCAAGCGATTATCCTGCCTCAGCCTCCCGCGTAGCTGGGATTACAGGCATGCATCACCACGCCCCGGTAATTTTTTGTATTTTTAGTGGAGACGGGGTTTCATTGTGTTGACCAGGCTGGTTTTGAATTCCTGACCTCAAGTGACCTGCCCACCTTGGCCTCCCAAAGTGCTGAGATTACAGCCGTTGCACCCGGCCTTTTTTTTTTTTTTTTTTTTTTTGAGATAGGCTCTGTAGCCCAGGTTGGAGTGCAGTGACACAATCACACCTTAGGGCAGCCTTGATCTCCTGGGCTGAAGTGATCCTCCCACCTTACCCTCCCCAGTATCTGGGACTACACGTGTCCGCCATCAAACACAGCTAATTAAAAAAAAAAAAAAAAATTTTTTTTTTTTTTTTGTAGAGATGAGGTCTCACTATGTTGCTCAGGCTGGTCTCTAGCTCCTGAGGAGTTTGTAAATGACTACTGATGTCTAGGTCTTACCCTGAGAGATTGTGAGTTAACTGGTCTGGATCACTACCCTAGCTGCCAAGGATCCTTGCACCCTGTGGCAAGTTTCTAAATTGCTCTCTAGTCTAGACTTTCTGAGTTGTGGTAGAACAGCTGACCCCTAAAGTAACTTGTTTTCTCTTTCTATTCCTGTTATTTGTCCTTATTTCCTAACACATATTTTCTTCTGTTCTTTTTGTTCTACTAATTTTCTTGATTCTATGCTAATTCTATTTTGGTAAGAGAGACCATAATCATGTCTAATCTACATACACAATGTTGAAAATCTAAAGTTTAATGCTGCCTAGTAACAGGATGATATCCTAATTGTTTCTCATTATATTTTTTGTACTTGATTTCTTCAATTGTCCATGTTTTGAAATAGGAGAAATGGCTTAAAATTCCCCCTCATTCTTTTTTCCAGTTCAAATGACTTGCTGGGGTGAATATGATGAAGTTTTAGATGGAAAGTGGACATTTAGCTTTTGAAAATGATCCTTCATAACAACTGAACTATCTGTATACAGTATTGTGATTCACCAAACCATATATAGGACAATGCTTACTCTTCTGCAAAGGGTTCATTCTAGAGTCCTAGTTTTGGTGGCCCTACTCTTTGATGGGAGGTCAGATATTGTTGGGAGGCTGGTAAAATGCACAAATTAGAAGGCCTTGAAGGGAAACTCAGGACTAGGAAGATTCAGAAGTAGATATGACCAAGCAGGTGGAATACGTCTTGGTTATTACTCAGCAGCAAAATGATGCTAAGATGTTATCCCCAAAAAGACTGTTTTACTTCTATAGGAAAAGGACCCTATTTTCTCACCAAAAGAAAAAAACTACAAGCTAAAAAAAAAAAAAAAAAAAAAAAAGAGAAATAACCCCTGGATTAAGAGACTTAAAAAGCATACCAATCTCAATGTATAGACTTTTCCTGGCTTCTAACTAAACTAAAACCAAACAAGCAAACAAGACTATTTGGGAAATGTGAACACTTACTGAATACTGTATGATAGTTTGAAATTAGTGTTAATTTTATTCAGGTGTAATAACAGTAATATGGTTTTGTTTTTTTGTTGCTTGTTTTTTAAGATAAACTCCAGCCGGGCGCAGTGGCTCATGCCTGTAATCCCAGCACTTTGGGAGGCTGAGGCAGGCAGATCATGAGGTCAGGAGTTTGAGCCAGGCCAACATAGCAAAACCCCCTCTCTACTAAAAATACAAATATTAGCTGGACATGGTGGTGGGCGCCCGTAATCCTAGCTACTCGTGAGGCTGAAGCAGGAGAATCACTTGAACCCAGGAGGCAAAGGTTGCAGTGAGCTGAGATCGCACCACTGCACTCCAGTCCAGGTGACAATGGGAGACTCCATCTCAAAAGAAAACAAACAAACAAAAAAACCCACAAAACATAAACTCCACTGTTTTTTTTTTTGAGATGGAGTTTTGCTCTTGTTGCCCAGGCTGGAGTGCAATAGCACAACGTAGGCTCACCGCAACCTCTGCCTCCTGGGTTCAAGAAGTTCTCCTGCCTCAGCCTCCTGAGTAGCTGGGATTACAGGCATGCACCACCATGCCCAGCTAATTTTGCATTTTTAGTAGAGACGGGGTTTCTCCACATTGGTCAGGCTGGTCTCGAACTCCCGAACTCAGGTGATCTGCCTGCCTTGGCCTCCCAAAGTGCTGGGATTATAGGTGTGAGCCACCGCGCCTGGCCTTTTTTTGTGTGTGTGAGACGGAGTCTCGCTCTATTGCCCAGGCTGGAGTGCACTGGTGCGATCTCAGCTCATGGCAACCTCCACCTTCTGGGTTCAAGTGATTCTCCTGCCTCAGCCTCTTGAGTAGCTGAGATTACAGGCATGCGTCACCATGTCCAGCTAATTTTTGTATTTTTAGTAGAGATGGGGGTTTCACCATGTTGGCCAGGCTGGTCTTGAACTCCTGACTTCAGATGATCTGCCCGCCTTGGCCTCCCAGCGTGTTGGGATTACAAGCATGCACCATCATGCCCGGCTAATTTCTGCATTTTTAATAGAGATGGGGGGTTTCACCATGTTAGCCAGGCTGGTCTCGGACTCCTGACCTCAGGTTGTCTGCCTGCCTCAGCCTCTCAAAGTGCTGGGATTACAGGCGTAAGTCACCACACCTGGCCCACCTTTTAGAGATACCAACTATTTATAAGTGATGTCTGAGATTTGGTACACAATAATCAGAGTTGGGAGAGAGAGGGGAGGGGGTGACACTGATGAAACGAGATGATCCATGAGTTGCTGGCACTTGGCCCCAGGGGCATCATAGGCTCTATCACAGGGATTACCCCAGTCCATGGGGCACTGGGCATAAGGATCGTCCATGGACTGTTTTTGCGTGTTGCATCTCCATAAGAAAAAATGTGTCAAGATATAAAACACATCCCCAAGTGGTAAGCCCACTTGGGATCGTGTCACAGTGCTAGGCAACTAGAAGGGGTGCTTCCGTCTAACAGTTCACAAGACATTAATGTTCAACCAGCTGTAAAGGCTAATGGTCAAGTTCTGCCTTCAGGCACTGAGGCTTCAATGCGGCACGAATAGACATTTCCCAGGAGCATTGAATAGAGAATCTGAACCTGTGTATGTAAGCTCCGGCCTTTAGAAAAGCCATGCGTTTATATGATTAAGGGAAAAGTTCAGCTCTCACCCAGTCCTTTAAGGTTCACATTATGGGGGAAAGGAAAGTGACGCTAAACTCCGTCCATTAAGCACAATTCAGAGAGTCTGCGTGGGTTTTCTCCATTGATTGAGATTTCTTCCTTTAGTAGGTCAAGTCAGACCTTCCATGCTAATGGAAGAAATGTATTCTTTTCTTCTTAGTTTTATGTTTATCAGAATCTAAAAAGCTGTGGTTAAAGGCCTGTTTTTTAGAGTCTATCATTTGTAAATGCTGTTCATTATCTTTTTAAAAAAATTAAAATTTTTTTTCTTTTTCACAGCCACTGGCTATAGAAAAATGCTATTCATTTTCAAGTGATTCATGTTCAAGATGTTCTAAAAACTGAAATGACAGATAAACCAATTATAAAATTATGAAAAAATATCATTTTCTATCTTCAGTATTTGCTGATTTAAAAAACTAGTTTTGGACAATGGCTTCAGGAATCTAAAAGCTTAGTAAAATTCCCGATAATAAAAATTTTGGATTTCCTTAAGCTCACCATCACTAGAACAACCAAAAAAAAAAACCCCAAAAACAATTAGTAGAAATAAGCCTAAATAGGAAAGTTCCAAATAAGCCCCAAAGTAATTGCAAGCAGCACAAATGACAATATCCGTATGCTTAAAATAACAGCTGGAGTAGGGGGTTAACAAAATTTCAGTTTCTAGGAGAGCACTCCACAGTAGTTCCATTTGCCCAGCAACAAAACAAAACAAAACAAAATACCACCTGGGGAAAAATAATTTTGAAGGCCACTGCAGCTGGAGAGAGCAATAAGTGATTATTTCTGTAACTGGAGTGATGAAAGTCATGCTACAAGTTCAGCTTCAGAACGCAGCTCCAGGGATGGCTGGGAGTGCGTCAGGAATCAGAAGGTCAACATGGCAGCCGGTGAGTGATGCAATCGACTTCATGGGCTTCAGACAAACCTTCAGGCTCACAAAATCCGCAGTCACAGAGACCCGTAGTTAAGAAAAATATTAAAATTCACCTGAATTAATTCTTTCCTTCCTTCGTTCATTCAATCAACCGCATTTAATAAAATATGATAAACATAATCAGACATTTATTTAAAAAGTGTCCATACAGCTAGCTTATAGTCCTCTCAAAGAGACAGCCAATAAAATAGCTTCCCTCTCAGAGATTATTTTAGAAAGGGAAAACCTTACCCTCCCATTGAAACCCCTGCTGCCAGGAAAGGAGCAGAAGGGTACAGGCTGTGTACATGGTGAATAACTGTCTCCAAGTCTTCAGTGTTAGCACAACAATAAGTCCTTGGCGTCTGGAAGTAGTGACAAGTAAAGCACAAAAATTACAATGTGAGGTTAATGATTTGTAAAATGCAGAAATGTAAACAGGAGCAAGGAGTCATACATATGAGAAAATAACCTTTGTTTGCACATACTGTAGTATTAATAATTTATCATTTTCCTGTCTTGCAGCGCACATACATGCCATTTAAAGTCAGCACAGTTAGAGTTGGCACTAACAAAAAGACCATGAACATGCAAGGAAGGCTTGATGCAGATGGGGCAAGACCAATACAAATACCTTCAATTAAACAAAGTACCATACTCAAACGTGTCTCCAACTTAACCAGAGCAGTTTAGGAAAAAAAGCAGAGAACTGTGCTTTCTATTAAACAAAAAACAACCTGTACCCTCAAAGACAAAATAACCTTTTTTTTTGTTTGTTTTGGAAAGACAGAGTCTTGCACTGTCACTCAGGCTAGATTGCAGTGGCATGATCACAGCTCACTGCAGCCTCGACCTCCCAGGCTCAAGCAATCCTCTGACCTTAAACTCCCAAGTAGCTGGAACCACAGGTATAGGCCACCACAAACAGATTTTTAAAAAAATGTTTTGTAGAGACAGGGGGGTCTTGCTATGTTGTCCAGGTTGGTCTTGAACTCCTGGGTTACAGTGATTCACCTGCTTTGGCCCCCCAACGTGTTGGGATTATAGGTGTGAGCCTGTGCCTGGCCCAAAGTAACTTTAAAAATATTATTATTTTTGAGATGGAGTTTTGCTCTGTTGCCCAGGCTGGAGTGCAGTGATGTGATCTCGGCTCACTGCAACCTCTGCCTCCCAGGTTCAAATGATTTTCCTGCCTCACTCCCCTGAGTAGCTGGGATTACAGACACCCACCACCATGCCCGGCTAATTTTTGCATTTTTAGTAGAGATGGGGTTTCACCATGTGGACCAGGCTGATCTTGAACCCCTGACCTCAAGTGATCCGCCTGCCTCAGCCTCACAAAGTGCTGGGATTACAGGTATGAGCCACCACGTCTGGCCAAAAAAAATTTTTTTGAGACATGGTCCTGCTCTGTTTCTAGGCTGGAGTGCAATGGTATGATCACAGCTCACTGTAGCCTCGACTTCCTTGTTCAAGTGCTCCTCCTGCTTCAGCCTCCTGAGTAGCTGGGACTATAGGCATGCACCACCATGCCTGGCAAATTTTTTATTTTTTTGTAGAGACAGGATCTTGCTATGCTGCCCAGGCTGGTCTCAAATTCCTGAGTTTAAGTAATCCTCCCATCTTGGCCTCCCAAGTAAAATCATTATTTATTAAAAAACAAACAAGCAGCCAGGCGCAGTGGCTCACACCTGTAATCCCAGCACTTTGGGAGGCCAAGGCAGGTGGATCATGAGCTCAGGAGATGGAGATCCTGGCTAAAACAGCGAAACCCTGTCTCTACTAAAAATACAAAAAATTAGCCAGGTGTGGTGGTGGGCGCTGTAGTCCCAGCTACTCAGGAGGCTGAGGCAGGAGAATGGCGTGAACCCGGGAGGTGGAGCTTGCAGTGAGCTGAGATCACGCCACTGCACTCCAGTCTGGGTGACAGAGTGAGACTCCATCTCAAAAAAAAAAAAAAGCAAAAGGGGCTTTTCAATAGTGTACCCCAAATCCCCAAAATTTTAAATTGTAGCTCATTTCTAACTGGGGAACTGTTTTCTCCACCTTGAGTGCTGTCTGCCAATGAAAGAGTATGGTTTCCTAGTGCTGTCTTCACTCTAGATAAAGCAATCTACGGTCTAATTTATTAACTGAATATTTTCTTTTATTTTTAAATTTATTTTTATTTTATTTATTTTTTTTGAGATGGATTCTTGCTCTGTCGCCCAGGCTGGGGTGCAGTGGCACAATCTCAGCTCACTAGTACCCCTCTGCCTCCTGGGTTCAAGCAATTCTCCTGCCTTAGCTTCCTGAGTAGCTGGGACTGCAGGTGTGCACCAGCTAATCTTTATTTTATTTTATTTTTGAGACACAGTCTCGCTCTGTTGCCAGGATGGAGTGCTGTGGCGCGATCTTGGCTCACTGCAACCTCTGCCTCGCGGGTTCAAGCGATTCTCCTGCCTCAGTCTCCTGAGTAGCTGGGACTACAGGTACGTACCACCACGCCTGGCTAATTTTTGTATTTTTAGTAGAGATGGGGTTTCACCATGTTGGCCAGGCTGGTCTCTAACTCCTGACCTCATGATCTGCCCGCCTTGGCCTCCCAAAGTGCTAGGATTACAGGTGTGAGCCACCGTGCCCGGCCTATTTTTTTTGAATTTTTAGTAGAGACAGGATTTCACCATGTTGGCCAGGCTGGTCTGGGACTCCTGACCTCAAATGATCTACCCGCCCTGGTTTCCCACAGTGCTGGGATTACAGGCGTGAGCCACTGTGCCTGGCCAAACATTTTCTTTTCTAATAGTATGTATATACAGATAGCCTCAGCTGTACTACACTGCAGTAGACACTTAAAATATTAAAATATGTAAAGTTGACCATGCTTCAATATATAACACATTTAAACACATGGTTTTCATGTGAATGTCATCAATAAGGGCTCTGTTTATAGCAGAAAAGCATCACGGATGCTTCACTTGAGATCTGGGAGGAGGGGGCAATCCTCTCGGTAGAATATATGTGAGTGTGTGTGTCAGAATTAAGTATATGTGCGAAAAAATAACCAGAAATTTAATAACAAGGAGAGGAATCTGGTAACATTACTCTAAGAAAACATGGAAACTAGTTATCTACACCACCCAATTTCACTATGTCAATTAACCATGATCATGCTAGGAAAGTTTTGTATCACCCACTGTTCAATCACTAATGAGTAGCCTGAGAAAATTACATTTTTTTTTTTTTTTGAGACAAGTCTCGCTCTGTCGCCCAGGCTGGAGTGCAGTGGTGCGATCTCGGCTGACTGCAAGCTCTGCCTCCTGGGTTCACACCATTCTCCTGCCTCAGCCTCCCATGTAGCTGGGATTACAGGCGCCCACCACCACACCCTTTTTTTTTTTTTTTTTTTTTTTTTTTGAGACGGAGTTTCCCTGCTGTTGCCCAGGCTGGAGTGCAATGGCGAGATCTCGGCTCACCGCAACCTCCGCCTCCCAGGTTCAAACAATTCTCCTGCCTCAGCCTCCCGAGTAGCTGAGATTACAGGCCTGCACCACTATGCCTGGCTAATTTTGTATTTTTAGTAGAGATGGGGTTTCTCCATGTTGAGGCTGGTCTTGAACTCCTGACCTCAAGTGATCCGCCCGCCTCAGCCTCCCAAAGTGCTGGGATTACAGGCGTGAATCACCGCGCCCAGCCGAAAATTATAATTTTTAACAATTGCCTCAATTAAACTCATCCCTAAAACACAGCCTATTCCCTACTGGCATCTTTTGGAATCTGCAAACATGACTCTCTGAAAGAAAAACGTTAACCTGACAATATTTCCGATGGCTAACATTTATTGGATCATTAAATTTGTGTCCACAAAACCCTGAGGAAGATCCCAGTGTATCTATTTTATAAATGAGGAAACTGAATTTAGAGAGGTTAAATAACTCCTGTAACATCTTAACAGCTACTAACTGACTATGCTCCGACACTTAAAAAAAATACTTTTTGATTGAATGCACGTCAATCACAAGGGGCGGGGGGCACAAATTCAACGTAAAATCTAAATAGAAAATATCTTCTAGTGGCCAGGGGTGGTGGCTCACTCCTGGAATTCCAACACTTTGGGAGGCTGAGGCTGGTGGATCACCTGAGGTCAAGAGTTCGAGACCAGCCTGACCAACATGGTGAAACCCCATCTCTACTAAAAATACAAAAATTAGCCGGGTGTGGTGGCAGGCACGTGTAGTCCCAGCTACTCAGGAGGCTGAGGCAGGAGAATGGCACGAACCCAGGAGGCAGAGCTTGCAGTGAGCCGAGATCACACCACTGCACTCCACCCTGGGCAACAAAGCAAGAATCTATCTCAAAAAAAAAAAAAAAAAAAAGAAAGAAAAAGAAAAGAAAATATCTTCTACTATGCTCATTCATAGTGACTTCAGAATTTGTCATGAGAACCTGGGTGATGAAATCATCCTTACTCAGCATTTTTATTGCAGGTGAGTCTATTCACACTGCACAGCTTTAAAATTTCTGAATTATTTATGAATAGTCCCCAATATATATTCTTATTATATAGGCTTTAACTATATGTGTATATGTAAGAATGCATACATATAGACACATACAGAGTTAGGGCATAAGAAAAATGCCCTAAGGAAAATTGCTAGGATCACAGAATCTTTGTGTCAAAAGGACCATAGATGTCACTTGGTTCCTTATTTACACATAAGGAAATTAAGGCCTGGCAAGGTTGAGTAATTTGCCAAAGGTCACAAAGTAGCAGAGCCTGCGTTATATGTTTGTAATAAGAACCTAATTCTTGTAAAGCACCAGGGTTCCATGAGGTATACAGTGAATAAATCATTATCTGGTACCCTCAGATATAGGGGCTGATTTTTCCCTAAACGTTTTTCTCCAAATAGATTGCATTAAGATCAACACTGATAATATTGCCAATGAAGGAGTGTGGATTTCTGGCACTGCCTTCATTCTAGATAAAGCACTATACAATCTGACATATTATTTTCTTTTATAATAGTATAGCCGTATAGCCCCAGCTGTGCTACACTGCAATAGACACTTAAAATGTTAAAATATGTAAAGCTAGGCAGGTGTAGTGGCATATGCCTGTAGTCCCAGGTACTCGGGAGGCTGAGGTGGGCCAATCGCTTGAGCCCAGCAGTTGAGAGCACCCTGGGCAACACAGCAAGACCCCTGTCTCTAAATTAAAAAACAACAACAACAAAAAAAACCCACACCCAAAATTAGCCAGGTGTGGTGGAGGATCACCTGAGACTGGGAGGTAGAGGCTGCAGTGAGCTGTGATCATGACACTGCACTCCAGCCTTGGTGACAGACTGAGACTCTGTCTCAAAATGAGTAAATAAACTATATAAAGCTCCTTATGCCTCAATACATAATGATCCAATGGTAAAGATCGACAGTTTCCAGAACTCTGAGATTCAGCAAATCTAGAACCTTTCCATCATAGTCGGCCTCCTGCTAGCTCCTCCCCTGGCGGCTCTGCTAGCTTTCCATTTCCTACCCAGTCTCTCACTTTTCCCCCAACCCCAAATGCAGGTAGGTATTCATTCCCAAAAGTTTTGTCTTAGGCTTGTATCTGCTTATTTTCTGGTCAATACCCAGTTCTTGAAGCTCTTATCTACTCCCCTATCTTCATCAATCACCTCTCCCCAGTGACTGAACCTAAACCTCCACTGTCACTTTCATCCTCAGCTCCAGATTCAAATTTCCAAGTTCCAGCAGGCAGCTGCCCTGTAATGTTCTACCAGTACTTCAGACTCAACATGCACGAAGATTAACCCATTTTCCTCTTCATGAAAACTCCCAACGCTTCTCCTAACTTCCCATTTCCCTATAAATGGCACTTATATTTTCCTAGTTAAAATTGTGGGCGACATGGCATTCTCCCTCTCCCTTAACTGCACAGCTGATAAACTGCCCAATCCTGTAGCTTCTTCCTCCTCAGTGAAAGGAAACTCCTCTCGAGTACAGGGCTGGTAAGTTGGATTCTCTCAAAAGGGGCCCTGAAGCAAGGATGTGAGTGCCAGCAGTTCATATGGAAGGCGACACCAGGAAGCACCCGCGGGAGAGTGGCAGAGTGAGTCAGGAAAGGCAGGAAGTCAATAAGAAAATGATACCAGGCAGTTTATGGCTGTGGGCAACTGGGACTCAAGTCCTTGGGATAGTCTGGGAGACTGTTGAACAAGGCTTACAATGATCCCCACTGAGTGGCAAATGAGCTATTTATCCACCAATTCCCTTTTAGCCACTGGTTGAAGCCTATCCTGGAGGATGTTAACGCCCCGGTACTTCTGGTCTGCCCTAAGTGCAGTTCCAGCAGGCTCCGATGGCTAGAGAAGGCCCCCAGTCACAGAGATGCAGGAAGCCCTCAAAAAGGCATACGTGGGAATGGTAAGTGCCAAGGGGGTAAGGATGTAGCACCAGCTGTCTTTGCTACAAGGCCTTTTTGCCTCTCACCTGGACTGCCACAAAACTGGTTAACTCCCAGTTTTTCTTGATAATCATTCATAATCCTACATCATTAATCTACACTATCAGATTAATCTTCCTAATGAACACTTGCAGCTGTAATCATGACAGTCTTTCTGCTTAAAATTTCTCATTAGCTTTTCACTGCCTACTGAATTAAGCCTCTGCCAAGCATTCAAGACTTTCCACAATATGACGCCGAGCAATCCTTCCAGCTCTGTATTTTATTATTTCTCCAAATGTACAGATGCAGACCAATGGGATACTGTTCTCTTGCCTGCTAGGCCCCTTAATATCCTTGCCACCTGTGACCTTCACCTGCCTGGTGTCCTTCTCTGTCAACCTTGCCTGTTGAAATTGTGCATGGAATAAATGTCACAAGAAGGCTGGGCATGGTAGCTCATACCTGTAATCCCAGCACTTTGGGAGGCTGAGGAGGGTGGATCACTTGAGGTCAGGAGTTCGAGACCAGTCTGAACAACATGGTGAAACCCCCTATCTACCAAAAAATACAAGTTAGCCAGGTGTGGTGGCACATGCCTGTCATCCCAACTACTTGGGAGGTTGAGGTGGGAGGATTGCTTGAACTCGGGAAGCAGAGGTTGCAGTGAGCCAAGATCGTGCCACTGTACTCCAGCCTGGGTGACAGAGTTAGACCCTGTCTCAAAAAAATAAATAAATGTCACAACAGGTGAGACTTGGCCCCTGTCCTTTAGGACCTCACAGCTGTTCTCAATCCTGCTAATTGCCCTGTCCAGCCTGCTCCATGCCCTATCCCATGTGAGTCTCTATCACTGTCTTTTCACCTCTAGCTTTGTTAATAAACCCTTGTCAAACTGAACTGACACACAGGACTAAAAGGGAGGAGACCTGATTAACTAATAAGTTCTGATATACACAACTATGCAGTTCTATCGCACAGCCGCTTGCTGCTTGATGGGTTCCAACAGGAAACATCATCTGTCTTCTTTCTTCACAGGAGCTGAAGTTAGAAATAAGCACAGCCTACAGAACTTGGGACCCATTAAAGAATCACCCAGAATACACAGCAAAGACATTTATGGGGCAGTATATTGAATTGATAGGCTTTGCAGAAACTGTCTCCAGGCCTGAAGATACAACTAGAAGCCTTTTAGACAAAAAACTCTGGTTAAATTCTGTTACTCGGGCTAGTAATGCAACTGGCAGCTATCCTTCTGGTAGATGAAATCACATCTAATCAGAAGAGAGACGAAGGAAGACCTGGGAGGATTCTGCTGGGTGGTGAAACTCCTTCTGGGTGGGATGAGGATGGGAAAAATGTAAAAAATCCAAAAGATATATCACTTCCAGCAGATATTTGGACATAAACATTCAATAAGTTAGAATAATTTGATGATAATTACAAGCCAAGGTTGTTTAAATTATCCAACTGTGACTATGATCAGAGAGCAATGACAGTAATTTATTTATTATCATTATTATTTTTTATAGAAATGAGGTCTCACTATTTTGCTCAGGCTGGTCTCAAACTCCTGGGCTCAAGCAATCCTCCTGCCTCAGCCTCCCAAAGTATTGGGATTACAGGCGTGAGCCACCATGCCTGGCCAACAACAGTAATTTAATGGCTGAAAGAGGTTAGTTTTAAAAGATGCATTGAAGAGAATGAAATATCATTAATTACTATTATTCATATATAATAGAAAAACAATAAAGCATATATTTTATATTTACCTATGGACTACATCTAATTTATCCTTCTTAATCAACTAAGGGCTTCTTAAAAGCTGACAAGCTGATTTCTCCTGACAGTTTTCTTGTACCAGATTTAGAAAATCTGTTTCAGAATTTAAAATTCTTTTCATTAAAAAAACAATTTTTGACCTAGACTCAAATTTTAAAATTCCCTCTGTTAATCAGGTAGCCAGACTCTCCCTAGCTATTCTTGGAGGAGATTAATTTGCTACTCTGCAGTGGAAGCCATAACTCAGAATCCTTCTCTTTCAGGGCTGGGGTTACCGCACTTCCAATGCTGAACTAAGCTATCGAGAATTTTAGTTTTCTGTCCAGCAAAGTGAAATCTGAAAAAGACACACGAATGCCTGGTAAAAAAATCATTTACGTTTCATATTAACTGTAATGTTTGATGATCATCAGGATCTTAGAATATTTCATTGAGTATTCCTCTCTCAAGTACTTAATGATTTGCACTCAAATATTGGATAAGATGCATTTAAATGAAGTCTGTGATTCCTGTGTGGATGTGGGCCTCCCCAAGAGGAACAATGCTTTTAAAATAGGACTAATTATGCTCCTTAATTGATCTCTACAGTGTGATGTGGTTTTCATTCCACCCATCCCCTGTCCAGTACCTAACAAATTGCCTAAGTTGTCCCTAGGAAAATTGATTTTATTTTTGGAATATGAGTTAATTAAATAATGAGTCAGACAGAAGAAAAATTACTTGCACATAAATAAAACCAGCAGTTTAATGAACCATCATTTCACCCAGTCATTGATAGACATATTAAATGACCATTGTCTAAATTTGCCTGGGAGTTTGCTAATTTTAAAAATCAACTACCCATAAAACAAAGGGCCCCAGGAAATATCCTGGCCAGCTTTGAGGCTGGCCTCTGTGTCACATTCCTGCCAGCGCTCCAGATGGCAGCCGTGCATGCTCATGATGTCAGGTTATACAAGCTACACCAATAAATGAGCAGTTTTGTTAGTGGCTTAGAGCAGGTCAGCCAGGAATTATTTTCAGTCCAGGCTCCTAAGAGGCAAATCTCGTGACTCACCTGGGTCATGGAGGCTATCACATGCAGGACTACTCATCACCTCCCAGGGATTTTCAGCCCTGTTTGTACATTAGACTCACCAAGAAGTGTTTATTTAAAATAAATTACAGATACCTGGACTCCACCCTTGACCAAATGAATCAGAATCTCTGGGGGATGGGGTTCAGGGATCAATATTTTTTGAGATGGAGTTTCGCTCTTGTTGCCCAGGCTGGAGTGCAGTGGCACGATCTCAGGTCACCGCAACCTCCGCCTCCCAGGTTCAAGCGATTCTCCTGCCTCAGCCTCCGAGTAGCTGGGATTACAGACATGCACCACCACACGCTTGGCTAATTTTGTATTTTTAGTAGGGACGGGGTTTCTCCATGTTGGTCAGGCTGGTCTGGAACTTCCGACCTCAGGTGATCCACCCGCCTTGGCCTCCTAAAGTGCTGGGATTGCAGGCGTGAGCCACCGCGCCCAGCTGTTTTTTGTTTTGTTTTGTTTTTTGTTTTTTTGAGACAGCATCTTGCTCTGTCACCCAGGCTGGAGTGCAGTGGCAGTCTCGGCTCACTGCAACCTCCGCCTCCTGGGTTCAAGCAATTCTCCTTCTTCAGCCTCCTGAGTAGCTGGGATTAGAGGCACCTGCCACCATGCCTGGCTAATTTTTGTAGTTTTAGTAGAGAAGGGGTTTCACCATGTTGGCCAAGCTGGTCTCAAACTCCTGGCCTCATGCAATCCACCCGCCTCGGCCTCTCAAGTGCTGGGATTATAAGTGTGAGCCATCACACCTGGCCAGGGATCAGTATTTTTCAATGCTTCCCAGGGGACTCTAATGGGTGGCCAGAGTTGAGAACCTCTGCAACAAGAGAATAAGTAGGGTGAGAGCTAAGCCAAGGAGGATGCTGCAGTGGTAAGAATGGTAAAACCTTTCTTGAGTGACTTGGGAGAAGGGAAATCCAGTTCTATATGGGTCTGAACTCTTGGATTCCTTGAAGTGTATGGGGAAGTACTCCCAAACATCTCATACCTTACAGGATCACCTGACACATATTAAGCATGATACCTAGCTATTAAATTATTATTTCTAAAACTCTTCCATTATTCAACAAAACATTCTTTCTTTTATTTTGAACTTTTTTTTTTTTTTTTGAGCTAGGTTCTTGCTCTGTTGCCCAGGCTGCAGTGCAGTGGCATGATCATGGCTCGCTGCAGCCTCAACCTCCTGGGCTCAAGCGATCCTCCTGCCTCAACCTCCTGAGTAGCTGGGACTACAGGCACGTGCCACCATGCCCATATCCAGCTAATTTTTAAATTTTTTGTAGAGACAAGGTCTCATTATGTTGCCCAGGCCTGTCTCCAACTCCTGGGCTCAAGTGATCCTCCTGGCTTGGCCTCCCAAAGTGCTGGGATTACAGGTGTGAGCCACCACACCTGGTCACAATCTTCTACGTTTAAAATTTTTGTTATTATTGGACTGCACCTATCAATGTTGGGAGAAAATTCTCAAGGATTAAATGTGTTCACACCTACACCTGGCTGAGACCAGCCTTCCTGGGTTGTTATATAGAGGAAGGTAAGGGGAGCAGGAACAGGTTATTTTTGAAGCATTTAGGAAAGGGCCGACTTGGGTGCAACAATATGTCCAGTAGGGAGGTACTGCATGTGAGAAAGGCACTGCCTGAAGGTAGAAGTTTGAAACTGAATTGTGCCTTGGCTGGCCCTGACCTCTATACCCCTCCTCCCTCTGGCTATCAGGGAGGTCCTTTAATCCTTTCTAAATGCCTTCTTCAGAAAATGGCCCACAGTGGGGTGGGGTGGAGGAACTGGAGGGATGGGGTGGGGGAAGAACTCTAAGTCCCTCCTACACTACTAGCTTCCATGGAAAAGCTAGTAGAAAACAAAAACAGATTTCTCTAAACCTGAGTCCTTAACCCCAAAGAATCTGAGGTTGGAGGGACGATCCTCTCTCTGAAAACCCTCCTTCCATCTATCCCCAGATTTTCAGGCTGACTTGACTGGAAGCCAGTACTGAAAGGTCAAGACACCAGGCTGCACAGCCTGAGTTCCTGCCGTGAGACCACTCATCAGCTTTATGACTTCTGATTGTCACCCCACTTCTCCAGAGGTGTCCTCATCTGTGGAATGAGGTGGGTTTTTTTTTTTTTTTTTTTTTTTTGAGACTGAGTCTCGCTCTGTTGCCCAGGCTGGAGTGCAGTGGCATGATCTCGGCTCACTGCAACCTCTGCCTCCTGGGTTCAAGCGATTCTCCTGCCTCAGCCCCCCGAGCAGCTGGGACTACAGGCGCCTGTTGCCACGCCCAGCTAATTTTTGTGTTTTTAGTAGAGACAGGGTTTCACTGTGTTAGCCAGAATGGTCTTGATCTCCTGACCTCGTGATCCACCCACCTTGGCCTCCCAAAGTGCTGGCGTTACAGGTATGAGTCACCGCACCCAGCCTGAGGTGGTTTTGTTTTGTTTTGTCTTTGAGGATTTGTGGACCTCTGAAGTAGAGCCATTCAAAATGCCAGTTCAGGATAAGCTGCTGGCATCAGAATGTAAATCAGCAAGCTGCTTCTCTCATTAAGGAAATATTGCGATGAGGGAAAAAAAGTCAGCTTATCTAAAAAGTGTACAGAACTGAAATTGGTTTATGTGCTTTTAAAGTATATTAACCATTATTTAAAAAAAAATAATTTACAGGCCGTGGACCTGGTAGCTCATGCCTGTAATCCCAGCACTTTGGGAGGCCAAGGTGGGCAGATCACTTCAGCCAAATTTCAGTTACACAGGAGGCATAAGTTCAAGGGATCTATTGTACATCATGGTGACTATCATTAATGGCAATGTATTATATACTTGAAAGTCTTCCCATGGTGGAGGGAGAAAGCTCTGATGTCTCTTCCTCTTCTTCTACAGGCACTAATTCCATCATAGGGACCCTGCCTTCATGATCTCGCCTAAGCCTAACTACCTCCAAAGGCCGTGCCTCCTAATACCATCACCTTGATGGGTTAAGGCTTCAACATATGAATGCTGGGGCAGGGAACACAAACATTGGGTCTACAACAATATTTTATAGCCATCATGATGTGTAGAAAGTGCTGACCTGGGAGTCAAAACCAGCTCTGAACTCATCCACCAAACTTAGGTAAATCATTTACTCATTTAAATGTTCTCAGGTAATGTATATGTTGATTAGCTTGATTTAGCCATTTCACAATGTATACATATTTCAAAACATCATGTTGTATACAATAAATACATAAAATTTTTGTCCATTTTTAAAACTAACTTTTTTTTAAGGCAGAGTCTTGCTCTGTAGCCCAGGCTACACACAGTGGTGTGATCTTGGCTCACTGCAACCTCTGCCTCCTGGGTTCAAGTGATTCTCCTGTCTCAGCCTCCCAAGTAACTGGGATTACAGGCATGCGCCACCACACCCAGCTAATTTTTGTATTTTCAGTAGAGACAGGGTTTCACCGTGTTGGCCAGGCTGGTCTCGAACTCCTGGCCTCAAGTGATCCACCCGCCTTGGCCTCCCAAAGTGCTGGGATTACCCGCATAAGCCACCGCATCCGGCCTTAAGTTGGCTGACATTCTATCTCAGCTCCTTATCTTGTCTGGGACTAGAGTCAGGTACCCTGAGGAAAAGAGTTGGTCCACAGGATACATTTTGGGCAGTGCTGCTTTAAATTATTTTCCAGCTTCTGCTTGACTTTCTTGGCCCTCCCTTACCTGCTGAGCCAGCCCTAACTTGAACTAGAAAGCACCTAAAGGAGGATTTTCTTTTTAAAGCTTTATGAGATGTAATTTGCATACCATAATTCATGTAGAAGTCAATGGTTTTTAATATATTCAGTGTTGTGCCATCATAATTTAAGAATATTTTTATCACACCAAAAAGAAACCTCCATTAGCAATCATCGTCCACCTCAAGCCTTAGGTGACCATTAATCTACTTTCTGTGTCTATAGATTTGCCTATTTTGAATATTTCATATAAATGGACTCATACAATGTGTGGCCTGTTGAGATGAGCTTCTTCACTTAGCATAATGCTTTCAAAGTGCCCATGCATTCAAGACTTCATTCCCTTTTTTTTTTGAGACAGAGTCTCGCTCTGTTGCCCAGGCTGGCGTGCAGTGGCACAATCTTGGCTCACTGCAAGCTCCGCCTCCTGGGTTCACGCCATTCTCCTGCCTCAACCTCCCAAGTAGCTGGGACTACAGGTGCCTGCCACCACGCCTGGCAAATTTTTTTTTTTTTTTTTGTATTTTTAGTAGAGATAGGGTTTCACCGTGTTAGCCAGGATGGTCTCGATCTCCTGATCTCGTGACCCGCCCGCCTGGGCACTCCCAAAGTGCTGGAATTACAGGCGTGAGCCACTATGCCCAGCCGACTTCATTCCTTTTTAATGTGGAATAGTATTCCAGGATATGGAGCTATCACATTTTGCTTATCCATTCATCTGTTGATGAATATCTGGGTTGTTTCTACCTTTTGGCTATTATGAATAATGTTGCTGTAAATATTTATGTACAGGTTTTTTTACTTTTTTGTTTTTGGTTATTTATTTATTTATTTATTTATTTTTGAGACGGAGTCTTGCTCTGTCGCCAGGCTGGAGTGCAGTGGCGTGATCTCGGCTCACTGCAACCTCCACCTCCCGGGTTCAAGCGATTCCCCTGCCTCAGCCTCCTGAGTAGCTGGGACTACAGGCACGCACCACCACGCCTGGCTAATTTTTTTGTATTTTAGTAGAGACAGGGTTTCACCATGTTAGCCAGCATGTGATTCACCCGCCTCAGCCTCCCAAAGTGCTGGGATTACAGGTATGAGCCACCGTGCCCAACCTATTTTTATTTTTTAGAGACAGGGTCTCTGTTGCCCAAGCTGGAGTGCAATGGCACAAACACAGCTCACTGCAGCCTCAAACTCCTGGGGCTCAAGCAATCCTCCTGTACTCAGCCTCCCAAGTAGCTGGTATAACAGGCACATGCCACCACACTTGGCTATTTTTTGTTTTTGTAGAGACAAGATCTTACTATGTTGCCTAGACTGGTCCTGAACTCCTGGACTCAAGTGATCCTCCTGCCTCTGCCTCCCAAAGTGCTGGGATTACAGGTATGAGCTACTGTGCCTGGCTCATGTATAAGTTATTGTGAGAACATATATTTTCATTTCAGGAATTTCTGGGTCATATGGTAACTCTATTTTAACTTTTGGAGGAACTGCCAGACTATTTTCCAAAGTGGCTAGGATGCTTTTCTTACTGGGTTAGGAACACAGAAGTCTGCATGATCCTATAACTAAAAATAGGGAACCCAAGATCCTATAACTTTACATAGGATCTATAATTTTAGTTATAGATCCTATAACTAAAAATAGCTTTCTGTGTCTACAGATTTGCCTATTTTGAATATTAGTTATAGGATCTATAACTAAATTTGTAGCTTTTAGTTATAGATCCTATAACTAAAAATAGCTTTCAACAAATCTTGGCTGAGTTATTTGTAAATTATTCCTAAACTAAGTTTACAAAGTAATCAACAATGTTAGAGAATTTGTGGGTAGCTTGGATTCCTATCCTTGAAAACCAATCTGCAGAGTAGAAGAAAAAGTCCTGTCTATTCCAAGGCTCCTAGAACCCTACAGGAATATCTGAGGTTTGCTCTACTGAGACTAGGACTGTCTGTCTCCTGCAGGAAACAGACCCAAGGAGAAAAGGTGTATAGGATGCTCATTTCCTAATAAGAAAGGCCTTGGGCTTTCCCTCAATCCTACAATAACTAATTGGAAATGAGGACAGAATGGCAGTGGAAAATTTCTACTTCCTTATTCTCCTTTGTAGGAGCCATAGTAATCTCTATAAATTCTAAGTATATCTCTAACATTGCCACTCCTAGGAGAACTGCTTACCCTAAATTTCATTTCAGCTTTGCTAGTTCTTGTGAGCTAATTTCTGTTAGAGACAGTTCCTTCCTGTTTGATCTCTGCTGATTCATCTTTTGTTCTTTTTTATGCCTACCCTAAAGTCTCGCTTACTCTGGGTCTAAGCTACATTAAATTATTTCTGGAACAAGGTGAGGTATAAATAAACATCAGAGTTCCTCTAGTATGAAACAGTAATTGTTCTTAGCTTGAAGACAGAAAGAAGCAGGATTATCAAGGGATCTAAATATCAACGTTAGCTCTAATAATCGATATTAGCATCTCATTTTTTGATCCAACTCAAAAAAGAGTAATAAGGATGTAGAATAACCAAAGGTAATTATGTCCATTTAGAACAAGTACTTTAAAAAAGAAATTCAAGGAAGTAAACTAATTAATTAAATGTATACTTCTTATACCCTAATGATCTAACGAGTTAATACAGTAGTAGTTATGCCTTGGGTTATAAAAAACTTTTTTTAATTTTAATTTTAATTAAATTTTTTTGAGACGGAGTCTCGCTCTGTCGCCCAGGCTGGAGTGCAGTGGCACGATCTGGGCTCACTGCAACCTTTGCCTCCTGGATTCAAATGATTTTCCTGCCTCAGCCTCCCGAGTAGCTGGGATTATAGGCATGTGCCACCATGCCCGGCTATTTTGTATTTTTAGTAGAGACAGAATTTCGCCAAGTTGGCCAGACTGGTCTCAAACTCCTGACCTCATGATCCACGCACCTCAGCCTCCCAAAGTGCTGGAATTACAGGCTTGAGCCACCGCGCCTGGCCTATTTTTATTTTTTATTATTTTTTAATTTAATAGAGATGGGGTTTCGCCATGTTGGCCAGGCTGGTCTTGAACTCCTGGGCTCAAGTTATGTGCCTGCCTCAGCCTCCCAAAGTGCTGGGATTACAGGCATGAGCCACTGTGCCTGGCCCTAAAAAGCTTTATCTTACAAGATATTTCAAGTTTATTATTTCTTTTTGTTTGTTTTTGAGATGGAGTCTTGCTCTGTCGTCCAGGCTGGAGTGCAGTGATGCCATCTTGGCTCACTGCAACCTCCACCTCCTGGGTTCAAATGATTCTCCTGCCTCAGCCTCCTAAGTAGCTGGGACTAAAGGTATGTGTCACTACACCTGGCTAATTTTTTTGTATTTTTAGTAGAGACAGGGTTTCACCATATTGGCCACGTTGATCTCGAACTCCTGGCCTCAAGTGATGCACCCGCCTCAGCCTCCCAAAGTGTTGGGATTACAGGTGTGAGTCACCGTGCCCAGTCTCATGTTTATTATTTCATGTGAACTTGAAACATCCTTGTGAGGTGGCAAGTACACATTATCATATTCAGTTAAGAAAAAGAGAAACAGAAAGGTTATTTGACTTGTACTTTATCACTTATAGCTGGTTAGTGGTGACAACCGAACTTGAACTTGGGACTTCTGAGTCCGAGGTACTTTCTGCTACATAAACCCAAGCTGCCTGCCAGACTGTAACTCTAACAGCTTAGTGTGTTATTAGCTATTTTGAGACACATATTTGCTGGGGGGTACTAGTTAATCAAAATTTAACTGACACACTGTGTAAGACTCCAGAGACCCAGCTACTCTTACGTTACTTAGAACTCAGTGAATTCTTCCTGGAGGTTTTTCAAAAATACAATTAAAGCTTATGGGCTGAAAATTACTGGGTTGCTGTACTATTTCAAAGCAAATTTCTAATTTAACTTTAAATACTAAGGAGAGTATGTTTTTAAAGTATCCTTCTCCTCTTTTTCTCTCCTCCTTCCTATTTGTTGTTTCTTTTTTTCTTTTTCAAATGTGTGTGTGTGTGTGTGTGTGTGTGTGTATATATATATACACACACACATATATATTTGAGACAGGGTTTCCATATGTTGCCCAGGCTGGTCTTCAACTTCTGGGCTCAAGTGATCCTCCCACCTGGGCCTCCCAAAGTGTTGGGATTGCAGGTGTGAACCACCACTCCCAGCCTGTTGTTTCTTAAGCTTCTAACCACCAATCTCCCCTTTCACTCTACACGTGCCCTAACTAATCTCAGCTACTCCTGAGCTTCAACTTCTACCTGCACACTGATAATCTCAGTCTGTCTCTCTCTTGCTTGCCTATTTCTCCTGAAGGCCAGTCCAGTACATCCAAAAACTTACTGAAAATTTCCACCGGGATTATCTAAAAGCACCCTAAACATCTAAAATGGAATCTGTTATCTTTGTTACATCATAATCTCACAAATTCTTCTAAATTTCCTATTTCAGCAAATAGCAGCATCTTCCATCAGCCAGCCAAGCTAGAAACATTACCCTAGACTCCCTTGTCTTTACTTCCCACAATACGACTAATACTATTTTCTTCCCCTTGAATACTACTCATTTTTGTTCTCTCGTCTTTATTCCCCCTCCGTCTGCTTTCAAACTCCAAACTCCATGTAGGTCTGTAGTAACTGCTTTCTAACTGGCCTCCCAGCCTCCAGCCTCCAGCCTCCTTCCCCTCCATCTCTTTCTTTCCTACACACCACTGCCATGGTTCTCTTTCTAAAACATGACCATGATCAAATTATGCCCTTGCTTCAAAATATCAATGATTCAATACCAGGTTCTTAGGAGTCTACATGTGATTCTGGCCCTACCCTTCTAGCAAATTCCTGTCACTTCCAGAAAAGTAAGAAAGCATAAAACATAATGGTCAAAAACATAAGCACATAGATCACCTGGGTCTGAATCCTGGCTCTGTCATTTGTTGGGAGGGGTAAGTTCCTAACCTACCAGTGTCTTGTTTTCTTCATCTGTAAAATGCAGGACAGGGGCCAGGTGCAGTGGCTCACACCTGGAATCTCAGCACTTTGGGAGCATCGCTTGAGCCCAGGAGTTTAAGAGCAGCCTGGGCAACAGAGTGAGACCCCATCTCTACAAAACAAACAAATAAATAAATAAAAAATCAGCCAGGCATGGTGGCACACACCTCTGGTTCCACCTACTTGGGAAGCTGAGGTGGAAGGATCACTTGAGCCCAGGCGGTCGAGGCTACAGTGAGCCATGATTGTGCCACTGCACTCCAGCCTGGGCAACAGGGCAAGACCCTGTCTCCAAAAGGAAATGAGGGATAATGGGGGCTATACTTACCTAAATTGTTGGGCTGTTTCTATTTCTGAAGATTAAATAGGAAAAGACATAACTGATACATTCTACGGATTACATAAATATTAGATAAAATTATCATCATCATCCAGCCATAGTAAGTAGCTGCTACTGTACGCACTTTATAATACCTTGGTCTTTGCGCTGAGAGAGCCTCTCTCCCCGCTTTGGAGGTTCAATACCACAGCCTTCAAGATCCAACTCAGAACGCTACCTCCTCTCTAAGCTCTCCCACCTCCCCCAGGCGCTTTGTTACTCTTTCCCTTTGTGCTCTGTAGCCTTAACAAAGGCTACTGTTAAACACTTAGCACTGTGTATATTTTAATGGACTTGACTGTCTCTCCCACAACTAAAGTTTGAGCTCCTAAAGATTAGGGCTGTGTCTCATTAATATGTATATCTTCACCCTATTGGCTTGCACAGTGCCCGATTTAACAGGCACATACCACGGCTCTGCTGAATGAACAGATCTTTGTCCCTCACTTCATAAAGAACTAACGAGCTTGGCTTTGCAGCACATTATTTCCTTGAGAGCCTCAGACCATGTCTTCCCCCCCGGCTTTGTGTCCTGGAAGAATGCACAGCAGACAGGAGCTGCTCAAAATGATTTGCCTGGGCCAGGGCCACAGTGACACATTCAAATCTTTCCCTTTAGAGTACTATCTGTCTACGAGATTCCTAAAGGGCTGGATTGAATGAGAAAACGTGAACCTTCACGTCAAGCTATTTATTACAAGGCACTTGAGTAAGACCATAACACTCTGCAACTTTTGCTTTCGAAATCGTGTTGATCTTCATTTCCTCCAGTGCCTAAGTCACTGTAAAGCCAAGTACAAGAGGTTTTTACTTCCCAAGTTCTTATAAAGTGTTGACATTTGTGACCTGATTGTAAATTTTTATTTCCAGCATGACTTATTTATAGTCTTAATGTCATTCTCTATCAATGACCCAAAAAAAGTTTCTTTCAATTCTAGTAGAATTGCCTTTGACCTGTTGAGATTGTAAAAAGTTAAAAAGCTGAAGAAAATTTTAGCAAGTGGAATATTTCTCATTCCAACTCACGGATTTAAAGATCAGATAGAGTGATTTTCTAAGAGGTGAAAGATCTATCCTAGCAAAAACTCAGAATTAGAGGGGGAAAAAAAGACCTGATATAAATTTTAAAAGGTTTCAATAACATTCCCACCATGTAAACTTCAGCTGGCAAACAGGCATGTGACATACAAAATTGTTTCATGACAAATGTAAATTTCATAAGTGGAAAAAAAATCACTGTATTAGTTAATTTGTTTTGCACTGGTTAATTTTTAAGGAAAATGTGTTTTGCATTAAAAATGAGGCCTTCTCTTCCCAGTTCTTCCCAGAGTCAGGAAAAGCTGGGTTGAGAGGGTAGAAAAAAAATGATGTAGGTGAATAACTATCGATGTTAAAATGTAGTAAGTACAAAAGTTTAGTTACAAAATAGAATCTTAATTTTTATAAAAATAGAAATATATTATATATATTTTATTTATATATGAAATCTGAATGAACACAGACTAAGGGAATTTCCTTGGTTATACAATTATCGGTCTTGTAAATTTCCTTTTTTTCCATATCTGTATTTTTGTATAATAAATTTGTATTGCTTACATAAACAGAGTTATTTTAAATAAAAAGAATATGCTTTTTGTTATAAAACTAGAAATGATTCTTTAAAAAGTTAAGACTGTTGTCATTTAAATTTACTTACCAAGAGATTCTCCCCCGCCACTCCTCTGTTGTTAAAAACCACACATCTAAAAACCAGGAAAGCAATTTTTGTTATTTTTACACATGATTCTTGCTCATGATATAATATTAAAGTCATCTTACTGACACTGATTTAGAGCACTAAAAGATTTTAAAAATCTGTCTTGTAGTTGTAATGTTTGGCAATTTCATCTAAATGCAATGCACTAAAATAAAATTCCAGTTCTCTAAATTCCACATGTGGGTTCAAATTAGAAAACTGTATACTGAAGTGATGTTAATTTTTCCTACCAAGAGTAGACTATTTCCAACTTCTTCCTACGCACATACGTGGGCCTCCAACAAGTGTTTTTAAAACAATTCTAAATACAAGTCAAATTTAAATGTTTTTGCTTTTTTTTTTTTTTTTTTTTTTTGAGATGGAGTCTCGCTCTTGTCACCCAGGCTGGAGTGCAATGGTGCGATCTCGGCTCACTGCAACCTCCGCCTCCCAGGGTTCAAGCGATTCTCCTGCCTCAGCCTCCTTAGTAGCTGGGATTACAAGCACCCACCACCATGCGCGGCTAATTTTTTTTTGTATTTTTAGTAGACACAGAGTTTCACCATGTTGACCAGGCTGGTCTTGAACTCCTGACCTCAGGTGATACGCCCACCTCGGCCTCCCAAAGTGCTGGGATTACAGGCGTGAGCCACTGCGTCTGGCCTTGTTTTTGCTTTAAACAAAGAAAAAATATATATCCTCTACCCATTGCATTTGTAACATTCATACGTATCTATTTATATTCTAAGAAACAGCTCTTGTTCTCTTAAGGCTCAGCAAACATGGACACCAGAATTTTACATGAGGTGTAAACATCACAGGTGAGCCACAAAGAGCCTGGCACCTGAGCTGGTGGGATGGGCCCCATTATGCTACTGCTTAGTGTTCAGTTGACCTAGGGAGGAAAGATGACCTTGTGCTTTCTCTGATCCTGTTTGCATCTGCTGGGTAAATGGGCTCAGATCAATGTAAAGGGTTTAGATCAATGTTGGCTCAAGTAAGTACTCGGTGAAAGTTAGCTATTAGTAATAATGGTAGTTGTAGTGTCGTGCTGGTTTCAAAAGTTATTCAGTATTTAAAATATGTAACTCTCATTTAACTTTCAGGCAGCCACAGGCCCAGATATGTATTTTTACCATCCTTAGACAAAATCTTGATTTGTGTCTACACAGGTTCTCACTGATTTAGTGAGTCTATATTCATAACAATTAAAATTCATTTAGTTTTTGTCTGATTACCTATTCAACCAACCAAGGCCATTTAAGATTCCAAATCTCTTCTTGCAGGGTGCTGCTGAGCACTGTACAGGTTCTAAGCAACAAAGAACCTACTGCTGTATAGAACATACACAACTCTGAGTCTCTTCTCAGGGAGTTTAGATCTCAAGGCACACCAGCTTCATTTAATGTGGTATGCAGGCTATGTTCTTGCAAAGGAATTTTCTTGCAACTGAAAAGCCATATAGAAAATTTTATTAGGCCCAGTTGAAAGAAGAGAAATGTTTAGAAACCTCAGAAATCCTATTTGAGAAAAAGCTAGAAATATTACATTTTATTAACTCACCTAAGATAAATCTTTTTGTTTTTTGAGACCATGGTCTCACTCTGCAACTCAGGCTGGAGTGCGGTGGCGCGGTCACAGTTCACTGCAGCCTCAGCCTCTCATGCTCAGGCAATTCTCCTGCCTCAGCCTGCTGAGTAGCTGGGACCACAGGTGCACACCAACACGGCTCAGCTAATTTTTATTCTTTTTTTTTTGAGACAGAGTCTCGCTCTATCACCCACACTGGAGTGCAGTGACATGATCTCGGCTCAATGCAACCTCCATCTCCCAGATTCAAGTGATTCTCCTGCCTCAGCCTCCTGAGTAGCTGGGATAACAGGCACGTGCCACCACGCCCGGCTAATTTTTGTACTTTTAGTAGAGATGGGGTTTCCCCATGTTAGTCAGATCGTTCTAAAACTCCTAATCTCAAGTGGTCTGTCTGCCTCGGCCTCTCAAAGTGTTGGGATTACAGGCGTGAGCCACCGTGCCCGGCCAGCCTGGCTAATTTTTATAAGTTATTTGTAAAAACAGGATCTCACCATGTTGCCCAGGTTGGTCTCTAACTCCTGGGCTCAAGTGATCCTCCTGCCTTGGCCTCCCAAATGCTGGGATTACAGGCATGAGCCACTGTGCCTGGCCAGAGAAATCTTAAATAAACTGTAAATACATACAGAAAAGTCAGAGTAGTCTCAGTGACTCCTTTATCTTTTCTTGCTAAAAACAATGGCAAGATATCTTGATATAAATAAGATTTCAGTTGGCCATTTGTATTTACTTGCATAAGCACTTAAGTCACACAGGAACCGGTGCTAAAGTTAATTATGATCTTGAAACTTGAAGCTCCCAGTCATTCAGAAAAGAACCACTTTAGAGTACAAACATTAAATAAGGATTAAAATGGCTTCTGGAGCAAGATGTCATCATGTGACTGCCAGTGAGAGAAGGCAAGAACACTAGTGACGGGAAAGAAAAAGATGATCTGCAAACTCATGAAAAAGCAGCCTGTACATCTGGGATTTTCTTCTAAACTGCAGAGTGGGATATTTGCACTTTCCTTCAGGCAACTTTGGAAAGTGGATCATAGTTCTGGTAGCTCTTGCTAGAGGACGAATTGTACTCACCACTCCATAAGGCTTTGATCCTAACAGTGTTCAATCAGTAGCAGTCATCATTGTATACTTAAAGCCTTGGACGTGGGGCAGAGAGATAAGGAAGAATGAGGAAGCAAAGCAGTTACAGAGGACGGCAGAAAGAAGGCTGCCATCCTGCCCTTTCTCCCACTCCAGCTGGGGATGAGCAACCAGCTCTTTTCATTTAACCCCTTTGCTACTCTGACAGTCATCAGGGAACACTGAACTAAAAGGGCTGGCTGTGAAACTACTATTCCTAAGGCATTGAAAAATCTGTTAACCTCTTCTTCTTTTTTTCTTTAGAGATAAGGTCTCACTGTTGCCCAGGCTGGAGTGCAGTGACACAATCACGGCTCACTGCAGCCTCAACCTCCTGGGCTCATGTGATTCTCAGCCTCCCGAGTAGCTGGGACTACAGGGGCATGCCACCATGCCTGGCTAATTTTTAAACTTTTTGTAGAGACGGGGTCTCCCTATGTTGCCCAGGCTGGTCTTGAGCTTGTGAGCTCAAAACAATCCTCTCGTCTTGGCCTCCTGAAGTTCTGGGATTACAGGTATGAGCCACTGTGCCCAGCCTGTTTTTATTTTTTTTTGAGACAGAGTCTTGCTCTGTTGCCCCTGCTGGAGTGCAGTGGCGCAATCTCGGCTCACTGCAAGCTCCGCCTCCTGGGTTCAAGCCATTCTCCTGCCTCAGCCTCCCGAGTAGCTGGGACTACAGGTGCCTACCACCACGCCAGGCTAATTTTTTGTATTTTTTTTAGTAGCGACAGGGTTTCACCGTGTTAGCCAGGACGGTCTCGATTTCCTGACCTCGTGATCCACCTGCCTTGGCCTCCTAAAGTGCTGGGATTACAGGCGTGAGCCACCACACCCAGCCGCCTCTGTTAAACTTCTGTAACAGTTCTCTCCAATTAATTTTTACAGTTACCTCAAACAATTCTAAAGGGCGTGTATATGAGGGAAATTGTTCTGCAAAGCATATTTTTCCTACATATTTGAACTATATAATTTTTTTCCCTCAAAACAAGGAAAACATAAAGAGAAGAAATATCAAATAAAGAACAGATCTGGTAAGAAGAACTTTCTGTGACAAGATAACCCATTAACCAGGGAAACAGGTGGGTGTCCTTTAATGAAGGTTAAATAAAAGGAAGAGACTACCTATAGCACAGAGTTTCTCAATCTTTAGTACTATGGACATTTCAGCCCAAATAATTCTTTGTAGCAGTGCTGTCCTGTGCATTATAGGATACTCAGCAGCATCTCTGGCCTCTACCAACTAGATGCCAGTAGCACATGCCCCAGGCATAACAACCAAAAATGTCTCCAGACATTGCCAAATGTTCCCTGGGGGAAAAACGGCCCCTAGGATGAGAACCACTGTCACAGTGAGATGGACCAGAGAACCTTGAATCTGCTCAGGCTTGAACCCTGGAAGTCAAGGTTGCAGTGCTGTGATCACACCAATGCACTCCGGCCTGGGTGATGGAGAGCCTGTCTCAAAAAACAAAAACAACAAAAAAAGTAGCAGACTCTGAGCTTGGGCACCTAAGAAAAGCAGTGAAACTTCCATGGGTTGTGAGTACCTGTCTAGGCCTAGTTTCCAAATCTGTAATTTTATCAGGCAATCTGAAATATTTCAGTTCTAAGATTCCCCAAATCTTCAAGTCTAACAATAGAAATGATAATCAGCAAAGGGTAGAATGAGAGGAACATTCAGAGATCAGCTAGTCATATGATTGATTTCAGGTAATAATAATAACAACAGATACTGTTTACTAGTGTTTACTATGTGCCAGATCATGTTCTAAGCACTTTACATGAATATTAATATTGGAATAACTCATTTATTCATTCAATAATATTTACTGAACTAAAGATTGAGTTAGAGCCTGTAGTAGAGAAATAAAGTATCAACATAAGGTTCCTGGCCTCAAGGAGGGTACAATCTAGTTAGATTGAAAAGATTTGCACCATATTTTCAGTTGAGTGACTACAACAAAAAACAAGACAGTATAGGATTCAATGTCCAAGGAGTGGTATAGACAATAAAACCCTATGAGGTCAGGATGGGCAAAATTGATTAAGAAAGGCTTCATAAAAGGTAGACAGATCTTATGTTAGGACTTGAAAAACAGTAAAGATTCCAGCAAAAGGCAAGTGTGAGATACATTGTAAAGGGAGTAATCCAAGCAAAGATATAAGGTGAGTATGTATTAAATGTTCTAAGGGACGAAAAATCAATTATCAGTTGAGAAGTGGTTACACGGACAGTAACAATAGAAAATAAGAATGGAAAAACAGGTTAGGACAAAAATAAACATAAGGCTCTGAATTCCAGGTAAAGAAAAGATAAGGAAGTTCTGCCTCTAGTAATGTCCAGGTAGATCCTTTAGGGCCAAACTTTCCATGGAATAATAACTATACATTCTTGAAAAAATATAAAGGCAGTAGAGAACAACAATGACAACAAAAAGCATGCAGAAACTGAATGGGAGTTGACACTAGGAAAATGAAAATCATACTGGGTGAGTTTTCAATTTTTACAGCTTCTCCTTTTTTTACCTGAGGGAAGGCAGTAGTTGGGTATTACTCAATGATAAATAAAAGTTGGATAGAAATGCGCAGTCTCTTGGCTGGGCACAGTGCTCATGCCTGTAATCTCAGCCCTTTGGGAAGCCAAGGTGGGTGGATCACCTGAGGTCAGGAGTTCGAGACCAGCCTGGCCAACGTAGTGAAACACTGTCTCTACTAAAAATACAAAAATTAGCCATGCGTGGTGGCAGGCACCTGTAATCCCAGCTACTTGGGAGGCTGAAGCAGGAGAATTGCTTGAATCCGGGAGGCGGAGTTTGCAGTGAGCCAAGATCACACCATTGCACTCCAGACTGGGCAACAAGGGTGAAATCTGGTCTCAAAAAAAAAAAAAAAAAAAAAAAAAGGGAAATGCTCAGTCTCACAGGCTTGAAGAACTATTAAAACAGTTTGGGGCAACAATAGAAGTTGAAAAACAAGCAGAAAAAAATCTTAGAATGGATACACAGAGAAAGAGCAGTAAATTCTGACTAAAAGCTGGGCCCAAATCTCTAGTTGATCCCTCATCTATACATATGTGAAACACACTACAAGCAACCCAATTAAGGCTAAAAAACTGGACAAAGATTTCAACTGCAATTTACAACAGAGGAGAGAGAGTTTGAAGTTTGAGTGCAGCCAAGTTAACTATCTAATAAAGCAAACAAAAAGCAACACTCTTTGCAAAAGTATAACAGAATCCAGAGTCTCTACAATGGATCACTCAAACTGTCCAGAACACAACCCCAAATTGCTAGACCATGAAGAAACAGGAAAACATGACCCACACTCAAGAGATAACCTAACTGGTCCCGAGATTGTCCAGATGTTAGAACTAGCAGATGAAGTTTTACAGTAGCTACTATAACTCAAGGACATTAAGGGTGGTGGGGTGGGGGAGCTTGTAAAGAATTTAAAAAAAAAAAAGAAAATCTCAGCATAATAAAATTTATTAAAATGGAAATTCTAGAAAAAAATATAAAATCTGAAATAAAAAATTCACTGGATTTGCAAATTGCAGCTCGAACATAGGATAAGAGGAAAAAGGTCCAAAAAAAGTAGAACCTCAGTGATTTGTGAAACAATATAAAAAAAAAACAACATACATGTAATTGTGGGCACGGTGACTCACCCCTGTAATTACAGCACTTCGGGAGGCCGGGGCAGGCAAATCACTTGAGGTCAGGAGTTTGAAACCAGCCTGGCCAACATGGTGAAACCCCATCTCTACTAAAAATACAAAAATTAGCCAGGCGTGGTGGCAGGTGCCTGTAATCCCAGGTACTCAGGAGGTTGAGGCAGGAGAATCGCTTGAACCCAGGAGGCGGAGCTTGCAGTGAGTCGAGATCATGCCACTGCACTCCAGCCTGGGCGACAGAGCAAGACTGTCTCAAAAACAAAACAAAAAAATCCACCACATTAACAATTACATTAAATGTAAATGAATAAGAACCTCAATTAAAAGATGGAGATTGTCAGACAGGATTTAAAAAAAAGCAAGATCTGGTTGGGCACAGTGGCTCATGCCTGTAATCCCAGCACTTTGGGAGGCCGAGGCAGGTGGATCACCTGAGGTCAGGAGTTTGAAACCAGCCTGGCCAACATGGTGAAACCCCGTCTCTACTAAAAGTACAAAAATTAGCCTGGTGTGGTGGTGGGTGCCTGTAATCTCAGCTACTTGGGAGGCTGAGGCAGGAGAACTGCTGGAACCTGGGAGAAGGAGGTTGCAGTGAGCCGAGATCATGCCATTGTACTCCAGCCCAGGTCGACAACAGTGAGACTCTGTCTCAAAAAAAAAAAAAAAAAAAAAAGAGCAAGATCTAACTACATGCTATCTACAATACACTTTAAATACAATGACATAGATACTCTGAAAGTTAAAGTGTAAATAAAGATATATCACACAAACACTCAGCAAAAAAAGAACGAAGTGGCTATGATAATATCAGGTAAAGCAAACTTCATGACAAGAGGTCAAGAAGAACATTTCATGATGATAAAAAGTTAATTCATAGGAAGACTAACAATCTTAAATGTGTATGTGTCTAACAGAGCTTCCGTATACATGAAGCAAAATTAATAGAATTAAATGGAGAAACACAAAATCTACAACTATATTTTAAAATGCTTCTATCGATAAAAGATAAAAGTGAGCTATAGTCTGAAAAACATTATCAATAGTAACCAAATTTAAATGTACAGAACACCACATCCAACAAGAGAATACACATTCTTTTCAAGAAATGATGCTATCTAAACATTTCCAAGCTTACTAAGGTCATAAAGGTGGTAAAACAAATGAACATAATTCACGTACCTTTTTCTAAGATGCTTCAGAAATCAAACGCAGTAATTAATGTGAGTATATTATTCACTATTACATGCCTAACTCATGATTATCATATGGTAATGGAGAACACTGAAAGTCAATTCATAATTCAGGAACCTCATTATCTCCCGTTTCAACTCTTTCCCTATAAAATCTATTATCTGAGTAGGAAACATGATTTATTTGCCTGTCATGTCTTGAATTTCCCTGATAAAACTGAGTCCCAATGATATCACAGGTATGCATTATCATATTAAGCAACAATCATGGGATTGGAAGAGCTAGATTTTCCCAAGCTAAGAGCCTAAGGCATCCAAGGGTATAAAATAGTAGTAAAGAAGGGTTTTCAGGAACTATCAACATTTCAAAAAGCCTCACAGAAATCATATGTTTATCTGTAATAAGCCTGTACATTCCAATCTTTTCTTTTTTAAGACGGAGTTTTGCTCTTGTTGCCCAGGCTGGAATGCAATGGTGCAATCTCAGCTCACTGCAACCTGTCTCCCAGGTTCAAACGGTTCTTTTGCCTTAGCCTCCCAACTAGCTGGGATTACAGGCGTCCACCACCACACTCGGCTAATTTTCGTATTTTTAGTAGTGACGGGGTTTCACCATGTCGGCCAGGCTGGTCTCGAACTCCTGACCTCAGGTGATCCACCTGCCTCAGCCTCCCAAAGTGCTGGGATTATAGGCGTGAGCCACCGCACCCGGCCCTACATTTCAATCTTAACCCTGTCACACACCAGCTAATTTTGATCAAATTACTAACTTTTGTTAGTAATTTCTGCTTTTTGTTTGGTAAAATGGGGTTTATAATATGTATCTTGAACTGGATATATACTAAGTAGGATAACCTATATATAATGCCTGGCATGGGGCCTATCATGTGGCAGGCACTCAGCAAAGCTGAATTTAATTGTAACCAACCAAAGTGGCAATTCTGGTTATTTCTTGCTGATCATAAGTTCTAAGCGGCCCTATGAATTTTTTTAAAAAAAGAATAGCAAGTTAATATTTAATTAATGCAGTTTATTTTTTAGGTATATTTCAAAACCAGTGGGCACAAGGGAAAAGAGTCAAAGGTGTCTTTAACGTGAGGAAGCTGGAAACGAATGATACAACCAGCATGGCTAATTCTTCCAGTGATCTTATTCTATTTTATTGCAGTCGTTTCCCTTCTCTGCTTTAGCTGTGATCCTAAAATTTACTCAGCTGCTTTCTGATGTTCTCATATTTCATTTCACTCATTTGATTTCTAGCTGTGTCTCTTTGGTATTTTTGCAGATTTTGTCAATAAAACACCCAGTTGAACTGGCCCTATTTAATAAGCAAAGTGCTCTAAATTTATAGTGCTTGTAAGTAACAGTTGTTACTCCAGTGTCACAAGTCACTGCTGGAAACTATATTACCCAAAACAAACTCAGAGACATGGATTACAGGACAATGTCGATTCCAGCGGCCACTCTACCTTAGCAAGACATTTCCTTCCTTCTCTCTGTACTACCCTTTGGCTTGCCAGGCACACTGTTGTCTCTGGGCTCTCTTGGAGTGGCATCTTCTTCGTATTAATAACAGTAAGGCGTAGGCAGTATCTCATTTTAATCTGACCAGATTACAACAGTGGGGCTCTTTCCTAAGCCATACAATGGTCCTAATTCACTTCTTAAGGTTTCATAGCTAACACTTAACAAAATGTTTGCCATAGGCCCTGTACTAGTCAACATTCTTTATACACATTACACGCAATCCACACAACCCTGTGAGGTCTAGGTATTGTTACAGATGAGAAAACAGGTGCTGAGCAATGACATAATTTGTCTGTGGGTAGGCAGGTAGTGTATGACAGAGTTAGGATCTGAACCCAGGCAGATCCGACTCAAGAATCCACTTAACCACCTCACTTCACTGCCCAGCACTACCTAAGCTGTAACACTCAGGTCTCTTTTTCCAAAGAAGACGGGTGCTCTGAACACAGAGTACCCTTTGAGGGCATGCCAACTCTGATAAAAAGAGCTTTGTCCCTGAAGGTTTAATTGAGGTGCCATGTTGCAGTGGAACAGCTAACAATTAGTGCCCTAGAGAATGGGACCACTTGTCAGTCTCCACCATAACTTTTTCTGGAATACCAAGAAAGAAGCTAACCTCTTCATTCAGTGCTTTCTAACATGCATTACTCAATCTGGCTAGTCTCACAAATGATCAGTTAACTGCCTTATTCCCAAAAGTTTAAAAACCAAATTATTTTAACAACAACAAAATGAGTTACTGAGAAAAAAATATTCTGGTGTTAATTTAAAATGATTTCTTATCTAAGACATTGCTTTTAGATGAGGGAAAGCGTGGTCAGAACTAACCCTTTTGTTTTGCTGTCTCGTTTTCCTTAGTTCAGCCTCTCTCATCTCTCCTCCCTCAGGAAGTCTGTAGCTAGACTCTCCACCCCTGTCCCCCACCAAGGCACCTCTAATGCTGCAGGAAAAGCTAAATTGCATCTAGAGCTATGATAACTTCAAATGACATTTACTTGCTACTTCCTCTACATAAAATATTCTCAGGATCACATTTTTTTTTAAAATTTATTTTTATTTTTTTTGAGACTAAGTCTCGCTCTGTCACCCAGGCTGTAGTGCAGTGGCACAATCTCGGCTCACTGCAACCTCTGCCTCCTGGGTTGCAGTGAGCCCCTCGAGTAGCTGGGATTATAGGTGGGGGCCACCATACCTGGCTAATTTTTGTATTTTTTAGTAGGGATGGGGTTTCACCATGTTGGTCAGGCTGGTCTCGAACTCCTGACGTCAAGCGATCCGCCGGCCTTGGCCTCCCAAAGTGCTGGGATTACAGGCGTGAGCCACTGTGCCCAGCCAGTACCACATTTAGAAGCAAATTTTAACAACTTTTAAATAATCTCCTACACTGAGTCTCTCAAGAATATAAATGATGAACGGTGACATCCTTGCTACCAGTAGGTGGGCTCTGCAATGAAGAATAAGAGATCCTAATTCTGTCAAACCATACCAAAAAATTAGTTTTTTCTCTAAGTAGGAAATAAAGTAACAAGACAGTAAGAAATGTCTTAAAACACAAGTTTACAATCTTGCAAAAATCCCTCGAGTGATCCTTTTGCCCTCTTCTAACAACTGTCCTGTTTCTCTCCTTTCTCTGTCAAACTCATCGAATGGGTGATCCATTCCTGCTCTGTCTACTGAGGTCATCTATCCAGCAGTTTGGCTTCCTTCCTCATCGCTCTACTGAGATTCTCATGTTTTGCTTTATTCATCCTCCTTCTCCTTTAAGTTGTATGTGACACCGCTGATCTACTCCTTCCCTCCATAAAATGACCCTTTTGGCTCTTCTGATATTTCTGAATCCCAGTACTGCCAACTCTTGACTACTCAGCGGCACGAGCTGCTAGTCATCTCCCAATATCCATCCTTCCCTTCTTCCTCAGCAACAGAACTCCCAATTTTAATTGGGACATGGCTGTCCAAAATAAAGATATGATTTTCTTTTTTTTTTGAGATGGAGTCTCGCTCTTGTCATCCAGGCTGGAGTGCAATGGAGCAATCTCAACTCACTGCAACCTCCGCCTCCTGGGTTCAAGCGATTCTCCTGCCTCAGCCTCCCAAGTAGCTGGGATTACAGGCACCCGCCACCAGGCTAAAGTTTTTGTATTTTTAGTAGAGATGGGGTTTCACCATGTTGGCCAGGCTGGTTTCGAACTCTTGTCCTCAAGTGATCCGCCTGCCTTAGCCTCCCAAAGTGCTGGGATTATAGGCGTGAGCCATCATGCATGGCCAAGATTTAATTTTCAAGCTTCCCTTGCAGCCAAGAGCGGGCCAATGTGATACAAGCAAAAGTGGTGTGCACAATTGCTGGGCTGCATCTTTAAAGGAAGATGGTACCTTTCCTATTCCTGCTTTTTTTCTCCTTCTTGGGTGTTAGAATGCAGATGTGATGGCTACTGCTGAAGCATCCATGTTATGAAGCAACATGTTAGGTTGGTGCAAAAGTAATTGGGGTTTTTGTCATTAAACATAATGGCAAATTACTTTTATTTTTGCCATTACTTTTAATGGCATTAAATTTGCCATTACTTTTAATGGCAAAAACCACAATTACTTTTGCACCAACCTAAGAATAAAAGCAGCTTAGGTTCCTGACACTGACATGTGCCATACAAGCCGTGATCTACCTTCTTAGATTTTTACATGAGAGAAATAAGTTTATACCGTCACTACTATTTTGAGTTTTTTGTCACTTACAGCCAATCTTGCTCCTTTCTGATGTACATTTCCCTGCTGCTGCTGCACAGTCTTTGCCACTTCAACTAGACTGTATGCTCTTTGGGAATAGGTTCTGATATTGTACTTTGCAGCCCCAAAATACTTATGACTGACCTAGATTTCAATGAACTTACAACTGTATAATTCTGGATGGGTCATTCTTGTTAATATTAGTTGGGGGTGGAATACAATGGTAAATGAAGGCTCTCGGTTTTATTTTTTTAAATTTTAAATTTTTTTCTTTTTCTTCCCCCCTAGTAATAATGGCTCTCAATTTTAAAAAGTCAAAAGATGATTCAGATTTTGTTGGAGTTACTGTTTTTCTCCTTGTTTTTTTTTTTTTTTGAGATGGAGTCTTGCTCTGTTGCCCAGACTGGAGTGCAGTGGCGCGATCTCGGCTCACTGCAAGCTCTGCCTCCCGGGTTCACGACATTCTCCTGCCTCAACCTCTCAAGTAGCTGGGACTACAGGCACCTGCCAACACGCCCGGCTAGTTTTTTTAAAAAATATTTTTAGTAGAGACAGGGTTTCACCGTGTTAGCTAGGATGGTCTCACTCTCCTAACCTTGTGATCCGCCTGCCTTGGCTTCCCAAAGTGCTGGGATTACAGGCGTGAGCCACCGTGCCTGGCCTTTCTCCTTGTTTTTGTTGTAGTACTGGAAATCAATTCAGAAAATGGTAAAAGGATTTAAGAAAACAAGATATTATTAATGTACATAAAATAATACCTATTAGGCTATATTACTGGAGATTTTTTGGAATGAATGGTAAAGTTTCTAACTACTTTATCAATCATATAGGTATAAATTGTTAGAGAAAACTGCCTTTTCTCCAGCTTTCTGGTTTCCATGAAGAGGGCTTCTCTCTAAACATATTTCTGGTCTTTTATTATTATTATTCATTGTTATTATTTAGTTTTGGTTTTTTTTTGGTAGAAATGGGGGGTCTCACTATGTGGTCCAGGATGGTCTCAAACTCTTGGGCTCAAGCAATCCTCCTGCCTTAGCCTTCCAAAGTGCTGGGATTATAGGAATAAGCCACTGCACCTGGCATTCCTGGCCTCTCTTATTTTATTTACCTTCCAGGAGGTGGTAGACATAACTGATTAATAAAATCTGAAAGAATTTATCTGGCTTAGCAACTTTCTCCTCTTGCGGGCAGGAACTATCCAAAAGAGTACATACTCAATCCACCAGTGAAGATGGACAGGTTATCTTCATGTAGGCAGGCCAAACATTTCCCATCTCATTCTATTAACTTTTTTTTTTTTTTTTTTTGAGCCAGAGTCTCACTCTGTCGCCCTGGCTGGAGTGCAGTGGTGCGATCTCGGATTACTGCAACCTCCACAACCCAGGTTCAAGTGATTCTTCTGCCTCAGCCTCCTGAGTAGCTGGGACTACAGGCACGCACCACCATACCTGGCTAATTTTTGTATTTTAGTAGAGAGGGGGTGTCACCATATTGGCAAGGCTGGTCTTGAACTCCTGACCTCGTGATCAGCCCACCTCGGACTCCCGAAGTGCTGGGATTATAGGCGTGAGCTACCGTGCCCAGCCTATTTATCCTTTTTTTAAAAAAACTGAGACAGAGTCTCACTCTGTTGCCCAGGCTGGAGTGCAGTGGCATGATCTTGACTCACTGCAACCTCCACCTCCCGAGTTCAAGCGATTCTCCTGCCTCAGCCTCCCAAGTAGCTGGAATTACAGGTGCATGCCATGATGCCCGGCTAATTGTTTGTATTTTTAGTAGAAACAAGGTTTCGCCATGTTGGCCAGGCTGGTCTCAAACTCCTGACCTCAAGTGATCCACCCGCCTCGGCCTCCCAAGGTGCTGGGATAAGAGGCCAGAGCCACCATGCCTAGCCTCATTCTATTTACCTTTGACTTACATAGTAAAGCGTTTGCTCACAATTATCTTAAACAAACTTAAGCCTAGTTTCCATCCCATCCATCCTGAATTTTGAATTAGTGCACCTTAACAGAAAAGTACTTTGTTAGTTTTCAGGTAGAGGGGAAAAAACAATGGTTTAACATCAACAATAAACCATTATGTCTCCTTTGACCATACGCTGGGAGTTAGGTTCTCTCTAATGTCTAAATCATATCTCGTATCTCACCAGTAAATCATTGACAGTTCCCTGGTGACCTGACATAATTCATGACTCTCCCTAAACCTTCAACCTTTACACAAATAGTAACTGGGACAGGATGGCAAGTGCACCCTGCGCCTCAGGGATGTTCATACTGAAGATACTGAAACTCTCATCTATAGCAGACATGGTAACATCTATATACTCCCACAAGGAAACTACATGTTTCTCTATCCCAAGAGGTAGATTTGCTTGTACTCATTCTTTTGAATTATAAAACATTTTCTTTTTTTTTTTTGAGATGGAGTTTTGCTCTGTCGCCCAGCCTGGAGTGCAATGGTGCGATCTCAGCTCACTGCAACCTCCGCCTCCTGGGTTCAAGCGATTCTCCTGCCTCAGTCTCCCAAGTTGCTGGGATTACAGGCACCCGCCACCACGTCCAGCTAAGTTTTTGTAGTTTTAGTAGAGACGGGGTTTCACCATGTTGGCCAGGCTGGTCTTCAACTCCTGACCTGAGGGGATCTGCCCACGTCGGCCTCCCAGAATGCTGGGATTACAGGCTTGAGCCACCACACCCGGCCTATAAAACATTTTCTACCCTGGCCAGGGAATAGATGATGAGGGAAGTAAGACATAAACATTTTCTTTTTTTTCTTTTTTTAAGACAGAGTCTTGCTCTGTCACCCAAGCTGGAGTGCAGTACCTCACTGCAACCTCTGTCTCCCGGGTTCAACCATCTCGGCCCACTGCAACCTCTGCCTCCCAGGTTCAAGCAGTTCTTCTGCCTCAGCCTCCCAAGTAGCTGGGATGACAGGTGTCCACCACCACATCCAGCTAATTTTTCTCTGTATTTTTAGTGTAGATGGGGTTTCGCCATGTGGGCCAGGCTGGTCTTCAACTCCTGACCTCAGGTGATCCACCCACCTTGGCCTCCCAGACTGCTGGGATTACAGGCGTCAGCCACTGTGCCTGGCTGACATAAACATTTTCTAAAGACCCACTTTGTGCAGGGCACCCAACCAAGTACTTTACACTTTTTTTTTTTTGAGATGGAGCCTTGCTTTGTCTCCTAGACTGGAGTGTAGTGGCACGATCTCAGCTCACTGCAACCTCCACTACCCAAGTTCAAGCGATTCTCGTGTCTTAAGATTCCTGAGTAGCTGGGATTACAGGCGCACACCACTATGCCTGGTTAACAGGGTTTCACCACGTTGACCAGGCTGGTTTCGAACTCCTAACCTCAAGTGATCCACCCACCTCAGCCTCCCAAAGTGTTGGGATTACAGGCATGGGCGACCACACCTGGCCTACTTTACACACTCTAACTAAACCCTGTGAAGTAGATGAGAACGCTGTGATGAGGGAACTTAAATTAACTGGCCAGGGTCCCTTAGAAAGTGGCAGTTCGAACATTTGAATCCAGCTTGATTCCAAAGCCCAAACACATTCCGTCATATTACACAGCTTTTCACAAACCCTGTTATCTGCTAGATCCCATGCTACAGTACCAATGACTTAGATCATTTTGGTACCTAAAGACTCAACTCAGCCTTGCGCCAAACTTCCAGATCTATTTTTATTCTTAGTGGTCTTTAAAACTACCTGGCTTTCTGTGGTAGGTTGCAAAAATATTTTGAAGCTCTTCCTATCAAGAGGCAGAGTCTATTTCCCTACACTTTGACTCTGGGCTGATCATGTGACTTGCTTTGACCAGTAGCACTGTGGGAGTTCTCAGCCTGGGCCTCAAGAGGCCCTGCAGCTTCTGCTTTTGTAATTTTGTGTGTGTGTCTGTGAGATAGAGTTTCGCTCTTGTTGCCCAGGCTGGAGTGCAATTGCGCAATCTTGGCTCACTGCAACCTCCGCCTCCCGGGTTTAAGCGATTCTCCCTCAGCCTCCCGAGTAACTGGGATTATAGGCACGCGCTGCCATGCCTGGCTAATTTTTGTATTTTTAGTACAGATGGGGTTTCGCTATGTTGGCCAGGCTAGTCTCGAACTCCTGACCTTGTGATCCGCATGCCTCAGCCTGTGGATGAGTGCTGGGATTACAGCTGTGAGCCACTGCACCCGGCTAAAATCTGGCAACCTTTATAAGCAATGGACAAAAGGTATGTGCACTGGCAACTCCAGAGCTTATAAGACTCAGTCCTTGAGTTTCAACCACATTGTTTTTATTTATTTATTTTTATTTATTTATTTTTTTGAGACAGAGTCTCGCTCTGTCGCCCAGGCTGGAGTGCAGTGGTGCCATCTTGGCTCACTGCAACCTCTGCCTCCCAGGTTCAAGCAATTCTCCTGCCTCAGCCTCCCGAATAACTGGGATTACAAGCATGTGCCACCACACCTGTCTAATTTTTTTGTATTTTTAGTAGAAACAGGGTTTCACCATGTTGGTCAGGCTGGTCTCGAACTCCTGACCTTGTGATCTGTCCGCCTTGACCTCCCAAAGTGCTGGGATTACAGGCGTGAGCCACTGTACCTGGCCCAAATTTTTTTGTTTTTATTTTTTTTGAGACGGAGTTTTGCTCTTATTGCCCAGGCTGGAGTGCAATGGCACAATCTTGGCTCACTGCACCCTCTGCCTCCCAGGTTCAAGCAATTCTCCTGCCTCAGCCTCCTGAGTAGCTGGGATTACAGGTGCCCACCATCACACCTGGCTAATTTTTGTATTTTTTAGTAGAGACGAGGTTTCACCATGTTGGCCAAGTTGGTCTTGAACTCCTGACCTCAAGTGATCCACCTGCCTCGGCCTCCCAAAGTGCTGTTATTACAGGCGTCAGCCACTGCACCTGGCCCACGTTGTTTTTAAAAGCAGTTCTAAGTCTTGAGAGACAGCTCAGGCCAAATCTAGAAGCAGTAATTTAAATATGTACAAAAGGCATTATGATCTTCTGTACTTTCTGAGCATGACTAAGTTTTAGCCAAAAAAAAAAAAAAAAAAAAAATGGAACCAGGCTGGGAGCATTAACTCACGCCTGTAAGAGACTGCAGTGAACCATGATCATGCCACTGCGCTCCATGCTGGGCAACAGAGCCAGATTTGGCCTCAAAAAAAAAAAAAAAAAAAAAAAGGAACCAAGCCTCACATCTAACTGTATGGTGCTTAAACATGGAATAATGATGAATTCCTGCTACTGCTAAGCAAATTTCTTGAATATAATTCTTGAACATCATAGTTCTTGAGAGAATGTTACTTCATGGACAAAATAGGCTATTATTTATAAAAGATCAGAATTAACTTGTTAAAATTAAGTTAGCTATCATGGAATTTTCCCCTTTACATCAAACATCAAAATGTTCTTCTTTCCTTTTTTTTTTTTTTCTTTTTGCCCAAGGTGTCACTCTGTCATCCAGGCTGGAGTCCAGTGGCACGATCATGGTTCACTACAGTCTCTACCTCCCGGGCTCAACTGATCGTCCTACCTCAGCCTTGTCAGTAGCTGGAACTATAGGTGCATGCCACCATGCCCTGCTAATTTTTGTAGACTAGGTCTCACCATGTTGCCCAGGCTGGTCTCGAACTCCTGGGCTCAAGCAATCCACCGGCTTTACGCCTTCCAAAGTGCTGGGATTACAGGCATGAGCCACTGTGACCAGCCTAAAATTATTTTTTTAAGGTAAACTTACCATCAGCTTTTCACACAAGTGTTTCAAGTTTAACAAAAGATACAACTCTACTTTAAATACAACTCACAGAGTGTTCCATTACAATAATTATCAGCTAAAAAAAAAAGCTGAGGCACAAAAAAGCAGTACCTTTTATAATGACTCTAAGATTCTAGAGCTGAACTTGAAACTCAAAGTTGCTAATCACTTGCAAAAAATTAAATTGTACCTGGTGACTGAGCTTAATAATGGTTACTCAGAAAAGCTGTGGCATCAACAACTGGAGACTAGCCAAGTGCACCTGCAAACTCAGGTGGTCAGAAGAGGCAGAGATCACCTTTGATAAATAGGGACAACCTACAAGCTGATTCTGAATATTTTTTGCACTTGGGAGCTGAGCCAGGGCGACAAGATTAGTGAATCCAGGCCCCAGAATGTGGCATGACGGCCACTGTGTACTCTCTCAGGGGTCTGTAATTGCTGTTCTCCCTCCATAACACACTCTCCATTGGGGTGGGGATGGGGGGAAGGGCTCAGTCAATGCTCAGATGATTCTAATTTCATTCATTAACTCAGCCTAAATCTGCAGAGTGTCTACTATGCTAAGTGACATTTCTTGTGAGATGATTCAGTTATGCATCTTCCTGAAAAGAAAGAGGAAAAAAAGAATGCAGAGAAAAATAATAATTTAAGGGACTGCTTTTCTATGCAAGAAGTACTAAGTATTTCTGAAACAAACATGTAGATATATTTGTACTTCATTTGGAATGGATCAAGTGAAAAAAAAGAAATCTTTTACTGGTACCTGTATCCTAATTCTTCACTAAGATGGATCATATGAAGGATATATGACTCCTTGCTTGTTCCCGTGAGGCCAGGCAACAATAAGATAGTAGGTCTGGTGCTGGCATCCATATAACACGTACTGTTATCATTATCAAACCAGTCCAGTGAAATCTGTCCTCCATCTGCAGTTTTAATAAGTTCACTGAAAGGAATAATTCAGAAGACATTACTATTTACATGTTTTAAGTCATGTCTTAATTTTAATTCTAAACACATGACATTATTTGCTCATCAAAAAATAACATTTTTCCAGCATTCACGAACACACACCCATATCTCGATCTACATATCATTTTCTTTCATTAGAAGGATTTTATGAAGATTAGTACCATCAAGTATTTCCAGCAACCTCCGTACAAGGTCGTATATAAAAATGAACTGCTAATTATTAAGATAAATGAATACTTACTCATTACTCCAAAACATCCAGCATTTAACCCTTGTTTGATTGAGGTCACTCAACTAATGCGACAGGGAAGTCTGAGTAAGTAAAATGCTGATCTAATCTCTGACCACTGCTCTAGCTCTTTGGACTCAATAATGCAGTCTCCTTGTATAGTATACTTCAAGATTTTCTTCTGAAATAATTTAAATTATTTCTCACATAGTATTCATGAACTTACAGAATTTTCCCAAACAAACAGTGCAAGTTCCAGGCAACAAAATAAACTCCAGAAGGATAGATGACTAAGGGAAATTAATAACAGGCACCATTTAAATCTGGTTCCTGATAAATCCTGGACCGTATCTTTAACACATCAAGAGCTATTATCATCAAGATCCCATTTGCCTGTCAATAGGAAGTCATTTTACACCAATAAATCGCCCAAAACCCAAATTAAGTGGCATCCTTCTCACCCCACCCCCCCCCCCAGTATCTGCTACTTATCAATGAATGAATGCAGATCATCAAAAGATCTGGGTCTTTCTGACAGATGTATGACAAACTGCGAGACAGTAATCCCCAAACACTTCTCTCATCCTAAAAATAAACCATTTACATCAGGTTGGCGGTTAGGGCGGGGACCAGGAGGCAAATACCTGCAGCTGGGGTATTTTCCTGCAGCTGGGGGTGGAGCCGGGGACGTACCTTCCATTTTCATTCCCTCTTTCTGTTCTATATACTTCCTAAAGCAGATTCTATTAACCAAGAACTGGGAATAAGCAAGCAAGCAAACAAACAACCTGTGATTTTGCAGAAATGACTGAAAACGGAAATTCACTTACTTCCTGTACTGCACCGGGGGCTTCGAAGTGATGAAAGGTCTAAGCAGGGTCTGTCCTCGACCCTCCCAGCACCAGACCGTCGGGTAGTACGTTTCTGTAACCACGGGACAGTGGTCTTGAAGGAAGCGGCTGAAACTCTCACCCCCGGTCACTAACTGGGGTTTCTGAAGGGAAAAGCAGTATCAGAGAAGGGCCCAGAGCAAAGTTTCTGCCAACCGTAAACCAGAAACCGGCAAAGACTTGTCGCTCGCGCGCGCGCTTCCTCCGATTACAACTCTTTCTGGAGGGCTGACGCAAAAAATTCACAGTCACAGAGGACTGAAACGGGGGTTTCGCCAATGCCCCGAGGGGAAGGCGAGAATCGCGATAAGGGAGTTTGTTTGTTTTTAACTCCGCCTCCCGGGTTCAGGGGATTCTCCTGCCTCAGCCTCCCGAGTAGCTGGGATTGCAGGCGTCCGCCACCACGCCCGGCTAATTTTTTGTAATTGTAACGGGGTTTCACCATTTTGGTCAGGCTGGTCTCGAACTCTTGACCTCAGGTGATCCACCCGCCTCGGGCTCCCAAAGTGCTGAGATTACAGGCGTGAGCCACCGTGCCCTGCCCGGAGTCATTTTCAAAAGCGCCACGGCGTTCCCGAGTGCGCCGCCGGCTTCGCGATCGGTGACCGGGCAGCGCCGCAGCGCAGAAGTCAGCCGGGTTCAGGCTGCGCTCCGAGGACCACCCGGCCGGGACCCCCAGGGGGCGGGCGAACGGGCGGGGCCTGTTGGCTTTCCCGCGCGCGCTGGGGGCTGCCGCTCGGGAGCAGCTCGCCGCCTATCCCCGGGGCTGCCGACCGCCCCTGGCCGCGCAGCCTCGCGCCGCGCCTGCTACCCTAGCTCCTGGCCCAGCAGCCCGCGGCCCTGCGCCACCCCCGGCTCACCTTGGCAATGCTGCTCAGGTAGTAGAAGGCATAAGCGACGCTGAAGCCCAGGATAAGGGATAAGCCCACCCCCGAGCCGAAGAACCCCACCCGGACTTGGTGTTCCAGGTAGAGGGAGAGCTCCCGGGACAACATCCGCAGGTCCATGGCCAGGCGCTGCATGGCCCCCGAGCGCGGCGCGCGGGTCCTGCGGCGGGAGGAGAGCCGGCTGGCGAGCGGGCGAGAGCGGGCGAGAGCGGACGCGGCGCCGCTGCCTACTCCCGACCACAGTGTCTCCTGCCTGGCGGAGCGCGGCTTCCGACAACGGGCGGGGCGGAGCGGCCCAGGGAGGCGTAGCCCGAGACTCCAACGCCGCCCGCTCCGCCCCGGCTTCCTGGAGCCGCCCCCACTGCCAGCCACTCAGGAACCTTCCAGAAGCGCGGTTCCAAGACCGGCCACCGGGAGGGCGGGCGGACTGGGTTCTCCCAGCTAGGTCGCAGTGGGCGATGGGGATCCCCAAGGGTGGGCCGAGAGCTGACGGATCGGCAGCGCTGGTTAAGGCCCCGCACCTGCAGCCCCAGTGACCTTGAACGATTCCGCTCTGCGGCGGGTGTCCCTAAACTAGCAGTTTAGGGTGTCAGGTAAGCGTGCCTTGCATTCAAAGATTTGGGGAGTTAATGCCAAAGATATGTTAGCAGGTAAGAATCCCACATCCTCTAGACGTTTGCGTTGGTCCTCAAGACTATGGAAAGAGAAAAAATATTCTATGAGCATTCAACAGTGAGGACATCATACTCGACTCTGAATCACTCTGTGAATCTTTTTAGTTGCTAAGTGTCACTTAAATGAGAAGTGGTCTCTGAAAATAAATGAAAAGGTCAAGAATAGCAACCGGGATTCAATTGTTAAAAGCCTATTTGTGGTTCATTAATGCTTTGAATTTAGAGACTTATGGAAATTCACACCGATTACCTAATGTACAGACAAGAAACCATTTATGAAGTAGGGTCTCCTAGGCTTATTTATGGCAATATGATAAATCAGGATACTTATGGTTATCTGAAATGGTTAGAATTTAATAGCCTATTCCTACTCTTATGAACTCCTTCCTCAGAGAGGTAGGAAGAATGGCAAGACTTAAACAGACGAAAGAAGGGAAAGTGCTGTCTAGATTATGAAAAATGCCAAAGGATTGTAAATTAATGATGTAATTTAGATGGGGACATGAGACGGACCAGAAGTGAGCAATTTATTTGGCTCCGATTTGGTCATTGCAACTTGGTGGTTGGCTGCAGCACCCAAAATAATTCAATTACCTTTACTGAGCCTGTTTTTTTCTTGTTTTAATAATCTGTAGCGTAACAATTTCTACTTTATAGAGTTCCCGAGAGGACAAGATAGTGTATATACTGGACTCCCCGTGAGCAGAAGTAATTTTCACGCTCTGGCTCTCACACCTGAGCACACATAGCAAACGTGAATGCATATGCTGGTTGCCATACTTGAAACTTCATAGCATTCTTCATAACCCCTGCACCAGCCTTCTGCACTACCTACCAATAAATGCATGCGTATTTCAGTTTAAGTTTGTTCTGTTTTGTTTTGTTTTGTTTTTTGAGACAGAGTTTTGCTCTTGTTGCCCAGGCTGGAGTGCAATGGCGAGATCTCGGGTCACTGCAACCTCCACCTCCCGGGTTCACGTGATTCTCCTGCCTCAGCCTCCCGAGTACCTGGGATTACAGGCATGCACAACCACACCCAGCTAATCTTGTATTTTCAGTAGAGACAGGGTTTCACCATGTTGACCAGGCTGGTCTGGAACTCCTGATCCACTCGCCTCGGCCTCCCAAAGTGCTGGTGAGAGGTGACAACGTGCTAGCAGCCCTCGCTCGCTCTCAGCACCTCCTCAGGCCAGGGCATCCACTCTGGCCGCGTTTGAGGAGCCCTTCAGCCCGCTGCTGCACTGTGGGAGCCCCTCTCTGGGCTGGCTGAGGCCGGAGCCAGCTCCCTCTGCTTGCAGGGAGGTGTGGAGAGAGAGGCGTGGGCGGGAACCGGGGCTGCTGTGCCCCGCGATCACGGGCCAGCGGGAGTTCCGGGTGGGTGTGGGCTCGGCGGGCCCTGCACTCTGAGCGCCGGCTGGCACCGCCGGCCCTGGCCAGTGAGGGGCTTAGCACCCAGACCAGCAGCTGTGGAGGGTGCCCCGGGTCCACCAGCAGTGCCAGCCCGCCAGCGCTGCACTGGAATTCTTGCTGGGCCTCAGCTGCCTCCCCACGGGGCAGGGCTCAGGACCTGCAGCCCGCCATGCCTGAGCCGCACCCCCCGCCCCACTGTGGGCTCCTGCGGGGCAAGCCTCCCCCACGAGCGCTGCCCCCTGCTCTGCCAAGCCGGGTTCCATCCACCGCCCAAGGGCTGAGGAGTGTGGGGCTGACGGGGCAGTACTGGTGGGCAGCTGCGGCTCCCCTGTGGGATCCACTAGGTGAAGCCAGCTGGGCTCCTGAGTCTAGTGGGGACTTGGAGAACCTTTATGTCTAGCTAAGGGATTGTAAATACACCAATCAGCACTCAGTGTCTAGCTCAAGGTTTGTAAATGCACCAATCAGCACTCTGTATCTAGCTAATCTGGTGGGGACTTGGAGAATCTTTATGTCTAGCTAAGGGATTGTAAATACACCAGTCAGCACTCTGTGTCTAGCTCAAGGTTTGTAAACACACTAATCAGCACCCTGTGTCTAGCTCAAGGTTTGTAAATGCACCAATCAGTGCTCTGTGGGGACTTGGAGAAATTTTGTGTCTAGCTCAGCGATTGTAAATGTACCAATCACCACCCTGTCAAAACGGACCAGTCAGCTCTCTGTAAAACAGACCAGGCAGCTCTCTGTAAAATGGGCCAATCAGCAGGATGTGGGTGGGGCCGATAAGGGAATAAAAGCAGGCTGCCCGAGCCAGCAGAGGCAACCTACTGGGGTCGCCTTCCACGTTGTGGAAGCTTTGTCCTTTTGCTCTTTGCAGTAAATCTTGCTGCTGCTCATTCTTTGGGTCCACGCTGTCTTTATGAGCTATAACACTCACTGCGAAGGTTTGCAGCTTCCCTCCTGAGCCAGGGAGACCACGAACCCACCAGAAGGAAGAAACTCCAAACACATCCGAAGATCAGAAGGAACCAACTCTGGACGCCCCTCTTTTAAGAACTGTAACACTCACTGCGATGGTCCGCGGCTTCATTCTTGAAGTCAGTGAGACCAAGAACCCACTAATTCTGGACACACGGGGATTACAGGCATGAGCCACTGTGCCTGGCCCAGTTTAAGTTTAAAGTGAAAGTATTATCGAATAAAATGTTTGTCTGAGCTTGGGCATTATAACAAAATACCATAGCCTAGGTGACTTAAACATACATGTATTTCTCACTGTTCTAGAGGCTGGAAGTTTGAGATCAGGGTACCGATGTGGTTGGGTTTTGGTGAGGGCCCTCTTTTGCCTTGCAGATGGCTTCTCAGGAAGCTCTGATGTCTCTTCCTCCTCTTTTAGAGGCACCAATTCCATCATAGGGACCCTGTCCTCATTATCTCGCCTAAACCTAACTACATCCCAAAAGCCGTGCCTCCTAATACCATCACCTTGAGGGGCTAGGGCTCCAACATGTGAAGGTGGAGGCGGGGGATACAAACATTGATGCCTATAATATTTTATGGCCATCATGGTGTGTAGAAAATGTACTGACCTAGGAGTAAAAAACAGCTCTGAACTTATCCACCAAACTTAGGCAAATCATTTACTCTTTGGGGGCCTCAGTTCCTTGTCTGTAAAATGAGATGATTGAGATGGAGGTTGTCCAAGTTTATTTCCTGTTAGAAAAACATTCTCCATCTTTCTTTAGAACTACTATTTTGGCTGGGCATAGTGGCTCACGCCTGTAATCCCAGCACTTTGGGAGGCCGATGCAGTTGAGTCACTTGAGGTCAGGAGTTCGAGACCAGCTTGACCAACATCGTGAAACCGCATCTCTCCTAAAAATACAAGAAAATTAGCTGGGCATGGTGGTGGGTGCTTGTAATCCCAGCTACTCAGGAGGCCGAGACAGGAGAATTGCTTGAACCCGGGAAGGCGGAGATTCCAGTGAGCCAAGAGCATGCCACTGCACTCCAGCCTGGGCGACAGAGGGAAACTGCCTGAAAAAACCCAAAAAACCAAGTAACTGTTATTCCCAATTTATACATGAGGAAATGAGAGCTCAGAAAGTTTAATTCATTCATTCAATCAGTGTCTTCTTGGGTGATTACAGGGCACTGAGGATCCAATCATAATAATACTTAGAGTCTAGTGTGGCAACAGAGGAGTAAGCAGTTACATTACAAAAAGTGTGGTGTCTGGGGATGGTTCCAGATGCAGCAGGTACACAGGGTTCTTAGTAGCAAACAGCAAAAGTCAATTTGGGCTTACCATATGCAGAAAGGAAATTTATTACAATGGTATGTGATAGCTGATGAAACTCCAGAAGGGCCAGAGAACAAGGCTTAGAAGTTGGGAACAATGCCTTTAAAAGTCGTGGCGAGGCCGGGCGCGGTGGCTCACGCCTGTAATCCCAGCACTTTGGGAGGCCGAGGCGGGCGGATCACGAGGTCAGGAGATCGAGACAATCCTGGCTAACACGGTGAAACCCCGTCTCTGCTAAAAATACAAAAAAAATTAGCTGGGTGCAGTGGCGGGTGCCTGTGGTCTCAGCTACTCAGGAGGCTGAGGCAGGAGAATGGCCTGAACCCAGGAGGTGGAGCTTGCAGTGAGCCCAGATAACGCCACTGCACTACGGCCTGGGCGAAAGAGCGAGACTGTCTCAAAAAAAAAAAAAAAAAAAAAGTCGTGGTGCTGGTCCTGTGATGACAATACTCCTGCTCTCTCTCGGCTACACTGCATGGTTTTTGGCATCCAGACCAGCTATGCTGGGCACAAGGCTGTGTTCTAAATCCCTGACACTGTTGCCTCTGGAAACAGGGTGTTACCACTTCTGCCCCCTCACTACAATGGATTATCCCTGCTTCTTAATTTCACTGTATCCTTATTTATTCAAAGTCTGTTGTGAATGGAACTGACTGGTGCAGTCTAGGTTGTATCTCACCTTCCTCCCAGCTGTGGAGGTAGGAAAACAAATATCTGGCATTTTCAGTGTCTGTGGGGGGACATGCATGCTGCTTCATTTGTTGAAAAGTCCCCAAACACAGATGAAGGTTCAGATGCTGGGCAGTCAAAAAGAATGCAAATGTTTACCTCAAGCATGTAATGGAGCAACTTAGCCACATCCAACAGCCTAGGGAAGATCAGAAAAGACTTCCTGACAGAGATGTGAGCAAAGACCTAGATAAGAAGAGATGAAGGTGAAGAGTTTGTATAGGACGATTGAACTGCATGTGCAAGGGTCTGAAGATAGAAGCAAATATCAAGTGAAATAAGTTTCCATAGCAAATGAGTGGGGTTTGAACCAAAGACTGGGTGGTTCCAAAACCTGTTTTGGGAATTACAATGCTACATTAAAAATATTACCTTTGTGATGAAGAAACAAAGAAAATGAAATCATTGCTTCAAAATTTTTTAAGACACTTGCTTAGAATATGCTTATGTTTTTAATTTTTGTAAACTAATGAAATTCTCTTTTTTTTTTTTTGAGATGGAATCTCTCTCTGTCGCCCAGGCTGGAGTGCAGTGGTGTGGTCTTTGCACACTGCAACCTCCGCCTTAGCCTCCCGAGTTAACTGGGATTACAGGCATGCACCATCACGCCCAGCTAATTTTTGTATTTTTTGTAGAGACGGTTTCACCATATTGGCCAGGCTGGTCTAGAAATCCGGACCTCAAGTGATCCGCCCGCCTGAGCCTTCCAGAGTTCTGGGATTACAGGCGTGAGCCACTGCACCTGGCCTTGAAATACTTTATTGGATAAATACAATACTAAACAAAATTCATTCAAATACTTTCCCCAAAAAATCAATTTTTGCCCAGGTGCAGTAGCTCACACCTCTGATTCCAGCACTTTGGGAGGCCAAGTTGGGAGGATTGCTTTAGTCCAGGAGTTTGAGACCAGCCTGGGCAATATACTGAGACCTTATTTCTACAAAAAATTTAAAAATTAGCCAGGTGTGGTAGTGCATGCCTGTAGTCCCAGCTACTTGGGAGGCTAAGGTGGGAGGATCGTTTGAGCCCAGGAGTTCAAGACTGCAGTGAGGGATATTCACACCACTACACTCCAGCCTGGGTGACAGAGTGAGACCTTGTCTCAAATATATAAGGCCTTTCTATTCAGGCCAATGACAAACACAAAAAAGATAGATATGCTAGTTTAACATAATTGACTGATTTTTTTTTTTTTTTTTTTTTTGAGATGGAGTCTCTGTCGCCAGGCTGGAGTGCAGTGGCACGATCTTGGCTCACTGCGACCTCTGGCTACCTGGTTCGAGCAATTCTCCTGCATCAGCCTCCCAAGTAGCTGGGATTACAGGCATGTGCCACCATACCCAGATAATTTTTGTATTTTTAGTAGAGACAGGGTTTCACCATGTTGGCCAGGCTGGTCTTGAACTCCTGACCTCAGGTGATCCACCTGCCTCGGCCTCCCAAAGTGCTGGGATTACAGGCGTGAGCCACTGAACTTGGCCTAATTGGCTGATTTTATACAGCACTTATATCTTTTAGTCCACAAGTATATTATTAAATGATAGAGAATACCTAATACTACCATTTCTACAGAACTAGGAAATAAATTTCTAAGAAAGAAAGATTTTCCAGACCCCACATTTTATTTATTTATTTATTTTTATTTTTATTTTTTGAAATGGAGTCTCACTCTGTCACAAAAGCTGGAGTGCAGTAGTGCAATCTTGGCTCACTGCAACCTTTGTCTCCTGGGTTCAAGCAATTCTCCTGTCTCAGTCTCCTGAGTAGTTGGGATTACAGGTGCCTGCCACTACGCCCGGCTAATCTTTTTGTATTTTTAGTAGAGATGAGTTTCACCATATTGGCCAGGCTGGTCTTGAACTCCTGACCTCAAATCATGCGCCCACCTCGACCTCCCAAAGTGCTGGGATTATAGACATGAGCCACTGCGCCCAGCCAGACCCTATCTTTTATATCCACCCCAGCAATCTAACTCTAAAGAGGATAAAGCCGATGACTTTCCTCACAAGAGCTCACGACTTGTGTCACTTTGGTATCATAATCTTTCTTTCTTTCTTTTTATTTTTTTGACAAGGTTTTGCTCTGTCACTCAGGCTGGCATGCCATGGTGTGATTATGGCTTACTGCAGCCTCGACCTCCCAGGCTCAAGTCATCCTCCTGCCTCAGCCTCCCAAGTAGCTGGGACCACAGGCCCATGCCACCATGTCTGGCTAAGTTTTTTCTTTTTTATAGAGACGGGGTCTTTCTGTGTTGCCCAGGCTGGTCTCGAACTCCTGGGCTCAAGCAGTCCTCCTGCCTTGCCCTCCCAAAGTGCTGGGATTACACGTGTGAGCCACTGCGCCTGGCCTCACCCTAGTCTTTATAATCCAATGCTGTTACGTTTATTCTTCTGTGTACTCTGCTAGCATTATCACAAAAACCAAGATATGGTCCTAGTTTCTGCGATTTTAGCACAGTGCTTATACAGGAAGTTGTTTATTTTTAAAAATCCTGATCAAGTCTGTACCTGAAACAACAGACCTAAAGCAGCACAGTTGTCCTTTATAGGTTGGTATAAAATGCTCATGAAGCTCTTTGTCATTTTTTTTCTAATTCTATTTGTATTTCAAAGGAGAAATCAGAATTGCACAGAGAATGTGTGGTAGGCAGACCCTAAGGAGACCCCCAGTGATCTCTGCCTCCTGGTGCCCTTCTCCTGGAGTGTGTATAGGACCTGTGATTCATTTCCAACCAATACGATAGAGATAGCAAAGGTAATGGGATGTCAACACTCCTGTGATTATACTATGTTATATAAGACTCCTTAGCAGACTGGAGCTAGACTGTCCTTTCAGCCTTGAGGAAGCAGCCATGTGAACTGCCCCAGAGAAAGCCACATAGCAGCGAACTGTAGGCAGCCTCTGGGATCTATGGGTGGCCTCCATCAGACAACTGCAAAAAACACTGGTGACCTGAGTCCTGCAACTGCAAGGAAATGAATTCTGCCAACAACCTGAATGAGTATGGAAGGAGATTCTTTCCCAGTCAAATCTCCAGATGAAAATACAGCATGGTCAACGTTTTAACTTCAGCCTTGTGAGCCCCTGATCAGAGGACCCAGTTAAGTTGTACCTGGACCTATGACCCATGGGAACTGCTAGATAAGAAATGTGTTGTTTGAAGCTGCTAAGTTGGTGGTAATTTGTTGTGCAGCAATAGAAACCTAATAGAGAATATAAAAGGGTCCTACAAAATCATTTAAAGATTAATAAATATTAATGGCTCTTTTTTTTGCCCACCAATGTATCTATTATAGGAATATTTTATATTTATTATTATTATTTTTTGAGATAGGGTCTTGCTCTGTCACCCAGACTGGGGTGCAATGGTCTGAACACCTCTTACTGCAGCCTTGAATCAGTCTTGGGGTCAAGCAATCCTCCCCACTCAGCCTCCTGAGTAGCTGGGACTACAGGTGTGCATTACCATGCCCAGCTTATTTTTTTATTTTTGTTTTTGTTTTCATAGAGACAGGGTCTCACTATGTTGCCCTGACTGGTCTTGAACTCCTGGCCTTAAACAATCCCCCCATCTCAGACTCCCAAAGTGCTGGGATTACAACCCTGAGCCACCAAGCCCATCTGGAATAAATTAAATTTCCAGATGGAAAATAAATTATTTAATTAATAAATTAAAGAACTCTGGGCCAGGCGCGGTGGCTCACGCCTATAATCCCAGCACTTTGGGAGGCCGAGACAGGTGGATCATGAGGTCAGGCATTCAAGACCAGCCTCGCCAAGATGCCAAAACCCCGTCTCTACTAAAAATACAAAAAAAATTAGCCGGGCATGGTGGCACGCGCCTGTAATCCCAGCTACTCGGGAGGATGAGGCAGGAGAATTGCTTGAACCCAGGTGGCAGAGGTTGCAGTGAGCTGAGATTGCACCACTGCACTCCAGCCCGGGCGACAGAGCAAGATTCTGTCTCAAAAAAAAAAAAAAAAAAAAAAAAAGCTTAATTAAGACAAGTTCTCATTATGTTGAACTCCTGAGCTCAAGTAATCCTGCCACCTTGGCCTCCCAAAATGCTAGGAGTACAGGCATGAGTTACCATGCCTGCACCCCTCTCCTTTTTTTTTTTTTTTGTATTTTTAGTAGAGGTGGGGGTTTCACCATGTTGGCCAGGCTGGTCTTGAACTCCTGACCTCAAGTGATCCACCCTCCTCGGCCTCCCAAAGTGCTGGGATGACAGGTGTGAGCCAGCACACCTGGCCCCATTTTCCATTTTTTAAATTACACAGGAAATTCATTAAGTCACATTCCTTACAGGATGAAATTTGGAGAAAATTTTTAATAGGAGCACAAACAGCTATAATGCAGGCTTGTTTGCAGCTGTGGCCTTGCCCAGTGTAACAAGATGTTAAGTAGTGCTTTCCCTCCTTCTCTGGAATTGGTGAATGCAGTTCATATCCATGCACAGAGGAGTCAAGTACCAAAAGCTGTGGATCTACACAGATCTCCAGGGTTTAGTAAGAAATGTCTGAGCTGGCCAAATCGCCCAAAGCCATCACTCTAGGTGCCTCCTCCTCCTCCCTGCCTACGTAACAGACCAGAGAGGAAGAGATTAGCAGAGTTGTGAATTGTTGGACTGGGAGTTTCATTGCAAATGTCCTCTTTGCAGAAAGTGCACAAATGCTAGATCTCTTGGTGGTGAATACGTGAGTTTCATGCTGGGAGTAGGGAGGATAGGGCATGGGGAACAGGTAGTGTGAAATAGGTGGATCCACAGACCTCTACACTGCATAATTTCTGAAAGACCCACTCCTGCTCAGTATATTTTAATTAGCTCCCCCATCTCTGTCTCCACAGTTTCTTTCTTCTCCAGGAGTCTCCTTCTCCAGGGTCCTTGGGAGTTAGTCTCAATGTTGGCCTTTCGGTGCACTACAACTCTCTTGCATAGTATCCTCCCATGCTGAATCTGGGTTGGCCTTGTGATCTGCTTTACCAATAAAGGGAGTTGGAAATGACACTGAAATTTCTGAAACTAGTCTTGTGGTTTCCAAATTGGCCTTCCACAACATGCACTCTAGGGAAACCAACTGCCATGTAAGAAGTCCTACTCCTCTGGAACCAGCATGCTGTGAGGCTGCTCATATTGAAATACCTGATCAGGAGCTTTCTGCTCCATCAGCTGCTACTGGAGAGGAAAAATAGCTCTGTGTCCTCATTATCTCAATTTTGGTAGCCTAAAAGACCAGATGATGAGAATTGCAGAGCTTTGGCCCTAGCTCATGAAAAGGCAGTAAATTGGGGGGGATCACCCCATGGAGGATCATGGCAGACAGGAGATAGGACTAGATTGCAGCTCCCACTTGGGCAGCAGTGTGTGGAGTCTCGCTTCGTGAACTTTTGCTCTAGACCTACTCCAGGAATAAATCAGAAAGTTGAGAGAACCCATGAACCCTCTGGAGAAAGTGGATTGCTCCTGTAGGACCCAGGAGACACTCCAAATACTGTGCTGGTATCCACAGCTGAGAGACCCACAGATGGCTCATATCACAGGACTCTGTGCAGACAACCCCAGTACCAACTCAGATCCTGGTAGACTTGCTGGGTGGCTAGATCCAGAAGAGAGATAACAGTCAGTACAGCTTGGCTTTCAGGAAGCCACATCCATAGGAAAAGGGAGAGAGTACTACATCAAGGGAACACCCTGTGGGACAAAATAATCTGAACAACAGCCTTCATCCCTAGACTTTCCCTCTGACAGAGTCTACCCAAATGAGAAGGAACCAGAAAACCAACTCTGGTAATATGACAAAACAAAGTTTTTCAACACCTCCAAAAAGAAACCACACTAGCTCACCAGCAATGGCTCCAAACCAAGAAGAAATCTCTGATTTACCTGAAAAAGAATTCAGAAGGTCACTTATTAGGCTAATCAAGGAGGCACCAGAGAAAGGTGAAGCTCAATTTAAGGAAATTAAAAAAAAAATACAAGAAATGAGAGAAATCGTCAGTGAAATAGATATCATAAATAAAAAAAATCAAAACTTCAGGAAACAATGGATGCACTTATAGAATGCAAAATGCTCTGGAAAGTCTCAGCAATAGAATTGAACAAGCAGAAGAAAGAACTTCAGAGCTCAAAGACAAGGTTTTCGAATTAACTCAATCCAACAAAAACAAAGAAAAAAGAATAAGAAAATATGAACAAAGCCTCTAAGAAATCTGAGATTATATTAAATGACCAAACTTAAGAATAATTGGTGTTCCTGAGGAAGAAGAGAAATCTAAAAGTTTGGAAAACATATTTGGGGGAATAATCAAGGAAAACTTCCCTGGCCTTGTTAGTGACCTGGACATCCAAACACAAGAAGCTCAAAGAAGACCTGGGAAATTCATTGCAAAAAGATCATTGCCTAGGCACATTGTCATCAGGTTACCTAAAGTTAAGAAGGAAGAAAGAATCTTAAGAGCTTTGAGGCAAAAGCACCAGGTAACCCATAAAGGAAAACCTATCAGATTAACAACAGATTTCTCAGCAGAAACCCTGCAAGCTAGAAGAGATTGAGGCCCTATCTTCACCCTCTCTAAACAAAACAATTATCAGCCATGAATTTTGTATCCAGCAAAACTAAGCTTCATAAATGAAGGAAAGATACAGTCTTTTTCAGATAAACAAATGCTGAAAAAATTTGCCACTACCAAACCAGCACTATAAGAACTACTAAAAGGAGCTCTAAATCTTGAAACAAATCCTGGAAACACATCAAAACAGAACCTCTTTAAAGCATAAATCTTACAGGACCTATAAAACAAAAATATAATTAAAAAACACAAAAAGCAAACGTACACAGGCAACAAATAGCACAATGAATGGAATAGTACCTCACATCTCAATACTAATGTTTAATGTAAATGGCCTAAAAAATGCTCCACTTAGGCTGGGCACGGTGGCTCACGCCTGTAATCTCAGCACTTTGGGAGGCTGAGGTGGGCGGATCACGAGGTCAGGAGTTGGAGACCATCCTGGCTAACACGGTGAAACCCTGTGTCTACTAAAAATACAAAAAAATTAGCCGGGCATGGTGGCGGGCGCCTATAGTCCCAGCCACGCAGGAGGCTGAGGCAGGAGAATGGCGTGAAGCCGGGAGGTGGAGCTTGCAGTGAGCCAAGATGGCGCCACTGCACTCCAGCCTGGGGGACAGAGTGAGACTCTATCTCAAAAAAAAAAGCTCCACTTAAAGGATACAGAATTGCAGAATGGATAAGAATTCACCTGTCAACTATCTGCTGCCTTCAAGAGACTTACCTAACACAGAAGGACTAAGCAAAAAGAAAAAATCTGGAGGCATCACATTATCTGATTTCAAACTATATATTATAAGGCCATAGTCACCAAACAGCATGGTACTGGCATAAAAATAAGAATATACACCAATGGAATAGAATAGAGAACCCAGAAATAAACCCAAATACTTACAGCCAACTGATCTTTGACAAAGCAAACAAAAAGAAAGTGGGGAAAGGACAACCTATTCAACAAATGGTGCAGGGTAGCCAAATGTAGGAGAATGAAACTGGACCCTCATCTCTCACCTTATACAAAAATCTACTCAAGATGGATTAAGGACTTAAATCTAAGACCTGAAACTCTAAAAATTCTAGAAGATAACATTGAAAAAACCCTTCTAGGCATTGGCTTAGGCAAGGATTTCATGACCAAGAACCCAAAAGCAAACACAATAAGAACAAAGATAAATAGCTGAGACTTAATTAAACTAAAGAGCTTTTGCACAGCAAAAGGAACAGTCAGCAGGGTAAACAGACAACCCACAGAGTGGGAGAAAACCTTAACAATCTATACATCTGACAAAGGACTAATATCCAGAATCTACAATGAACTCAAACAAATTAGCAAGAAAAAAAACAAACAATCCCATCAAAAAGTGGGCTAAGAACATGAATAGACAATTCTCAACAGAAAAAATACAAATGGCCAAAAAAATATGAAAAAATCCTCAACATCACTAATGGTCAGGGAAATGCAAATCAAAAACACAATGCGATGCCACCTTACTCCTGCAAAAATGGCCATAATCAAAAAATAAAAAATAGCAGATGTTGGCATCGATGTGGTGAACGAAGAACACTTCTACACTGCTGGTGGGAATGTAAACTAGTACAACCACTATGGAAAACAGTGTGGAGATTCCTTAAAGAACTAAAAGTAGATCTACCATTTGATCCAGCAGTCCCACTACTTGGTATCCATCCAGAGGAGAAGTCATTATACGAAAAAGATACTTGCACACACATGTTTATAGCAGCACAATTCACAATTGTAAAAATATAGAACCAACCCAAATGCCCATCAGTCAGTGAATGAATAAAGAAACTGGTATTTATATACAATGCAATACTACTCAGCCATAAGAAGGAATGAATTAATAGGATTTGCAGCCACCTGGATGAGATTGGAGACTTATTCTAAGTGAAGTAACTCAGGAATGGAAAACCAAACATTGTATATTCTCATTCATAAGTGGGAGCTAAGCTATGAGGATGCAAAGGCATAATAATGACACAGTGGACTTTAGGGACTCAGGGGGAAAGGGTGGATAGGGGGTGAGGGATAAAAAACTACAAATTGGGTGCAGTGTATACTGCTTGGGTGATGGGTGCACCAAAAATTTCACAAATCACCCCTAAAGAACTTACTAATGTAACCAAACACCACCTGTTCCGCAATAACCTATGGAAATAAAACATTTTTTTAAAAAAGAAAGAAAAAAATAGCTGGTCAGCTCCCACTGTTTCTGCCAACCCAGCTGAAGTGTCAGACATGTGAGTAAAGAAGCCACCTTGGAATGTTCAGCCCAGTGAAATCTGTAGATGACTTTGGCCTCAGATGTCATCTGACTGCAAACACACAAGAGACATCAAGCAAGAACTGCCCAGTTGAGCCCAGCCACCCTACAAAAATCTGAGAGCGAATTATGCATTGTTGTTTAAGTAACTAAGTTTTGGCTGAGTTCTTACGCATCAATAGTTAACCAAAACTATGGCCAACTATCTTGGGTGAGTTACTGGCAAGACAGGTTCAAGTTCAGGCACCTTCCTTGGTGTTAGTAGACAAAGGACCATGTGGGGCTGGGTGCAGTGGCTCATGCCTGTAATCCCGACCCATTGGGAGGGTTATGAGGTGAGGCCAAGAGTTCAAGACGAGTCTAGTCAACATAGTGAGACCCTCATCTCTACAAAAACAATTTTAAAAAATTAGCCAGGCATGGCTGGGTGTGGTGGCTCTCAGCACTTTGGGAGGCCAAGGTGGGTGGATCACCCTAGGTCGGGAGTTTGAGACCAGCCTGACCAACATGGAGGAACCCTGTCTCTACTAAAAATACAAAATTAGCCGGGAGTGGTGGCGCATGCCTGTAATCCCAGCTACTTGGGAGGCCGAGGCAGGAGAATCGTTTGAACCCAGGAGGCGGAGGTTGCAGTGAGCCAAGATCATGCCATTGCACTGCAACCTGGGCAACAAGAGCAAAACTCCGTCTCAAAAAAAAAAAAAAAATTTAGCCAGGCATGGTAGCTACTTAGGAGGCTGAGGTGGGAGGATTGCTTGAGCCCAGGAGGTTGAGGCTGCAGTGAGCTATGATTATATCACTGCATTCCAGCCTGAGTGATAGAGTGAGACCTTGTCTGTGAAGAAAAAAAGGACCATATGAAATCATATAAGTCGGTAATTAATTTTTATTATATTTTAGATACTGGCCTCAATAGATGGGAAGTATTAAAAATCTCAGAAACAGAGTTTAAAAAAAATTTTTTTTTGATATGAAGTCTCGCTCTGTTGCCCAGGCTGGAGTGCAGCGGTGCGATCTCTGCACACTGCAACCTCTGCCCCCTGGGTTCAAGTGATTCTCCGGTCTCAGCCTCCGGAGTACCTGGGACGATGGGTATACGTCACCACGCTGGGCTATTTTTTTTTTTTTTTTTTGTATTTTTAGTAGAGATGGGGTTTCACCACATTGGCCAGGCTGGTCTGGAACTCCTGACCTCATGATCCGCCCTCCTTGGCCTCCCAAAGTGCTGGGATTACAGGCATGAGCCACTGTGCCCGGCCCTTTTTTACTTTTTTCTAAAAACTCACTCCTATTTACACAAAAACAGACCCTTTAATATAGTTTGAGAAGCACTGACTTAAAATTTTCTCATTTCTAATAAGTCTTCCTTGATATTGTTGTCATTGATAAAAGTTTCAAAGTAAAATTTTCCTAACTAAACAATGGAAAAGCTTATGTATACACATTTATACTAGCAACCCAAATATGAGATATCTAAGAATAAAACGTTTAAAAAAAGATTTATAAGACGTTTTGCAGAAAACTTTGGTCACATTTGAAGGATAGTATGGAACCTGTTCATTAGTCCAAATAATACTAAATAAAGGGAAAGAAACCAGCATTTCCTGCCTTTTCTATATCAATCATACCTCAGGATAACCAAATAGCTTTGAAGGAAAGTTCTTCTGCATAGAAGAATTCCAGCTAACAAAATGAAGGAATGGTAGAAATAGAATATCACTATGTTGTAACCTTTAATAAAATAATTATAGGTCTAGTAAATGAGTATCAATAGCTGTTTATGCCATAAAAGCTAATGGGGACATTTTAAATAGGTGAATGAGGATGACAATTCTCCGAATCAATCTGACCATCAGGAACACATGATCATCCAGAAATTAAGGGTATCCTGCAGAGATAAACAACACTTCAGGGATGTAATTAGGAAAATCCAGAATATGGAAAATTCTATAGGTCAAACAATCTGGCTTATTAAATACATTATTTTCAAATAATTTTTTTTTTTTTAGAAAGTGGAAGGGGAACTTGTAGAATCAGAGGTCTATGCAATGTGTAACTCATGATTGGATCCTGATTCAAAGCAAACAAACAGAAGAAAAAAATGGAATTACCTGAGACAATCAGAGAAATGTGAAGACACTGGATATTTGGCGAAGTTAAGGAGTTACAAGCCTGGCACGGTGGCTTATGCCTGTAATCCCAGCACTTTGGGAGGCTGAGAGGGGTAAATTGCTTGAGGCCAAGAGTTTGAGATCAGTCTGGGGAACAGAGGGGGACCCCGTCTCTACAAAAAATAAGAAATAAAAAATTAGCCAGGCATGGTGGTGTGCACCTGTAGTCTTAGCTACTTGAGAGGCTGAGGCAGGAGGATTGCTTCAACACAGGAGTTCGAGGCTGCAGTAAGCCATGATCATGCCACTGCACTCTGCACTCCAGCCTGGGCAACAAAGTGAGAAGCCATTATCTTAACAAAAGAAATCTAGTGAGAAGTGGGTGTGGATTGAGATGAAACAAGGTTGCTGCAACTGAGTGATGGTACTGGGGTACATGGACATTCATTGTACTAGTCTTTCTAAATTTGTATATATTAGAAATTTCATGTAATAAAAAGTTATTTTTCCTGTAAGAGATTTTTTTGAAAGATTTAAACATTTTAAAGAAGTTTTTTTTTTTTTTTTTTTTTTTTTTTTTTTTTTTTTTTGAGACAGAGTCTCCTTCTGTTGCCCAGGCTGGAGTGCGATGGTGCGATCTTGGCTCACTGCAATATCCGCCTCCCAGATTCAAGTGATTCTCCTGCCTCAGCCTCCTAAGTAGCTGGGATTACAAGCATACACCGCCACGCCCAGCTAATTTTTGTATTTTTAGTAGAGACAGGGTTTCGCCATGTTGGACAGGCTGGTCTTGAACTCCCGATCTCAAGTGATCTGCCCGCCTCAGCCTCCCAAAGTTTTGGGATTACAGGCATGAGCCACCGTGCCCAGCCTAAAGAAGCTTTAAAATTATGATTTTACTAAAACTTATTTTTGTGACTGGGATAGTATCTGATAGAATTTGGGGAGAGGAGGGAGAGATGTGTGTCAAGGGAATATTTTTTGGGGAAAATACCAAGTTGTGAAGGAAGAAACTCAGGTATCTTTGAAAAGCAATTGTGTATGTATGACATTATTCATTTTCAAGAGGCATTTGTAATAAAACTGTAGCTTGTGGGTAGGGTGAAAAATGCTCTTTTAGAGTATAATTATGTTTAAAAATATATTTTAAATAAATTTGAAAGTGTTTGAATAATTCTAAACTTAGAGAAAAGTTGCAAAGATAGTACAGGGTTCCCATATTGATCACCTGGTTGTCTTCATTAATATCTTACATTACTGTGGAGTGTTGGTCAAAACTAGTAAACTAACACTGATACATTACTATTAACCAAACTCCAGACTTACTTGAATTTTACTAGTTTTCTATTAATGTTCTAGAATCTAATTCAGGGTCTATCATTGCATTTACTTGTCATGTCTTCCTAGTTTCTTCTGGTCTGTGATAGCTTCTTAATCTTTCCGTGTGTGTGTGTGTGTGTTTTTAAGACGGGGTCTTGCTCTGTTGCCCAGGCTGGAGTGCAATGGCGTGATCTCAGCTCACTGCAACCTCTGCCTCCTGGGTTCAAGCGATTTTCCTGCTTCAGCCTCCTGAGTAGCTGGGATTATAGGCACGAACCACCACACCTGGCTAATTTTTTGTATTTTTAGTAGAGATAGCGTTTCACCATGTTGGCCAGGCTGATCTCGAACTCCTGACCTCGTGATCCACCTGCCTCGGCCTCCTAAAGTGCTGGGATTACAGGCATGAGCCACCACGCCCGGCCCAGTCTTTCCTTGTTTTTATTTTTATTTTTTATTTTGAGATGGAGTTTGCTCTTTTGCCCAGGCTGGAGTGCAGTGGCAGGATCTCAGCTCACTGCAACCTCCACCTCCTGGGTTCAGGCAATTCTCTTGCCTCAGCCTCCTGAGTAGCTGAGATTACAGGCGCCTGCCACCACACCCTGCTAATTTTTGTATTTTTAGTAGAGACAGGGTTTCACCATGTGGGCCAGACTAGTCTTGAACTCCAGACCTCGTGATCTGCTTGCCTCAGCCTCTCAAAGTGCTGGAATTACAGGCATGAGCCACCATGCCTGCCTCTTTCCTTGTTTTTATGACCTTGACATGCTTGAAGAAAACTGGTCAGGTATCCTGTAGAATGCCTCTCAATCTGGGTTTGTCTGATATTTTTTCTCATGATTGGAGTGGTTATGGGTTTTTGGAAAGGATACCTCAAAGGTAAAATGCCTTTCTTATCACATCCTATGAAGGTGTACCTAATAGCCACATGACATCACCAGGAATGTTCACCTTCCTCTCTTGGCTAAAGCAGTTGTTTGCCAGGTTTCTGCACTGTAAAGTAACTATTTGGAAGAGAGTCACAAGTCTAGCACACTCTTAAGACGGAGGTAGCAGAAATTAAGCTCTACCTCCTGGAGGAGGGAGTATCTATATATATATTATTTGGAATTCTTTTGCGAGGAATATTTGTCTCTTCTCCCCATTTATTTATCTATCCAATCTTTTATTTATATCAGTATAGACTCAATGTATATTTACTTTATAGTTGGATCATAATCCAAAACTATATTATTTTGTTTTTCGAATTCTTCCAGCTTTTGCCTTTGGAATTTCTCTTATGTTGGCTTATGTCCCTTTGACATGCCCCATTATTTTGTTTTTTTTAAGCAATTCTTTACTTTCTGATACTTTGTGGAGGCTGATACTCCAGGCTCATCTTGTATTTTCCCTATCTCAGGCCTAGAATGAGCCATGTCACCAAGGATCCCTGGTTTCCCTTATTCTTATTGCAGAATGATATTTAGAAACCAAGATGTGGGTTCTGAGTGTACTCACTGCTACTGGATATCACTGCTTTTAGGGCCTCTCAGTCAACAGAGCTAAGTAATATATGTATGTATATTAAACCATGTGTATATACATATCTATAATTGTTTTTTTTTTGAGACAGAGTCTTTCTCTGTCGCCCAGGCTGAAGTGCAGTGGTGCTATCTCGGCTCACTGCAACCTCCGCCTCCTGGGTTCAAGCAATTCTTCTGCCTCAGCCTCCTGAGTAGCTGGGATTATAGGCACCCGCCACCACGCCCAGCTAATTTTTGTATTTTTAGTAGAGACGGGGTTTCCCCATGTTGGTCAGGCTGGTCTCGAACCCCTGACTTCGTGATCCACCCGCCTCAGCCTCCCAAAGTGTTGGGATTACAGGCATGAGCCACTGTGCCCGGCTATAATTGTTTTTTTATAAATCCACATCTGTTTATAAAGTAAGCTAAACATAAATTCAGAGCTTAACTTTTTTTTTTTTTTAAGAGATGAGGTCTCCCTTTATTGCCCACACTGGTCCTGAACTCAAGGGATCCTCCTGCCTTGGCCTCCCAAAGTGCTGGGATTACAGGCATGAGCCACCTTGCCCAGCCCAGAGCATAACTCTTTTATGTGAACTCCCTCAGGGATTTTAGGAGGAATTAAACCTCTTAGCAATGTTTTTCATATTTTATTTTTGATTTTTGGTTAAAGTAACATTCTATCTGTGGCTGATCTGAGTACAGTGGTGTTTACAACTAATTGATCACAACCAGTTACGGAAGAAACAGATTTCTTTGTTTCTTCTTTACTCCCACTGCTTCACTTGACTAACCTTAAAAAAAAATTCTATCTGTGATAGGATACAGACTATATCCTTATCTTCCTCAAATCTATGTCAAATCAGTAACAGAAATCAGAAGGAATACAGAGTGGTTTATACTTGAAGAGAATGCCAAAACTGAAAATCATAACATATACATTTAATGAAAAAAATTTTAGGTTACATTCAATTAAAAAATATATTAGAGTCAGCCGGGTGTGGTGGCTCATGCCTGTAATCCCAGCACTTTGGGAGGCTGAGGCGAGTGGCTCACTTGAGGTCGGGAGTTTGAGACCAGGCTGGCCAATATGGTGAAACCCCATCTCTACTAAAAATACAAAAATTAGCCGGGCGTGGTGGCATATGCCTGTAGTCCCAGCTACTCAGAAGGCTGAGGCACAAGAATTGCTTGAACTGTGGGGGCGGAGGTTGCAGTGAGCTGAGATTATGCCACTGCACTCCTGCCTGGGCGACAGAGCAAAACTCTGTCTCCCCCATCCAAAAAAAAAAAAAAAATATATATATATATATATATATATATATATATATATATATATATATTAGTCTATATGGATTGTTATAAGAAATGACAAATGTTGGCCCGGCGCAGTGGCTCACACCTGTAATCCCAACACTTTGGGAGACCGAGGCGGGCGGATCACGAGGTCAGGAGATCGCGACCATCCTGGCTCACATGGTGAAATCCTGTCTCTACTAAAAAAAATACAAAAAATTAGCTGGGCATGGTTGCGGGCGCCTGTAGTCCCAGCTACTCGGGAGGCTGAGGCAGGAGAATGGCGTGAACGCGGGAGGTGGAGCTTGCAGTGAGCTGAGATTGTGCCACTGCACTCCAGCCTGGGTGACAGAGCGAGACTCTGTCTCAAAAAAAAAAAAAAAAAAAAAAGACGAATGTCATAAATTATTTATTAATAAACCATTGTGACCCCAACCTCAGTTCTAATACTTATTGCACTATTTGTGGCCCTAATTTTAACACTAACAATTTGATTTTCAATTGATTCATTTCTTTTGGAGGCGCATTCTGTCTTAGGAACTGAAGCTGGAGACTTCAAGATGAAAAAATGTAAAATGTGGAAGGCAGAAAGGTCATGTTGGAAAGGAGGAATGTATATGTGAGACCGCCTGTGGAGTCCTAGTGAAGAAGCAAGTTGAATTATTTGAAGGCTTAGTGGTTAAGGGGGCAGATGAGGTTGTGGTCCCTAGTCCCCACTCCCCATCTGTACTGTTTAGACTTACCACTGGAGCCTGCAGTCGAAATCTGCTTAAAGCTTCCATCATTATCAATTTGTGTTTATTAGATTCAGGGTTTGACAGCCAAGTCGTATCCATAATAGGAGATAAGTTACCTTCCTCTAAGGTAACTGGAGTCATTTGAGACTATCTTCCTCTGGAGGGGATTAATTTACAGACTATAACCTAACTGGACAAACATAAAGTAAATAAAAGCTTCCTCTTCCTCCTTCCCGAGGGGAAAGTCAAAGACACACTTTGTGTAAGATTGAAAGACAGTTGAACAGGAAGGAAGGAAGGAAGGAGGGAGGGAGGGAGAGAGGGAAGGAAGGAAGGAAGGAAGGAAGGAAAACTATCAGGTTCTAACTGCAATGATTGAGATACCATTATTTTAATAAAACCTCAATATAAATCTTCTCTATTTCATCTTCATGCAAAGATGTAACTTTCTGATCATAAGTAGTTAAAAGAGAAATATTTTTGGCCACCTCAGCATCTGTGAAAACACCCTGTCTGTTAACTCTCAAACAGTTTGTTTTCAAGTGTGGAGTGGTCATATGAAACACTTCAGAGATGTGCTAAAATCAGTTTTGAAGCAAGGCAACTCATTTAAGTTGAAAAAGAATGGAAAAGAGGCTGGGAATGGGGGCTCACAGCTGTAATTCCAGTGCTTTGGGAAGCTGAGGTGGGAAGATCACCAAGAACAGGAGTTTGAGGCTGCAGTGAGCTATGATGGCACCATTGCACTCCAGCCTGTGTGACAGAACAATACCCTGTCCCTTTAGAAAATAAAAATTAAAAAAGATTGGCTGGGCGTGGTGGCTCACACCTGTAATCTCAACGCTTTGGGAGGCTGAGGTGGGAGGATTGCTGGAGCCCAGGAGTTTGAAACCAGCCTGGGCAACATAGCAAGACCCCATCTCTATTGAAAAAAAAATGGTTAATGAGAGAAATCTGTCTACGTTCCGACAGAATGAAAACAGTTCAATGTCACCTGCATTAGATAAAACACTATCTTGTCCTGAATTTGTGTATCTGCCTTGTCTCCTCTTTGAGATTTCTATGTCCCTCATCATGCCCAATAGAGTTCCGTAATTATAAAAGATGATAGGGTTCAGAGTGAACGCTCTGAAGGTAGTCCCCACGGTTTTGAATCCTGGCTCTAAGACTTGCCTATTGTGTAACCTTGACCAAGCTACTTGACTCCATCATAATAGTATAAACTTCAGGGAGTGGCTATGTAGATTGAGATGATGCATTAGTCCCTGGAACATTATTAAATGTTGACTGAGATCATTGCCTGTGCATCCCTTCACTCCCCCCGTAACAATGATTCCCACATGCTTCTACATAGATACACTGCATTAAAACCCTAAGTTCAGTGAAAAATGTGAGACTCACAGCAAAGTCCATATAAATGGGAGAATCAGAATCCTTCTAGGTGGTTATTGTGAAGATCATTCACTTTGGCAGTGGGGGAAGTTCTGGGGGATTACATCCTGGTTCTGCTCTCAAGGATGAACACTTTTGCACTTATTTCTCTGGCCCTTGGCTCCACACTCTGGAAGATGCTTCCTTGTTTATTATTCTCCACGGCCCCATGCTAAGTGGGCATTGGAAAGTAAACCCTCCTAGGAGACTTCGCAGTTCAATTTATTTTTTTTGAGACAGAGTGTTGCTCTGTTGCCCAGGTTGGAGTGCAGTAGTGTGAACTCAGCTCACTGCAACTTCTACCTCCCAAGTTCAAGTGATTCTCCTGCCTCAGCCTCCTGAGTAGCTGCGATTAAAGGGACTGACCACCACGGGATTATAGGCATGCACCACCACACCTGGCTAATTTTTGTGTTTTAGTAGAGTTGGGAGTTTTACCATGTTGGCCAGCTGGTCTTGAACTCCTTGCCTCAAGTGATCCGCCCACCTCGGCCTCCCAGAGTGCTGGGATTACAGGTGTGAGCCACTGCGCCTGGCCCACAATTTAATTTGCAATAACTAACACTGGCTGGGTGTGGTGGCTTGCACCTGTAATCCCAATACTTTGGGAGGCCAAGGTGGGAGGATTGCTTGAAGCTAGTAGTTTGAGACCAGCCTGGGCAACATAACAAGACTCCCTTATCTACAAAAAACAAACAAACAAACAAAAACAATGAAAAATTAGCCAGGCATGGTGACACATGCCTGTAGTCTTAAGTACTTGGGAGGCTGAGGTGAGGGGATAGCTTAAGCCAGGGAATTTGTTAAAGTGAGCTGTGAGCTGCACTGCAGCCTGGGTGACAGAGCAAGACTCTGTCTCAAAAAACAAATAGAGTCCAGAGGTCAGGAATGGAAAAAGAAGTCAGAGACTCTTTGGTTTCCTGGCCTTGAAGAAGCAAGCTGCCACGGGTTCTACAGCTGCAAGAAAATGAATTCTGCAAGCAATCACATGAACTTGGAAGAGGACCCTGAACCTCAGGTTAGACTAAAGCCATGTCCATCCCCTTGATTGCAACATTGTGAGACTGTGAGCAGAGAACCCAGCTAAGCTGTGTCTGGAGTCCTGACCCACAGAAACTGAGAGCGAATAAACATGTGTTTTAAGCTACTAAATTTGTGGCAATTTGCTAGGCAATAGGAAACTAATATGCAGTTAGCATTTCCATTCTCTGGTACCTTCAACTACCCACCACCCCCAACCGCTTCCCTGCCCTTGGCTCTCTCTTATCAGCAATTAAATAAAGTTAAGTCTTTCTTGTCTTAAAAACCTATCCCTAGGCTGAGCGCAGTGGCTCACGCCTGTAATCCCAGCACTTTGGGAGGCCGAGGTGGGCGGCTTGGCTGAGGTCAGAAGTTCGAGACCAGCCTGGCCAACATGGTGAAACCCCGTCTCTACTAACAGTACAAAAATTAGCCGGGCATGGTTGTGGGCACCTGTAATCCCAGCTAATTGGGAGGCTGAGGCAGGAGAATTGCTTGAACCCGGGAGGTGGAGGTTGCAGTGAGCCAAGATGGTGCCATTGCACTCTAGCCTGGGAGACGAGAAAAAAACTCCGTCTCAAAAAAAAACAAAAAACTATCCCTAATCCAATGTCTTCCTGTAGTTACTGGTCCACCCGTTCTCCACATCATCACCAATATCTTAAAAGAGTAGGATATCAGACAGAAATTGCATATTGCTTACACAGGGGACTTCATCAAGATAGGGCCTCTTCTTTTTTCATTTTATTACTTTTAATTGACCCATAATAATTGTACATATTTTGGGGGGTCCAGTGTGATATTTAGATACATGTAAACAATGTGTAATTATCAAATCAGGGTAATTAGCATATCCACGATCTCAAACATTTATCATTTCTTTGTGTTGGGAACATTCAAAACCTGCTCTTCTAGCTATTTAAAAATATGCAATAAATTGTTGCCAATGATAGTCACTCTATTGTGGTATATAAAACTTGAGTTTATTCTTCCTAAGATAGGACTTCTTCTTTCATGTGACAAAAAGTCTAATGGCAGGTATCCCAGGGTTGTGGCCACAACTCAAAGAATGTCGTCAGTGTCCCTGGCTGCTTCTTTCTGCTGCTCAGTGTGTGGTTACTTTTATGACTCCCCCAATCATTTCAACTGCATCTCAGGCAGGTGCCTGCAGAGGTGATCTCCTCTTTAAGGAGCTATCTCAGACAGCCCACTCAATGACCTGCTTATATATCTGATTATATAGAACTGTGTCACATGGCAACATCACCTCTATAGGTCTTTGGGAAAGATAGTTATTAGTTGGGTACTTCCCTCAACAAATCTGGGCTTGGTTAGTGAGGAAGATGGCGTCATAGTCTGTTCGGGCTGCTATAACAAAATACCTTAGACTGGGTAATTTATAAACAATAGAAATTTATTTCTCACAGTTCTGGAGGCTTAGAGGTCCAAGATCCAAGATCAAGACACCAGCCGACTTGATGTCTGATGAGGGCTCCATTCCTCATAGATGGCACCTTTTTGCTGTGTTCTTACATGGTAGACGATGCAAAAGGGCTCCCTCAAGCCTCTCTTATTATGATAATTATTATTTTCGAGAAGGAGTCTCACTCTGTCACCCAGGGTGGAGTGCAGTGGCATGATCTCAGCTCACTGCAACCTCTGCCTCCCGGGTTCAATTGATTCTCCCACCTCAGCCTCTCAAGTAGCTGGGATTACAGGCACCCACAACCATGCCCGGCTAAGTTTTGTAATTTTAGTTGAGACAGGATTTTGCCATGTTGGCCAGGCTGGTCTCGAACTCCTGGCCTCAAGTGATCCGCCTGCCTCAACCTCCCAAAGTGCTGGGACTACAGGAGTGAGCCACTGCACCCAGCTCAAGCCTCTCTTATAAAGGCACTAATCCCATTGCCCTCATCACCTAATCACCTGCTAAAGACTTTCTTCTTAATACTATCACATTGGAGATTAAGTGTCAACACATGCATTTTTTGGGGGACAAACATTCAGATCACAGCAATCTATGTGCCTTGCTCTTGGACTTTGCAGCCTCAAGAACTGTGACTAAGGTATCTTGATATAGCAGCTCAAATGGACTAAGATGGTTGGAAAGAATGAATATTGGATCAAGAACTAGCCATCTATGCCAGCGTGGTTGCACTATCTTACCTTCCTTGAATTCCTTCATTCTTCAATCTATTTATTGTAGTCTGATTTGTGCCACCATGAAGCTTCTGAAATTACTCTTTTCAAAGTCATCAGTGTCTTCTTTGTTCCTGTGTCCTTTAGATCCTTTTGGTTTTCATGTTTTCCTTTCTTCGGCTCATATTTCTCCTCCAAGCTTCCAAATTACGTTTAAAAAAATTAACACTGGGCTGGGCGCAGTGGCTCATGCCTGTAATCCCAGCACTTCGGGAGGCCGAGGCGGGTGGATCACCTGAGGTCAGGAGTTCAAGACCAGCCTGGCCAACATGGTGAAACCCCGTCTCTGCTAAAAATAAAAAAAATTGGCTGGGTGTGGTGGTGTGCGCCTGTAGTCCTGGCTGCTCAGGAGTCTGAGGCGGGAGAGTCGCTTGAACTCAGGAGACAGAGGTTGCAGTGAGCCGAGATCACGCCACTGCACTCCAGCCTGGGAGACAGAGTAAGACTCTGTCTAAAAAAAACCAACCATACCGTGCTTTTGTTGTTCTCTGTCTCAATGAATGGCTCTACCCTTTCACTTGGTTGCCCAAGCCAGAAAGCTGTAATTGCACTGGTCCAGGTCACCATCTTCTCTCAATATTAGTTTGATGGTCTGCCAAACAATTTCTCTGACTTAAATCTCATTCATTTCAAATTCATTATTTATATAATGCAACTAAATTGCTTTTTGTGAAATCCGAATTTGATCATGTCACTCCCTCCTTCAAACTCTAATAGCTTCTCATTGCTATTAGGATAAATTTCAACAGTCTTGCAGGACCTCTACTTCTCTCTCTTGTTCTTTGTTGAAGCCATGCAGATCTTTTGGTTTCTCCAGTGTTTCATGCTTTCCCCCTCTTTTGCCAATGGGCTTTCATGTATGTGGTCCCTTTTACCTAGAAATTTGGAGTTCTCTTTTTTACTTTCACCTCCTGAGTGAATTGGCCAACTTGTACTTACCTTTCAACCCTTGGTTAAAAATATTTCTTTGATCCATTAAAATGGACTTAGGTGACGCTCTCTGGGTTTATTCCCATCAAATACACTTATCCTTCTGAATTGTACGTACCTGAGTATTGGTCTTGATTCCCCACTGGATTATAAGTTTCTGGGGTGCAGTGACTGTCTTTCTCATTCATCAATCAACCTCCAGAGTGTAGGTACTTTATTTTTGTCTAGCTTCTTTCACTCAGCATAATTATTTTGAGATTCATCCAGGCTGTTGCATGTTTCAATATTCATTTCTTTTTATTGCTGAGTATTATTCTATTGTATGACTATACTGCAAGATGCTGATCTATTCACTTGTTGAAGGACAGATGATATTTTTGCCAGTTTTCAACTACTACAAATAAAGCTGGCCAGGCGCGGTGGCTCATGCCTGTAATCCCAGCACATTGAGAAGCCGAGGCGGGTGGATCACGAGGTCAGGAGATCGAGACCATCTTGGCTAACACGGTGAAACCCCGTCTCTACTATAAATACAAAACATTAGCCGGCGTGGTGGCGGGCACCTGTAGTCCCAGCTACTCGGGAGGCTGAGGCAGGAGAATGGCGTGAACCCGGGAGGCAGAGCTTGCAGTGAGCCGAGATTGCGCCACCGCACTCCAGCCTGGGCAACAGAGCGAAACCCCGTCTCACAAAAAAAAAAAAAAAAAAAAAAAAAGCTGTTGTGAACATCTGTGTACAAAACTTTGTATGAATATGGAGACTTCAAAAACTTTGTGGAAAAATGGAATTAAAAGATAAATATTAAAAACGCAAACTTTATTTCCCAACATAAGCTCCATAAAGTTTAAGACACTTTTGTAAGCAATGATTCTAGCCATTTTGTCCATCCCTAAAGAACGGAGGGTACTGGGAATTTAACCATATTGATAATAGTCTTTTTTACACTAAAGAAGAAGAAAAATGGGTGCCCTTTAAATATATATATATATATACTTCTTGGTGGCAGGCGCGGTGGCTCATGCCTGTAATCACAGCACTTTGGGAGGCTAAGGCAGGCAGATCACTTGAGGTCAGGAGTTTAACACCAGCCTGGCCAACATGGCAAAACTCTGTCTCTCTACTAAAAATACAAAAGTTAGCTGGGTGTGGTGGTATGTGCCTGTTATCCCAGCTACTAGGGAGGCTGAGGCAGGAGAATTACTTGAACCCAGGAGGCAGAGGTTGCAGTGAGCCGAGATCATGTCTCTGCACTCTAGCCTGGGCAACAGCGTAAGCCTCCATCTAAAAAAATATATATATTATATGTATACACACACACACACACACACACACACACACACACACACACACAGAGCAAGAGAGAGAGAGAGACAGGATTGACCTTGCTCTGTTGCCCAGTCCAGAGTGCAGTAGCATGATCTAGGCTTACTGCAACCTCCATCTCCTGGGCTTAAATGATCCTTCCACCTCAGCCTCCTGAGTAGCTGGGACCACAGGCATGTGCTACCATGCCTGCCTAGCTTTTTGATTTTTCTGTAGAGATGGGATCTTGCTATTCATGACCAGGCTGGTCATGAATTCCTGGGATCAAGTGATCCTCCCACCTTGGCCTCCCAAAGTGCTGGGATTATAGGCCTTAAAGATTTTTTAAGATTAGGAAACAAACGATTTTTTAAGATTAGTAAACAAAAAGAAGTTAGGAGACAAGAAAAAGCCAAAGCAGCACTGTAAGTTGGATGCCTAATGATTTCCCTTCAAAACGCTCACAAAATATCCCTTGTTTGAGGAGAGGAATGAGTAGAAACACTGTTGTGGTGGAGAAGAACTCTCTGGTGAGGTTTTCTGTACATTATTCTCAAAACACTCTTGTAATAAGCAGATGTTATTGTTTTTTGGCTCTCCAGAAAGTCAACAAGCAAAATCCCTCCAGCATCTCAAAAAACGGTTGCCATGACCTTTGCTTGTGACCGGTCCACTTTTGCTTTGACTGGACCACTTCCACCTCTTGGTAGCCATTGCTTTGATTGTACTTTGTCTTTAGGATCGTACTGGTAAAGTTGTGTTCCATCTCTTTTTGCAGTCCTTTCAGAAAATGCTTCAGGGGCTTGATTCCATTTGTTTAAAATTTCCTTTGAAAGCTCTGCTCTTGTCTGCAGCTGATGTGAGTGAAATAGTTTTGGCACCCATTCAGTAGAGAGTTTGCTTGATTTTAATTTTTCAGTGGAATTATGTAAGCTGAACCAACTGAGATGTTTATAATATTTTTTTGTGGGGGTTCATACTTTCCTACAGCCTTGAACTCCTAGGCTCAAGTGATCATCTCGCCTCAGCCCCTGAAGTAGGTGGGAGCTGGCTACCGGCGTGTGTACCCACACCTGACTAATTTTTATATTCTTTTAAACAGACTGGATCTTACTGTGTTACCCAGGCTGGTCTTGAACTCCTGGCCCCAAGCCATTCTCCTACCTCAGCCTCCCACGTAAGCCTCCTGAGGGAATAAAGGTGTGAGCCACAGCACCTGGCTGGTATTGCCTATTTTTGTGCTGTTAATAGTTGGTCCTCTTCAATTAGGGCATGAACAAGATTAATTTTTCTCTTTACAAATTGAGCTGGAGGGTCTGCTGCTGTAGGCTTTTCTACATCATCTCGTCCTTTCTTTTTTCTTTTTTCTTTTTTTTTGAGATGGAGTTTCGCTCTTGTCACCCAGGCTGGAGTGCAATGGTGCAATCTCGGCTCACTGCAACCTCTGCTTCCCAGGTTCAAGAGATTCTCCTGCCTCAGCCTCCTGAGTAGCTGGGATTATAGGCATGTGCCATCGTGTCCAGCTAATTTTGTATTTTTAGTAGAGACAGGGTTTCTCCATGTTGGTCAGGCTGGTCTCGAACTCCTGACCTCAGATGGGCCCATCTCATCCTTTCTTAAAATGAGTTATCCATTTAAAAACTGCTGATTACTTTGGGGCATTGTCCCCATAAACGTCTCATTAAGCATCATCGATTTCACCATTCTTCCATCTAAGCATCTAAGCCTCACCATAAATATGATATTTGTTCTTGCTTTGATTTTTTTTTTTTTTTTTTTGAGACAGAGTCTCGCTCTTTCACCCAGGCTGGAGTGCAGTGGCACGATTTTGGCTTATTGCAAGCTCCGCCTCCCGGGTTCACTCCATTCTGCTGCCTCAGCCTCCCAAGTAGCTGGGACTACAGGCGCCCGCCACCACGCCCGGCTATTTTTTGGATTTTTATTAGAGACGGGGTTTCACCGTGTTGGCCAGGATGGTCTCAATCTCCTGACCTCGTGATCCACCAACCTCAGCCTCCCAAAGTGCTGGGATTACAGGTGTGAGCCAACGTGCCTGGCTGTTCCTGCTTTGATTTTAACAGAATTCATGTTGCTCTAATAGGGACTCTTTTCTTTTCTTTCTCTCTCTCTCTTTCTCTCTCTCTCTCTCTCTTTCTTTCTTTCTTTCTTGTCTCTCTTTCTCTTTCTCTCTTTCTTTCTTTCTCACAGAGGCTTGCTCTGTCACCCAGGCTGGAGTGCAGTGGCACGATCTCAGCTCACTGCAACCTTTACCTCTCTGGTTCAAGTGATTCTTTTGCCTCAGCCTCCCGAGTAGCTGGGACTACAAGCGCATGCCACCACGCCTGGCTAATTTTTGTATTTTTAGTAGAGACAGGGTTTCACCATGTTGACCAGGCTGGCCTCGAACTCCTGACCTCAAATGATCCATCCGCCTCGGCCTCCCACAGTGCTGGGATTACAGGCATGAGCCACCGCTCCCAGCCAGGGACTCTTTTCAAACTAATGTCTTATCCTTCTTAGTGCTTCAAACTAGATCCTGTTCAGACATGTTATAACAAGTCAATAGGAGTTAATTTTGGTACACAAAAAATGGAACTCCATGCAGTTTTTTCATAATACACATTTTCCATGAACATTTTCAAGTCTCCTTGTGTATTTTCTTTCCTTTTGGGTAAGTACTGAAGAGTGGAATGGCTGGATCATATGGCAGTGTATGATTAAGTGTTGATTTTAAGAACTTGCTGGCTGGCAAGGTGGCCAAATAGGAACAGCTCCCGTCTGCAGCTCCCAGCGAGATGGATGCAGAAGGCAGGTGATTTCTGCATTTCCAACTGAGGTACCTGGTTCATCTCACTGGGACTGGTTGGACAGTGGGTGCAGCCCACGGAGGGCATTGTCTCACTCAGGAAGCACAAGGGGTCAGTGGATCTCCCTCCCCAAGCCAAGGGAAGCTGTGAGAGACTGTACTGGGAGGAACGGGGTACTCCGGATCAGATACTGTGCTTTTCCCACAGTCTTCACAACCAGCAGACCAGGAAATTCCCTCCGGTGCCTACGCCACCAGGGCCCTGGGTTTCAAGCACAAAACTGGGTGGTCATTTGGGCAGATACTGAGCTAGCTGCAAGGGTTTTTTTTTTTTTTCATACCCCGGTGGCATCTGGAACACCAGCAAGACAGAACCGTTCACTCGCCTGGAAAGGGGGCTGAAGCCAGTGAGCCAAGTGGTCTGGCTCAGCGGGTCCCATCCCCACAGAGCCCAGCAAGCTAAGATCCACTGGCTTGAAATTCTCGCTGCTAGCACAGCAGTCTGAGGTTGACCTGAGATGCTCAAGCTTGGTCGGGGGGAGGGGCATCCGCCATTGCTGAGGCTTGCGTAGGCAGTTTTACTCTCACAGTGTAAACAAAGCTGCCGGAAGTTCGAACTGGGTGGAGGCCCTCTGCAACTCAGCAATGACACTGCAGCCAGACTGCCTCTCTAGATTCCTCCTCTCTGGGCAGGGCATCTCTGAAAAAAAGGCAGCAGCCCCAGTCAGGCACTTATAGATAAAACCCCCACCTCCCTGGGACAGAGTATCTGGGGGAAGGGGCAGTTGTGGGTACAGCTTCAGCTTACTTAAACGTCCCTGTCTGACACCTGTGAAGAGAGCAGTGGATCTCCCAGCACAGCGTTCGAGCTCTGATAAGGGACAGACTGCTTCCTCAAGTGGGTCCTTGACCCCCATGTATCCTAACAGGGAGACACCTCCCAGTAGGGGCCGACAGACACCTCATACAGGAGAGCACTGGCTGGCATCTGGCAGGTGCCCCTCTGGGATGGAGCTTCCAGAGGAAGGAACAGACAGCAATCTTTGCTGTTCTGCAGCCTCTGCTGGTGATACCCAGGCAAACAGGGTATGGAGTGGACCTCCAGCAAATGCCAGCAGACCTGCAGCAGAGGTTCCTGACTGTTAGAAGGAAAACTAACAAACAGAAAGGAATAGTATCAACATCAACAAAAAGGACGTCATCCGAAGGTCACCAACATCAAAGACGAAAGGTAGATAAATTCACAGAGATGGGGAGAAACCAGCACAAAAAGGCTGAAAATTCCAAAAACCAGAATGCCTCGTCTCCTTCAAAGGATCACAACTCCTCGCCAGCAAGGGAACAAAACTGGATGGAGAATGAGTTTGACGAATTGACAGAAGTAGGCTTCAGAAGGTCAGTAATAACAAACTCCTCCAAGCTAAAGGAGCATGTTCTAACCCAATGCAAGGAAGCTAGGAAACTTGAAAAAAGGTTAGATGAATTGCTAACTAGAAAAACCAATTTAGAGAAGAACATAAATGACCTGATGGAGCTGAAAAACACAGCACAAGAACTTGGTGAAGCATACACAAGTATCAATAGCTGAATCGATCAAGTGGAAGATGGGATATCAGAGACTGAAGATCAACTCAATGAAATAAAGTGAGAAGACAAGATTAGAGAAAAAAGAGTGAAAAGAAAAGAACAAAGCCTCCAAGAAATATGGGACTATGTAAAAAGACCAAATATATGTTTGATTGGTGTACCTGAAAGTGACGGGGAGAATGGAACCAAGTTGGAAAACACTCTTCAGGATATCATCCAGGAGAACTTCCCCAACCTAGTAAGGCAGGCCAACATTCAAATTCAGGAAATACAGAGAACACCACAAAGATACTCCTCGAGAAGAGCAACCCTAAGACACATAATCATCAGATTCACCAAGCTTGAAATGAGGAAAAAATGTTAAGGGCAGCCAGAGAGAAAGGTCGGGTTACCCACAAAGGAATCCCATTAGAAGGGGAAGTCCATTAGACTAACAGCGGATCTCTCGGCAAAAACCCTACAAGCCAGAAGAGAGTGGGGGCCAATATTCAACATTCTTAAAGAAAAGAATTTTCAACCCACAATTTCATATCCAGCCAAACTAACCTTCATAAGCAAAGGAGAAATAAAATCATTTTCAGACAAGCAAATGCTGAGAGATTTTGTCACCACCAGGCCTGCCTTATAAGAGCTGAAGGAAGCACTAAACATGGAAAGGAACAGCCAGTACCAGCCACTGAAAAACATGCCAAATTTTAAAGACCATCGACGCTATGAAGAAACTGCATCAGCTAATGGGCAAAATAACCAGCTAGCATCATAATGACAGGATCAAATTCACACATACCAATATTAAACTTAAATGTAAACAGGTTAAGTGCCCCAATTAAAAGACACACACTGGCAAATTGGATAAAGAGTCAAGACCCATTGGTGTGCTGTATTCAGGAGACCCATCTCATGTACAAAGACACACATAGGCTCAAAATAAAGGGATGGAGGAATATTTACCAAGCAGATAGAAAGCAAAAAAAGGCAAGGGTTGCAATCCTAGTCTCTGATGAAACAGACTTTAAACCAACAAAGATCAAAAGAGATAAAGAAGGGCATTACATAATGGTAAAGGGATCAATGCAACAAGAAGAGCTAACTATCCTAAATATATATGCACCCAATACGGGAGCACCCAGATTCATAAAGCAAGTTCTTAGAGACCTACAAAGAGACTTAGACTCCCACACAATAATAGTGGGAGACTTTAACACCCCACTGTCACTATTGGACAGATCAACAAGACAAAATTAACAAGGATATCCAGGACTGGAACTCAGCTCTGGACCAAGCAGACCTAATAGACATTTACAGAACTCTCCACCCCAAATCAATAGAATATACATTCTTCTCAGCACCACATCGCACTTATTCTAAAATTCTAATATTGTTATGTGTGAATTTGAACCTGTCATTATGAGGCTAGCTGGTTATTCTGCATAATTGGAAGTAAAACACTCCTCAGCAAATGCAAAAGAATGGAAATCATAACAAACAGTCTCTCAGACCATAGTGCAATCAAATTAGAACTCAGGATTAAGAAACTCACTCAAAACCTCACAGCTACATGGAAACTGAAAAACCTGTTCCTGAATGACTACTGGGTAAATAAGGAAATTAAGGCAGAAGTAAAGATGTTCTTTGAAACCAGTGAGAACAAAGACACAATGTACCAGAATCTCTGGGACTCATTTAAAGCAGTGTGTAGAGGGAAATTTATAGCACTAAATGCCCACAGAGAAAGCAGGAAAGATCTAAAATCAACATTCTAGCATCACAATTAAAATAACTAGAGAGGCTGGGCACGGTGGCTCACGCCTGTAATCCCAGCACTTTGGGAGGCCGAGGCGGGCGGATCACGAGGTCAGAAGATGGAGACCATCCTGGCTAGAATGGTGAAACTCCATCTCTACTAAAAATACAACAAATTAGCTGGGCATGGTGGCAGGCACCTGTGGTCCCAGGTACTCGGGAGGCTGAGTCAGGAGAATGGCGTGAACCCGGGAGATGGAGCTTGCAGTGAGCTGAGATCACACCACTGCACTCCAGCCTGGGCCACAAAGTGAGACTCCATCTCAAAAAAAAAAAAAAAAAAAAAAAAAAAAAAAAAAAAAAAAAAAAAAAAAAAAAAAAAAAAACCAACAAAACTAGAGAAGCAAGAGCAAACAAATTCAAAAGCTAGCAGAAGACAAGAAATAACTAAGATCAGAGCAGAACTGAAGGAGGTAGAGACACGAAAAACCCTTCAAAAAAATTAATGAATCCAGGAGCTGTTTTTTTGAAAAAGATCAACTACATAGATAGACCACTAGCCAGACTAATGCAGAAGAAGAGAGAAGAATCAAATAGATGCAATAAAAAATTATAAAGGGGATATCACCAACAATCCCACAGAAATACAAACTACCATCAGAGAATACTATAAAAACTTCTACGCAAATAAACTAGAAAATCTAGAAGAAATGGATAAATTCCTGGACACATACACTCTCCCAAGACTAAACCAGGAAGAAGTCGAATCCCTAAACAGACCAATAACAAGTTCTGAAATTGAGGCAATAAGTAATAGCCTACCAACCAAAAGAAGTCCAGGACCAGACAGATTCACAGCCGAATTCTACCAGAGGTACAAAGAGGAGCTGTTACTGTACTTCCTAAAACTATTCCAAACAACAGAAAAAGAGGGAATCCTCCCTCCTTCGTAAAACTCATTTTACGAGGCCAGCATCATCCTGATACCAAAACCTGGCACAGACACAACAAAAAAAGAAAATTTCAGGCCAATATCCCTGATGAACATCGATGCGAAAATCTTCAATAAAATACTAGCAAACAGAAGCCAGTAGCACATCAAAAAGCTTATCCACCACTATCAAGTTGGCTTTATCCCTGGGATAAACACTTTGGGAGGCTGAGGTGGGAGGATTGCTTGAGCTCAGGAGTTCGAGACCAGTCCGGCCAGGGAAAATAGTGAGATATATCCCCCAAGAAGCTCCCCACTGCCCCCCCGCTCATCTCTGCCAAAAATACAAAAAATTAGCTGGGCGTGGTTGTGCGTTCCTGAGGTCCCAGCTACTCAGAAGGCTGAGGTGGGCGGACCCCTTGAACCCAGGAGGCGGAGGTTGCGGGGAACGGAGATGGCGCCACTGCACTCCGGCCTGGCTGACAGTGAGACCCTGTCTCAAAAACAAAGCAAAAAAAAAAACAACAACAAAAAAAACCAAACAAAAAAAATTTTATTTCAGTACATAGTAATTCCTTGGGTACATTTTACGTCCGTTTTCTTGTCTTTTCCCTTGATTATCCATTCTGTTAGCATTTCCCTCCTTTGACTATCAGGAAAAGCAACAGTTTATGCTAACAATGCATGCTAACGGTGCCAACAGTGCTGGCCTGTGGAAACACTGGTTTTAAACCCTATGCAGCATAATGTCATTTGAATAACGGCAACCAGAAACTTCTCTTACAGTCTTCGAATCTTCCTTTGAAGGTTGTATTTTGTAATTAGGGACTGAATTTTTTCGTGAGTGGAGGCAATTATTAATGAGCAAAGTTTGGAGTCTGCCTATCACCCTAATTCTGCATAAAGTCAAGACACACCTTCTAAAAGTCTTTACCGTTGCTCACAACATTCCATACCATGCTGTTCAGCTTAAAAACACACTACTAACCTGCTCTGTCTGGTTTGAAATGTTTTCAATTTACACACAAATACAGATCGCCCTGAATTTGTGAATGTATTTCTACCTTCGTTAAAAAAGAAGACTAAAAGAATATGGAATCCCTAATTCACATTTAGTTCGCCTAGGAAAACTAGCAGTTAGTGAAAAACTGGCCACATCACAGCCGCACAGCTCCAGCAGCCCGGGTAGCTTCCCCACCCTCACTTTCTCCAGCCCCGCCTCCAGGACGGCCTAACCGCTTTCCTCATAGCTCATTGGGCGCGCGGCACCACCGGGCGGCAACTCCAGGGATCCGCCCCTGGGCCCGCCCCTCCATCGCCCGGGGCTGGGGTTGGGCAACCGTCCGCCCTTTTTCTAGACCGCGCGCATGCGCACTCTCCTTGGACCCTGGAGAGACGCTTAGGGATCAGTTTTCTCCTCCTTTCTTCCCGCGATCGCGCGGCTCTCTGGAAGCCTTCCCACTCTATTATTGCCGAGGATCCCCCTCCTAGACACTCTGAGAAGGTGCCGCTCCGGCCTTGGGTACGGCGGTACCCGGATGTGGAGTCGCTCTCGCCCGGCTGGGACTCTGTGGCGGGGCGGAGCGCGGCGGCTGGTGCGGGGGCAGAGAGAAGGGGGCCTGAGGGCCCGGGCGCTCGCCGGACGCCGGGAGGTACCACCGCTGCCCACGGGGGAGGAGGCGGCGCCGGCGCTTGGGTGCCCGCCCCCGAGCGAGGGGCCGGGGTGGCAGAAAGGCCGGCAGTTAAGCTTGCTCCCCGCCGCCCCCCTCGGGCTAGCCTCCCCCGGCCCCCTGCGCTCCTCGCGCTGCCGGCCGGGGGAGAGCGTGGTTTCCTTGCGGCCGTCGCTGTAGCCTGGCCGGGGAGCCCGGAGGAAGCGGGAGAGTCCCCGCCCACGGCCCCCTCCCCTCTGCCCGCTCTCCGCCGCCGCCTCCGAGCAGCCGCGGGCCGCCCTCCACTCCGAGCGGGGGGCGCGGCGGCGACAGCTGGGCAGCGGCTTTGGGCTCCGCGGGGACCGCGCCGCCGCCCCCGTGAGTTATTCTCACGTCCCCCGGGGCTCGCTGCCGCCCCCGCCGACGCCTAGAGTCCGGCCCGGGCCCAACTCCCTCACGGGCCCCCCGGCGGCAGCGGCGGCGGCGGCGGCGGCAGCGGCGGAGCCCACCGCCCGGGCCCCGATGAGTAACTCCCGGAATAACCGGGTGATGGTGGAAGGGGTTGGCGCTCGGGTAGTGCGCGGCCCGGACTGGAAGTGGGGGAAGCAGGACGGCGGCGAGGGCCATGTGGGCACCGTCCGGAGCTTCGAGAGCCCCGAGGAGGTGGTGGTAGTGTGGGACAACGGCACAGCTGCCAACTACCGCTGCTCCGGGGCTTACGACCTCCGCATCCTGGACAGCGCGCCCACCGGTAAGCCGCGGCCACCTGGCCAGGGCTTGCGCGCGCGGGGGGAAGGGGCGAGCTGCGGTGGGCGTCGGTGTCGCGGGGAGAGGTCTGCAGTGGGACACCTGGTGGGCAGCGCCCGGCTGGAGCGAGCGGAAAGGCAAAGCGCCAAAGGAATTCTAGGTTCCGAACGGGTGAACAAACACTTTCAGAAAAGACCCTCTACCCCCAAGGGAAATGATGGCAGCACCATCACCGGGATGCTTTCAAGCCTGGAAGACACAAAGCACCGGGAAGAGAACAGACACAGGTCCCCCAACCCGACTCCTCCTCTTGGGAAGGGGTCTGGAGAGGCCTATCTAATAAGCCATTGAAATTAATCAGCCACCAAGTGATAACTGTCTGAAGGGAGGCTTGCTTTGCCATATGGTGCTCAGCTGACCGTTTATAATTGCCAAGGGGCCTTGGTACCTCGGATTTGTGGAGATGCCTTTTTTTTTTTTTTTTTTAACCTCCTGTGACACAGAATTACTTGGAGTTCAGTAGCCAAATGTTACTTGGGACTCTGGAATGATTTTTCATCCAAATTGTTCTATTTTATATCTTTATATCAATAGAGAGAAAAACATCCTGAGCTCTTGAACCATTTCTTTGTGTTAAATACTTTTTCCAAGTGGCAGATCGGCGTGGGGGACACCTGATGTTATTTTTTGTTACACTAACGTCCGTCTCAGTAAGGTGATGTCAGAATCTTACTCATTCACCCAGCAGTGAGTCAGGGTCCTTGATTAGTGAATCTTGATTAGTGAATTTTAGGGGTCTGTTATTGACGCTAGAGTTTCTAAATGATTAAACCAAAGGCTTGCTTTCACAAAATAAATAACAAATTCATTTTCATATAGATTCATCTTTGGTATTATTTATCCTTGATATTTATCCTTGATTCTGTAGAAAATAGTTCACATTTAAAATTGGGTACTTTTCAGAATTCCTAAATGAGCTACTTCTAAGACATTGAGTTTGGCAAAGCCTTACAAATCTTGGAATGGGCTCACAGTTATTATCAGTAGCAATAAAGAAATTAACACAAGCCAACTCAGTTTTTGAACAGATAATTCGTAAAATTGTGTTCCTTAGCTGGCTTTTTAAAAACATTTATTAAAAAAAATTTTTGTTTTAGAGACAGTTGTCTCGTTTTATTTCTCCGGCTGGTCTGGAACTCCTGGCCTCAAGCAACCCTCCTGTCTCAGCCTCCCAAAATGCTGGGATTACAGGAGTCAGCCACAAGGCCAGGCTTCAGATAGCTTTTTGAATATTAAAAAGGGTGTATGTACATGACTAGAAGAAAATGAAAAGATTCAACAGCACAAAAAGGGGCAGCCATTGTTACCAGTTTTTTGTGTAGTCTTGCAGAATACTCTATTGCATGGCAAGCATGTGTGTGACTATACTATAAATCTAATCCCCTTTTAAGTGCAAATGATAATAAACTATATTCACTCCTCTGCACTTTCGTTTCTTTCACTAAATTATATTGGTGATTGTTCCATTGTTTCATGGCTGCATAGTATTCCAGTGATTGGATACGGTGATTTATCTAACCAGGACTTTATCGATGGGCGTTTTATTATTTCATGTTTTCTTTACAATGATGCAGTGAATATATCCTTGTACATATATCCTTGTGTATATGTGTTGAGTATTTCTGAAGAAGTGGAATTGCTGCATCAAAACATTGCACATATTTAACATTTTGGTAGATGTTGACTAATTGCTTTTTGAAGACGTTTTGTGAGTTGAAACTGCCAGCAACAGTGTTTGAGGCCTATGCCTAATTTCTGCCTACTCTTTTTTTTTTTGAGACAGGGTTTTGTTTTGTTACCTGCAGCCTTGAAGTTTTGTTGTCGTGCTAGCTCAAGCTAAAGTCTGACCACAACCCTTATTTGGAGGAATTCTTGGTATCAGTAATTGTAGCTTTATGAGGAAATTTAAGTATCTAGGGTAAAGTGTAACAGATTCTTTACTACGGTGATTTTTGAAGGGACATTAATGTTATCTATATGTTTGTAGTATGGGGTGTATCTATCATATTAATAGTTTTATTATCTTAATATAAACGTAGATGTTTTTCAGAAGTAACTGTTTTAGAATCTTAGTTTAATAAGATAATTTTATACATTAATTTGTTATATGTAGTGGTTTATCTTGTTCATTTGGTCTTTTAACAAACATTTTAAGAGCAGGATAGCCAACCTTCATATGAAATACTTGTTGAAATATATTTTAATTTCAACCTTTTAAATTCTTCAGGGTTTTTTTTTTTTTTTTTTTTTTAGAACTGAGCAAAATTGTAAGCTCCTGGCTCTTGTTTTGCCCCAGGACTATAATACTACTTTCAGTGTTTTCCTTTTTCTTCAAAATATTTAATAATCAGTGTTCACTGACATTTTATTACATTCTATAAGATTACTCAATATTTATTAAGTACTTGATATTTATTTGCATAATATTAACATTTTAAAAATTAACTTTTGTTTTTGAAACAATTGTAGTCTTCCAGAAAAATTACAAAACTAGTAAGAGTTGCCTTTTGCCCTTTACCCACCTTCTTCAGCTGTTAATATCTTAGCAAGTACAATGATCAAAACCAGAAAATTAACACTAATACGGTAATACTGTATTAACTAATCTATACACCTTATTCAAATTTTATTTATTCAAATTATATGCAGTGGTTATTATTAGTGTCCTACTAGTATTCTTTTTCTCATCCAAGATCACACGTTGCATTTAGTGGTCTCTTCCAATCTGGGTGAGTTCCTCAGTCTTTAGTCAGTGTCAAAGTAATGAAAAACAATCTTGTTATCTCTCAAATTGGGTGTTTCTGCTGCTTTTTCATGATTAAATTCAGATTATGTATTTTCGGCAAGAATATCATAGAAATGATGTTTTGCCCTTGTTAGTGCATCGTACCAGGAGGTACATGGTGTTCGTATGTCTCATTAATTATAGCGTTAACTCGGCTAGGTCACCAGGAATTTTACCAACTGTTGCTTTTGTACCAGCAATGTGATGCCAGTATGAAAAAGATAACTTGTATCTTACATATTATTGTGAAAATACTTTTGACTTCATGAAGTCCCTCAAAGGGTCTTGAGGATTTCCCTAGAGGTTGAAGAATAACACTTTAAAAGTCACTGCCCTGGAGAGAATCTCTATTTGAGCACATAGAAGCTTGTATAAGAATGTTCACAGCAGTTACTATGGTTTTGAGATAAATAAAATTTAAAAAAGAATGTTCACAGCAGTGTTGCATGTAAAAACAGAAAATTGGAAAAAACTTAAATGTACCTTAGCAGGAGACTGGATAAGTTGTATGAATTTGTATAGTGCAGTACTGTATAGAAGAGAATGTTAAGCAAATAAAGTAAGTTGCAAAAGAAAACCTACGGTCTGTTAAAGTGCGGAACAAAACTATTTTAGGGTAGGGTTTTGCAGCCTTGGCACTATTGACATTTTGAATTGGATAGGATAATTTTTTGTTATAGGAATGTCCTGTGCATTGTAGGCAGGCATCCCTGGCCTCTACCCATTAGCAGCAGTAGCACCCCACCTCCTTGTGGCAACCCACAATATCTCCAGACATTGCCAGATGTCCCCTAGTGGGGGCAAAATTGCTCCCAATTGAGACTCATTGGTTTAGGGATATGTACATGCGTGGTAAAAGTATGCCACGTAAAGGTAAGATAAACACTAAATTTAAGAGAGTGGGACATCCTTATGGTGAAGGGAGTGGAGAGCACGATTGGTGGAAGTACACCAGGGGCATTTAAGTATTTTGGTAATGTTCTGTGATTAAACCTACCCCATGGTGAGTGCATAGGTGTTAAACACACACACACACACACACACACACACACACACAAAATTTTATTTTTTTTGAGACAGTCTCCCTCTGTGGTCCAGGCTGGAATGCAGTGGTGTGACCTCGGCTCACTGCAACCTCCGTCCCCCAGGTTCAAGCAATTCTCCTGTCTCATCCTCCTGAGTAGCTGGAATTACAGGCATGCACCACCACACCTGACTAACTTTTGTATTTTTGGTAGAGACGGGGTTTCACCATGTTGGCCAGGCTGGTCTCGAACACCTGACCTCAAGTGATCCATAGCCTCAGCCTCCCAAAGTGCTGGGATTACAAGTGTGAGCCACCACACCCAGCCCTTTCTATATTTTTGTGTGTGTCATATTTTTGTACTTAATTTAAAAAAAAGCCTTATATTTATCAGAGGGAGAACTGAGGTTGCCTTTGATTATTCATCATTTGTTCCCTAGTTCCACCTATATTATATGAATAGAAAATTTATTGCAGTATGATTGGGAATTAAGAAATGGGTAACCTTCAGCATAAGATTCCTTGCAACTTTTCTGGGAGTTAAGGATTCTGGAGTGGTTGGATCATTGTGAATCTTTCTGATACGATTTTTCTCACTACATTTTGAAGATTTTGTCTGGGAGTTGTATGCGGGTCTCTAATATTTTGGCATATCAGCTTTATTTTTTCTTTCAGGACACACATGATATGTTTGAATTTATGGTCTAGGATAGTTAAACTTTGCAGAGAGGAGCATTTAGTATCTGTTTGAGTGATATAACGTCTGTCTTGTTTCGAGATTCATTTGGCTCATTTGTAGTGAGCAAGAAGATTTTGGGACTATATGGGATGTTATTTAATTAGTTTGGACTAATTTTGTAAAGTCTGTAGTCAAGTAGGTATAGTTGACTTTTTATCATCTAGGCACTGATTTTATAGGAGTTGGAGAAAAATGTGTTTTTATTTATGCTTGCTTTGTGTTCACTTGACTACAGTGTTGTATTGTTACCAGAGATAATGGAGAAAATGAATGTAGATTTCCTGTTAAGGTTCTGTCATTCTTCGTGTCGATAATACAGAGTTAGAGGTATAGAAAATCAGCTTTATTCAAAACCAGCTTCTGGTCATAGTTCATTCAAACTGTTTTGGGGGTAGTTCTTTGTCCTTGTCTTTGACCGCTAGCAAAGAATGCCTCTCCAGTCATACGTGGAAAAACTTCTCAGATGTTTTGTATTCAGTTGAAGGTTTAAAAGGGCTGACCCTGGATTAAAAAAATGAAATGAATTAATAATCCTCAGCTTTTCTTTATCAGAATAGAGTCCCCTATTCTGATCTGTTTCTAGAACCACAGTAGAAAGGGGTATTTGTCAGGACACAAAGCCGTAGGAAAAAACAGGATTTGAGGGAACAATGTTTGGGGAGCAGGATGCCACACCTGGAAAGGATGAAATATCACAAAATGTTTTTTATTAATGACATCTGCAAGGAAAACTTTATTTCCTCATAGATCCTACCTATTTTAAAGGCTTCTGTAAAATGTCTTTCTTATTTTATTTCCTCCACTAAAACAATGTTGTAAATTATGAAAGTCTATCTAGTTCTTAATAGTCCCTGTAGATTGCAGCTTGGTTGAGCTGAGGACTTCAAGAAATCAACTAGTAGACCCCTGTGTCAGTACTTCTCAAACTTAAAGCACACAGATCACCTGGGGACCTTTTAAAATGCAGATTCTGGTTCAGTAAGTTTGGGATTCTGCGAGAGTATTTCTAATAAGCTCATAGGTGATGCAGATACTGCAGGCTCAAGGACACACTTTGAATAGCAGAGTACTAAGTGACTATTTGTCTACTTGAGATGCCCTGCGTTTCTGTTTTCTCCTTTTCCTTTCAACAGATTCCAAGCCTTGATTGTTTGTTGGTAATACATGTCTTTAAAACTAGATTGGCATTATTAGTTGGGGAGAAGAGAAGTGTGTACAACTGAAATAAAGGAGCATGTAACACCTTTCTAATATATGTACTTTTTGTAAGTGTAATGCTATCTTAATGTGTATTTTCGATCCTATACTTTCCAGCCTGTCCCTCTGATTAGATTAGCTATTTCTTTTTGAATGTGTTCCCAGGTAGCCACCCACCAGGGTCTCTCCTCCACCCTCTATAATTGCTAGCTAGTGTGATATCCCCACATGTGTGCTTTCATCTGTTAAAGCAGGGTATGCTGTGTTGTAATTGTCTTTTGCACTAGATTATTAGTTTAAGGGAAAGGGTCTGTGTTATTCTTGTATCTCCATTTTCTAGCAGAACCATGTCTCTGGATGAGTATTTTCTGAATCAGACACACTTTTCAAAGAGCTTTTGACTCATTGGATCAGAGATTAGATAGATATTATCCTAAAACAAGATAAAAGGAAACTCAGATTCAGAGAGATTAAGAAATTTGTCCAGTCACAAAGCTGGTGAGTGGCAGATAGTAGGGATGAATGCCAGTTGATTGCTTTTCCTCAGTATCATTCTCTTTTTCTTTTATAGTATAGTGGTTCAGAAACATGACCACCTGTAACACTTTGCTTGTGGGAAAATTGATAATGAAATGTAAACCAATTTAGAAATGAAACTTTGTGATACATCCTGTTGTAAATTGTTCAGTGCTCTTTTCAAAACCATTCTTTTTTTGCTTTGCTTTGCTTTTCTTCCTCTCTCCCTCCCTCCCTCCCTCTCTCCCCCCTCCCTCTCTCCCCCCTCCCTCTCTCCCTCTCTCCCTCTTTCCCCCCTTCTCCCTTTCTCTTCTTTCTTTCTGGAGTTTCACTCTTGTCCCCCAGGCCAGAGTGCAGTGGTGCAGTCTTGGCTCACTGCAACCTCTGCCTCCTGGGCTCAAGCCATCTTCCCACCTCAGCCTTTTGAGTAGCTGGGACTACAGGTGCGCACCACCATGCACAGCTAATTTGTGTATTTTTTTGTAGAGATAGGGTCCTGCCGTGTTGCCCAGGTTGGTCTTGAACTTGTGAGGTCAAGTGATCCATCTGCCTTGGCCTCCCAAAGTGCTGGGATTACAGCTGTGAGCCATCATGCCCAGCCTTTTTTTTTTTTTTTTTTTTTTTAAAGAGTTTCACTCTGTTGCCCAGGCTGGAGAGCAGTGGTGTGATTATAGCTCATTGCAACCTCGAATTCTTGGGCTCAGGTGATCCGCCTACCTCAGCCTCCCGAGTAGCTAGGACTATAGGTGCACACCACCAAGCCTGGCTAATTTTTTTTTATTTTTTATTTTTCTTAGAGTTGAGGTCTTGCTGTATCACCCAGGCTGGTCTCAAACTCTTGGCCTCAAGTGATCCTTCAACCTCAGCATCCCAGATTGCCTGGATTACAGGCATGAGCCACTGAGCCCTGCTTGTTTCTTTCTAGTGTGTCTTTTTTGCACAGCTAAGGTTTTACTGTATACATAGTTTGTTTCATTCTTTTTTTTCCACTTGACGTGTGTTTTCTGTATTCCTTATAAATAATCTAATATGTACTTCCTATATGGTAAAATAAGGTGACATTTATGTCTTAACTACTTAGAGAGAAATATATATGTATTTCCATATAGGTATGCCATATGTACTGTTCTTCAGCTTTCTTTTTAAATGAATATTGTCTTGGACATCTTGCAGTGTTAGCACATAAGAATCTGTCTTATTCTTTTTGGTCGGTACATAGTATTTAATAGTTAAAAAATATATTACTTAACTATTCTTTTGATAGACATTTATAGTGTTTTCTTTTTTGTCATTTTAAACAACACTGCAACAAGTATCTTTGTGTATACATACCTTTGTGTACTAATTTTTAGCTTTTAAATTAATTTGTTACAGGAATTTCTGTTATAAATGACATGGCTAAATATTGTCCTCACTGACTTTGAGAACATTTGTCTTTTAATAGAGGAATTTAACTTGTTCATATGTATTGTGACAACTGATACATTTTTTCTAATTACTGCTACCTTACTCTTTTTTTTTTTTTTTTGAAATGGAGTTTTCCTTTTATTGCCCAGGCTGGAGTACAATGGCGCGATCTTGGCTCATCAAAACCTCTGCCTCCCAGGTTCAAGTGGTTCTCCTGCCTCAGCCTCCCAAGTAGCTGAGATTACAGGCATGCCCCACCATTCCCGGCTAATTTTTTGTATTTTCAGTAGAGACCGTGTTTCCCCATGTTGGTCAGGCTGGTCTCGAACTCCCGACCTCAGGTGATCCACCCACCTCAGCTTTCCAAAGTGCTGGGATTACAGGCATGAGCCATCACACCTGGCTGCTACCTTACTTTTTAACTTTCCAGTTTTCTTGTATTTTTTTTTTTAACCAGTGAGTTAGAAATTTTATCACCTTTTTTTCTGCTCTGCTAATTATTACCTTTTAATATTTAACAAACAGATTGAAAAATTAGGTTTTTTTTGCATGTAGAAAAACTAAACAGTCTCTTTAATTACTCCTGCCCATACTTCTTTCTTTATTTTTTTGAGGTGGAGTCTCACTCTGTTGCCCAGGCTGGAGTGCAATGGCATGATCTCAGCTCACTGCAACCTCTACCTCCTGGGTGCAAGCAATTCTCCTACTGGGTGCAAGCGATTCTCCTACCTCAGCCTCCTGAGTAGCTGGGATTACAGGCGGGTGCCACCATGTCCAGCTAATTTTTGTATTTTATTTTTATTTTTTTTGAGACGGAGTCTCGCTCTGTCGTCCAGGCTAGAGTGCAGTGGCAAGATCTCAGTTCACTGCAAGCTCCGCCTCTCGGGTTCATGCCATTCTGCTGCCTCAGCCTCCTGAGTAGCTGGGATTACAGGCGCATGCCACCATGCCCCGCTAACTTTTCATATTTTTAGTAGAGACGGGGTTTCACCGTGTTAGCCATGATGGTCTCCATCTCCTGATCTTGTGATCCGCCCGCCTCGGCCTCCCAAAGTGCTGGGATTACAGGCGTAAGCCACCACGCTCGGCCTAATTTTTTGTATTTTTAGTAGAGATGGGGTTTCACCATGTTGGCCAGACTGGTCTGGAACTCCTGACCTCAGGTGATCCACCCGCCTCAGCCTCCCAAAGTCCTGCGATTACAGGCGTGAGCCACTGCGCCCGGCCATCTCCTGCCCCACACCTCTTACCTTTTTCATTGTGTTGGTTTTATGTAAATTTTCAGGAAAATTAGTCCCAAATTTTTGTTTGCATTGTCCTTTCTCCCCAACCATACTCCTGTAAATATATGCTTCTTTTTATGTTGTAAGATTTGCTCAGCTGGGCACAGTGGCTGACGCCTGTAATCCTAGCACTTTGGGAGGCTGAGGCAGGCAGGTTGCTTGAGCCCAGGGATTTGAGACCAGCCTGGACAACATGGCAAAACCCCATCTCTACAAAAAAATATAAAAATTAGCCCACCATGGTGGTGTGTGCCTGTAGCCCCAGCTATTTGTTGGTGAGGCTGAGGCAGGAGGATCAGTTGAGCCTGGGAGGCAGAGGTTGCAGTGAGCTGAGATCATGTTACTGCACTCCAGCCTGGGTGACAGAATGAGACCCAGTCTCAAACAGAGGGGAAAAAAAAAGAAAAGAAAAAGATTGGCTCATAAAATTGCATTAAACGTCACAGTTATTATTATTATTTTATTTATTTATTTATTTTGAGACATAGTCTCTGTTGCCCAGGCTGGGGTGCAGTGGCACGATCTTGGCTCACTGCAGCCAAGTGATTCTCCTGCCTCAACCCTGCAAGTAGCTGTAACTACAGGTGTGCATCACCATGCCCAGCAAATTTTTGTATTTTTAGTAGAGATGGGGTTTCACCATGTTGGCCAGGCTGGTCTCTGGAGCTCCTGACCTCAAGTGATCATCCACCTCTGCCTCCCAAAGTGCTGGGATTACAGGCGTGACCTGCCACACCCAGCTCACAGTTATATTATTAATAATTAATTGGATTTAAAATTGTAGTTCTTTCTTATTACTGCTGCTTATACTATATCTCATGTCATTCCCTTCTCATTTTATTGGGGGAAAAATCCTTTCCCCTTCCTTTCTTTCTTCCCTTTTCTTCCCTTCTTTTCTTTCTTTCTAGTAGTTTGAGTCCTTGCAGGCCTGAAAATTGCTTTATTTTGCCACACTGTCTCTCTCACCCCTAAACCTGACTGATATTTGGTTGAATATGCAATTCTAGATTCAAAATATTTTTCTGTCAGAACTGCCTCCTTGTTCTAGCATTTAATGTTGGATATGAGAAGTCCTATGCTTGTCCATGCTGTGGTTATTTGATTAACTTAATGTAATACCACTGTTGGACATTAATAGGTTTTTGGGACTCTGTGTGTTTGTGTGTGTGTGTACACAATATGTCACAGGTAGTTTATTATATATAATTATATTTAGCTTCTTGTAAGAAAACATATTAGTCCCATGAAAGAGTTTTTGTTGTTAAAGCAAGTAATTGAGCTTCATATAAGGCTGTCAGATCCTCCAGCTTGAGCTGGTCAGCCTTTACTATTGTAGTAGTACTGGGGTCGTTTTATCTTTTATTCTTTATTCCAAACACATTGGCTCAAAGTCCCAGCTCTGCTCTTGAGGACAAGCTCTGCCCTCAGCAGAAGATGTGACATTGTCATATCTGCTCAACTATCATATAATAGTATTCAAATTACTGAAATGTTACATGCTTTATAAAGTTTTTTTTTAATGAGGAAAATTGCCCAATTAATATTTATGTTTGTATGTGGTCATGGATAATTATGTTACCTGATAAGGGAGAAAATTTTCAGTTAGCAGTTAGAATTGGGTCAGCCAGCTTTTTCCTTTAGGAAATAAATGGATTAGATAAATTTAAGTATAAATATTCCTCTGGCTTTGAAAAAGCTAATAACTAAAGCTATTCATACAACGAACTCATGTAACCTGGGAAATACACATGAAACAAAAGATATCTTTTCACTTCAATTAGATTGACAAAAATTAAAAGTCTAATTATAGTATGTATTAATGAAGAATATAAGGAAACAACTCTCCAGGCCTTGTGGTACAGTAAATCCGTACAACCACTTTGAGAAGCAACTTGGCAACATCTTGTAAATTAAAAAACAAAAAACAACAAAAAACACATGTTCTGCAGCTGAAAACATCTTCCAGGTGTATGTTCATGAGATTCTCAGGCACATATTTACAAAGATATGTATGAAGAAATTCATTGCAATATTGTTTATTAAAAATAATAATTGAGGAATTAAAAGTTTATATACAGACTAATGAAAACATAAGTAAAATATTAGCAGTTAAAATGGAAGAATTAGATGTGTGTTTGCCAAATACATGTTGAGTGAAAAAGCAAGTTTCAAAGGGCTAACATAGATACTGTGCTTTTTCTTTTTTTTCTGCCCCCTCCCTACCCCAATACTGTGCTTTTAAAGTACATTTTTGAAAGACTAAAAAATTATTTATGGAAAAATATATGTAGAAAAAGGATGAGTAGACTGAAGGGATTAAACCTTCAGAATGATATTTTGGTATTTTGTTTCTCAAAATATTCTTTATTTTTATTTATTTATTTTTGAGATGGAGTTTTGCTCTTGTTGCCCAGTCTGTAGTGCAGTGGCATGATCTCGGCTCACTGCAACCTTGGCTTCACAGGTTCAAGCGATTCTCCTGCCGCAGCCTCCTAAGTAGCTGGGATTACAGGTGCCTGCCACTACACCTGGCTTATTTTGTATTTTTAGTAGAGACGGGGTTTCACCATGTTGGCCAGGCAGGTCTTGAACTCCTGACCTCAAGTGATCCACCTACCTTGACCTCCCAAAGTGTTGCGATTACAGTGTGAGCCATCATGCCCAGCCTGAAAATATTTTTTTTTGTTAAATGAGATGAGACCAATTTGATTTCATTTTTGAAAATTTCAGTTTAATAGTAAGTCAAGTCTAAGTTTTGTTTGTTTCAATTCTTGGTTTTACTGGATGCTGTAGCTCAAAAAGAGACCTCAAAATGACAGATCATAGATCCTAATAAAAGGAGTGCATTTCTTTTTCTTTCTTTCGTTTTTTTTTGAGATAGAATTTTGCTCTTGTTGCCCAGGCTGGAGTGCAGTGGCGCGATCTCAGCCCACTGCAACCTCTGCCTCCCAGGTTCAAGCAATTCTCCTGCCTCGATCTCCCAAGTAGCTGAGATTATAGGCGCCTGCCACCACACCCAGTTAATTTTTTGTGTTTTTATTAGAGACAGGATTCCACCATGTTGACCAGGCTGGTCTTGAACTCCTGACCTCAGGTGATCCACCTGCCTCAGCCTCCCAAGGTGCTGGGATTACAGGTGTGAGCCATGGCGCCTGGCCAAAAAGTGCATTTCTGATGGATGTATGCTGATTATTAAACTCACCTCCTAACCCCCATCTCTGCCCTGTGAGGCTGGACTGGTTCTGCACACTGTATTTCTCCTTTGCCAGTTGGATCCCTGTTGGCTCTGCCAGTAGGAGGCACTAGAGGGAGACTGGAAGGCTGGATTGGGGATCTGACTTGCTCTTTCCTGTGTGGTATCATTCCACCCAGCAAGCTGGGATGGGATGTTGATTTCCCTATCAGTATTTGATTTTAGTTTGCATACAGTAGTCCCCCTTTATCCATCCTCTTGCTTTCCTCATTTTCAGATACCTGAGGTCAACCATGGTCTGAAAATATAAAATCAGAAATTCCAGAAATAAACAATTCATACATTTTAAATTGCATACTATTCTGAATAGTGTGATGAACTCTCCTGCCTGGGACCAAATCTGTCACCGTGTCCAGCCTCCCCACACTGCCTATGCTGCCCACCTATTTAGTCACTTAGTAGCTGCCTCTTATCAGATCAACTGTCATGGTATTGTGGGGCTCGTGTTCACATAACCCTTACTTGACTTTATAATGGCCCCAAAGCTGAAGAGCGGTGATGTTGGCAATTCAGACAGGTCAAAGAGAAGCCATCAAGTGCATCCTTTAAGTAAAAAGGTGAAAGTTCTCAGGGAAAGAGGAAAAAATCCTATGCTGAGGATTCTGAGATCTACAGTAATGAACCGTCTATCCATGAAATTGTGAAGAAAGTAAAAGAAATTCATGTTAGTTTTGCTGTCACATCTTAAACTACAAAAGTTAGGGCCACAGTGCCTAAGTGCTTAGTTAAGATGGAAACGGCACTAAATTTGTGGGTGGAAGATGTGAACAGAAATCTGTTCCAGTTGGCAGCAGTTGGGTTCACTGTTATCTGCACTTTAAGGCATCCGTTGGGGAGTATTGGAAAGTAGTCCCTTTGGATGAGGAGGGTCTACAGTATTTCTGACAACAACGAAACTCTACTCTGCACCCTCCTCCGGGACACCTGTATCAGCCAGTCATAGCACCTCTTTAAAGGTCTGCATCCTAGTTCCTTGGGACCCCTTCTTTAAGTCATTTTTTTTTCATTGTTTCCCCACTTCTAGGGGTGGTGTATTATGTGGTTTGTCTTGTTTAGCTTGTCTTATCATGTCTGGGAACATAGTTACAGCAATTTAACCATTTCCTCAGATGGAACTAGGAACACAACATTTTTTATCTTTGTAAGCCTGTAGATTAGCACTACGTAGTGTAAACAGGTTCTTGTGAACTAGTCTGATACCTAAGTTATCTTTAAACTTTTGTTTCTGAGGGAAAATGGGTTCTGAATTGTAAACAACTGGCTTTTTTTTTTTTTTTGAGACAGAGTCTCACTCTGTCACCCAGGCTGGAGTGCAATGGCACTATCTCGGCTCACTGCAACCTCTGCCTCCCAGGTTCAAGCGATTGTCCTGCCTCAGCCTCCTGAGTAGCTAGGATTACAGGCGCGTACCACCACGCCCAGCTAATTTTTACATGATTTCACCATGTTGGTCAGGCTGATCTTGAGCTCCTAACCTCGTGATCCGCCTGCCTCAGCCTCCCAAAGTGCTGGGATTACGGGCGTGAGCCACCGTGCCCGGCCAACAACTGGCTTTTATAAAATGGACTTGTGGAACACAACCAAGATAAGGTAGTATTTAAATTAGTGGAGGAGATAATGTCATAAGAAATGGAAAACAGCAGATAGTCCAGACATTCATTTTTGGCTTTGGAATACTTATTTATTTATATATTTATTACTTTTTTAAAAGCAAATTTACTTTCATGGATATTTGCTTGGGTTAGAATTCGTTTATATTCTCAGAGCACACTTACGATAAGAGTATTTGGTTTCCTCAGGAGTGGATTTATTGTCTTGATGATAATTTTATTCCTAAACCAACAAGAAATGGAGCAGAGACTTTGTAATATTAAAATAAATTATTGTTTAATTTGTGGCAGTTTTGCAGGGCTAGTGATAATAAATCCCGAGAGCTTTGAATTGAAATATTTTACATCATGGTGCCTTACTCATCCCTTACCCCCCAGTTTCTTTGCAGGGGATAGTAGAAAATGCAGTAGCTTAGGAGCCAGGAAATCAAGGATTTTATCAATTGAGACTATTAACTAGTGGAATGGATTAACATTTACTGAGCTCCAGTCATGTGTCAGGCATTGTATACTTTATCTCGTTGTTTGTTAGGCTTCATTTTATTGATGATAAAATAGGCCATGAGAAATAAACTAACTTGTCCAAGACTCCACAAGTAATAAGTTAATGGTGGAGATTCAAATCTTGGTCTGTCAGTCATTTTTTTCCCTCCATTTCGAGCCTTCATTCATCACCTGTAAAATGAAATCAGAGTAGTTCAAGGTACACAGGTGTTCTGCTTCTAAAATCAAATTATGAGTTTTTACCAGTTAGTGCAGTTATTTCAAAATGTATAAAATTCTTTTTTTTATTTTTTTTTGAGATGAAATCTTGCTCTGTCACCCAGGCTGGAGTGCGGTGGTGCAATCCTGGCTCGCTGCAACCTTTGCCTCCCGGGTTCAAGTGATCCACCTGTCTCAGCCTCCCAGGTAGCTGGGATCACAGGCGTACACCACCGTGGCCGGCAAATTTTGTATTTTTAGTAAAGATGGGGTTTCGCCATGTTGGCTAGGCTGGTCTCAAACTCCTGATCTTAGGTGATCTGCCCACCTGGGCCTCCCAAAGTGCTGGGATTACAGGCGTGAGCCACCGCACGTGGAGTCAAAATGTATTTTCTTAATTTTATGTTTCACCTCATTAATTTTTTGACTCCTATGTAAAAAAATGCCAAAAATATAAACAAATCCATTATTAAAATTGCCAGTTTTATGTCTAGTTTTGAGAACTTGTTTCTTTTGGAATGTGTGTGGCATTATGCATACTTGTAATAGACTGGCAGAGGCTTCCAAAATAGAATAATTTGTCTAACAGAAAAGGTATGAAGGAGTTGTGAACTTTGGGTGACACATTCACAGACATTTTCTTTTTTTCCTACATAATCCTTTAGCAGCTCAAGACATTTTCTTAATGCATTTTCTTAATGCAACTCTTACTATGGTAAGAGTTGGAAGTAGATGGTGTGGTGGTCAACTACACTATTTACATTAACTTAAAAAAGACAGTCTTTTAGGCCATGCGGTGGCTCACGCCTGTAATCCCAGCACTTTGGGAGGCTAAGGTGGGTGGATCGCTTGGGGTCAGGAGTTCGAGACCAGCCTGGCCAACATGGTGAAGCCCTGTCTCTACTGAAAATACAAAAATTAGCCGGTTGTGGTGGCACATGCCTGTTATCCCAGCTACTTGGGAGGCTGAGACAGGAGAATCTCTTGAACCTGGGAGACGGAGGTTGCAGTGAGCCGAGATCATGCCACCGCTCTCCAGCCTGGGCTACAGAGTGAGACTCTGTCTCAAAAAAAAAAAAAAAAAAAAAAAAAAAAAGACAGTCTTTTTTTTTTTTTTTGGGACAGGGTCTTACTCTGTCTCCCAGGCTGGAGTGCAGTTGTGCGATCTCGGCTCACTGCAACCTCCGCCTCCCTGGTTCAAGCAATTCTCCTGCCTCAGCCTCCAAAGTTGCTGGAATTACAGGCTCATGCCACCACGCCCGGCTGCTTTTTTGTGTTTTTAGTAGAGACAGGGTTTCACCATGTTGACCAGGCTAGTCTCAAACTCCTGACCTCAAGCGATCCACCCACCTGGGCCTCCCAAAGTGCTGGGATTACAGATGTGAGCCACCACACCCGGCCAGTCTTTTAACATTTTAAAATATGTCTGAGATTTATTTGAATATTGAAATAGGATTTAATAACTTATACTCTAAATCCAGTAGAGTGCATGGGGGAACATGATGCCCTAGATACGTAATTATTCTTTAAATAAGATCCATGCTAGGTGCGGAAGAAAAACCACAAAAAACCGTGGTAGAGTGAATGAAGTGCTTTAAGAGGCCATGTTTTGTGATCAGACCCAGTTGGGTTTGAATTTGAACCTGCCACTTACTAATGTTGTGTGACTTCAGGCAGGTTACTTGTCTGAGACTCAGTTTCTTCATCCATAAAATGGGGATAACAATTGCTTACTTTTTAGAATTGTTGGGAAGGTTAAATAAAATGTGTGTAAAGAACCAAGCTTGGTACTAATAGATAGTGGCTGGTATTATTAATAACAACAATCCTATTTTCATTAATTTAGTATTTCTCTAGAGAAAGGAATGTGGACTTTACCAACCAGCTGGCAGGTCACAAAGGCCTTGCCCTCACTGGGAATTTTAATTAGAGTTGAGGCAATTTCTAAACCAGTTAAATATTTTGATGGTTCAGGGAAAATAAGATGGATATTCTTGTTGGTTAACCCTCCTTAGTCTCTGTAATACTTTTTGTTACATTTGATTTGCGGTTAAAGTTGAATGAATCCATAAATTAGAATTTCTTGGTTTGTTGAATGACATCAACAGTTATGCCACAATAAGTAGTTACATTTAAATAAAGGTTGACTTGTAAATTTTTTTTTTTTTGAGACAGAGTCTCACTCTGTCACCCAGGCTGGAGTGCAATGGCGTGGTCTTGACTCACTGCAACCTCCGCCTCCTGGGTTCAAGCAATTCTCCTGCCTCAGCCTCTCAAGTAGCTGGGACTACAGGCGTGTGCCACCACACCCGGCTAATTTTTGTATTTTTAGTAGAGACAGGGTTTCACTATGTTGGCCAGACTGGTCTTGAACGCCTGACCTCGTGATCCACCCGCCTCGGCCTCCCAAAGTGCTGGGATTACAGGCATGAGCCACCGCGCCCAGCTGACTTATAAATTTTTTTTGATGTTAGGTGAAATCTTTGAATTTGGGCAAAGTTTAGGGTATAGTTAGGCACCATACTAGTCTAGAAGGACTGTTTCTTTTTTAAAAAAGTTTTAAAATTTATTACATAACATTTAATGTATACAAGTGAATAAATGAGTAATATAACCAATAACTGGGAATCCATCTAGAAAGAAAGCATTACTAATAACATTTGAACACCCTTTGTAGTATTTCTCACTTGCATTCTTTCCCCTCCTCGCCTAAGGTAACCAGCTGTCACAAATTAGTTTTTATCATTCCCATGAGTTTCTTTATATTACACATTTGTCTATATCTGTAAATAATAGTATTGTTTCAACATTTTGTATTCTATACATATGTGTGTATATATATGTGTATATATATATATGTATATATATATTTTTTTGAGACGGAGTTTGGCTTTGTAGCCCAGGCTGGAGTGCAGTGGCGTGATCTCGGCTCACGGCAGCCTCCTCCTCCTGGGTTCAAGCGATTCTCCTGCCTCAGCCTCCCGAGTAGCTGGGACTACAGGTGCGCACCACTGGGCCCAGCTAATTTTTGTATTTTTAATAGAGACGGGGTTTCACCATGTTGGCCAGGCTGTTCTCGAATTCCTGACCTCTTGATCCGCCTGCCTCGGCCTCCTAAAGTGCTGGGATTACACTTGTGAGCCACCGTGCCTGGCCTTTGTATTCCATATTTAAAAAAATTCAGCATTATGGTGAAGGGTATGTCCATGTTGAATTGCGTGGCCGTTGAACATTCATTTTTGGTATTCCATTGTATCCCTAATATATGTATCCATTCTGTTGTTAATGAACAATTATGTTGTTTACTTTTTACTTTTGCTATTATACGAAGTGATAATTTAGAGATTTTTGTTCTGTTGAAGCACTTCATATGTATTTAACTGCTTGTAGTGAAAACTCTACTTTTCTCTTTCAGCCATCATTTCTACCCAGAAATTTAACATTTTACTTAAATCAGTGCTTTGTGAGTTTGAGCTATTTTCATTAGGTCTCTGAAGAATGTAGTTATTGATCTTAAGCAACATGTTTTACTATTTTCATAAAATTTTCCAACAAAAATACTTCAGCTATACAAATTCTCTAAGTTGTTAAACTCAGGCAAGATACCATTAAAACTTAGAGCAGATGGTCATTTGAGTATTAGTAGAATGGGTCAAAAGCTGTCATCAGGTGGTTCATTTAACGGCGGCAGATGTCTTCATAAAGCCTAGCAAAGGAAAAGGGCATTAACTCCTTAGGGTAATATGGTATTCTATAGAAAGGAAAAAAAAGAACTTAATGGATCCAGTTAAGGAATTAAATTTTATGAAATAAAAATTTTAAGGAAAAACTGTTGCCAGGGCTAATGGTTTTAGATGAAAATGAATTGGGTGGATGTAGTGAGGGAAACAAAAAAGCTACCACTGTACAGTAAGAGATTAGTAAAATGTTGGTCTTGTTTATTTAATGCCCTTTCTTCTGTTTTATGTTTTCTTTAAATACCAACTTTTGTTTTGAAGTCAATTAATTGTATTCTCATTAAAAATTCTGTAGTGCTCATTTTGGTAGTGGAATGGGTTGCTTTGTTTACATTTTTCAATTCTTAGTGTTAGTCTGTTTCACAGCTGTTCAGTAGCTTTGTTGGCATTTGAAGTGTGGGAACCAAGAAAGCATTTGGATGTGCTTTTGTGTGCATTAATGGTTTTCCTGAGGTATTCTTTAAAACCATGAATTATAGAATTTTTTTAACCAGTTGTCATGTGTGTTTAAATGGTTCCTTTTAAAGAAAGCCTGTACACAGATTATGAGCTCATGACTGTTATCATTGTATGTTGTGGAAAATGAACTTAGAAATGAAAAATATGTAAATGAGGCAGTGGTTGCAAACTGGACAGTTTTTTTCTGTTGAATGGGGTAGTTGGGATACATTTTCCCTACGTCTTTCATCAACCAAGTCACATTTGAAGAGCTGCACAGTCAGTTAATTCAGGATAAACTTCTAAGTGTGCAGTGAATACTGATTTGTTTAGTCTATTTTACTTTTTTGTGATGATGGAACTAAATCAGATTTATTTTAGACCTTGTTCAGAAACTTAGCCATTTTGTGGACATTTACTGTCATTGGTATTTGATATTAATTGTGGTATTTTTTGTCGGCTTTCCTGTGCTAAGACAGATACAGTTATTAGAATCTGATTTCAGGTGTTTGGCAATGAGGTTGCTTTAAATCAATATGTAATCAATTCCATATAATGTCCATTTTGGAAAAATAATTTTATAATTATTTCTATATTATTGCTTCTAACACAAATACCAAAAGTTTACAAAATTAGTTGCAAAACTATTCTCGGTCACACAAAGTGGTTTTTTTTTTTTTTAAGGTAAATTGTGAAACCCATAAACAAAAAGATTTTGAAGAACTGTCATAATTGTCTGGTGCAGGGCTATTAAACTGAATATTAAATTTTCATGAAACTGCCATTTGTAAAGAGAAGTGCCAACAGTAACAATCCATTTAATTAGTTTTTTAAAATTCACACTTTAATACTGAAATACAGGTATACCTCTGTTTTATATAGGCATTATACACAGTTCTATTCCTGGAAGACCAAATGTATATTTAAAATGGAGGAGAGGCATGCCGGATGTTATTTTTCAAAGATGGCCACACCAGTCTACATCCCATCCCACCTGCTCTTCTTAGGAGACAATGACATTCCACCTAAAGAGGCTGCTTCCCTCCCTCAGTGGACCTGGGTGGACATTTGTAACTGCCTCAATTAATAGAGTATAGAGGAAGTGACACTGTGAATTCTGAGGTTTGGTCACAAAAGGCAAGGCAGATGTCGCTTGTCTGTCCATGTCTGTCTGTCTGTCACTGTCTTTCCCCTCAGGATTCACAACCTGCCTGCACCGGGAGCTCTGAGCCAATGCTGAGAAAACATAAAAGTGCTAGGTTAAGAATTGAGTAGTATATTTTACCATTTTAAGGAAAGTCTTTCTAAGCACGAAGCCTCAGAAGTTACACACATGCCGATGAGAGCACACATAGAAAATGTGTACCCAGAAAACAATCTGGAAACCCCCACCAAACTGCTAATAATGGGTGGGAGTACACGGTGGGGGGGACTTTCACATTTTGTTCTGTATGCTTTTGAGTTGTTTAAAGTTTTATTATAAGTGTGTTATTAATTTTATAATTTTAAAAAGAAAATAGGAAATACCAATTTTTTCCTCTCAAATTGGCACAGATTAAAAATACTACTTCAGTGCATGTTAAAGATGTGTCAAGAAAGCCAGTCAGATACTGCTGAAAGGGAAATATAAATGGATACAATCTCTATAGAAGGCACTTACAGAGTGTTTCAAATGCCATCAAAAACTTTGACCCTGCCTTCAATGTTTTAAAAAGGCACATTCAAAGATACTTGTTTGTGGCAGATAAAGACAAAAAGTTAACATAACCAGTGTTGAAAATATGGGACTATTATTATGTAAATTATGTTAATTAACAGAGGGAAATTCTATACAATTATTAAACCATGTTGTAGAAGAATTATTACTGACATGGTAAAATACCATTTTTAAAGTAGTTTGCAAGGAACTACAATGTGACATTTTTGCATCTAAATTGCATAATACATGTAATATAAAAACTAGAAAGGTAATTCCCTGGATGTGCTGATGGGATTAGCCTTTGTGGTTTTCCAAGTTTTCTACACTGAGTGTATATTAATCCTAGGAAGCAGCTGGGTGAGTAGGAGCATTTAACATGAAGTATAAGCATCAGAGATGCCATGTATGCCACTTTAAACTAAAAACAAACAAAAACAGGAAGGAACCTAAGCAAATCTTTACAGAAACCAACTTTCAAATTACTTTAGTTACTTTAGTAATATGGTATATAATTGCTATTTAGAAGTTTTTATTTATTTTAATCTTTTAATTCACAGATGAATAATTAAATGTTCCCCATATACAGTCTCTGAAAAAATTTAAACTTTTATTAAGCTCTTTGATTTCTGTATAAGTATTGCAAAATTTGTCTGGGATAGGTGATGATTCTGATTATGATATTATTTAAATAGATGACTAGTGCATTTACTAAATCTATATTAAGATGAAGTTAAGTGCAGTATAATTCTTTATATGTATATTTTGCTTTAAAGTTTTTGAAAGTGTGTTTACCTATCACTTTAATTTTTTTCTGTTTTTTTTTTTAAATGAAGTTTCTGTTTCTAGGAGTTTCTAACAATTTAGCCTCACAATGTCTCTTTCCATGTGAAAGGAAGTGTTTTCTTAATTTATAGATGAGAATATTGGTCCCAGAGTATTTAAGTTGATTTTGAATATTAAGTGGATAGTAAGTTATACAAGTAAATTCTTAAATCACATACGCTTGTTTTTACCATTTGAGGTAGCAGTTTTACCATATTGTATACAGGTTAGAAATCATGTCTGATCTTGTTAATTTCTAGCGTAACTCTATAATTTATCTCCAAGTCTCTGGCTGTATTGCATGTTTCTGCTAAGCAAAGTCGTTCCTGGTTCATTGAACATACTCTGCTTTTCTGTGATTTCTTCCTTTCTTAGAAAGATCTACTCGTCCATCATTTCTGTGGAACTTTTCCTGATTTTTTTTCCTGTTTAGTTTCTAAGGCGAGTTTCTATCAATGGAGACCTGGGCTTGTATTTTTTTATTAGATATTCTTATTTTTTGTTGGTGACTCCCTTCTTGTTTTTAAGCAGAGCAGTTCTAGATTTCAGTTTATTATACTGTTTAATTGCTAAATATTTCTAATACTTAACCTGTTTCCTCTTGAATGATCTCGTTTAGACTTTCTCATTTATATCCTCTACATCTTTTGTCTCCTGACCCATAGCTACCAAGCCCTAAATATCTCTGGAACCATTTCTCTCAATTTCTACTGTCAACACCCTAATTTAAGCTACCATTATCTTAGCTGGACTGCTACTAACTTCTTTTAATCTGACTCCCTTTCTCTAGCCACTTTTACTTTTTTCATATCTTTTTTCTCCACACTGCAGCAGGAGTGATTTTTTATTTTTTTTATTTTTTTTATTTTTTTGAGTTAGAGTCTTAGTTGCCCAGACTGGAGTGCAGTGGCATGAACATGGCTCTAAGAGTGATACTTGAAAGCAGCAGAGGGCATGCCTGCAGTAGTAATAAAGAAATAGTTCTGGATGAATCAGTAGCCACTCATGTCCACTATCTTCTGTCCCTACAGTCAAGCATTTATGTGACAGGAGACTGCAGAAGGATTGCACATAAAACATATTTGGTGTTGGGGTATCAGGCTTTTTTGTAGTCCACTAGGTATCCCAGTTCTTTCAGGTGTTCGTTCCCTTCCTCCTTCCTTCCTTGCTTCCCTCCTTCCTGCCTTCCCTCCCTCTTCCTTCCTGATCCTTGCCCCTCCCCTCCCTTTCCCTCAAAACAGGCATACCACTCAGGTTTGGCCCTTTGTTTAGAATCTGGTTATCTGAATATAGAAAATGAATAACATAGGGTTTGTTTTTCTTTCTTATCGGGAAGTACCCAGTAGTGTATTATATTAGTAATATGACCACTTTTGTACTCTAGTTTTTACATATGTAGCATGTTACTTGATTTTTAGAACACGTTGTCTCACCTTTAAAGAATATATTACATTCCCCAAAGGGGACTGAGGTTGTGAGAATGAAAGGGCTCCTTTCTTCTATTTAATTATGGAAATGTTCTAAATGGATACAAAGAGGAAGATAATGTAATGAACTCCCATGTACCCATTACCCAACTTCAGCACGGCTAATCTTGTTTTACCTAAATCCCACTTTACTTCCCCTCTGCCTCCCTCCAGTTATTTTGAAAAAAAAAACAAAACAAAACAAAACAAAAAAACCCCACATTATTTTATACGTAAATACTTCTGATAAAACGACCTTTTCAAGGACATAAAAGTAAATACAGACGGAGTCAGAACTTGAATCCAGGAGAGTGTCACTTTTGGACAGATAATACAGCCCTTGCTTGGTCAGCATTGAGCTTGACCATCCAGGATGTGTTTATAAAGTAGTGACACTGATGTTGACAAGCCACACATTGTTGAAAAAAAAATCCTAGTTTTTATTTATTGAACAAGTGATATTAATATAACAATAGAATAGTAAAGGAGTATTACCCCCAATTATTTCACCTGAAAATGAAGGTTGTTTTCATTACTTATATTGGTACCTTTTATAGTTCTAATGTCTGTCTCATTCATCCATGTGATTAATTTTAGTGGAGGTCATTTTACCAAGTGTTTATTTTTTCTAGAGCTTATTATTTCTTGTTTCCTAAGGGGATAAAACCCCACTATAGTGTATTGTTTCCTTTAAAATAGGGAAACTTGCTTCCTAATCATTTTCTAACTTTTCCTGACTATGGGAAAAACTTGTCAATATCTAAGGGTGGTAAATGCTTAGGTTAATTGATAGTTTGTTTCCATGATATCATGAAGGCAAAATGGTCTTTTCTTTTGGAGTAATTGTTTACCTAGAAAATAGTTGAAAATTCTTTCAAAGATTTCTGAGGTTTTGTAGTCTGAAACATCTCCTTAGTGATAAAGGATTCTTTCTTTCTCTGTGCTGAACTTAAGTTCTAGTTTGTGGATGAGAGCGAGGAAAGAGTTACTGAGATGTGTTCTTACTAATGAAAAAGGGAGCAGAGGGAAAATATATATAATTCGCATTTATTAACGTAGTTGAGATCCATTATCTTGAAGCTATATGTGTTAAATTTGAAGTGTTATTTCCTAATTTATTAGAATATCTTGTAAAATGTTCTGTTCTTATTTTTTTCCCCCAAGGAATAATATTCAAATAAATAAAATTTGTGATTAATCTGAGCATGTGTCCTTGTTTTAATAGGCATCAAGCATGATGGAACCATGTGTGATACCTGCCGCCAGCAACCAATCATTGGCATTCGATGGAAGTGTGCAGAGTGTACAAATTATGATTTGTGCACAGTGTGTTATCATGGAGATAAACATCATTTAAGACATCGCTTTTACCGAATTACTACACCGGGAAGTGAGAGGTAGGGAGAACCCTTTTCTTCTTCAACCGAGGGTTTTTGTTTGTATTCAAGTTATGTACTTCTGGGCCTTAAAAATAGGATTAGCAAATAGCTTCTGACAGTTGGTTTACTAACAGGAGGTACCCAATAGTAGGATAGAAGTGGACCAAATCTGCCATATAACAAGAGAAGAGCTCTTTGAAGATGGAGCTGTCTGTACTTTTCCAAGGTAATCTGGGCTATTCTTTCTCTGGCTTAGAGGGTTAGCACTACTCTACATTTGGAAATACAAGGGTATCCAAAAAGATACCAATTGTTTTCTTCTCACTATGCCTTCTAGTCTGTTAATTGATATCAGATGAATGGTAGGGCTCATTGATTGAGTCAGTAGGCATTTATTAGGACTATACAACATCTACTATGTTTATGGACACTAGAAGATAAATAAGACACATAGTATTCTTAAGGAGTTTACAAATTAAAGGAAATAATGAGTCAGTGATTATCATGTGATGTTTTAGACTGTGTTAGAGATATGTATTAAGTGTCTTAGGAGCAAGGAGAGAGGAGTATTCATTGTTAATGGGGGCGGAGTTTTAGGTAATGGGATCTTCTCATGTAGATACAGATACTGCAAAGGAGCGAGAATCCAGCCAGTCATAGGGAGGCAGCTAGGAGTAGGAGTAGATAAATAGATTTTGGAGTCATACCTCTCTTGGTGTAGATCATAATCGTGCCACTTATTAACTGAGTAATTTTGAACAAGTTGGTTATTTTTGTCTTTTGTTTGCAATTAAAATTAAGGAATAATAAAGACACTGTAAAAATGAATAAGGCTGGGCGGGTGGCTCATGCCTTTAATTCTAGCACTTTGGGAAGCCTGAGGTGGGAGGATTACTTGAGGCCAGGCGTTCAAGACCACCCCGGACAGCATAGTAAGACCTCATCTCTATTAAAATAAGTAAATAAATGAAAAGAATAGAACAATAAAATAAAATTAGGAAAACAAAACAAAAATCTCCAAACCTTTCTGATTATGTGAATGAGAAAGATGTAGAACAATAGGGATACATGGTCTTGGAGAACCAAGCTGGACCAGATACTTGAGTGTAGAATCTTTATCAAGGTTCATAATCTTCTGTAAGTATGTAGTACTGTGAGAACAGGTTAGTGTAGGTAAAATCCAGACCACAGATGTATTTTACCGATACATACATATATTAATCCCTTTTCATACTGCTATGAAGAAATACCCGAGACTGGGTAATTTATAAAGGAAAGAGGTTTAATTGACTTACAGTTCAGCATTGCTGGGGAGGCCTCAGGAAACTTATAATCATGGTGGAAGGGGAAGCAAACACGCCCTTCCTTCTTCACATGGCAGCAGCAAGGAGAAGTGCTGAGCAAAAAAGGGGGAAAGCCCCTTATTAAAATCATCAGGTCTCGTGAGAACTCACTATCAAGAGAACAGCATGGAGGTAACCGCCCCCATGATTAAGTTACCTCCCACTGGGTCCCTCCCTCGACGTGTGGGAATTATGGAAACTACAGTTCAAGATGAGATTTGGGCGGGGACACAACCAAATCATATCAATACAGTACTCTTAAATTTTTGAATAATGGCTATTTTTTTTTTGTTTTTTGAAATGGAGTCTCTCTCTGTTGCCCAGGCTGGAGTGCAGTGGCACAATGTTGGCTCACTGTAACCTCCGCCTCCCAGGTTCACGCCATTCTCCTGCCTCAGCCTCCCGAGTAGCTGGGACTACAGGCGCCCGCCACCACACCCAGCTAATTTTTTGTATTTTTAGTAGAGACAGGGTTTCACCGTGTTAGTCAGGATGGTCTCGATCTCCTGACCTCGTGATCCACCTGCCTTGGCCTCCCAAAGTGCTGGGATTACAGGTGTGAGCCACCATGCCTGGCTGGAATAATGGCTAGTTTTTAAAAACAGGTGATTTCACACAAAAATCTGTTGATGGATTCATAGAACACCCTGCTCCCCCCACTGCCCCCGCCAATACAGAAGACTATCAGTACTGGGCTTACGTTTGTTCTTGGCAACAGTTTGTTGAAGCAATGGAGCCCTTTAGACTGGACCTTTTAGACTGATGATGCTTTTGAGTCAACCAAAGTCCCTGCCATTTCCTGTTATCTTCCCAAGTCTGAGGTCAAGTGCCATTTGCCATTGTAGTGCTGTCTTTCTTGGGCTGTCATTACTCACCTAGAAGCTATAGCGATTTGAGTTTGCCATCTCTACAATAGTGAAGAGTATAGTGATACCCAGATACCCTGAAATGCTTAGACTAGGATCATATGTGGAGTCCATTACATTTTAACTTTTGTGGCCTTGGGCACATTACTTCTTTGAGACTCAGTTTCCTCATTTATAAAGTGGATAATATAGCGGTAACTTTCTCTTAAGGAGTGTAACACACTTTACTCCTATGCAAGTGCTTTTACATATTATATAATAAAAGCTTAGTAAAAGTTAGCTGTGATTATTATTACAGCTACTACTGCCATCATCATCATCACCTGTGGAATATAAAAGGTATTCCTGTATCATGCTATTATGGTAGTAACCAGAACAATGAAGAATCTTTTTACTTTCAAAATAACATTTTTATAATTTTGTTTTAAAAAGTAAATTATTGTTACCTATTTTTATATAAACTTGAAAATAAATAATTTTATTTTTAGGGTTCTGTTAGAGTCTCGTAGGAAATCTAAGAAGATTACAGCCAGAGGAATCTTTGCAGGTGCCAGAGTGGTGCGAGGAGTGGACTGGCAGTGGGAAGATCAAGATGGAGGAAATGGACGTAGGGGAAAGGTACAGTGTTTCTCTGAATTCATTATGTATTCTAGAGTATTATATGTTCAGAACCTTTTTATTACTACTATAAATGAATTTCTTGGTCCATTGTTTTCCATGCCAGTAACAGTTTTTAAAATCTTGATTTCTTTTTTCTCTGGAAGTAAAAAGATTGTTCTTGCTTTTTGTAAGCATTGATGTTCCTTAGAGGGTCATTAGGTAGGTTTTACCTTCCCACCTTCAGGTTTCATATTGTCATTTTGTTACCTAGCATGCTTTTCTGAACGCATTTGGGCCAGTCCCTCCCTAAGCAGTATCTCATGTCCTCAACTTTCCTGCTATTTAAATTTCATTTGAATTGACTTGTTTTATATTCTCTTCCCTCAAAGACCTGTTTCTGAGGCACAGTGGGCAATTATGCTGTTATCGAGCCCACCTACCTCTGTTATCCTTTGCAGATAGCATAGCGGGCTCAGAGTTTTAGGAGTAGGTCAAAGCAGAATATTCTGTGTGGTGAAATGAGAGACCTCAGCTGATCTAGGTGGCAGGGAATGGGGGTGAAGAGGAGAGTGGGAATGTCATCATTACATAGTCCAAATAAGCCAAGTACACTTGGAGAACGTGAGTCAGGCTCACTTGGGCAGTGTATCCACAGTTGAATAAAAACGGTACAGTGGAAGTAGGGATAAGAGCTTTCAACTTGTTTGGCCACCACATATTACACGGCTGCAATCTGGATGGGTCACCTTCCATGCCTGGTGCCCAGCAGTCATCCTGGAAGCGCCCTTTGAAGCCCTGTGATTAACAAAGATGCCTTTGCCTCTTTTCCTGGCTGGATCTCATGTTTTCTGTATCCCATTAGATATCTTACTTAGCTTACTGTCTCTTTTGGTAGGACACACATTCTAGTAACTTCTTTTGAAAGAGTATGTGAGAAGTCAAATTTTAATTGACTGTGTATTTTTCCTCATAGTTAATTATATGGTCAGAGGGGGCTGGAAGTCATCTTTCCTCATCAGCTTTTGAAGGCATTTGCTGTTTGAAGCCACATAAATGGAACTTCCTGGTTTTTTCTGTATTGGCACTTTTTTGGGATAAAAGAAGGCATTCTTGAGGCTTTGAGTCATTCTGTTACATTTTTGGTTTGCTTTGATTTAACACATGTTGTGTTTTAAGAACAAAATGAGGGCCAGGCATGGTGGCTCACGCCTGTAATCCCAGCACTTTGGGAGGCTGAGGCGGGTGGATCATTTGAGGTCAGGAGTTTGAGACTAACCTGGCCAACATGGTGAGACCCTGTCTCCACTAAAAATACAAAAATTAGCCAGGCATGGTGGTACATGCCTATAGTCCCAGCTACCAGGGAGGCTGAGGCAGGAGAATCACTTGAACCTGGGAGGCAGAGGTAGCAGTGAGCCAAGATTGTGCCACTGCACTCCACCCTGGGTGACAGAGTGAGACTCCATCTCAAAACAGACAAACGAAAAGAACAAAATGAAGAAAAAGAAATGAAACCATCTTGTACATGTGACTCCAAGTGAGGGAACTTTATAAAATAAATCTTTAGAGTAACATTGTTAAGCACATTGTTTAAGACCAAGTGTAACTTCTGTTGTCTGACTTTTTTGTTTTGGCCTATGTATGTGAATGAAGAAAGTTAACATCCCTTTTTCCCCTTCAGTGCTGGATGCTTTATCCCACTCCCCTGATGTAACCCACGTTAATTGTATGTAGTGTATTCTTCCTTTTTGTTTTTCTAATATATATTAGAGATGGAGTCTTGCTGTGTTGCCCAGGCTGGTCTCGAACTCCTGGGTTCAAGCGATCCTCCTGCCTCCACCTCCCAAAGTGCTGGGATTACAGGCATGAGCCACCGCGCCCAGCCTATTCTTAAAGGGCTTTTTAAGTCTCACTATACGTGTTAGTCTTTTAAAGCTGTTTGTTTTACAAATATGATTAAGTATACTAGATCATATTTGTTTTTTTGTTAAGCTCTTTATTATGGAGTATTTCAGACATACACTTGAGTAGAAAGTATAGTATAATAAATTCCCATGCACTCATACCCAACTTCAACAATTATTAACTTAAAAAAATACCATTTATTTGTTGAAGAAACCAGATTCTATTTGGCCAATTGATTCTTTATAGTATTCTTTAACTTCTTTAACTTGTTCTTTTAATCTTTGTATTTCCTATAAATTAGTTGTTAGATCTAGAGGCTTGATTAGATAGATTCAGGTTCAATTTTATTTTGGCAAACATACCTCATATGTGATGCTGTGTATTTTCTATTGTATCATATAAAGGGGCACATAAAGTCTGATTATTCTGCTATTAGTGATGTTAAGATTGATGAACAGGTGCAAATTTTGTCAGATGTATCCTTTACAGAGTTTCTTGGCAACATTATACCTAATGGTTTTAACAGCTGTTCCTTACATGTGAAATTACTGTAGTTATTTTCTTATGCCCTCCACTTTGTTTCCTCCTCAATAATAAATCAAGTCATATTAACAAATGAAGGAATTTCATTTAATGATTTGGAGCTTGACTAATGAACTTACTTCTATTTCAAGTAATTTGAAATTTAAAGTAAATTTGATTTAAAATTTGTCTTTGTTTTTTAGCTAGCCAAATGCTTTTTTACTCATCCTATAAAATACAGACTTAATATAGCATCACATTTTTTAAAACAAATGAAGTTGAATCTGAATATATTAGAATCAGAAGGAACTTTTTGCTACAGATTGCATGTTTTACCTTCGAGTGCTAGAAACTGTTACTTTAGAAGGTTATGTAGTGGTTAGTTGAGCAGGAATCATAAAGCAAATTAAGGTAAATGGTGGACTCTTAACTTCAGGATGGTAGTTACCTCTAATGGAAGGCAGGAGGATGGGATTGATGAGATGGACATAGGGGACTTGAAAAGTACTGGTTCTATTTTTTTTCTTAGGTTGGGTAATAATTACATGGGTGTTCAGTTTATTTTTTTATTCCTTAAAGTTTACATATGCTTTGGGAGGCTGAGGTAGGCAGATCACAAGATCAGGAGTTTGAGACCAGCCTGGCCAACATGGCGAAACCCCATCTCTACTTAAAAAAAAAAACGAAAATTAGCCGGGCATGGTGGTGGGCACCTGTAATCCCAGCTACTTGGGAGGCTGAGGCAGGAGAACCACTTGAACCGGGGAGGCGGAGGTTGCAGTGAGCCGAGATCGTGCCATTGCACTCCAGCCTGGGTGACAAGAGCAAAAAAAAAAATTTACATATGCTGTATTTTATAATGTGTAATGTATTTCAAAATTTAAAAGAGTAAATGGACTAAATTACTAACAATTTAAAATATGTTTCAAGTGATTCATTAGATCTTAAACATAAAACCTTTTTATTTCCACAAATATATCATAAAATACCTGGCTTACAAAACTATTTAGTACAGGATGAAAAAGAATGGTCATTATATATCTTATTTAAAGTAATAGTTTTTAAGTGTATACCTTGAAAGTTATACTTCAGCCTGTCATTCTAAGTAACTATGAAGGATGGCTGTGATTGTAAGTATCAAGATGGAGAAGAGTAATCTGAATTGCATGTGTGCAGCTTCCCACTCTTTGCTGTAGTCAGGTTTACTTGAGAAGGTCCAAGTTTAATGCTGTTTGTCATTTTTGTGTACAGGTTGAACATTCCAAATAAAAAAATCTGAAACCTGAAATACTCCAAAATATGAAACTTCTTGAACACTGACATGGTGCTCAAAGGAAATGCTCATTGGAGCATTTAGAATTTCAGATTTTTGGATTTGGGATGCTCTAAGTACAGTGCAAATATTTCAAAATCTGAAAAAATTTGAAATCTAAAACATTTCTTGTCCTAAGCATTTCAGATAAGTAAACTCAACCTGTATGTGATTCTAGGCCTTAAAGCAATGGCAACCCCAGTATATATATATATTTTTTAATCCAGTGAATTCAAGAATCAGACTAGTTGGGTGTGGGGCTTGGAGATGTTGTCTGGGTTTCCATGGTAGGCATGCCATTTTAGCTTAGGTGGCCTGCAACTGCGGGATACTGTTGGAGGAGCAAAAGCAACTCAAGACCTACTTGAACATTGCCACCAAGGCTCTTCAAGAGCTTTGTGCTTGTTAATTTTTAGTTGACCAAAAAGGTTTATCTTGAATCATTTTGGGTATTTTACAGAGATTTTAAATTTCATATTGAGTAATGGGCTTAAAAGAATATACTGTTCTTGCCGGGCGTAGTGGCTCACACCTGTAATCCCAGCACTTTGGGAGGCCTAGACGGGCAGATCACCTGAGGTCAGGAGTTCGAGACCAGCCTGGCCAACATGGTGAAACCCCATCTCTACTAAAACTACAAAAATTAGCCAGGCGTGGTGACAGGCACCTGTAATCTCAGCTACTCAGGAGGCTGAGGCAGGAGAAGCTTGAACCCGGGAGGCGGAGGTTGCATTGAGCCAGGATCGCACCACTGCACTCCAGCCCGGGCGACAAGAGCGAGATTCCATCTCAAAACCAAAAACCAAAAAACAAAAAACTGTTCTTAAAGGAATCTCTTTAAGAATAAAAATATTTTAAATTTTCTATCAAATTCTATTTTCTGATAATCTATCACTGTAATCCCCAAGCCTCTTGATTTAAAAATTTCTACAGAGGTTTTAGAAATTACCTTATAATTCTGGAAAAATATGGCTCTAATGATAATTTAACTATGTTAGCAGTGACATATTTGGCAAATAAGTATTTTTCATGATCCTGTTACACAGGTTGCTAGATGAAATGATTTTTAAGATTTAAATGTAATAATTAAAAGAACTAAGCTCTTCCCTCCCCTTTAAAAAACTTCTTTTCTCAAAAACTATTCTGTTAGGTAACAGAAATCCAGGACTGGAGTGCATCAAGCCCACATAGCGCAGCATATGTCCTCTGGGATAATGGTGCTAAGAACCTTTACAGAGTTGGCTTTGAGGGCATGGTAAGTAGTGAAGAGCCATAGCAGGTGAAAGAAAATGTTGGATGGGTGAATAGCTCTTACTGCTCTTTTATTATTTTTCCTTTGTCATCTCCCTTTGTCAGAACCTTTACGTTTTTACTATGTTTCTCTAAACTATTTAATAGTAAATATGATTTGCCTTTAGTTTAATGTTTGAGTACCTTACTATATATTGGTGGTGTAGAGGTGACCCATTTTCAGTGTAAGTCCAGGGGGTTTATTTACGAAAATCTATCAAAAAGATTGGGAATCATCTGTAAGACCATTCCTTGACGTGGATGGACCTGGAAGACGGTATTATAATGAGGTTTTGTGATATATTTGTATTCTGTGCTCTGGTAGCTTATATAAAAGTATAAATTACAACAAATATTAAAATTATTTTTTAGGAGATTCCTCTCCACCCCTTGGTATTTTTTAAAGTATAGTGTTGATAATTGAAAATGATTGACTTAGAAACACCTTGAATTACTTAAGTGTTTAGAAAAATAATGGAGGTTTATTCAATGAGTTGTCCTATGTTTTTGTATTTCATGGACCATTGTTCAAGCGCTGATCTTGGCTGGGCACGGTGGCTCACGCCTGTAATCCCAGCACTTTGGGAGGCCCAGGTGGGTGGATCACTTGAAGTCAGGAGTTTGAGATCACACTGGCCAACATGGTGAAACCCTGTCTTTACTAAAATACAAAAATTAGCCGGGTTTGATGGCATGTGCCTGTAATTCCAGCTATTTGGGAGGCTGAGGCACGAGAATCACCTGAACCACGAGGGTCGGGGTGCAGAGCTTTCAATGAGCCGAGATCACGCCATTGTACTCCAGCCTAGGTAATGGAGTGAGACTGTATCTCAAAAAAAGTTGATCTTGCTATTTAATGTATAGAGTATAATAAATAAATGCCAAAATATTAATGCCTTTCACATCCTTTTCATTTTGAATACATTCCGTATTCAAAGAATTCTTTACATTTCCTTTTTAAAAATCAACTGTCTATGTTCTTGTTAGGAATGGAGGAAGTATCCCAGTGTCCCCTTAATTTATTTCCATTTATTTATTTATTTTTTATATTTATTTATTTATTTTTTGAGGCAGAGTCTCGCTGTGTCTCCCAGGCTGGAATGCAGTGGCCTGAATGAATGGAGAAAGTATCCCAGTGTCCCCTTAATTTATTTCCATTTTATTTATTTATTTATTTATTTATTTATTTATTTATTTTTTGAGACACAGTCTCGCTGTGTCGCCCAGGCTGGAGCACAGTGGCCTGATCTTGGCTCACTGCTAGCTCCACCTCCCGGGTTCATGCCATTCTCCTGCCTCAGCCTTCCTAGTAGCTGGGACTGTAGGCGCCCACCACCACGCCCGGCTCATTTTTTGCATTTTTAGTAGAGACGCGATTTCACTGTGTTAGCCAGGATGGTCTTGATCTCCTGACCTCGTGATCCACCTGCCTCGGCCTCCCAAAGTGCTGGGATTACAGGCGCGAGCCACCACGCCTGGCCTTATTTATTTTTAGAGACAGGGTCTTGCTCTGTCACTCAAGCTGGAGTGCAGTGGTGCAATCATAGTTCACTGAAGTCCTGAACTCCTGGGCTCAAACAAACCTCCCACCTCAACCTCTGGAGTAGCTAGGACTGTAGGCGTGTGCCACCATGCCCAACTAATATTAAAAAATTTTTAGTAGAAATAGGGTCTTGCTATATTGTCCACACTGGTTTTGAACTCCTGAGTTCCAAGCGATCCCCCACCTTGGCCTTCCAAAATGCTGAGACTACTAGCATGAGCTACTACAGCTGACCAATTCATGCCACTTATATATTAAAAGCCAGCCATGTGAATTTAAACAAATACTTTAGTTGCCAATTTTTATTATTGTATATAGCAGTGATTATCAGCTTTTCATTTTCTTCATGCCTCTGCCTGTTTTTAAATTGTCAATTTTTTAGGATTCCAACTGATTGTTAATTTTCTTCAAATGAAGCCTGTGTGCTATATGTGCTCAGGTACTTAAATGAATGGTATTTATATAGATTGATGGCCGAGTATGTTGTTGTGCCATTATTTATTTAATGAGATCTCTTGATGGGTACCTGGGTTGGATTTTGTTTCCCCTACTGCTTCAAGCAGTGTGTCAGTAAGCATCCTTGTGTATATGCCTTTGTACATTATGGGTATATTTCCTTAGGATAGATTCCTAGAAGTAAAATTGCTGGGGTAGGGTAGTATATTAAAACAATTTGACAGCTGGGAGGGGTGGCCCACACCTGTAATCCCAGCACCATGGGAGGCTAAAGCAGGTAGATCACTTGAGTCCAGGAGTTTGAGACCAACCTGGGCAATGTGGCAAAACCACATCTCTACAAACAATAAAAAATGTTAGCTGGGTATGGTGGTTTGCACCTGTAGTCGCAGTTACTTGAGAGGCTGAGGTGGAAGTAGAAGGATCACTTGAGCCCTAGGAGGTCGAGGCTGCAGTGAGCCGTGATCGTGCACTCCAGCCTGGGCAACAGAGAGAGACCCTGTCTCAAAAAAAAAAAAAAAAAATCCCAAAAAACCAATTTGACACCTATGTCTCTTTGGCCAGGATTCAATGACAGTAAAAGATGCTATAAAAGAGTTGGGTACTGTGTGAGTGTGCGTGTGTGTGCACATGCATGTGCATACCTGCAGGTGCACATGTGCATCTGTATTAGAGGAGCTCCTTTCCTTGATAGGGTAAGATGTTCTAATCATCTACTATATACACCTGTACTATTAGGCACTTTTAAGTAAATCCACATCTAAATTTTCACAGTATACACAAGGTTCTTCCTCTAAGCCCACATTTTCTGTACTTTTAATTATACCACAGCTACCTCCCCCATTCAGATACTTAGTAATTTGTTTCCTTGTAAAAGATAAGTGGGAAGGAATGTTAGTTAACCAGGTTATGGCGAAGTAAGGACTAAAGTTGATGTAAGGCCGGGTGCAGTGGCTCACGCTTGTAATCCCAGCACTTTGGGAGGCTGAAGTGGGCAGGTCACTTGAGGTCAGGCGTTCGAGACCAGCCTGGCCAGCATGGTGAAACCTCGTAAAAATACAAATATTAGTTGGGTGTGGTGGCATATGCCTGTATTCCCAGCTACTGGGGAGGCAGAGGCAGGAGAATTGCTTGAACCCAGGAGGTGGAGGTTGCAGTGAGCCGAGATCCCGCCACTGCACTCCAGCCTGGGTGACAGAGCGAGACTCCATCTCAAAAAAAAAAAATTGATGTAAATAGGAAAATTAGCTGGACAAGGAATCAAAAGACTGTATTTGGTTTTGTTATTTTTTACTTTGTATTGGCTATTAGTTTTGAATAATTTCCAGGTTTTGGTTTGTTTTTGGTAAAAGTATCTTTAAAATGGAATGTGCTGGCCCGGCGTGGTGGCTTATGCCAGTAATCCCAGCACTTTGGGAGGCTGAGGTGGGTGGATTACTTGAAACCAGGAGTTTGAGACCAGCCTGGCCAAAGTGGTGAAACCCTGTCTGTACTAAAAATGCAAAAATTAGCCAGGCGTGGTGGTGCATGCCTGTAATACCCAGTTGCTCAGGTGACTGAGGCATGAGAATCGCTTGAACCCAGGAGGCGGAGGTTGCAGTGAGTCACTTTACTCCAGCCTGGGCAACAGAGCAAGACTCTGTCACACACACACAAAAAAGAATGTGCTGTGCACATTTCCAATAATAGATATTTGTTGTCCTTTTTTAACATGTGTTTTTCAAACTATTATAATTATTTATTAATTATAAGCATTTTAGTCTAATGTAATAAGATTCAGACATTTTATTTTATTTATTTATTTTTTGAGACAGAGTCTCCTTGCTCTGTTGCCCGGGCTGGAGTGCAGTGGCGTGACCTCAGCTCACTGCAACCTCTGCCTCCCGGGTTCAAGCGATTCTCCTGCCTCCACCTCCTGAGCATCTGGGATTACAGGTGTCCAGCAGCACACATGGCTAATTTTTTTTGTATTTTTAGTGGAGACGGGGTTTCACCATGTTGGCCAGGCTGGTTTTGAACTCCTGACCTCAAGTGATCCGCCCATCTTGGCCTCCCAAAGTCCTAGGATTACAGGCGTGAGCCAACGTGTACAGCCAGATTCAGACATTCTAATTTTGAGCTTTAAAAGAATGCTGAAAGTAAATAAAATATGACCTATCTGAAGATCAGGTTTCTAGTTTTTACAAGTACTTTTGAAAGCAGTGTTTAGTGTGATTGTTGACCTAGACTGTTCTTGATTTCTGTTTTGGGTATGTTCTGAATGAATATTCTTGCCTGTTTCAGATACTGAGCCATATTTGAAGTTTCATGGGTGATTTTTCTGGTTTCTTTTCTTCTTAGTCTGATCTGAAATGTGTCCAGGATGCCAAGGGAGGTTCTTTCTACAGAGATCACTGCCCTGTGCTAGGTGAGTGAGAAGATTAGAGAGTATTACTAAATAATGGGTCAGAGTTCGTGGAATCAGTAAAATGCTTAAATTGGATGTTAGAAAAGTTAATTACCACTAAAGTTACTTAGAGAAAAAATTTTTTGGCTTTCCTTTGGTCTTAAAGTATTTTTTCTTTTATTATGCTTTATTTGGACTCAGAGTTGTCATGTCTTGAGAATTCATTGGCCATTTATGTCATAATATACATTTGAAACTTTTATGTTTTAACTGCAAATTATATTGTTGAAAAATTTTGCATTAGATTACAACAATTGTATGTTATACACTATTGAGAATAGGATTTGACACTTTTGTGCTTAAAAATTCCTTAGAATTTTTGTCAAATTGTCTTCCTAAGTACAGCTCCAAGATTAAGATAATATATGTAATTTCATGTATCATTAAAATAAAAAAAAGGGAACAAGAAAACCAAAACTACCTTCATTTTGTAGATTTATTGTTGCCTGGATGAACATTTACCACACTCTCCTGATCTTTATTCTCTGAATGGTTTTCTTTCTCATGTGAACTGTGTTTCTCCTTCCAAATCATTTGACTTGCCTTTGTCGCAAAAAGTGCTGTTTTTTTTGCAGTATACCTTAATTTTTTTTTAAAAAAGGAGAATGCATAAAAAAATTTACATTTTTTAATGAGCTCATCTATCTTGCTTTCACAAAACAAGCTTTCTTGTTTTGTGTTTTGCTTTCATAAGAAAAATGCAAAATCAACATGCATATTTTGGATCTCAGTATAGTGTTTCATGATCATGAATTCATCTCAGAACTAGCTTTTGAAAATAATCTAGGGAATAAGCTTTGACATATTTTAAAAAGCTCTTTAGGGCAAGAATCACAGGAACCATTTGTTAAAATAAGATAGTACTAAGCACTTAATGGAAAAAATAATTCCAGGGCTTTCATTCATATTCTCTAGTTAGTTATTGTGGTTCTAATGCAGTGATAGTAAGTTATCCAGGCATAAAAGTGAGTATTTTCAACACCTGGAACTTTGTGTTCTGATACAAGGTTGAATAGTCTTTTATAGACTCTACTTTTACTCAGTCTTTGTTATAACTCATATTATTTCAATTTTTGAGTCTGTTTGGCTTTTTTCTTTTTTTAAAAAAAGCTTTCTAGTTCTAAAATTTTATACTTATAGGGAATTCTCAAGACCTTTTAAAACTAGATGGTACCTGAAACTAAAATATCTACATGTTATTTAAAGATAATGCAGCTGCCTGTTGTTGTGAGGTTTTTTTCTCCCTTTATTCAATTGCCTCTGAAATTACAGGTGAGCAGAATGGCAACAGGAATCCTGGTGGATTGCAGATTGGTGACCTGGTAAATATAGATCTCGACCTCGAAATTGTACAGTCTTTGCAGCATGGTCATGGAGGATGGACTGATGGAATGTTTGAGACTTTAACTACAACTGGAACTGTTTGTGGCATTGATGAAGATCATGACATTGTAGTACAGTATCCAAGTGGCAATAGGTGGGTGATATCTCTCAATTTTTGACAATGACAAATAAAACTAATATAGAGAAAAGTCTTAGAGAAAGCAAATAAAGTGATACAACCAAATACTCATTAAAGCTAGCTTTTAGATGGTAAGTAAAAATCCAGAATATATATTGGTAAGGTGGAGAGAAACAAATGATAAGAATTACGTGTGTGTGTGTGTGTGTGTGTGTGTGTGTCTTGTGTGTGTATGTGAATTTATATGAGGATGTTTATGATACAGTGTTCTGTACACTATTTTTCCTTCAAGAGGAGAATACATTATATCACTATTAGGTCTGAATACAGCTTAAAAGTTCTGTGTTCGTATTGGACTATATCAGTCTACCCTGAATAGGAAGGGTTTTACATTAAAACTCCTTTGGTGCATATCTCCAGGGTCATCTCTTATTTTTTGTTTTTATTGATACACAAGAGGTGTACATATTTTGGGATACATGTGATATTTTCATCCATGCATACAATGTATAATGATCAAACAGGCAATTGGGGCAACCATCAGTATTAACATCACCCCTTCTTTACATTGGGAACATTCCAGTTCCTCTCCCCAGCTGTTCTGAACTATACAAGTTGTTAACTATAGTCGCCCAACTGTACTATCAAACATTAGATTTTTTTCCCCGTATCTAGCTGTAGTCTTGTACGCATTTACCATCTCACTCATCCCCCCCTTTCTCCTACTGTTCCCAGCCTCTGGTAACCACCAATCAACTTTCTATCTCCATGAGATCCACATTTTACATCTCCTCATATGAGTGAGAACATGTGGTATTTGTCTTTCTGTGTCTGGCTTATTTCACTTAACATAATGACCTCCAGTTCCATTCATGTTGCTGCAGATGACAGGATTTCATTCTTTTTATAGCTGAGTAATACTCCTTTGGGTATATGTACCTCCTGTTCTATTCTATTTTTAGAGAAGGGGTCTCATTGTATTGCCCATGCAGGTCCTGAACTCCTGGTCTCAAGTGATGTTTCTCCCCTGGCCTCCCAAAGTGTTGGGATTACAGGAATGAGCCACCATACCCGGCCCACATTTTCTTTATCCTTTCAATCTATTTATGAACACTTAGGTTGATTTCATGTCTTGGCTATTGTGGATAGTGCTGCAGTAAACATGGGAGTACAAATCTCTCTTTGACATACTGATATTCTTTCTTCTGGGTATATATACACCCAGCAATGGGATTACTGGATCATATGGTAGTTCTGTTTTTAGTTTTTTGAGGAACCTCCATACTGTTTCTCATAGTGGCTGTACTAATTTAAAGTCCCACCAACAGTCTACAGGTGTTCCCCTTTTCGTGTGTTCTTGTCAGCATCCGAAAAGCCATTTTCTTTTTTTCTCTTTTTAAAAATTTAAATTAAAAACTTTTTTTATAGTAGAGATAGGGTCTTGCCATATTGCCCAGGCTGGCGCTGAACCCCTGGCCTCAAGTGATCCTCCCACTTTGACCTCCCAAAGTGCTGGGGGCTTGAGCCACCTCGACTGGCCAGTAAAAGCAACAGTAGTTTGAGAGGATTGATATTTGTTCTTTAAATGTTTGGTAGAATCTGGCATTGAAACCATCAGGCCCTGGGGCTTTTCTCTGATGGGAGATATTTTTATTACTTCTTTGATCTTGTTACTCATTATTGGTCTGTTCAAGTTATATATATATATATATATATATATATATATATATATATATATATATATAAAATTATTATTATTATTTTTTGAGATGGGGTCTCCCTCTGTCACCCAGGCTGGAGTGGCACGATGTCAGCTCATTGCAACCTCCGTCTCCCAGGTTCAAATGATTCTCTTGCCTCAGCCTCCCAAGTAGCTGGGATTATGGGCATGTGCCACCACACCCAGCTAAATTTTGTATTTTTTAATAGAGATGGGGTTTCACCATGTTGGCCAGGCTGATCTTGAACCCCTGACCTCAAGTGATCCGCCCACCTTGGCCTCCCAAAGTGCTGAGATTACAGGTGAGCCACCGCCCCTGGCCAGGGTTGATACTTCTTCATGTCTCAATCTTGGTAGGTTGTTTATGTCCAATAATTTATCTATTTCTTCTAGATTTTTCAATTTGTTGGTATATAGATGTTCATGATATTCTGTCATGATCCTTTACATTTCTGTGGTATCATTTATGTCCCCATTTTTGTTTCTGATTTTATTTGGGTCTTCTGGTTTTATCTTAGTTGGTCTACCTAAAGATTTGTTGATTTTGTTTATCTTTTGAAAAATCCAGCTTTTCATTTTGTTGATATTTTCTCTTTTTATTGTCTCAATTTCATTTATTTCTGCTGATCTTTATTACTTCTTCCTTCTACTATTGGATTTGCTTTGTTTTTGCTTTTCTAGTTCCTTGAGCTGTATTGTTAGGTTATTTGAAATCTTCCTACTTTTTAAATTATTATTATTATTTTTTTGAGACGAAGTTTCGCTCTTGTTGCCCAGGCTGGAGTGCAATGGCGCGATCTCAGCTCACTGCAACCTCTGCCTTCTGGGTTCAAACGGTTCTCCTGCCTCAGCCTTCCCGAGTAGCTGGGATTACAGTCATGTGCCACCACGCCCAGCTAATTTTGTATTTTTAGTAGAGATGGGGTTTCTCCATGTTGGTCAGGCTGGTCTTGAACTCCTGACCTCCCGTGATCCGCCCACCTTGGCCTCCCAAAGTACTGGGATTATAGGCATGAACCACTGCATCTGGCGTTAAATTATTGATCAGGTGTTTATTGCTATAGATATCCCTCTTACTACTGCTTTTTCTGTATTTCATGGATTTTGATATGTTGTGTTTCCATTTTCATTTGTTTCAAGAAATTTTAAAATTTCCTTCTTAATTTCTTTATTGACGCTTTCATTGTTCAGGATAATGTTTAATTTCTTTCTAGTGTTATTGCATTGTGGTCAGAAAAGATACTTTATACCATTTCAACTTTTTTGAATTTAGTGAGACTTGTTTTGTGGCCCAATATGTGGTCTCTTTTGGAGAATGTTCCTCGTGCTGATGAGAACAGTGTGTATTCTATGGCAGTTGGATGAAGTATTCTGTAAGTGTCAATTATGTATATTTGGTTTGGATTGTAGTTTAACTTTGATGTTTCTTTGTTGATTTTCTCTCTAGTTGATGATCTGTTCATTACTGAAAGTTAAATGTTGAAATGTCCCCTACTGTTAAAGATATTGCAGTGTATCTTTCCCTTTAGATCTATTGATGTTTGTGTTTTATATTTGGTTGCTCCAGTGTTGAGTGCATATATAATTGTTATATCCTTTTGCTGAATTGACCACTTTATTATTATACAGTGACTTTTGTCTGTTTTTACAGTCTTTAACTTAAAGTCTATTTTATCTGATATAAAAGTATAATTATTCCTGCTCTTTTTTGGTTTCCATTTGTGTGCAATATCTTTTTCCATCCCTTCACTTTCAGTCTGCATGTGTCTTTATAGGTGAAATGAATTTCTTGTAGGGAGCACAGGGTTGGGTCATTTAAACAATTTTCTTTTACCCATTCAGCCACTCTATGCCTTTTTTTTTTTTTCTTGAGATGGAATCTTACTCTGTCGCCCAGGCTGGAGTGCAGTGGGACGATATTGGCTCACTGCAACCTCCGCCTCCCGGGTTCAAGCAATTCTCCTGTCTCAGCCTTCCGAGTAGCTGGGACTACAGGTGCCCTCCACCAAGCCCAGCTAATTTTTGTATTTTTAGTAGAGATGGGGTTTCACCATATTAGTCAGGCTGGTCTCTAACTCCTGACCTCAGGTGGTCCTCCCGCCTCAGCCTCCCAAAGTACTGGGATTACAGGTGTGAGCCGCTGTGCCCGGCCTCACTCTATGTCTTCTAGTTGGAGAATTAGTTCATTTACATTCATTGTTGTTATTGATAGGTAAAGATTTACTACTGCTATTTTTGTTACTTGTTATTTGGTTGTTTTGTAACTCGTCTCTTCCTTTTTTTTTTCTTGCCCTCTTCCTTTGTGGTTAGGTGATTTTCTTTGGTAGTACGTTTTAATGTGTTTTTTAAATAAATTTTATCATTTTTTGTTTTTGAGACAAGGTCTCACTCTGTCATTCAGGCTGTAGTGCAGTGACATGATCATGGCTCACTGAAGCCTTGAACTCCTGGCTTCAAGCAGTCCTTCCACTTTAGCCTTCCAAGTGGCTGGAACTACAGGTGCACACCACCATGGTCATTAAAAATTTTTTTTGTAGAGATGGGGTCTTACGATGTTGCCCAGGCTGGTCTTGAACTCTTTGCCTCAGGCAATCCTCCTGCCTCACCCTCCCACAATATTGGGGTTACAGGTGTGAGCCACTGCACCCAGCCTGTGTTGCTTTTTTTTTTTTTTTTTGATACGGAGTCTCGCTATGTCACCAGGCTGGAGTGCAGTGGTGTGATCTCGGCTCACTGTGACCTCCGACTCCCTGGTTCAGACAATTCTCCTGCCTCAGCCTCCCGCGTAGCTGGGACTACAGGCGCGTGCCACCACACCCAGCTAGTTTTTGTATTTTTAGTAGAGAGGGGGTTTCACCATGTTGGCCAGGCTGGTCTGGATCTCCTGACCTCGTAATCCGCCCTCCTCGGCCTCCCAAAGTGCTGGGATTACAGGTGTGAGCCACCGCGCCCAGCCCTGTGTTGCTTATTTTCAGTTTATCTACTATACGTTTTTTCTTCTTGGTTACCATGAAGCTTACAAAAAACATCTTATATGTGGACGGCAAGCCACCTAGTTGCCAAGGCAAGAGACCGAGGGCACAAGCTGTTCCAGTATAATAAAGAAAATATATAGAATAAGAATAGTTATAATAGTTATACTAGAAATGGAGTATAGATTTGATTATATATGAATATTATTAATCATTAATTTGTAGCATTACTCTTTATTCCAGTATTGTAATAATCTTTGTTCTACAATTGTAACCTAGGAAAGACCAGGCTATACAGATATAGGAGCTGAAGGGACATGGTGAGAAGTGACCAGAAGAGAAGAGTGTGAGCCCTCTGTCACGCCCAGACAGGGCCACTAGAGGGCTCGTTGGTCTAGTGGTAACGCCAGTGCCTGGGAAGGCACCTGTTACTTAGCAGACCGGGAAAGGGAGTCTCCCTTTCCCCGGAGGAGTTAGAGAAGACTCTGCTCCACCACCTCTTGTGGAAGATCTGACATCAGCCAGGCCCGCCCGCAGCCATCCGGAGGCCTAAACCTCTCCCCGTGATGGTGTGCTTCAGTGGTCACGTTCCTGGTCCACTTTCATGTTTCGCCCTGTACACCTGGCTCCGTCTTCTAGATAGCAGTAGTAGAATTAGTGAAAGTATTAAAGCTGTTGATCTCTCCGAAAAATGCGTAGAAGAAATAATGATGTAAGCTGTCCTCTCTCTCTTTCTGCCTCGGCTACCAAAATAGGGAAGGGCTCCCTGTCTGGTGGACACATGACTCGTGTGACCCGGTGGACATGTGACTTGTGTGACCTTACCTATCATTGGAGACGACTCACACTCCTTACCCTGCCCCCTTGCCTTGTATACAATAAATAACAGCGTGGCCAGGCATTTGGGGCCGCTACCGGTCTCCGCGTCTTGGTGGTAGTGGTACCCCAAGCCCAGCTGTCTTTTCTTCTATCTCTCTGTCTTGTGTTTTTATTTCTATGATCTCTCGTCTCCGCCCACGAAGAAAAAAACCCACAGGCCCAGTAGGGCTGGACCCTATATTATAGATATAACAAGTTATTTTAAACAGGTGACGTCTTAACTTTGATTACAAAGAAAATCAAACAAAGGAAAACTAAAAGACTCTACACTTTTTAACTCCTCCACATTGTGACTTGTTGTCTCTGTGTACATCTTTTGATATTGCCTATCTCTTAACTGTTTGCCGTAGTTATTTTTTTGATAAGTTTGTCTTTTAGTCTTATGCTAGAGTTATGAGGTGATTACACGTAATTGTAGTATTAAGAGTATTCTGAATCTGTCTGTGTAATTACTTTTACCAGGGAATTTTGTATCTTCACATGTTTTCTTTCTGCATATTACTATCCTTTTCTTTTAGATTGATGAACTCCCTTTACTATTTCTTATAAGAAATGATGGTGATGAATTTCCTCAGCTTTTGTTCATCTGGGAAAGGTTTTATCTCCCCTCCATGTTTGAAGGAAAGTTTTGGTTGGTACAGTATTCTTAATTACCAGTTTTTTTCTTTTAGCATTTTGAATATGTCATCTTGCTCTCTCCTGTCCTGTATGGTTTCTGCTGAAAGGTCTGTTGCTAGATGAATTGGTGCTCTTTTATGTGTTATTTCCTTCTCTTCTATTGCTTATTTTTGGATCCTTACTTTGTCTTTGACCTTTGAGAGTTTGATTAGTATATGTCTTGGGGTAGTCTATTTGTTTTTCTGTTTTTTTTTTGAGACAGAGTCTCTCTCTGTCACCCAGGCTGGAGTGCAGTGGCACGATCTCGGCTCACTGCAAGCTCCGCCTCCTGGGTTCACACCATTCTCCTGCCTCAGCCTCCCGAGTAGCTGGGACTACAGGCGCCTGCCACGACACCTGGCTAATTTTTTTGTATTTTTAGTAGAGACGAGGTTTCACCATGTTAGCGAAGATGGTCTCAATCTCCTGACCTTGTGATCCGCCCGCCTCGGCCTCCCAAAGTGCTGGGATTACAGGCGTGAGCCGCTGCGCCCAGCTCTATTTGGTTATTATTTGGATTTAATTTGTTTGGTGATTTCTGACCTTGCTGTACATTGATATTTATTTTTTTATAGTTTTTGCTTTTATCTTTCTCTAGATTTGGAAAGTTTTCTGTTGTAATTTGAATAAGCTTCTTACCCCTTGCTCTTTCTCAACTCTCTCTTGAATGCCATTGACTCAGTTTTGCTTTTTTGAAGTTAGTCTCTATATCTTGTAGGCCTTCTCCATTCCTTTTCATTCTTTTTTCTCTTCTGTGTATTTTCAAATAGCTTATATCCAGTCCCACTGTTTTTATTTTTTTCCACTGCTTAATTTTGCTGTTGAGAGCCTCTGATGCATTTTTCATTTCAACAGATACATTTCTCAGTTCTAGGATTTTTGTTTGATTTTGAAAACATCATTTCCATCTCTGTTAAATTTCTCTGATAAATTCCTGAATTGGTTTTCTGTGTTATCTTAGAGTTCAACTGAGTTTCTTTAGAACTGCTATTTTGAATTCTTTAACTGAGAGCTTACATATTGCTGCCTTATTAGGGTTGGTCATTGGCACTTTGCTTTGTCCATTGGCTTCCTGTTTATTTTCTTATCTGCCTTATATGGCTTCGTATTGAAAGATCATTTTTTTTTTTTTTCCCAGTTTTTGCTGTCTGCTTATTTTGGTCTTTCTAGGGCATACTTGCTTAGAAGTTCTTTGCAATTGCCTGTTGAATCCCCTAAATTATAGATTGCTGCCTGCCTCCTTTTCAGAGCTAAATGGTGCCTTAAGCCCAAGTTTGCCTTGGGTGTCACAAATGTTTGGAACTCTGTTCATCCTGAATTGGGCGGGAAGGAGTGGGGGTGGATCCCAAAAGTGGTACCTTGGCTATGTGGGAAGTCTGGTTAGGGATTTATGGCCAGAAGACCCATGGAATGTGTGCCTCCTGCAGTATAGTGCTGCTGAACAGCCACTCTGATTTGATGTCTCTCTTGGCTAAGATAAAGAGCAGAGTTTCAAGGGCTAGGTTTGCTAGTCCTGTCTCTTCTCTTTGACTGTAGCTACCCTTAGGGATTTTTCTTCCTGCAGGTACTCATAAGGCTTCCTGTGGATTGAGGCAGGAATGATTTTCCTGCAAGGGAACCCAAGTTGGTAGGAAGCTGGCTCTCTGCCTTGATCTCACTTTTTCCAGTGTAGAGACTGTGATTCCTGGGGGAATTTTCTGTGCTTTGTGCCTGGTAGATAGGGGGAAGGATGTTGCAGATACAGAAATTCGTTTCTTTTATTATCTGCTTGGCGTTTTTCATGTCTCTGGCCCCAGGGATCATTTCAGCTTCAGACTTGAGTTCTGGGATATTGCTGGTGATAATCTTGGTGCTGGGTATTTTTTTTTTTTTTTTCGATTTTCTGTTGGGGAGAGTGAAGCCAGATTGTTTCTACTCTGAGATTTTGGCGTTGCCACAGATATGTACACATATACTAATCCTTATCAGCGGTATAAAATTGTATGCACTTCCTCACTTATGTACCTTTTAACATACTACTCCCTTTAAGTAAAATGCCTGCTCCTCTTTTTCTCCCTTGTTACCTGGATTAATTCCTCTACATCCTATAAATACTGAGTTTATATGATTTGCGAACCTCCTCTCTCCTTTTACTCTCCATAGTATTATATATGCATATACTCTTCATCTATTTAGGTTTACTCTTACCTATTAAAATTCATTTGATTTCTAGATTGCAAGTTTCTTGGAGGCTAGGGATGTCTTTTTAATTTTATTTGGGCCAAAACATATCTAATCCACTTTAGTATGTTTATAGTATTTTAAAGAAAAATCAATAAATTGAATAATTGTCTTACTGACATGTACATAAAGAAACTAATTCCCTGAGGTTCTTTGGGGAAGTGATATTATATAGAATAAGAAAAGTTAACATTAAGTTGCTTACCTAGGTATAGCATTAGGCCTGATTGTATTCAAATCTTACGAGCATACATGATCATATCAGTAGATGCAGAAAAAGTACTTGACAAAATCCAACACCCTTTCGTGATAAAAACACTAAACAAACTGGGACCAGAAGGGAACTTCTTTGGCTTGATAAAGGACATCTATGAAAAACCACAGCTAACATCATCCTTAATGATGAAAGACTGAATACTTACCCGGTAACATCAGAAACAAGACAAGAATGTCCACTTTATTACTTCTGTTCAACATTATACCAGAGGTTCTAGTCATAGCAACTAGGTAAGAAAAAGAAATAAAAGGAAGAAGTAAAAGAAAAAGAAGATGTGAAACTAACTTTGCTTACAGATGACCTGATACCATGTATAGAAAAACCCAAAGAATCCACAAAAGCTATTGTAGCTAATAAATGAGTTCAGCAAGATTGCAGGAACCAAGATTGATATAGGAACATCAGTTGTCTTTCTGTACACTAACAATGAACAATATGAAAATGAAATTAAAACAATTTCATTTATAATGGCATCAAAAAGAGTAAAATACTTAAGAATAAATTTAACCAAGGAGATGCAAGACTTGTACAGTGAAAACTACTGAACATTGTTGAAAGAAATTAAAGAAGACCTAAATAAATGACAAAACATTCCATGTTCTTAGATCAGGTTTAATATTGTTTAGATGGTATATTAGTTTCCTAGGGCTGCTATAACAAATTACCATAGACTGGGTGGCTTAACAGAGATTTATTCTTTCACAGTATCAGAGGCTAGAAGTCCAGAGTCTGGGTGTTGGCAAGATTGGTTTGTTCTGGAGACTTTCAGGGAGAATCTGTTGTATGCCTTTCTCCCAGCTTCTGGTGGTTCCCAGCAATCTTTGTTCCTTGGCTTGTAGATGCATCACTCTATATTCTCTGCCACTGTCTTCACATGACCTTTTTCCCTGTGAGTCTGTGTTTCTTGGTGGGTGTCGGTACATGACTCTCTTATAAGGACACTAAACATTGAATTTAGGGCCTACCCTAATCCAGTATGACCTCACTTTAACTTGATTACATATGTAAAGTCCCTGTTTACAAATAAGGTAACATTAACAGATACCTGGATTAGGACTTCAGCATATTTTGGAAGGGGGCATAATTCAACCCACAATAGATGGCAGTATTTCCCAAACTAATCTTCCGATTAAGTGTAATCCCTATCAAAATCCTGGTACTTTTTTTTGCAGAAATTGACACACTGATATTAAAATTCCTGACCCGAGGTCAGGAGTTCGAGAACAGGCTGGCCAACGTAGCGAAACCCTGCCTCTACTAAAAATACAAAAATTAGCTGAGCGTTGTGGTGCATGCCTGTAATCCCAGCTACTTGGGAGACTGAGGCAGGAGAATTGCTTGAACCTGGGTAACAGAGTGAGACTCTGTATCAAAAAAAGAAAAAATAAAGCAAACAAAGAACAGTTTACTTGTGTGGTTACAGAAAGTTAGTAAACAGGCTTTTATATGCTAATAACCATTTGGACTAAGGAGAAGAGGATATAATATGCCAATATTGTAGAAACTTACTTGACAAGGGAACCTTTACTCTTGGAGTTCAGTGTGGAATTAGGGTAGGTGTTCTGTTATCAATTGTGGTACATCTATTTGATGGAATATTAAGTAGTCATTAAAACGATTATTTTGAAGATGATAGCAGCGTGGAAAATGCCTGTATAAAGACATCAGCATTCAAATTAGTTTGCTACAATGATTACAATTATGGTAAATATCCATGCATGGAAAATTAAAACTAGATAATATTTTTATCCATTAAATTGGCAATGGTGTGGGGAAATGGTACACTCATTGTACAGCAGTTTGGCTCTATTGGAATTGTAAACAAATGTATGCTTTGATCAGATAGTTCTTTTAAGAATCTCTACTGAAATACCGACCTCATGTGCACAAAGATGTATACGCAGGAATGGTCTTTACAGTACTGTACATATTGGTGACAATTTGGAAGCACTTTAAATGCTAGTCAATAGGAGAATAGTTAAGTACATTAGTGTATATCCAAGTGATGGAATACTCTGTAGCAGTTAAATTGAATTAAGGTCTATTCAATTTAGGTCTGTATTCTTAGACCTATTTAAGATAGGTCTGTATCTGTGACACTAAAAAATAAATCTTCCAAGATGCATTCTTTGAAAAAAAAGTCACAAAATATATGTATGTGTCCCTATGTCTGCGTATACATATATATGTATATAATATTCCCATTTATGGAAAACAACTAGATTATGAATGTCATTCAGTGTATTGATAGAATGTCTGTAAGGACACAGAGTAGAATATTAATAGTGGTTTCTAGTGGGATGGGAATGGTGATCCAGCGTGTTTGTGTGAAATGGAACTTTTACTTTACATGTTTCTGAAATGTTTGAATTTTTAACAATAATTGTATATTACTTTTATAACAGTTTTGAAAACATGCAGGGGAGAATAGACAAACGTATACCAAAGTATTTACACTTGTATTAAGGTGGTAAGATTATGGATGACTCTTTCCCCAAATTTGTATATTAAAATTATAAAAAGGAGGTGCTGGGGCGGTGGTTCACACCTGTAATCCCAGCACTTTGGGAGGCTGAGGCAGGCAGATCACTTGAGCTCAGGAGTTCGAGACCAGCCAGGCTAACATGGTGAAATCCTGTCTCTACTAAAAATACAAAAATTAGCTGGGCACAGTGGCATGCGCCTGTAATCCCAGCTACTTGGGAGGCTGAGGCAGGAGAATCATGCAGTGAGCCGAGATCATGCCACTGCACTCCAGCCTGGGTGACAGAGCAAGACTCTGTCTAAAAAAAAAAAAAACAAAACAGAAAACAAACAATGTATCAATATATATGTATTTGTGTATATATAAATAAACACAAATCATTCAGGATATAATTGCAAAGGATTGCCTTACTCTTTTGATCTTCACTGTTTAAGAATTTTGTATTAAAATTAAGCAAAGCTACCCATTTTGAGGTTTAGCTTTGCTCTTGTAGGTGGACCTTCAATCCTGCTGTTCTCACTAAAGCGAACATTGTCCGAAGTGGAGATGCTGCTCAGGGTGCAGAAGGAGGCACCTCGCAGTTTCAAGTGGGTGATCTTGTACAAGTTTGTTATGACCTGGAACGAATTAAACTTCTACAAAGAGGACATGGAGAATGGGCTGAAGCGATGCTTCCAGTAAGTATGTTTAGAATAATTCTGGGCTAGAAATTACAATATACTTATGTCATTTTTAAAAGTAAATTAATGTAGAAATTAAATTGGCATAAAACTTCTTAGAATTGTACTCTCCATTTGCACCTAGACATACTCGTGCATTTTGTTTTCTAATTTATCCCAGTTAAATTAGCCTGGGAAGATCCAGAAAAGGTTACAGTTAATATTTAATATTTTTTGATAGAGTGGTTATTGGAGAATGTTGTGTGGTGCAAGTCAGCAGTGGTTTTTCTGATACTTAACCCCAGAATGATATAGGTCTATGCCCATCTGGTCTCTAGCAGTGCTGGACCAGTGCAGCTTTCCTGATGTGGGGGCCTGCCTCTTTAAAACTTGAGTATGAAAGAGCAGCTCAGAAATGTGTGTGCTTTCATAGAGTGAATTTGTTCCCAAAGAGCTACAGTTTTTTATTTAGTCATTTTTTCGTCAAATGTTCATCAACAACAAACAAATTTGCTTGTTCTGCCCTCTCTTCAACCATCCTTCCCTTTCCCTGTCTGTATCCCTTGCTTCTGTCCTTCTGTCCCTGCCTTTGGTATTACTCTGTCACCTTGCCATCCCTTATGCTTCCTTCTTCTGTTTCCCTTCCTCCTCCACCTTGCTGTGTCCTCCTCTGTAGTTCTCCACCTTGCGTACTCCCATCTCCTGTCTCATCCAGCCTCTCAGTTCCTGTCCTGCCTGTCCCTCCATTCCAGTCCCATTCAGTGCCTCCATCCTGTCCCATGTACTTCATCTCACATCCCTCTTAGTATCCTATTACCCCCACTCTACTGTAATTGTTCGGTCTCTTCTCCTGGCCAGCACCTCCTTCTCTTCCCATCCAGCCCCAACTCCTGCCCCATCTCATCCCCTCCCATCCTGCCTAGTCCCTCCTTCCTGTTGTCCTGACCCTCCATTAGCCCTTCTGTCCTTTCTGCCTTATTCCCTAAGTAGGTATTTTAGCACATATAATATGCCTATTAGGCAGGGCTACAATAGTGAACAATACAGAAAAAATAGTGAATAATTGTGAACAAAACAAAAAAATAAAATCTCTGTTGTTATGATGCTTTTATTCAAAGACACTTCACAGTTTGTAGCTGCCGTACACATATACATACAATATTACAAGAGGGTGATGTTATAGCATCCTTATTTTAAAGATGAGGAAATCAGAGGTGCGATTCTGAACTGGATTTTGAACGCAGACCTGTCTTATTTCAAAACCTAAGCAGTCTTTCTGCCATTTCAAACTGCTATATAGATAAAACCTCTAGAGAATTCTAAAGGGAAATTCTGGGATTCCAGTAGTGGTGTTACAGATTTTGTGTCTTATCAAATCCTTTTTGATAAAAATAGACAATTAGATTAGCATAACCAAAAAAGCCACAAACATCTATAACAAAACTAGGTTTCAGAGTAACCTGTTGAACCCTAAATATGAATGAGTAGAGATAAACCACTGACAGCTATTGAGTCTGCATCTCTTCGTATGGGAGCAGAGAGAATTAATGAGGCATCTGATAGATCCGAGAACAGGAAAGCTCCAAAACAGCTAGCAAATATTCATTGGCTAGTGTGGTAGACAATTGTCTTAGCAGCACCTGAACCTGAGAGAGTTCCTGAAGACTCCAGTTTGGGATGAGAAAATAGGTCCATGCTAAAGTCAGAAAGGATGGAACTAGTGTGGGCCTTTAAACTCAAAACTAACCAGCCAAAGCTCCCTTCCAAGGCAGAGCCTCACTTTGAGGAGAAAGTGCTGGGAATAGAAACAAAATTTAGTAGGACGGAGACAGTAGGGACAAAGGAAGGAGAAGGTCCAGATAAAATTTAGAAGGGATCATGGTTAAATTCCCATACACAGTTATTATTGAAAAAAGGGAATAAGGAATAGAACTTCTCTACAGATAGTGAAAGTATATCAGGCCAGACGTGGTGGCTCATGTCTGTAATCCCAGTGCTTTGGGAGGCCAAGATGGGTGGATTGCTTGAGCCAAGGAGTTGAGACCAGCCTGAACAACGTGGTGAAACTCTGTTTCTACTAAAAATACAAAAATTAGCCAGGTGTGGTGGTGTGTGCCTGTAATCCCAGGTACTTGGGAGACTGAAGTGAGAGGATCTCTTGAGCCCAGGAGGTTGAGGCTACAGTGAGCAGAGATCACACTTATTGCACTCCAGCCTGGGCAACAGAGTGAGACCCTGTCTCAAAAAAAAAAAAAAAAAAAAAAAAAAAAAAAGGCATATCAGAAAGATACGTGCAGAAAAATGATGAAAACTGTACTTTTATAATTTAAAATGAGCTAAAAGGCTGGGCACAGTAGTGTGTACCTGTAGTCCCAGCTACTCAGGAGGCTGAGGCAGGAGGATCACTTGACTTCAAGAGCTCTGGGTGTAGTGTGGATGTCTGCACTAAGTTCGGCAAGGATGTGACCTCCTGGGTGAACCCCAGGTTGCCTGTGGCGTGGGGAACTGGCCCAAAATCAAAAACAGAGCAGGTCAAAACTCTCGTGCTGATCAGTAATGGGATCATGCCTGTGAATAGCCACTGCACTTTAGCCTGGGCTAATGTAGTGAGACTGACTCTTAAAAAAAATTGCAAAAAAACGAAAAATGAGCTAAAAGAAATTAAGAAAATGAAAAAAGTGTAAGAGAATGAAATCAGAAATTAGGTGATATAACTTAGGACATAATTAAAAAGAAGTGAAAAAGTCATTTTATAAGTGAAGACTAAGCTGGAAGGAACACAGAGCAGAGCAAATAAATGCAAGAGATAATGGCTAAGAGAAATAGAAGGTGAAAAAGCAGGAAAATTTTAAAAATAGGAAAGGTGAAAAGTATTTCAGAGAAAGAAGTAAACATTAAATAGCCTCTCTCTCTCTCTCTCTCTCTCTCTCTCTACAAGAGAGTCCTTGTAGAAAGGAAAACTAAACCCAAATAAATGAAATGAAACAAATATGAAAATTTGTAATTTTAGAAAAATTTTCCTGGAATTAAGAAAACAATTTGAAACTAAATTTTGAAGGGGCACATTGCATACCTGGGAAAACTGACCCAGAACAGCAAACACTGGGCTATATTCTGGTAAAATAACTGAATCTTCAAGATGAGAGAAAGTATCCAGGAAAAAAGACCAGACAGGTTATTGGTGCTAAAGGAAAGAAAATTATTTTGCTGTTAAGAAAAAAGTCTCATCTCAGTGTTTTATGCCAGAAAACAGTGAGATCGCATTTAAGATACTCAAGGAAAGAATATAAGCTGAAGATTTTATATGTAACCAAACTAACTTTCAAGTATAACTGTGCTATGAATATGTGAGAATTCTTGTTCCCATGAGTCCTTTCTAAGTAATTTGCTAGATAATGAGTTTCAGACAACCAAAACGACTGTAGAGACATCAAGTGAAGGACTAGTGATCATGGAATATGTATTGATTTGTTAAACTAAGATTAAATGAATGTTGTAAAGGAAAGGGTAGAATATATAACAATTATATGTTCTAACAATGTAAATTTTAGTTGTAAAAAATGGGGTGGAAATTGAGCACATGAAAAGTTTAATATGCTGTTTGCCTTTTAGTTGTATTAACTGGGACTAAATATTATTATTTTAGATCAAAATATTAGGAAAGAGTAAGGACACATGAATGACTAATTTCAGTATTGCACATATTAGGGAACCAAGTCGAGATTTTATATATATATAAATATATATGTATATATATAATATATAAATATATATTATATATAATATATAAATATATAATATATATAATATATAAATAATACATAATATATAAATATATATTTATATTTATTTTTATATATACACACACATATATATAATATATAATTATTAGGACAATACAAACTATATTAAAGCAGACAATGTAATGATAAACTATGAAGTTACAAATAAGCGTTACCTATATAAAAAGGGAATAGGATGATATAAGGGGCAAAGAAGGAAGGGAGACCTCTTTGAATATGTCTTGTTTTATAGATTTGATTTGAAATCACATACATATTTAATACAATTGTAAAACGAAGTTAAATTTAAAAAGGAAACTCCTCAAAGTGGAAAATGAAATGAAATAAATGAAACTAAGTGTGTTTCTGTTAGCATAACCATGTAGAGAGAAAATTCCAAGTAATTTTTTAAACACAGTTAATTTTTCTTTATATCTTCATAGGAAGAATAGACCCTAAAGAACTGCATGGAAATTAAATGTTTAACACTTTTCAGAAATCTTATTGCATGTAGTAGCGTTGATATTGTTATTCCGAGATTGTTAGATGTACCAAAAAACAAATGAGTACTTGTGTGATAATTCTGTTACTCCTTTGACTTTGAGAATCAGAATTATCAGAGTTGTAAAAGGAGATGCAGATATAATATAGAGGAGGTGAAGTAAAAACCCTGTAGTCTTGAATTTGAATGAAAAGAGTGTTTGAATGTATGATTTATGCTTCTTTAAAAACAAAACAAATGTCTTCTTTTGAGAAGTGTATGTTCATATCTTTTGCCCACTTTTTGATGGGGTCGTTTGTTTTTTTCTTGTAAATTTGTTTAAGTTCCTTGTAGATTCTGGATATTAGACCTTTGTCAGATGGGTAGATTGCAAAAATTTTCTTCCAGCCATAAAAAAAGAATGAGATCATGTCCTTTGCAGGGACATGGATGAAGCTGGAAGCCATCATCCTTAGCAAACAAACACAGAACAGAAAACCAAACACCACATGTTCTCACTCATAAGTGGGAGTTGAGCAATGAGAACATGTGGACACAGGGAGGGGAACATCACATACTGGGGCCTGTCAGGGTGGGGGGCAAGGGGAGGGAGAGCATTAGGACAAATATCTAATATAATGCATGCGGGGCCTAAAACCTAGATGATGGGTTGATAGGTGCAGCAGACCACCATGGCACATGTATAGCTATGTAACAAACCTGCACTTTCTGCACATGTATCCCAGAACTTAAAGTAAAATTAAAACAAAACAAAAAAATGTCCCAAACAAAAGCTCCTATTTCCTAGCTGTATTCATGAAAATGCCTCCACTGTGACCATTTTAGTAATAACCAAACTTAGTGCCCAGGTTATGGTTTTCAAGCAGCCTTTCTCAATAAAGAGCCAAGGCTTTTTGGAGAAATGGCTAATTCTGACTCTTTGACAAGAGGTGAACAAAATGAGCCTCGTACCAGGTAACAAGGAAGCTGTCACTGGTTTCTAGGACCATGTTAAAAGGACCTAGGAGCCAACTTGAAGGGGTTCTTGCTGACTATATACAGAGGGCTGACGAGTTATTAAAACTACACCAATTAGTAAAATTCAAATGGTAAGAAACTTTGTAAGATAAAGAACTGTTTTTTCAACAAATAATTTGCAAAGAAAAACATGTACTTGTGGACTTTATGTGGATCTTGATTTAAACAAACAAAAAATTGATTATGTGGATCTTGATTTAAACAAACAAAAAATTGATAATTTATGAGGTAATTGGAAGTTTGAACACTGGAATTTTGTGATATGTAACTATTGTAACTTTGGGTGAGTTGATAATAAATAGCATTGTAGAATATGTTATCAAAAAAAGAGTTCTTATTGTTTGGAGGTACATACTGAAATAATACTGGAGGAGAGAATGGGTAGGGGAATAAAGGAAACAAGATTAGCCATGAGCTGATAATTGTTACAAATGGTTGATGGGTACATGAGGATTCAGTATGCTGTTGTCTACTTTTGTATCTCTTGGAAATTTTCCATAATAAAAAGTTGAGGGGAAAAAACAAAGAATGTAGCCTCATAGAGTTTGAGATGATAATGGAAAATTCCAAGTGAAAATGTCTAATAGGCTGTTAAAAAATTAGAATTAGTATGTGTATGTGGGGGTGAGCGGTAATTTTGTGTTTTCAAAAAAAAGGTGATAGTTGTCAAAGTGGGTTGAATTTTCAACGAAGAAGAGTGAAAACCTATGGAATAAAATTTTGGGAAAATGAACAGGTTTAGGAATATGAGGAAGGGAAGGAAAGGAACTGGCAGAAATCAGATGATTCCAAAAAGGGTTTAAACATAGATGTAAGCTTGAGCCCTTCTTGGCCAAATTAGTTTATTTTTTTATTTTTTGTTTTTTTTAGAAATCCAATTTTCTTTTTCAGGCTATATTGATGATAGATTTTAGACTACTTGAGTTGCAAGTTCTCAAAATGTACCTTACAGATTTCAGAAGTAAGGATTGAACATCAAAATAGATGTTTATGAACTCGTATGAATAGGATAGACTTTATCATGATTTGTCTCATATTCTTGTGGAAGTAGTTTTATTATTATTTTAAAAGATATTTTTTAACATTTGTACTTATTCAAATAACCCATTTCAGTATGGTTATCCTTTGAAAGTTTTTTCATTAGTAATAAGTAAAATCATTACTTTAAGCATATAAAAACTAGTGATTGACTTTATGGTATATACTTTAGACTTGGAAACATGAATCTATTTTTTTCCCCAAGACTTTAGGTAAAGTTGGCCGAGTACAACAGATTTATTCAGACAGTGATTTAAAGGTGGAAGTTTGTGGAACATCTTGGACATACAATCCAGCAGCAGTTTCCAAGGTGGCATCTGCAGGATCAGCCATTAGCAATGCATCTGGTGGTATGTTTTATATTGTGTTTCTTTAAGAGTAATGTGGTTTACATTAAAACCTTTGCTAATTCCCCAGTTCTCATATACAGATAATGTTGTACATGTGCTTGGCTTTGTCCCAGATTACACAGCCTTACTTGAATGTTGACCACCTTTTAAACTTTCACTAAAAATTTTTGTTTTTTATAATGTGTTGAACAACCTTTATTCTGGCTGAAGTACTCCCTGGAGAAGTTCCATAAAATGTGTGCTTTTTCTTGGGCATATCAGGGGATTTTCCACATCAAATTTGAGATTCCTAAAATTCAGAATTCTACTCTTTAGTCAGAACTTTTGTTTTCTGCCAAAGAACCATCACTTTCTTAGACTTCTTTATTTTTTCTGTATTTCCAACATTATTGCTAGCAGATGGCTTTCCTTCCTGTATATTTTTACATATCAGTTATTTTTTCTCTTACCATTTAATGAGTTGTTATACATGCTACCGTGACTAGAAACTATGCTAAAATGTGAACATCCTGGATGCTTGAGTTGACTCTTTCACATAGTCTTTCTTTCCTGTGCTCCAGCTTTGTATACACAGACTCAGTTCATTTTACAACATAATACAAGTTACTGTGTGTACATGTTGTCATCCAGAAAAGGAGATAGAACTATAACTATAAATAGTAAGAAACAAAAGGAAAACATAAAGTGACTTCCAATTTTATTTTTGTCCTGCTTTCTGCTTCCTCTGCCTTTTTGTTTATTCTTTCCTGCTGTAATTTGCTAGTATGCTTAACATTTAAATCCAGTGTTTATTTTTACCTTGAGGTTAAATGACACCATAGTAGGTTGACTACATACAAAGTAAAAGAGTGAAGGACAGTTAATAGCCTACTCTCAAATTATGTGGACTTGGCCCACTTTGTCATTTGTCCCTTGCCCTATTTTGTGATTTCTCTGCTTTATAATAAGTACCCCAAGAATTAAGGAGTTAGAGCTTTGTAGCTTCTGTATTGATTGATACTATTTAGAAAAAAATATCTTATGAAAGGGTTTAGGTATATTCATCCCTGGTTCATTGTTGTTTTTGTCAAAACCAATCATTTGGCACTTACTGAAAGTTATTAGCACTTAGATGTCCAGTTTCAACCTAAAGAAAATTGGTTTGACCCTAAACTATGTCCCCAGATATTACAGAGATTGTTGCTTTTGATCATAACCATTAATCTGTTGAATTATTTTAAAGTCTGTAGTATTGAGCTCTGAGAGTCACTGTAGTGTCCTTAAAACCTGAAAGGAAGTTTGTATCATTGTGGTACTCCCATGGTAGTGTGTTTATTCATAAACTTCTTATGATGACTTTTAAATCTTGAATTATTATTAGTATATAATGCACTACTTTTTCTAAAATTATAATTTGATATACATGAATTGGAGAAAACTTGGAATACTTAAGGGCTTGCATTTAATACAGCTTTTTATAGTAGTGATTATAACTTGCATGGGTAGAAAAATAACATTAATGATGGAAAGAATAAAATAGGAAAAGATTATAGAAATATTGGGTAATACTTGTTTCTTAGTAGTTAAGGTTTGAGATCCTCCTATATTAGCAGCTTTATTTGATGCTTTACAGAAAGACTCTCACAACTCCTGAAGAAATTATTTGAAACCCAAGAATCTGGTGACCTCAATGAAGAATTAGTTAAGGCTGCTGCCAATGGAGATGTTGCTAAAGTGGAAGATTTGCTTAAAAGACCAGATGTGGATGTGAGCATTTTAAAAATTATTTTGAAGCATACAAAAAGTAGAATAGTATAATGAACCTTATCCTCAACAATTACTAAGATTTTGCCAGATGTGCTTCATTTATTTCTTCTTTCTTGTTTTTGTGAAGTATTTTAAAGCAGACATCAGACATTCTTCAGTGTGCATTTCTAAAAAAACCAGACATTTTTGTATTTAACATTATGACCTTTTTTATGATTTACACACTTACATTTTGGTTTTTAAAGACTAGTATCCTTTTGGGAAATTCAGCGATTTTTTTTTTCCTCATGTAAACATCATTTTATGACATCTTCTAAGTATATTTTAGTGAATTTTATAAGCAATTTTCTTTTTATTTTTAATTTTTGTGAGTACATAGCAGATGTGTATATAAGCAATTTTCAATCCTTCTTTTCAAAATATTTAATGTAACTCCTCTCCACCCCAGTGATAGTTGACTATTTCACAATTTATAAGGCAGATGAATTAAAGGCCATATATTTTATAACTCTTCCTAGGTTATGTTGTGTTTTTGCCATTCATTCAAGCTATCTTTTAAGTGGGCAGTTTTGATTCTAGTCATTGTGCTTTGGCTTTGGCATTGATACCTTGCTGGCACCAGTATTACGTTCGGTGTCAGCCAAGAAGTTGTAGTTGGAGTGACAATTTGAATCATTCTCACTGTGTTGTAAGGGTTTTTGTTGCCATACCTTTCTTTGGATGTTTGTTTGTTTTTAAGTATGCTAGACAGTTTGAAGATGAGATCTATAATTGTAAAGTATTAATGTCTTATTTCTCCTATAAGCTCGACATGTTAGCTTTATTATAGAGAAATCAATTGTAGCAATACAGCACAGCAATTTGTTGATTGGTTATGAGCTATGTAAAAATAATTTGCTTCAAATGTTGAAGTACCAAGTATTTTTTGTGTTTGAAAGATAGTCGGATTTCCTTTGTATTCCAGTCAAGCAGATTTAGGTTTTACTGTACTTAAGTTTTTTCTTCATTTACTTACTAAATTATTTTAAAATTATTTTTTAAGAACATTATAGTACTAAAAATTTAAAGGAAAATACAGTTCTATAAGATTTGTTATGAAAAATAACATCTCCTCTTTCTCACCCCTATTTTCCTGTTCTACAGAGGCAGCTATTCTTAGCTGGCTGATAGCCTTCATATTTACCTCTACATTTTCCAGTAACATACCAGTATACCTCTGTTATAATGTCTTAATTTTCTTTCTTCCTTTCCTTTACCTTTTCCTTTCCTGGATCTTTTGATACCTCACAGTGGAAGGTGAGGATTTAGCTTTATTTCACCACTTCCATCCCATGCCCACAAGACACACACATACTGTTTCTAGCTTCATCATGTAGTTATATTGTAATTTTGTTTGGATTAAAATTAGTTGTGTATGTTATATAAATGACATTCATAGCCATGCTGTGGAGTATATTAGATTATGTTTTCCTGCCTAACTTTTTGTTTTAATTGGAGTTCACAGTTGTCATTTTTAAAAAGCTGAAGTATAATTTCCATACAGTGAAATATGTGGATCAGCCAGTTTTGACAAATGCATACCACCCACGTAGTCCACACCTCTATTAAGATGTAGAATATTTCCTTCATTCCTAAAAGTTACTTGTGGTCTTTCCCAGTCCCTCTTTACCTTACATGTAATTTTTATATTTTTTCATTTGTTAGTAATCTGTATTCTTATACTTAATTTCTTCCTAAATTCCCCTTTAACTGTAACATACCTCAATTGCTCGAGACATTTAGGTACAACAGATGAAATGTGTTCATTTTCATCTTCTGGGAGACATTTCTCTTAGGCCTTCTGATAATCTCCGTCTGAACAGGGTCCTCTGCACTGGATGCCCACTTGGAGTGTCTTCTCACCCATCAGCTTGAGGGTTCCCTTCTCTTCTCTCCTGTGTTGGATTTCTTGTTTTCTGTATCCCCTGTCTTTTTGTTTCTACATTTTCTCTCTTTTTGGTGAAGTAAGGTTTTTATTAGCTTCTGAGAAAGGATGCATGGGAAATAGACCTTTAATATCTGAATTTTTTTTAACTTCACAATTAAGTTTTAGATTGGAATAGAGTTCTAGGTTAGAAGTCATTTTCCTGTAGAATAATTTCAGAATTACTATTGAGAAGATATAAGCCATTCTGATTCCTGATCTTACATGTACGCTGTTTTTTCTCTCAAGCATGATGATATTTTGTCTTGGTTAGCATTAAGAACTTGCACAATGATGCACCTTGATGTGGATCTTTTTTCATCTATTGCTTTAGGTGTTTGACTTTTTAAAACTAGAAATCATGTCATTCATATCTGCAAATTTTCTTTAGTTATTTTATTGGTTATTCTTGGACTATTCATCGAATTTTCTTTTTTTTTCCTGTTTTTTTTCTTTCCTCCACTCCTTTTCTGAGAGGTTCCTTAACTTAATTTTCCCACCCTTTTTCCAAGGTTTTTATTATTCCATCAGTTTTAAATTTCAAGCTTTTCTTGGTTGCTCTTTTCACATTCCTTTTGATAGTATCATGTTGGTATTTAAAGAGGATACAATGTCATGTCTTTCCTTACTGAACATACTAATGATAGGTCTTTATAAGAAAACATTTTCTTGTGCCTGCTTAAGTTTTTGTCTCTTCTAAGTTACTTTTTTCACGTCAGAGCCATTCCTTAGATGTCTGGTAATCCTTGGTTGTTTGTTCTTCTATAAGAGGGGACAAATCTCCAATCCTTGGTTGTCCATTCATATCTCAATAGGACCTTAACAAGCTGATTGATAGCTCTCCTCACTTGGACTTGTTGACTTTGCATTATGGTGATTGGGTATGTAGAGTTTTGGGGGATCTCTAAATACCATCCTATAGCAATCTATTCTCTACAGTTGTTCAAGTTTTCCTGTCTAGGGATGAGATGCAGGCAGCTAGTGTTCTGTCCTTGAGTTTGAGTAGTGGGCTTGGAGTGTGGCCATTGCACATCAGACTTATACCTGAGGCTCCCCTTGTTACCTATGATGTGCTTGTGTTTGTAGGCTTTGAGTTTGTCTGGGATTCCCTGTGCTCTTTACACTGTGGCTTCCTGTTCTCTCTAAAGTCAGATAATGCTTTTCCATTTGTTTTCTCTCTTTCACAAATGTGTTACTTTTTCTTGTTTTCTAATGTTCTCCCTTTATCTTTATGGATTTTTACCTTTTAAATTATTTTATTGTCATTTTAGTGTGGTTTCAGGAAAGATAGTATATAAACATGTGGCCAAGCTACCATCTTTAACTATCTTTAATGATTTTGTGGATGGGATGTAAAAGGGGTAGAATTAAAGAATTGCACTTGGCCTTGGGTATGTCCATGGGTTAGTTATACATGTCCACAACATCTGAAGTGAAGGAAAGGTTGGAAATTACTGCTTTATAATAGTTGTATATAACTACCTTGCTAACTTATTTATATATCCTTATTTATTGTCCTTGCAGTTTGCCTGCAAGTTGATGTTTGGTATTTTTGTTGAATTGAATTTATTTATCCCTAGCAGCTAATATCTTTTCTAAAAGTTTTCTTTTCACTTCAGTGCTTTTTTTCATTGAACCATGGACTCAGAGATTAATCTAAAAAGAAATATATATACAAAACCAACTTAACTTACTTCCTTTCTTTCTCCCTTCTTTCAACTTTGCAGATTGCCTAACAGTTATTTCGTAACTCTTTGGACAATGAAACTTTTGTTTTTTAAAACAATGCTTGCTTCCCTTCTCAAAATTAAGAAGTCTGTAGTTATCTGAACTATGATATATGGAACACCAACCTAAATTATTCTCGTGGAATCATACAGTATACTAGACTTAAACCTACACCGTATGTATATATTGCCTGTTTCTGATTATTCATTCATTCTTTCATTCTTTTTTTTAAAAAATGTAGGTAAATGGGCAATGTGCTGGCCACACAGCTATGCAAGCTGCTAGTCAGAATGGACATGTTGACATTTTGAAGTTACTTTTGAAGCAAAACGTGGATGTCGAAGCAGAGGTAAGTAAACTTGAAAAATATTTTAAGTAAACATTTATTTCCTAGAAATAATACTTCTATATCATGAGATGGATTGTTTTTATTTTTGAAATTTAGTATCCAACTAAGGCTTTTCTGATTGAAAATAAAAATCTGACAGAGGCAACTTGAAACAGTTCTTGTCTTTCTGTGATCCTTTATATTTTAGCCATAGTCCTAGGTAAAGATAGGAGTTGAGTTTCATATTACTGTGGTGTAACCATCATGTTTTAGGAGCTAAAGGTGGGCTTGTCCAAGAATCAAGAATCATACTAGGGAAATTGAAGGACGAGGAATATAAATCCACTGGGTCAGAATCTTTCCTGATCTCTGTGACAGTTGGAAACTTTTTTTGTTGTTGTTTTGTCATAACTGAATTAGCATTTTTTAAGTTTTATTGTTTCTTGACCTTAATGTGAATATTTGAAGAGTTCATAATGCATGTTTATCACCATATGTGTGTATATATGCTTCATTTAATTTAGAATATATTCTTATAAAAGAGAAACACTTCTTAATATCATTGGAGTCTTGACTGGGGATCTCTCTGTATCTCTATTGTGAAGGATGTCTTGCTTTGTCTTACTTAACTACTCATTACTAAAAATGTATTTGAATCACACTTATTTTAGTATAGTGCAAGATTATTTAGAATAAATCAAATTCTAGCAAATTTAAATTAGGCAGAATGTTGCAATTTTGTCTAAAAAACACTCTCATCTGTGAGTGCTTAATGAGGACTTGAATTGCTGAGGGCTAAATTGGTGGATCAACCTGATTTTACTAATTAAAAAATTTAAAAAGATGCATATTGGAAAAGAGAAGCCTTTTCTAGTCTTATGTTACTTTTTCTTTTTTCTCTAATTGTATGTATTTTGAATTGTTGGACAGCTACTAAAGAGCCTGTGGTTTTTAAGGGTAAACAGGTCATCTATAATGTTGGAATTTTCTGCTGCCTAGAAATAACTTGAAATTAATTAATTAATTAATTAATTTTTGAGGCAGAGTCTCACTCTGTTGCCCAGGCTGAAGTGCAATGGCGTGTTCTCAGCTCACTGCAACCTCTGCCTCCTGGGATCAAGTGATTCTCATGCCTCAGCCTCCCCAGTAGCTGCGATTATAGGCGCCTGCTACCACACCTGGGTAATTTTTGTATTTTTAGTAGACACAGGGTTTTGCCATGTTGGCCGGGGTGGTCTCGAGCTCCTGACCTCAAGTGATGTGCCTGCCTCAGCCTCCCAAAGTGCTGAGATTACAGGTGTGAGCCACCGCGCCTAAGAACTTGAATTTTAAATTAGCATATTAGATATCTATGAACTATACAATAGTTTTATTACTATGATGTCTTTATGAATGAGATTATATAATTTGATGTTACTTTTGCACTAGTAATTTTTAAGTTGCATCTTTCTTGATTGTAAGTTTAGGAACCTAGTGTGTGTTACAAGTTTTGTTTTGGTAATTAAAGTTAATTTTAGTGTTTTGTATATAGAATATAATTACTTTATTTTCTTATTATTTTAGTTTTATTTGGTGGAATGGTATGAAATTTCTTGAGTTGAATATCTGATTTTTAATTTAGTGAATCCAGAAACTCCAATAGCAACAACTACTGAAAAACCAAAGTCCTTCTGATTACAGCTAATAAGGCAAGAAGCTGAAAAACCACATTTCTTTTTGCCTAAGTTTCTTTTTAAAGTTGCTTTCAGATTCAGAATTTAATCACCAACCTGGCAGCATGGGATTATTCATATATTTGCGTTTCTAGAGATTTTTGTTCACATGAGAGGTTTTGCAGAATGGGTTTGCGGCTGTGGAATTAGGAATGAAATTGGCACTGTTTTTCAAGAGTAATTTTCTTTCTTTCCTTTTTTTTTTTTTTTTTTTTTGAGACAGAGTCTCCCCCTGTTGCCCAGGCTGGAATGCAGTTGAGTGTTCTTGGCTCACTGCAACCTCCGCCTCCCGGTTCAAGTGATTGTTGTGCCTCAGCCTCCCGAGTAGCTGAGATTACAGATGTGCACCATTACGCTGGGCTAATTTTTGTATTTTTAGTAGAGTTGGGGTTTCGCCATGTTGGCCAGGCTGATCTCTAACTCCTGACCTCGAGTGATTTCGCTTACCTCAGCCTCCTGAAATGCTGGGATTACTGGCATGAGCCCCATGCCTGGCCAGATTTTTTTTTTTTTTTTGATACAGGGTCTTGCTCTGCCCTGACTGGAGTGCAGTGGCATGATTATGGCTCACTGCAGCCTTGAATTCCCAGGCTCAAACAATTCTCCCACTTCAGCCTCCCAGGTAGCTAGGACTACAGGTGTGTGCCATCATGCTTGGCTAATTTTTAAAAATTTTTATAAAGAGATGGTCTCACTATGTTGCCCAGTTTGGTCTCAAACTCCTGGACTCAAGTGATCCTCCTGCCTTGGCTTCCCAAAGTGTTGGAATTACAAGTGTGAGCCATTGCGCCCAGCCTCTTTTTTTCTTAATTGTACTCAAATACAAAACAAACAGTTAGTTAATACTATAAACATGGTATGATGGGAGTTGAAGTGAGTCTTGGTAGTCTAGATATTTATAAATAGTTTTTTGTTTTTTGTTTTTTTTTTTTTGAGACGGAGTCTTGCTCTGTCGCCCAGGCTGGAGTGTAGTAGTAGCGCGATCTTGGCTCACTGCAAGCTCTGCCTCCCGGGTTCACGCCATTCTCCCGCCTCAGCCTCCCGAGTAGCTGGGACTACAGGCGCACGCCGCCACACCTGTCTAATTTTTTGTATTTTTAGTAGAAATGGTTTCACCGTGTTAGCCAGGATGGTCTCCATCTCCTCACCTCGTGATCCACCTGCCTTGGCCTCCCAAAACACTGGGATTACAGGCGTGAGCCACCGTGCCCAGCCAAATAATGTATTTTTAAGTTTGCAAACTGACTGCTAACTAGAACGGTGAGATACATGGGACTTTTACCATATTCCTCATTTGGATTTCCATTTTGTGCATTTTTTTATTTTAAAATTCATTATAAGCAGGTGCGGTTTGTAGAAGTGTGAAAAGGGATATTAAGAACACAGTTTCCCAATTGGTAAAGGAAAAACTATATTGAAAAATTGAGTTAAAATATAAATATCGGCCAAATGCACTGATTCACATCTGTAATCCAAGCACTTTGGGAGGCTGAGGTGGATGAATTGCTTGATCCCAGGAGTTCAAGACCAGCCTGGGCAACGTGGCAAAACCATGTCTCTATTAAAAATATAAAACATTAGCCAGGTGTGCTGGCACACAGCTATAGTCTCTTCTACTTGGAAGGCTGAGGTGGGAGAATCACCTGAGCCCAGGAAGCCCAGGCTGTGGTGAGCTGAAATTGCACCACTGCACTCCAGCCTGGGTGGCAGGAGTGAGACCCTACCTCAAACAAGACTACAGCCCAAGACTAAAGCAAAAGTTCATCAAAGTTTAATTTTTCTAGGATATAAGAATTAACATTGCCTATTAAACAACTATATAGTTTGTTTAATACATTGGTTCTCAGCTGGGGGCATTTAGGCTCCACAAGGGACATTTGGAAATGTCCGGAGGCATTTTTAATTGTTACAAGTGGGTGGGTGGAGGAGGTACAGCTGACATCTAGAGGATAGAAGCTAAGGATGCTACTGAATGTCCTACAGAGCTCAGGACAGCTCTCACAACAGTGATCTGGCTTTAAATGTCAGTAGTGCTAAAGTGGAGAAAATAGTTAATTTTGCAGATGCACTTAGATTTGTCATTCATAATTTGCCAGCCTGTTTATAAAGTGATTTGTTTTTTTATCAACTTTTTTATCATTGGAAATATTAAACATATACAAAAGTAGAGATAATAGTATAATGAATCTTATGTACCCATTGCCCCACTTCAATTAATACTCATAGCCAGTTTTATCTATACACCTTTCCTCCCATTCCCCCTACTGAATTATTCTGAAGCAGATTTAGGTAGATACCATATTATTTCATTAGTAAATATTTAATATGTATTCCAAAACGTAAGGGCTCTTTTAAAAAGTTTCTCACCTTTATCACACCTGAAAATGTTAAAAAACTTTATTACACCTAAAAATGGTAATAATTGATTTTTTAAAAATCTGATTTTATTAAAAGCTTTGGAGTTAGCAGAAGAATAAAGGAAATAATATATTTTGTTCTCTAGTTATCTCATTTGGTAACCTTTCTTTTTTATATGCATTAGGAAGTAGGCTCAAGAGAGTATAGATCAGGGTCTGCAAACTACAGCTCGCAGGCCAAATCCAGCCCTCCATCTGTATTGTAAAGTATTGTTGAAACACAGCACAGCCATTCATTTATTTACTGTCTGTGGCTCCTTTAGTGTGACAGTAAAGTAGCTGTGTAGTTTCGATAAGAGACTATATGGCCTGTAAAAAGTAAAATATTTACTTTCTGGCCCTTCACAGAAAAGTTGCTGGCCCGTAGCATAGATGACTATTGCAGAGTTTTTGGTTGATTTAAGCTGTTATCAAACAATTATTTGGTACATAGCATACCTTTGGAACATGTGATAAGATTATATTTTGTTTCCTATTTCTTTTTCTTAGGGAAACCTCAAAGAGCTCTTTTGGAAAGTTGATTGTCTCCATATATTGACCTACTGAATTCAGTAGGATTACATTCTGTTTCTTCTTTAACGTATAGGTAAAGGCATCAAGGACTATGATATCTTAGGTATGTTGATATAGGTGAGCTAATTTTGGATCTGCCGTGGACTCTATTTTTTTCCCCCACTGATGAAGTATAATAGTAAAGGTATGGAGATTTGGATGGGAGATGAGTTTTTAAAAATATGTCTTTATTATGAGTTTCCAAACATAGTACATCTGCTTAAGTTATAAGGACATTTGGGGTAGTTTGGGGTAGTTTCATCATTTAATTAAAAAAAAACTGCTTCAAATGGAGAAGATTAGTAGTAGGGAACAATACTAGACTTTGTCAGATAACCCAAATTTTTTGGCTAGATGGACTAAGAAAAAAGAAGACTCAAATTACCAAAATCAGAAATGAAAGTGGGTACATTACTACTAATTCTACAGAAATAAAAAGGATTATAAGAGAGTACTATGAACAATATGCCAACAAATTGGATAACCTAGATGAAATGGATGAATTTCTAGAACACAAAACCTGTCAAGACAGAATCATGAAGAAATAGGAAACCTGAATAAACCTATAACTGGTAAGGAGATTGAATCGATAGTTGAAATTTTCCTAACAAGGAAAAGCCTTGGACCTTATGGTTTCAGGGGGGATTTCTGCCAAACATTTAAAAAAGAACTAATATTCTTTCTCAAACTTTTCCAACAAATTAGAGAGGAGGGAAGACTTCCTAACTCATTCTAAAAAGCCAGCAAAACCAGTACAAAGCCAGAAAAAGGCACTACAAGAAAACTACAGACCAATATACCATATCAACATTGATGCAAAAATCCTTAACCAAATATTAGTGAGCTACATTCAGCAGCATGATAAAGGGATTATACACCATGATCAAATGGGATTTATTCCTGGAATGTTAAAAATGGTTTAACATAGGAAAATCAATTAGTGTAATATGCCACATTAACAAAATGATGGGGAAAAACTGCATAATCTTTCCAATTGACCAGAAAAAGCATTTGACATAATTTAACACCCTTTCATGATAAAAACATTGAATAAACTTGGAATAGTAGGGAATTACCTCAATGTAATAAAAGCCATATATGAAAAACCCACAGTGAACATGATATTCAATGGTGAAAGACTGAAAACTTTTCTTATAAGAACAGGGCAAGGATACCTGCTTTTACCAGTTCTATTTAACAGTACTAGAAGTGCTGACCAGAGCAATTAGGCAAGAAAAAGAAAAGACATCCGAATTGGAAAGGAAATAAAAATTATCTCTGTTTGCAGTGATCTTAGTGAAACCTAAAGATTTCAACAAAAAAACTTTTAGAACAAATTTAGCAGTTTAGCAGAATACGAAGTTAAAACACAGAAATCAGTTGTATGTCTATACATTAACAATGAACAGTCTGTTAATTGAACAATCTGTTAACAATGAATCTTTCAGGAAATTGAGAAAACAACTCCATTTACAATAGCATAAGAATAAAATACTTAGGCATGAACTTAACGAAGGAGATAAGACTTATACATTGAAAACTACAAAATATTGCTGAAAGAAATTAAAGAAGACAGATAACTGGAACTACTTCCCATGTTCATGGATTAGAAAATTTATATTGTTAAGATGTCAGTACTACCCAGAGAGATCTACATATTCAATGAAATTCTGTCAAAATCCTAAAGATGTTTCTTGCAGAAATAGAAAAATCTATCCAGAAATTCATAAGGAATCTCAAGAGAGCCCCAAACAGCCAAAGCAATCTTGAGAAAGAACAGAAGTTGGAGGACTCACTCTTCCTACTTTCAAGACTTACCACAAGGCAACAGTAATCAAGACAGTGTATTACTAACATAAGGGTGGACATAAAGACTGAAAGAAGAGAATTGAGAATTCAGAAATAAGCCTTTGCATTAAGGTCAATTGCTTTTTGGGGTCCAAGACAATTTAATGGGAAAAGAGCAATCTTTTAAACAAATGGTGCTTGGGCAACTAGATATTCATATGTAAAAGAATAAAGTAGGAACCTTACCTAACACTATATACAAAAATAAATTCAAAATACCTGAAAGATCTAAAAGTGCGATATAAAACTATAAACCTTTTTGAAGAAAAAGAGGGCAAAAACCTCACAGCATTGTATCTGGCAGTGATTCCTTGGATATGACACCAAAAGTACAGTCAACAAAAGAAAAACAGACAAATTAGACTTCATGAAAATTAAAAACAACGTGTATCAAAGGACATTTGTCAACAGAGAGAAAAAGCAGCCTATGAAATGGGAGAAAATATTTTCAAATCATGTATCTGATAAGATATTAAAATCCAAAATATATATAGACTCTTAAAACTCTACATCAAGAAAACCTAAAAAACTCCTTTTGACTTGAATAAACATTTCTGCAAAGAATATGTATGAATGATCAATAAGCACATGAAAAGATGTTTAACGTCACTAATTATTAGGGGAATGCAAACCAAAATGACAGTGAGATACTGCCTTACAGCCATTAGGGTGGCTGTTATCAAAACAACCAGAAAAAACCTGTCAGTGAGGATGTGGAGTAATTAGAACTCTTTGCACTGTTCATAGGAATATAAAATGGTATAGCCACTGCTGAAAAGAATATGACAGTTGCACAAAAGATTTAAAATTGAATTACAATATGATCCAACAGTTCTGCTTTTGAATATATATCCCAAAGATTGGAAAGGAAGTCTTGAGGAGGTATTTGTTCACCTGTGTTTTTAGCAGCAGCATTCGTAATAGCTAAAGCATGAAAGCAGCCCAGGTATCCATTGACAGAAGAATGGATGAGCAAAATGTGGTATGTGCTTATAATGGTAGATCATTAAACTTAAAAAGAAAGGAAATTCTGACACATAAGATCCTTGAGGCCATTATTCTAAGTGAAGTGAGCCAGTTACAAAAAGACAAATACTGTATGGTTCCACTAAGAAGTATAGATAGTAGTCAAAATCATGGGAACAAAAAGTGGAATGTATGGTGGTTTCCAGAGATGGGGGGGTAGGAGGAATAGGGTGTAGAGTTTCAGTTTTCTCAGTTTTTAATGGGTATAGAGTTTCACTTTTGCAAGATGAAAAAAGTTCTAGAGATGGATGGTGGTGATGGTTGCACAGTGATATGAATGTACTTAATATCACTGAATTGTACATTTAAAAATGGTGAAGATGGTAAACTTTATGTATATTTTGCTGCAATAAAAATATTAAAAAATCATGATGGTTATTTAAGGATTATATTCAACACCCATTTTTATTCTTACTAGTTAATAATCACTGTGCTAGCTCCTGGAAATAAGGATGACTAAGACACAGTCATAGCCCCCAAGAAGCCCACAGCCAAGTAAAAAAGACTTCAAACAAATAATTATACTATAGTGTGAGAAATGGTATAATAAATTTGTGAGAGTCAGGGGAAATTTCACAGGAGAAGTGATGCCTGAGCTGAGTTTTATGAGATATCTAGTCTCCAGTCCAAGAGGGTGACGACAAAGAGCACTCCAGGTCTAGGGAGTAGCATATGAAAATGTATAGGATCCCATAAGTTGATAAGTTGGAGCCTGATATCTGAGGGGACTGTGGCAGCAGGCGAGGCTGGAATGGTTCACAGACGTAGGTCTCTAAAGAGATTTGTTTTGTACATAGTAGAGAGACATTGAAGAGGTTTAAACATAAAATTTGTGTTTTACAGAAAGAATTATGACTTTGGTGTGAAGAATAGATTGGGATAAGAAAGTGAAGGGAGGTTGAGTTGTGGTAATCATCCAGGTGAGTAAGAATGAAGGCCTGAATTAGTCTGTGGTAGAGTTGGAAAAGAGAATAGATATGAGCATAAATTGAGGAGTAAAAGCTGTAGAGTTTGGTGATTGCACATAGAGGGTCACAGAGAGGAAGCAGTTGACTGTGACTTACAGATACTGATTTTGTTGACCATATGGTCTGTAGTTCTATCAGCTAAGATAGGCAATACTAAATAAGAGCAGGTTTTGGAAAATGGAGAGAGAATAGGGCAGGGGGATAGAAAGAAACACGATCCGTTTTAGATTTAATTTGAGGCCTCTTTATGAAATTCTTTGAGATAATCTTATAGAGGTTAGCTGTAACCTTGTTCCTTGAAATTCTCTTTTGGCACTAGGAACAGGACAGGCACATGAGCTGTGTTTTAGGTTTATTTGGAGTATTTAAGATGGATTCAGAAGAAAGCAACAAAACTTACAAGTTAAGATTTTATTATAACTGCAGTTTTCTAATTTAGAAGAGAAACCTGGAAGTAAATTTAATTATATTTAATTGTAATTTTCTAGTGTGCGTGTGTATTTTCCATAATTTAAAAATTATTCTTATTTATTTCCTTTTGACAAACATATCAGTTTTTAATTCTTTGGTGTTTATTTTTATGTAAATTATTGACAGCCTGCATTAAGTGTTTCAGTAGTGATTTTCTAACAACCATACAGTGTTAGTGGCCTGATGTTCCCTTTTTTAATGGAAGGTGAATCACAAAATAGGGTTAAAAACTGTAACAGAAAAAAAAAAAAAGACTGGAAGTTAGGAAGATTTTAACTCTAAGATTCTGAATTATATCTGTTACTAGAGAGATTAACTTAGAGAGATTAACTTATGTATACATGCATATATATCTTATTTTTGTTTTGTTTTTTAAAACACTTGTTTTTCTGGGATGTTTGAATATAATGCTACTCAGAGGCACAAGAGTTGAGAGAGGTGCCAAATCCTAACCACAAGACCCCCAGGGAAAAGGCACAAGAGTTGAATCTTAAATCTTAGATGTGGTTGTTTGCCAGTTCCTTTCTCAAAATTGATACGTAACAAAAACTGATTCAGCTGGAAATATCAGTAAGGTAGAAATATCCCTGAGTTGTAGGTCCCTACTGTTGTGGATTCCTACATGAGTGCTTTTACCTTTAATACCTGTTTGAGAAAATACGCAAAGACCAAAAACTACTTTGAGTTCTGTAACTGTTTTGAATGAACTATTTAAGTGCATTTAATCATAACAGTGTTTATCTGTGCTTTCTTTGAAAGTAGTTCAGATAATCCTGGGTGCCATATGGATTGTCAGACCCCTTGCAAAACTAGGGAGTCCACCAGGGGCTGGCACAGTGGTATTGGGAATCGGAAACCACTGCTTTGGATGGAGGAAGTCTTAGAGTACCAGGATCAGGGACAGACACATGGTCTTGGTGGGTGTTAAAATTTGCAATGCAGTATTGGAATAAATGCAATACGCTTATACCTACTACCCTTTTCCATCTGCTTCTGGCAAGGCAGTGAGACTTCTTTTCATACTTTTTGGTATAAGCTATGTATACTACCTTCATGGCGCAGTGCAGGCAGTTTTTCCCCTTTATAAAGTACCTTCTTTTAGTTTTAAAAAATTTAAGCAATTTGGTCTTTCCTGCCTTCTCATTTCTTCAGAAATATGCCTGTTACAGGAGGTGAGGCAAATCTATTTGATTCTTCTGAAATAGTTTTGGAATTTTTGATATATGGAATTTTGGTAGTTTATGCTTCGTTTTTATCTTTTAATGGTGTATTTAATTTTTTTTCTGTTCTCGAATATACAGAAAAATGTATGCTCATCACTTAACCAGTTTTAATGTGTTGATAAATTGCTCCCCATTAAAGCCAGTTGAGATCACATTGTTTGGCATTCTTTTTTTTTTTTTCAATCACACAACTCATCTTAGTTTACTTTTTGTGTCATCTTTGTAGGACGTGCACGGTGGCTCACACCTATGATCCCAGCATTTTGTGAGGCTGAAGTTGGAGAATTTATTAAGGCCAGGAGTTAAAGGCTGCAGTGAGCTATGACTGCCACTGCATTCCAGCCTGGGTGACAGAACAGGACCCTGATTCTTTTTTTATTGAGAGGCAGTCTTGCTCTGTCGCTCAGGCTTGGAGTGCAGTGGCCCGATCTCAGCTCACTGCAACCTCTGCCTCCCGGATTCAAGCAGTTCTCCTCCCTCAGCCTCCCGGGTAGCTGGGATTACAGGCATGTGCCACCATGTCTGGCTAATGTTTGTAATTTTAGTAGAGACGGGTTTTCTCCGTGTTGGCCAGGCTGGTCTTGAACTCCTAACTTCAGGTGATCCGCCCGCCTTGGCCTCCCAAAGTGCTGGGATTACAGGTGTGAGCCACTGCGCCTGGCCTAGGACCCTGATTCTTTAAAAACAACAACAACAACAACAACAAAAATGGTCTTTGTAAAAATTTTTAAATGTCAAAAAAAATTGGCTTACCATCATGGCTGATAAATGAGGAATGCTGAAAGTTCAAGCTGTTGGTTTTATATATATATATATATATATATATATATATATATATATATATATAAAATTATATATAAATGTATATATATAAATAAATAAATACATATATATAAAATGATCTAAGTTTATCATTTATCTTTGGGAGTTAGTCACTGTTCAAGTCAGTTTCTAGGTTTTAAAAAATTTTTTTATAGAGACAGGGTCTCACTCTGTTGCCCCGGTCAGAGTGCAGTGGTGCGATCATAGCTCACTGTAACTTGAAACTCCTTGGCTCAAGCAATCCTCCTGTGTCAGCCTCCCAAGTAGCTGGGACTACAGGTGGGTGCCACCATGCCTGGCTCTCTCTACAAGACAGGATCTTGCTATGTTGCCCAGATTGGTATTGTTGGAAATCTTACTCACATTTACAGTTTACTTGGCCTCAAGTGATCCTTCTGCCTTGTCCTCCCAAAGTGCTGGGATTACAGGCATGAGCCACTGCACCTGGTCAAGTTCTAGTTATTTTGTTGTTTCCTACATTGCCTTTTCTCAAATTAATCTGCTTCTTGGTATATTATTATAGCTTCAAGGTTTTTTTCTTTCTAAAATATTCACTAATTCACATTTCAATACTAATGATTAGGATAAAGATGGTGATAGAGCAGTTCACCATGCAGCTTTTGGAGATGAAGGCGCTGTTATAGAAGTACTACATCGAGGTAGTGCTGATTTGAATGCTCGAAACAAGCGCCGACAGACACCACTTCATATTGCTGTCAATAAAGGTCATCTTCAAGTTGTGAAGACTTTATTGGACTTTGGCTGTCATCCCAGTCTCCAGGTAAAACCTTTAAAGAAACACATCCTGCAGGTATTGCTAGGATCCTATTAAAGGGAAACATTAAGTTCTATGGTAAGCATTCCTTTGTTACCGTTCTCATATGTCATAGTAAATGATACCAAAGGCGTAAGATGTTACAAAATTGGCAGCTATTTCTTTTTTAAAAAGTTGTTTTTTTTTAGGGAAAATGCCAATAGATTGGGTTTTGATTGGGCAGGGAGAATGAGGACTTCTTTGTAAAAATATCAGCTTATGAATGGATTTAACTTTATTGATCATGACAGTGAGCTCAACAGCTTAAAGAAGTGTAATAGGCTATATTTCATAATAGTTACTTCATAACTATTTAAATTATTTTAATTGTAGCTTTTATTGTAGCTTAGGGACTTTGAATAGTCGTTAGTGTAATCTTCGGAGATTTCTGTTTTGGAAAATGTATAGGATTTTAGAGTTGATTTACAGTAGGATCTAATTTTTGAAGCAATGATTGCCTAAGAAATGATTATCCCCAGCTACAGTTTTATAACCAGATAAATTAAACCACAAATATATAGAAAATGTAGTCTGTGTCCATTTTCTGCTTAGTTTGGTTACTAAGCAACTTGTCTTTTGTGCACCTGTTTGATTAAAGTTTCTATACTTAGTAATTTTGTAGCTCCTGAATCTAATTTGCCAACTTTTAGGTTCCTTAACCGAATAGGCTTGAAACAACATATTATTTTTAAATAAAAGTGTTCCCTGAAATACTATTTGAATATGTAAAACATAATTTGTTTCCATTGGAAACTCAATAATGATTTTTTAAAAAGTAGGGCAGTGGTTAGAATCATAAGCTGCTTGTAGTTTAGATAATTTACAGCATCCAGGAATTGGTTGCTGGATTGGATAGATCTCAGAGAAGAAATAAAGAACAGTAGTAGTGGGAATGAGGGCTTGAGAAGAACTGAAAGAATAGATTTTGTTCAGCTAGATAATTATTAGAAATTAAGGTTTTTGAAGTGCAGCTGTTTTGGAACTGTTGGGATCTAGAGTATGTCCTTGTAAGTGGGAGGCAGGATTGGAGGATGAGGGAAGAATTGGGGGGGTGTTAATCTGTAAGGAGAGGTGATTTATACCTGCTGACGTTTTTTGTCTGAAATGGGAGACAAGTTCATCTGTTGAGAGTGGTGGGTAGAGAAAGAGTAATTGAGAAGAGTGATAAGGACTTGGGGACCTGCAGAAGGGTGTTCCAATCATGTTAGAAGCCCGTTTCAGGTTGAACACTACAGATTTTTAGTGCCGCCAGATACAGGAGTAGAAGGTAGATGGTAGATGGTTGGATTGAACTTGGGTTAGGAATTCTTTTTTTTTTTTTTTTTTTTTTTTTGAGGCAGGGTCTTGCTCTGTTGCCCAGGCTGGAATTCAGTGGCGTGATCATGGCTCATTGCAGTCTCAACCTTCAGGGCCCACCTCAGCCTCCCGAGTAGCTGGGACTACAGGTGTGAGCTGCCATGCCTGGCTAATTTTTTGTAGAAATGCCCAGGTTGGTCTCAAACTTCTGGTCTCAAGCAATCTTCCTGCTCCCACCTCCCAAAGTCCTGGGATTACCGGTGTGAGCCACCATGCCTAGCAGGAATTCTTTATGTAGGTGGATGAATATATTCCTGGGATTAGCAAACATTTTCTATATTGGGCACAGATAATAGTGGCTTATTGGCTTTTGCCACAACTATCTAACTCTCATTGCAGAATGAAAGCAGCCATAGATAATACATAAATGAATGGGTGTGGCTGTGTTCCAATAAAACTTAATTTACAAAAACAGGTGGCTCCAATGTGTAATATCCTGGGATATCATTTTTTCTAGGCTTTGTCCACATGGCTTAGGGGAGCATAGGGCTCTGCCCCATGATGTACAGTCCCTTTCCTCAGTGTTGGAGATGAAGCTGGGTCTGGTGTTTGCACTTTCATATTCCTGTAGCTTCTCAGAATCCTGTGGACAGTGACTGGGGAGACAAACCATGCAGGAAATATGTCTAGTAAAAAAGAATAAAACAAACAAAAAACAAGTGGCAAACTGAATTTGGCAACTGTAGTATATGCTGTAGGCCAGGTTGTATATGACTTTACTGAGAATAGCATCTGTTCAACTATGAAATGAATGAAATTTAAATTATTCATGTCTGTACATGACTGCTAATGAATAAAAACTTACTGCTAAGTCAATTGATTAATGTAAAAAGTAGTCAGCTTGAAAAAATGGTAGACTGAGATTGCTAAATTTTAATTTACAATTGTTTTACCTTTGGCTAACTAGCCACTTTGCTGCCCTTTGAAAACGCTTAGATTAATGTTTCTCACCTGTGACTGCACAAGATGTTCATCTGTGGAGCTTTGAAAAATTACTCATGCCTCACTCTCACCTCTAGAGATTTAGTATGGTGAACAGCCTGGACATCAGATTTTTTTTTCTCTTTTTTTTCCTCTGTACAACAGATTTTAAAAGATCTCCCCAGCAGGTTCTAATGAGCAGCCAAGTTTGAAAGCCACCGACTTTCAATTCATTGTTATGGTGTAGGTTTGGTATGGAATTTCAGGGTATGACAATTAAGGCCATTTTAAACTTATAAAATTTGGGGGGCAGCTTTATCACTTCACTGGTTTTTGTCATTAGTTATATTTGAGGCTACTTCTTTTCTTTTCTTTTTGCTTTGTAAAGCTTCAGCATGTGCCAGGAGTGGTGGCTTATGCCTGTAATCCCAACACCTTGAGAGGCTCATGTGGGAGGATCACTTGAGCACAGGAGTTCAAGACCAGCATGGGCAACATACTGAGACCCCCATCTCTACAAAAAAAGAACTTTGCCGGGCAAGGTGGCTCACGCCTGTAATCCCAGCACTGTGGGAGGCTGAGGTGGGCAGATCACGAGGTCAGGAGTCTGAGACCAGCCTGGCCAACGTGGTGAAACCCCGTCTCTACTAAAAATACAAAAATTAGCTGGGCATGGTGGTGGGTGCCTGTAATCCCAGTTACTTGGGAGGCTGAGGCAGGAGAATCGCTTGAAACCGGAAAGTGGAGGTTGCAGTGAGCTGAGATCGCGCTATTGTACTCCAGCCTGAGTGAAAGAGCGAAACTTGGTCTCAAAAAAAAGAAAAAAAAATTCCAGCATGCTTATTTTGTTTTCCAACTAGATTTGAGTATGTCTTTCCTTACTATAATGTGGCCAGTGTTTCTTGCCTGTATTTTTGTTTTTTATATTTTTGGAGATAGAGTCTCGCTCTGTCACCCTGGCTGGAGTGCAGTGGCATGATCATAGCTCACTGGAGCCTTGAACTCCTGGGCTCAAGCCATTCTTCTGCCTCAGCCTCCTGAGTACCTAGGACTATAGGTGCACACCGCCGTGCCCGGCTAATTTTTAAAATTTTTTGTAGGGACAAGGTCTCTATATGTTGCCCAGGTTGGTGTTGAACTCCTGGCCTCTGCTGATCCTCCCGCCTCAGCCTCCCAAAGTGCTAGGGTTACAGACATGAGCCAGCATGCCCAGCCTTTGCCTATATTTTTGTAGTTATCACAGAAAGTGCTCTTTTATTGGTATTTGTTGGATGTGGTCTCTGCTTCTGTTTGCTTAGCATTTGGTGTAAGTATTACTATTAGATGGGATAATTAATTGAAGAACTAATGAAAATTTCTTTAAACTTAAAGGATTCTGAAGGTGATACCCCTCTTCATGATGCAATAAGTAAGAAACGTGATGATATCCTAGCAGTTCTTTTGGAAGCTGGAGCAGATGTTACCATCACAAACAATAATGGATTTAATGCTCTGCATCATGCTGCACTAAGGGGAAATCCCAGGTATGTCACCCCTTACTATTTTAGGTGCAATTCAAAAATATTTTCCTACTGTTGATTCTCTTTTTCTGATACTGATGAAGAAATAATTTTGGCTATTTTAGTATTTTAAATCATTTTAAAGTTTTGTGAATATTATGCCTTTAGTTTTATATGATGATTATTTGGTTGTTAATCTAATACAAATATTATGAAATGATTATTTAAGTTTATATTAAATGTGGTTGTAAAATATCAGGAATACTAGTTTCTTTCTAAAGATTTAATTAAAATGCATTTTATTTTGAGATTTATGTTTCTTCAAAATAATTATCTGGGTGTCCTCTAATTTCATGTTGCCATTTGCACGATAATTATTTTTTAAAACTTAAGACTAAATAAATACTAAGTTACCTAATTCCTTATTAATAATGTAATTAGTTATATAAACTTCTAGTATAGCTATCCCCTCATCCATTGTTACAGCAATAGTATTCTACTGAAAAAAGTATTTGCTGGTTGACATTTGAGAAAGACTCCTTTTGGAGAATCACATTCTTTATGAAGGATCTGCGGTGTCCCACAGAATGGGAAAATGCTTAGCTTTGCTTAATTTAGAGATTTCCATTAACTCACTTTTTGGAACAACTTTACCCTAAGCATTTTAGGAAATTCTGCATTGGATGTCTTCTGTTTATGTTTGAGTCAAACCTGTATACCTGGACTAAGAAAAATCTTCACTTTGATTTTTATTTTGATAATTTTATCTATTCTGAACACTTATTCTTTGGTTCCTTATTGTATTTTTATATCATGTTTCCTTTAGCTTCTTAGGATCACCACTAGAGGGTGACCACAGGAAACAAAAGGATTTTATTGCTACTGCTTATTGGTAACTGTAACAGTGGGTATATATTGTAGGACAAAATGAATGATCATATTTTAGATCACATCTTGATTTTTTTTCCAAATTGCAAATATTTGAACACTTCAGATTTTGGCATTGTGAAGAAGACAGTAGTATTATATTTCCCTGCCCTTCAAACAGAAGATTATGATAGCACTTTCCACATGCCAGCCTCTGCAAAGTGCTTCACATGCATCATCTCACTTAATCCTTTCAACAGCTTTTTGGGGCAGGTGTTAATATCCTCATTTTACACGTGAAGAATATGAGGCTTATAGAGATGAATTTAATTATTCAAGAACACGTAGCTGATTACTGAAGCAGCTGTAACTTGAGCAAGGTCTAGGTGACTTTAGAATCATAACTGTTAAACCACTTTACATCACCTTTTCTGTATTATGGTCTGTCTGTGAAGCAAGACCAAAACACATGGGCAGTGAATGTGTCAATACCTCATTCCTCTTGCTGCTTCATTGCTTAGAGTTATCTTTGCTCTCTCACCAATTCTTAGCTTCCAACTAGTTTTAAAATTTTACTCATTCTACCAATCCTTCCAACCCATTCCATTCTGTTCCCACTGTTGCTGACCCAATTAAGTACTCACCACATTTACCTAGACTATTATACTATTCTTCTAATTTTTTTCTTTGATTTCAGTCTTTTTCTTGATTTAAATTTTATACATTTACAAATTATCCATTCTGAAAGCATAGGTCTAAATGGCTCTCTTCCCCTGTTTCCCAACTTCAGTTTTTGTCTGTTAACATAGAATACAATCTACACACTTTGGCTTGGCATTCAGACCCATATTCTGTGTGTCCTGAGTCTGTTTAACTTTATCTCCTGCTAATCCAATCCCTCAGCCCGCTTTGCCCATCGTCTATTCTCCTTTCCTAAAATATGCTGTCTGCTTTCTTCTTCTATTTTTTGGAGCATTTTCTTTCTTTGGGATGCCCCATCCCGCTTCTTTATCTTAACCGTCTTTCTTCCAGAGCTACCTCCTGTGTCATCACTGGAATTATTTTGTTTGCTCTATACTTCCTTGTTCTGTGTGTGTTTTTTTTGTTTTTTTTGTTTTTTTTTTTTTGAGGCAGAGTCTTGCTCTGTCACCCAGGCTGGAGTGCAGTGGCACAATCTCGGCTCACTGCAAGCTCTGCCTCCTGGGTTCACGCCATTCTCCTGCCTCAGCCTCCCGAGTAGCTGGGACTACAGGCTCCCACCACCATGCCCGGCTAATTTTTTTTGTATTTTTTAGTAGAGACGGGGTTTCACGACGTTAGCCAGGATGGTCTCGATCTCCTGACCTCGTGATCCGCCTGTCTCGGCCTCCCAAAGTGCTGGGATTACAGGCGTGAGCCACCGCGCCCTTCCTCTGTGTTCTTATTTATTATACTTACTATATACTCTGCTTAGTGCTGTTTATTACTATGTGCACTTCTGTCTTTCTCTTTACATTGTGGGCATTCATATTCATCTGTTCATCCTACATATGCTCTGGCTATACAAGGCACTCAATAAATGTTAGTCTTACTTTGACAGTGAGCACACTGTTAAATATCACAAGATGTTATATGATCAATTACAAAATGAATTCTGTAGAGAAACTGTGTTAGGAATTCAAACAGCAATTACTTCAGATTACAATGGTCAAAAAGATTTTATTGAGAGAATTTAGGATTTATTGAGGGAATATGAAATCATAAAGTTTAGTATAAACTGAGAATTGAAGTGCTTAGGAAACAAGTATCTTTTAAATATTTTGAGTTGTTTCATTTTTATTGAGAGTAGGCATAGTATATTCAATAATGCTAAGCCTATACAAGGAAGAGAAAATTTACTTTTATTTTTTTCAATTCTTGCATAAATCTTGAGGGTTCCCCTGAAAATTTAAAACAGCACCTCTTCCAACCAGATATTTGGTGTCAGGTGACATTTAAAAAAAAATGCTTTTATTCTTTAACAAAGTAGTGCTTCAGTTAAAGCTACATGCCTTCTTTATTCCTACTTCCTTAAGACATTTTTAGGTAGTTGTGACTATAGATTGCCAGATAGAGTGTGATTTTAATTGGACACTGAAGAGTATCAGATGACACAGCTTATATTACCAGTTGTAATTGCAAATTGGGATGTTTTGAATTCTTTTTTTCATATCAAATTTCTTTTTCTTAAGGTTGATTTTTCCCCCCCTATACTGTCCAGTGATGTCAGAAGACAGAAGGTGCCATTTTTAGTGTACTCGGAATTAAAAATAACAACCAGTCTTTTTGGCCTTTATACTATAGAAAACCAGCAGGGTGTGGTGATTTACATTTGTAATCCCAGCGACTTAGGAGGCTGAGGCAGGAGGATTGCTTGAAGCCAGGAGCTTGAGATCAACCTGGGCAATGTAGCAAGACCCTGTCTCTAAAAAATTAAAAAATTAGGCTGGGCGTGGTGGCTCATGCCTATAATCCCAGCACTTTGGGAGGCCAACTCAGGCAGATCACTTGAGGCTAGGAGTTTGAGACCAGCCTGGCCAACATTGTGAAATGCTGTCTCTACTAAAAATACAAAAATCAGCTGGGTGTAGTGGTGCGCACCTGTAGTTCCAGCTACTCGGGAGGCTGAGACATGAGAATCACCTGAACCCAGGAAGCAGAGGTTGTAGTGAGCTGAGATTGCACCACTGCACTCTAGTCTGGGTTACAGATCAAGACTGTATCAAAAAAAAAAAAAAAAAGAATCAGCTGGGTGTGGCATCACAGACTTTTAGTCTCAGCTACTTGGGAGGCTGAGGCGAGAATATTGCTCGAGCCTAGGAGTTTGAGACTGCAGTGAGGTATGATCGTGCCACTGCACTACAGCCTGAGCAACATAGCAAGACCCTGTCTCTAAAAAAAAAAAAAAAGAAAGAAAAGAAAAGAAAACCAGATATAGCACGTTGTTATTTCCAGAACCTGATGAAGTGTCTAGATGTCCTATATTTTTGAAGACTGTCCTTTGAAGTCTCTATTTCAAAGGTGCAGATCAATATGAGTCTAGATTTCAAAGCTGATCTTGATGTTTTCTCATAGTATGATAGTAACTGAAACACATTAAGAGAAAAGAGTTACAAAGCCATTTATTGTTGTCTTTTAGAATTGTGGAAGGGAATATAAATTTTCACTATGAGACCCTGAGTACTTTGGTTGTGCTTTATAAAGTTTGGAGCATTTTAAGTAGAAATTACACCATGTTTTAATACAGTTTTGTTTTTTTTGAGAAATCTTAACTAAGAACAATGCTGTTTGTCTGTTCTGATAGTTAATATTTATAGGCATGTTTTCATCTAGAGTTTAGCCATATTTATCATCTCTTAGTATATAGGTAAAATTTTGGATTTAAAGTAAGAGTAGAAATTATTTCTGCTGATAAAAGTGAAAACTGAATTTCTTTGGAGTAGCATAATCAGCATGTTACTTAGGTACTTTCTGTAAAGATGCTGCATTTTTAGCTGTTTTTAGAGCTCCCTTACAGGCATGAAAATAAATTAGTCAGCAGTATTCTCTGCAGAGCTGGCAAAAACAATCGATAGGTATTTTGGAAGTACAGGTAACAATAATATAATTATAAAGTTTATATAGTATTTACGAATTTTTCTTGAATAGAAATTGAATGTGAAAAGTAAACGTAAAATATGAGTGAATCACCTGATGTGATATATGTTGTTTTTAGGTTGGTACTAAGATAATTTCACAGGCGTTTCTTATTTGCTTACTAATTCCCACAAAGACACATATTACAAATCTTACTGAATATGTGAGCAACTCATAGTTTTCCTTCTCGAATGTTGTGATGCTTTTTTTACTTTTTAAATTCTGAAATATGGTCTGTAAACAAGACTATGTTGGCTATTTGAAGATTTGATAAGCTGTACTGTATTTTGGTGTTTAATGCTTTCCTTACAACTGTAAACATGCTGAGTGCTATCTACAAAATATAGCTGAGTCTATTCGGTAATAGGATACTTAGAGTGTGTTTTCTCTAATGTATGCTCATGCATCTACTCTCAAACACCATATTCCTTGTAATACACAAATGTACTTTCTGTGACTGAGGTGTAATTAATAGGAGGAAGAAGATCTTGAATGAAGTGATAAGATATATATTTATATATGTCTCCTTTTGCCCACAGTCTTTTAGAGAATGATGTTCATTTTGAAATGGAGGAGTGGTCAGGAGTTGAGAATGTGTGAACATCTGGGTCTTTAAACTACTCTTGTCTTCAGTAATCTTCATTAATTGCTGAAATGTTTGTCTCTATTAAATAATATTAAATTATCTATAGTTTTATTGCAATCATTAAGAAAATTATACGGATGTTAGAGTAATTGTCACTTTTTTTCTTTACTTCAGTTTATCCCCACTGAAGGAGAATATTGTGTGTATATTTTTTATAAGGGACAAAGAAGACAGTGAGGAGAGTCATAGTATTTATTGTTAGCAGAGTTCTTCATTTTACAGCTGTGAAAACAAATATGGAGAGGTGAAATATTTCATGAGTAAAAGTAGTGATGCTTAGCATTTTCTTTCTTTTTTGAAGACTAAAAACCTTTGATTCAGGGTCAGAAGAACTAGATAACTGTTTTAAGCCTCTCCACAAGATATTCTACAGTTATCATCTTTTTCACCTTACCTGCTAACATTCAGGTAAATAGCGGTAAAATTAAAGGCCAATACTATGGAAGATAGTGACTAAACATTTCTAGAGTGTTATATAATGTTACAGTTTTCTTTAATTTAAATATGCACACATCCATGTAAACCACACTGTACAATCCCATTATGTGTTCAGGTGGGTTTTAGGTGACCTTTCCAGATATTTTCTTCCTTTGAAGGAAGTTTTTGTTGTTGTTGTTATTATGAAGCATAGCCTACATTTTATTACCAGTTCTTTTCTTTTCTGAAGGATAAGAAATTTAATACCAAGAGACCATAATAAGTAAAATTTTTATTTGAAATCCTTAAGTCATCCATACATTTTTCATAAAGCTTTTTATAAACATCTTTAACCATTCTAGCTTTTCCAGGTAGAATTAACAGTAACAAGTTATTTGATTATAATCACAGTCTGCATAATGTAAATAAGTTGAAATTAGTTGGCAAGTAATTGATATTCACAAATGAAAACGTTGGTTGTCCCGTAGTAATCAATGCATAGCTACAGCTGGTTGAAGGGGACCAAATCCATTGAAGAGGCGATTTGGTTCCATTTTACCAGCTCTAGCAAAGCATTGTAGTGCTGCTAGTTTGGAATCCAAAACAGTTAAATGCTTTTCATTGGTAAAATTACAGTCATGGACCTTCTACAAGTGTTAGAAATTATCATACCAATGCTTCAGTCACTGAATGTCAAATTTTCCATTTTGAAGTCACTTTCCTACTGTTTTCCTGCGCTTAATGGTTTAAAAATCTTTTCCTTTTAACACATTACTGCATTAAGGAATGATCAATGTACGTCTTTGTTTTCAACATCTTTGCTTCTTTTTCTTTTTCTAATCTTGTCCACAGCCGAAGTCTTTGCTTAATTCTTACATGTAGACAATAAGCTATTTCAAAACCAATAGTATTTAAAGGAACAAATAGACCTTGATGTATTTTAGAGTAATGTTTTCCATTTATCTCTAGGCAGCAAACCAGATAAATAGTTAAGCTAAAAGGTTGGGGAAGAGTTCAGTTAGTCACCCCCTTCTACTGCCACTGCTTCTTTTAGCATTATAGTTGAGGGCTAATAGCAAATTGTTGATGGGTGTAGGAATATCAGTGGCCTTAAGAAAGTACCTCTGCCCTTTGATTTATAAATAGATCACATGTGTATTCAGTGTATTGCTTGGACTTGTGTCGAAAGGAACTACCATGCATGCCAGTTTTTCTTTGTTTTTGCTTACGTGGTGTTACTAATCATAGCTTAGTAATTTAACCCTTTTAAAGGTCTATTTCCTTGACTAAGTTCTTTGTCATTTTGGGTACAGATTGCCAAGTTACTTCTCATTATCGCCTTAGTAATACATGGTGGTTAGTTACAATCCATGGATACAAGTATTAAAATCTATTGTGTGGATAATACTTGAAAAATCAGAGTAAATTTTTGTTATAATGTGGTTTTACTGTTGATTTCAATGTCTTGAGAGGGGTGTCTTCTTGCATAAAATAAAAGTTTGATAAATTATAATTTGCCTATAAAGTTAAGTGCTCTCAGAGAAATATAGAGTAGAGAAATATTCTTTACAGTTACTATTTTAAACTGAGAGGTCAACGCTAATTCAGGCAGTATGCAAATGACTCTTACACTAAGTATATTCTGCGTCTGTTGGTTGGTAAGTATCATACTGCTGGTGAAATTAACTACAATTCTTTTTCATCATTTTTTCTAGTAGAAGTGAAACAGGTGTTAAACTGCCTAAACTTAAGTGCTGAAGATAGCAATAATACTGGCTTCTATTTTTACTAGTTATATGGGAGCTGTTTAGCAGATCCAGTTGCTCAAGTGTGTTTTTGGATGGCAGTTCAGTTTCATATACTGGCCATATCGGGGCAAGGAGAGGCCATGGGAAAAAAATAGTACAGCATTTGATAATGTCAGCATCTGTTATCCCTGTCAGGGAGACAGTTGAAATGTTTGAGTTATACCAGTGTCAGCAGATGCCCAGAGTTTAATATGTACTCAGTTAAAAATGAACAGCTGATCTAAGTGATAGATGTGACATTTTAGAGTGATTGAAAATACTCTTAGATAAGTTAAACTCGCAAGCACCAGAATCAGCATATAATTTTACTTTTAAAAATGAATAGCCTGTCATTTTATTTTCTAAGGATTATTTATATAGTCTTAATATTATAGCAAAGAGAGTCTTAGTTGCTAGGATGTTTGAGAAGGATTATTAAACAACTTGTATACCTATAGAATGACCAATATAACTGTTTATTATAAAACACAAGTAGAGTAATAAGCTTTGAGTATTTTTATAGAAGAACCTCTACTTTTGAGGTATATATTTTGAGTTCTTGGTATTTAGGACCTATACAGGTAAACTTACCAAATAGAACATGAATCATTGCCATTCTGTTTTGTGGATGATCAGAAGGGCTATGCTTATGTGAGTTAAGCTTTGAACTAATTTCTTTGAAAGTGTAGAATTTTAAAATTATGTGCCTTTTATAATTTCCAGTAAACATGCAGTAACACATATGATGCCATGTGTAAGTCATTCTCATTCTTTATAATCTGATAAAATGAAAATCATCTTTGTATTAACTAGTCTTATTAAACAGAAAATGAACTATAGTTAAACTTAGTCATTTCCATTCAATTTCTGATACAAAAAATTTAAAATATTATGCTTTTATACATGTGTAAATATTTCAGTTGAAATAATACTTTTAGTAAGAAATGGTTAGAATATGTGAATATTACTCTTATTTTCTAACTTTGTCATTAGTAGCTTAAAACAGGTACTGCTTATAAATTTTGCTAAGAGCATTATTTGGAATTTTTTATAAATAATATACAAACTGTGTGAAATAAAAGTATTTTGATATTTCTAAACAATGGATTGATCAAGTTTAGAGAAATTGAATTGTAATTGCATAGTACAATAAAAACAGTTCTTCGATCTGTATAAATTGGTTCTTGACTATAGTGCTTTCATTTTACATGCCCTCTTTGGAGAAAGCAAATTCGAAGATAATACAGATAAATTAATTTCTTTTAAATATTTGGTAGTCTGTTACCAATATACCCTGCTGACTTACAGCTGTGGACCAGAATTTTGTCATTTTTCATGCTTAAATCTTACATTTTAATTAATTTTAAGTTTTAACTTCACATTTAAAGTAGAGATTTGGGTTAAGACCCTGATAAACTTGAGAAGGAAGGACAAGGGCCACTATGTTTGTAGCTGTCAAAAAAGAAAGCCTTTTTAAAACAACAAAACTTTTGGTCAGAAATTCCTCTAATATTAATTATACATTTATCAAAATGAGAAGAAATAGCTTATTATGTGAATGAAGCCAGCTCTTAGTATCTTATTTTTCTGTACAAATCAGTGAGCCCTACTAATGAGATATACTTAAGATTAAATTGTGGAGACAGAAAATAGGTCATGTGTATTCCTCATTCTTTTGTGCTAGTAATACTATTTTCCCTTTTGCAGTCAAATTTTAATAATGAGAGTGCCTAATTTAAAAATGTAAGATGTCTGTTTTAAACTTAGATGATTTAAAAGGAGTTTCATGATAATTGAAATCTACTTCACTGGATCTTCTTTTCCTTCATGAAATAAAAACCTTAGGGATAGTTTCTATCTATCAGTAGTAGATAACCTTTTTTTTTTGGTGTTAGTATTGCCAAAGGTCATCTGTTCATGACTAGGTTAATTTACCATATGACGGTCATTCACGTAGAAAGAAGCAAGAGCTTCTTTTAGCTCAGTTTAATTCTCCCTTGGTGGTTTATTGCCTACCAAAAATACATACTTCTTTACATTCCATAGCATTGTATGTTCATATGGGTACATAAAGAAGTATGTACTCTGAGTAGGTATTACTAAGTTGTTAGCTGTAAAAACATGAAATATTTTATTTTCTTATTTGTTAGTGAAACATTCAGCTTACTAATGTAGAGCAATGGTAAATCATTTGCAGAGACTAATTTATCGAAGACTAAATTTTGTAACAAGTTTACCTGAAGCATGGCATTAATGGTTCCATATTCTTGGTGGACATAGACATTCCTAAGCATTTGACCAGTTATCTGTTGAACTTTGTCCTGGTTTGATTCTTTTTGCAAGAGATTCAAAGAATCAGTGTAGTGTTACAGAGTGTATTTCGGAAACTTAAGATCAGCCTAGTGTTTCTTCAGTCTTCAGAGTGAATTTCTTCTTTTTTTGTAGTCTGCTTCTAGATCCTACAGGTAGATAGTAATTAATTAAATTCAATTTTTTTTTTACAAACTAGATATCTTACTCAAAACCTAACAAATTAACCAATAAGTATTTCTGATATTGACTCTAGAAGTTGAAACAACAAGGAGAAAAACCAGGATGAGTGTGGGTGAATTGAACTTTTTTAAAGATTATGAATTTTTGTTAGTGTTTTATAAGGTCACAGATAAGAACTCGTGATCATTTGAAAATTTGTCATTCTTTTTTCTTTATTAGTTCCTTACCTGAAGTTTGCACTTTGATGCTTCTCTTTGGGTTAAATACAAATATGAGTTGAATACAAATTCAAATAGATGTAGAAATATCTAATTTTGGTGAGTTTAAGTTGTTTTGATTCTTTAATCTTTTTAGTATAAAGGATAACTGTCAGAATCGTCAACTTTTAGAAAGTATCACTTCAAAGAACTGAAAGGTTTTAGTCTGTGAGCACCTGGGTTTTATTTACCTTGATAGTTTAGAATGAAAAGAAATTATAGTTGGTAAGTAGCCTTCAGTTATTGTGGTATTAGAAGGTTAATTTAAAACCTCAAGAAATTTTCAGATTTGTCAAAGGAGGAAAAAAAAGGGCAGGGATAGTAGAATTTCTGCAGCTTGTGATAAAAAGCTAGTGCAGCTTATAGAGAGCAAATCAGAATGTAGCAGTAGATAGCCCAGCACTACAGCAGTTTCAGCAATGCAGCATTAGAATTACACCATGCACGTTCTGATTTATTTTTGTGGCCAATTATTAGTAAGCATTAAAAAGTATTTTATGATCTGCCAAGTTTCTTGGTTGACTAAACCTTGAAATAGAAGCTAATAGTTTTAGAAAATAAGTATACTTTGGAAGCAGGATGTGACTTACTAGAGATGCAAAATCATCACTTAATCTGAAACAATAATGACTAAATCTTTAATAATGTAAATGACAATAATGTATTTGTACATTTTTAAGATAAAAAGTTACTGCCATAGTATCTGAACAATATTCCTTTTTACACTACATTAGCTCTTAACTTGAATTGTGAAATTAGGCTATGGTTAGATAGAATTTAATTTAACAATGAGAACATATATTGAGTCAATAATAGGTAAGCATGCAGAAAGTCATAAGCATCCTTAAAAGTACAGGCCTTATGGTGCTCTGTTACCTGTAAGCTTAGTGTCATGCAGCATTTGCAGCAGGAAGAAAGGTAGTAACCTAGAGAATCACATCAACAGCAGCCATCTCATCTTGATTGTTCGTTCACTCTATTTGCTGATTCAGCATTTCTTTTCATGAGCCCGGTGAAGGAAGGGGATGTATCAGTGAACACAGAACCTCACCTTTTAAGATAAATTTGAAAAACAAACGAGCAAACAAAAAACAAGCTTACTTTTCCCTCTCCTCCCCTCTTCCCTTTACCAAAAACAAAAACAAAAACAAAAACCACCAACAAAAACAACTCTAAAATTGAATCAGTGTTGGCCATTTGATTTGGAATGTCATATAACAGTCTTGCACAGTTATATAGGGAAAGTTAAGCAATCAAAAAAGGTTGCTACAAAGGCCAAGAAAATGAACCTAGCTTGTCAGATGAAATGCTTCAGAAGAGGGGAAAAAGTTGCAGAAGTTAATTTTATAGTCTAAAAAAGACAAAAAAAAAAAAAAACAAAAACAGAACCCAAAACACACCTTACTCCCCCCAAATAACTGTAAACATTCACCCTGTTTTTCTTTGCCCTCCAGAATACATTGGGTTCTTCTGACTTCTTAGGAAATAGTCTGCATCTTTCTTGCTTTTAGATTTTTTTTTTTTTTTTTTTTGGTTTTTAGTTTCCAGGATTAAATAGTAGAGCTGTAGTGAAGCTACCTTGTCACATCCAGAGGTCAAGTCTGCAAGCGAGGTCAGGACTTCCACATGGTCACTACGAGGCTAACTTATATTCTTCCTCAGTGACCACTGGCTAAACTGTTACAGCTTTATAGGCAGCTAAGCATTTGAAACATGCACTCCCAGGCAAACAGGCTCTCTTGTGCCTCTCTCTTCCCTGACCATATTTAGTCAACCATAGCAAAAAATAGCCTCTCAGCTGTCGATTGTCGATCCAAAAGCTGAGGAAGCCTCAATCTTGCTTTCTGCCTATTGATTGTTCATCCTGCGGTCCAAACACTGCTTAGCCATTTGTCCTGCCCCCCACTTTTTTTTTTTTGAGGGGGGGTAAGCACTGCCAAATAAAGCGGTCTCTCATGTTTCCACTTACATTTCCCAGATTTTCACTGAGCTTGCGCTGAGACTAGGAAAGCCTGATGCACTGTCACTATACTTAGAAGCACTGCAGAGAAAAAAGGAAAGAGGAAAAAAATTACCATGGCTAGTAGCAAGACAATCTTTAGACAGTTATGGAACAAGTGAAGTCCCTCTGCTGCCAAAATACATTTTATAACCTGATTTTTTGATTGATAAAAAATGTTATGGATGGTGATATGTTACATATCTAAAGGCCTGAAAGGATTTTGTAGGGTTATCTTTAGAGCTAGTTGTTGCCATATACATGCTTTTAAAGTTTATTGAATGGAAAATGTATAGAAATGGTAGGTAAGACCTGTATATTGGTGGTGGAGAGACATCATCAAGGGAGAAGAAAGTAGTATGTAAATGAAATCTTAGAAGTGCTACTTAAAACAATTCACTGTCAATTTCAGTTAATTTTTTTTATAATGCTTTGGTAAAAAACAGGGTCCAGTATGCTTTTGAGTAATTATACAAGTATTCAGATGCATTTTATTATGAATTCTACTTTATATTCAAATGTGTAGTGTTTTTGCTGTCCCTTCTACATTGTCATGTTTCTCTAATTTTCTGAAGTGACTTTTAGGCATGATCATTGCACACTTTACACAGATTGAAATAGTCATTAACCTGTCTATAACTCTATTACATAGTATGTGACTCAGAGGTAAAAATACTTTTGTTTTAAATTTTAATAGCATATTCACAATAGATTTTGATACTGAAATTTTTTTAATCAAAGAGAAAAAATATTAAAACATGAAGTCCAGTAAACCTGTGGAGATATAGTTTAAGATCTCACATAAAAATGCAGAAGAGAAACCAGCTATACCTTGTTTTTTAATCCAAATATGTCCTCTTAAGAAACAAGAAAAACTATTACGAGTTTTCTGAGCTTACTCACCTACGGAAGTTTGTCCTTCACATTCTTGTTGTCTTTAGCATTTAATATCATAGCAGTTTAATTATTTTGAATGTCTGTTTTAAAACAGTGGCATAAGGAATACTTCTTTAGATATTGGGCAATTTTAAACAGCTTTCCTAGATATTGAAATAATTTTACTCATATTATGAGAAGATGACATGTCTCAGAGTATAAAGTAGGTTAATTTTCAGTTTTCTCAAGTACCCCATTTTGTTAATGATTTTGTAGCAGTGAAAGTACTTATTTTTTAAGCAAACACTTACATAATGTGTTATGTGCCAGGTTCTCTTTCTAAGCCCTTTATAAATATTAACTCATTTAATTTTCATAACAACCCTATAAAGTAGGATTTGTGATTCTTCTCACATTTTACAGATGAGGAAACTGAGGCACAGAAGTTAAGTAATCTGCTGAAGTCACTAGCCATTGTGGCTAGAGCCAGAATTTGAACTCAGATAATTTGGTTTCAGACTGGGAGCTCTTCACCACTATGCCACATTGCTCCTCAGATTTGTGATAATGAAATGAGTTAGGAAATTATTCCTCTTGGGAACAAAACCATGCATCAAATATATATTGCCAATATCTTTGCCTCAGTATATTCAGAAAGATGATTATTTGATTATTTGTTTATTCATTTCTTCCATTCAACAAAACTTTGAGTTCCCTATACTAGGTATACAAAGTATACCTTTTTGATCAAAATGTGTTCAGTTTTATAGTAACCTGCTTTTAGCATGCCCAAAAGAACTACTGGCAGTTGATCAGTTTTCTTAATAAATTCCTTTTTGAATTCTTGACTAATCTACATTACCGATTTGAGGGATTGTTTATTAATTTACCAAGCATTTATTGAACACCTAATATGTGCTACAGTGCTATTCTAATGTTGTTTTGCCTTAAGTAGTACTAACATGTAAGGCCTCCACAGTTTAGCTAGTAGGGTTTGGGAAAATGTTGCCTGCCTCTGAAGAAAGATTGCAAAGCATGGCAGGCCCTAAAAATTGACCCAGTGCCACTTGAATACTGCATACCAGTGTAGACAGCTGCTTGTCCCCTCTGCTTCTTTATAACTCATTTGTTCATCATTCAGCAAACGTTTGAATACTATCATGTGCCAGGGATTATGGTAGGCACTGCTATTAGTTGTTCTGGAACTTAATGCTTCTTTGGCACTATTCACAAATGCCTGCTTAACTGGTAGTAAGATCTTATCTTTAAAACATCCATGTCCTTAACCTCTTGGAAAACAACCAAATTGAGCATTAGGGAAAATATCTCTAAATCTCATATACTATGCTCCACAGGTGAGACAGTCTATTGGCTTAACAAAATTACTGAATTCTCGAGCTGGTAACACCTTTTTCCCAGTAACTCTACGGACCTCAGTGCTTGCAGCTTAACAGTCTCCTCTTAATTAACTAAAGTGCTGCAGGGAACAGCCTGCTGCTGTCCTTGTGGTTATAGTGTGTCTTCCTAAGATTGCCTGCCTCATGGAAAGAAAGGAGACAGGCTGCTCTGAACTACTGCTGTTGACGTGAGAGTGATGGGACCAGAAACTGTTTTGCTTAACTTTCCCTTAGCTTACCTTGCAGGCTGGGCCCAAAGATGACCTCTTTTCTTGAGGCCCTGTATTATTATTTTTTTTTGAGGGGGTTGGCAATTTTTGATTAAGATGAGAGGGCTGTAGGTCTCTGTTCAAATAATTTATGTAGCACCCTCAAGGAGGTGAACTATAACTTCCCGCTCCTTAAGTGTGGGCTGTACATAGTCACTTCCTTCCTAAGAGCATAGTTTAGAGATACGGAAATGTTTACATTGGAGAAACATGAAGAACACTACTTCAGCCAGATGATCAAGGTTAACTTCTAGAGTCATATGGCATGTTGATAGTATGTACCCTTGGTGTGATGTGATTAAATGACACTTTATCTCTGTGGCCTTCTTACTAAGAACCAATAGCACAGCGTAATCATGAGAAAAGCATCAGACAAATTCCAACTGAGGAATAGTCTACACAATATCCCATTAGTACTCTTCAAAACTGTCAGACTCATCAAAAACAAGGAAAGTCTGGGAAACTGTCACAACCAAAGGGAGCTAAGGAGAAAAGACAACTAAATGTAAAGGGGTATTCTGGAACAGAGAAAGAACATTGAATAAAACTAAGGAAATCTCAGGTGTGGACTTTGGTTAATAACAGCGCTTCAACATTGGTTTATTGAAACAAATGTACCATACTATGTAAAATGTTAGTAACAAGGATGGAGGAGTATATGGGAACTCTGTACTAGCTTTGCAATGTTCTATAAATCTAACATTGCTTTAAAATAGATATTTAAAAACAAAACCAAAAAGTTCACCACTCCTGGCTAGTTGACCCTTGCATTAGTTTTGATTTGGGGCTATCTGCAGTGTTTCTCCACAGCTTAGTAAATCAAGTTGATTTTGCTATAATTGATTTCAAGAAAATATTATGTTTAGTCTCATGTTCTTTTAAAAGTGTATTAAAGGCAGGGAAGTATATTTTAGAATTTTTTTTTTATCAAGACTAGTCTTATTTTTAAAAGATTTATTTAAAAAGAATATGTGAAAATTGTGAAATGGTCAGATTTGTGTGGGGTGGTATAGAGAATAGAGTGGAAAGGAGACTGGGGGCCATTGGGAAGAACAGTTGAGTTTTAAAAAGGAGAAACGGCAGGACAAATTGAATGTGGACATAAGAAGAGAGGAAAGAGTCTAGAATGATTCCCTGGTTTCTGAGTAGAATGGCTGATTAAATGGTAAGAAGGGTAATCAAGATCAAGAATATAGGAGGAGCCCGGGTGCGGTGGCTCACGCCTGTAATCCCAGCACTTTGGGAGGCCCAGGTGGGTGGATCACGAGGTCAGGAGTTCAAGACCGGCCTGGCCAAGATGGTGAAACCCTGTCTCTACTAAAAATACACATAAAAAATTAGCCGGGCCTGGTGGTGGGCACCTGTAATCCCAGCTACTCGGGAGGCTGAGGCAGAGAATTGCTTGAACCTGGGAGGTGGAGGTTGCAGTGAGCCGAGATTGAGCTACTGCACTCCAGCCTGGGCAACACAGCAAGACTCCATCTCAAGAAAAAAAAAAAAATATATATATATATATCCACACACACACACACACACACACACACACACACACACAAACACACACGAGGAGTATTGGGAAAGAGGAGGGGGCAAAGAGGTATTTGTACTATGTTTGAGTATACATCTATAATCTTAGAGTTGTCATAATACTATTATATTGAAGAGTTTCAAAAACGTTTTTAGATTGGGCATGGTGGGTCATGCTTGTAATCCCAGCACTTTGGGAGGCTAAGGCAGGTGGATGGCTTAAGCTCAGGAGTTCAAGACCAGCCTGGGCTGTTACATGGTGAAACCCCGCCTCTACAAAAAATACAAAAAAATTAGCTGGGCTTGGTGGCATGTACCCATACTCCCAGCTACTCGGGAGGCTAAGGCAGGAGGATCATTTGAGCCTGGGAGGTTGAAACTGCAGTGAACTCTGATCGTGCCACTAACTGCACGCTAGCCTGGGCAACAGAGAGAAACTTTGTCTCAGAAAAAAACAAAAGGTTTTTTTTTTTTTTTTTTGAGATGGAGTCTCGCTCAGTCGCCTGGGCTGGAGTGCAGTGGCTCGATCTCCACTCACTGCAAGCTCCACCTCCTGCGTTCACGCCATTCTCCTAAAAACAAAAAGTTTTTAATCAAGCTAATATATGTACATAGTTAAGTCAAATGTTACTACAAAACTTATAATGAAAGAGAAATGTCTTCTGCGTCATCCCTCCTTACCCCTTTTTTGTCCCGACCAACAACTTGGAACTTATCCTGTAATTTCTTAATTTATCAATTATAGGCATCTAGTGATTTCATGTTATGGAAAATGAAGATTTAAAACTAATACCCTCTGTTACTACCATTCCTTTCAACATGATTATATCACAATTTTTGTTTAAATTAATGACAAGTATTTACATTATTATTTTTACATTTTGTTTTTAATAAAACGTTTTTCCACTTTTCACATGATTTAATACTTGTATCTTTTAAATTTTCCAGAACTGTTTACCCCTGTAAATTTTGTTTCTCACATGCTCAAATGTGTAGGGTAAGAGATAATGTATGGCATTAACATCATGACTATCCAAACATCAGTAGTATAATGTCGTACCAATACTTTTTCCCATTGAGAATCTCAAAGTCTATACAATATCTAGTATTTTATTTTAATTTATGGAATGAGGAGGACTAAAATCCTTACTAGTGACTGAAAACAAAAGCAGAAAACCTTAGTCTTCTATGAAGCCCATGAATGGGATTTAGGAGTTTGTAGACTCACCCAAAATTGTATTAATAGGTAAAGATTTTGACATGCATTTCTCTGGAGGAGAGCCTATAGCTTTCCAAAGAAGCCTGTTATCCCCAAACAGTGATTGTTACTCAGTTACAGCCATGGAAGGGGCTCTGTAAGCTGTGATTCTCAGTATACTTTGGGTTCATAAACCTGTTTAAAAAGTCTAATAAAAGGCCGGGCGCAGTGGCTCACGCCTGTAATCCCAGCACTTTAGGAGGCCGAGGCGGGTGGATCACAAGGTCAGGAGATCTAGACCATCCTGGCTAACACGGTGAAACCCCATCTCTACTGAAAATACAAAAAATTAGCCGGGCATGGTGGCAGGCGCCTATAGTCCCAGCTACTCGGGAGGCTGAGGCAGGAGAATGACATGAACCCAGGAGGCAGAGCTTGCAGTGAGCTGAGATCGTGCCACTGCACTCCAGCCTGGTCGACAGAGCGAGACTCCGTCTCAGGAAAACAAACAGACAAACAAAAGTCTAATAAAAGTTTCCAAATGATTTAAGTGTAATTTTAGAGGTTCTTCAATCCTCCACAACCCATTCTCAGACTTCTTGAACTTAGTTCTGCTCTTCGGTGGTTGGAGTTTAAATCTTTAATTCTCTTTTGTATAACTTTCTCTTTTTTGCTTTGAAAATACTTTATTACTGATTTTTAAATTTTAAATATTAAATTATAATGGCCATTTTGTGTGTTTTGCTCCAGACTTGGTTTACCACTTCTAAATGACATATGTCAAGTTTTAACTTTGCAATTCATGATAACCAGCTACACAATAATCGTCAGCTAAGATGGTTCAGCATATATAGTGTATTAATTATCACAGTTTTTCCTACTTCTAAAAATTATTATCTGGCTGTTCTTCATTAACTCTTTCATTAATAAATACTGTTGATACTGAACCTGAGAGGTTCCCCAAAGCCAAAGTGGTGCCCTCATTAGGGTATATTTCTTTTCTCTTTGGTTTTTTCCTCTTAGGTTTCCTCCTTGTAGCACTTCCATTCTGTTTTGATTCTATTTCCCAGATAGTAATAGTGTGTCTACCTCTCAAAATATCAAAAAGCTAGCTGGGCATGGTGGCATGTACCTGTAGTCTCTGTCAAGGCCAGCCTGGGCAACATAGCAAGACCTCATCTCTTAAAAAAAAAATTAAATTAAAGCTGCACATTTGAGATTAGAAAAGTAGAATTTCTATTTGTCTCTAAGAGCATTTTTTTCTTTAAAGAGGAGTATCTTCATTTGATTGCAAACTTTTCTTTTGAGTATATCAAATTATGCAAATATAGAAATAATGTGAATTTAACTTTCAGTGCAATGCGTGTTTTACTATCTAAATTACCAAGACCATGGATTGTGGATGAGAAGAAAGATGATGGTTATACTGCCTTACATCTGGCTGCCCTTAATAATCACGTAGAAGTGGCTGAACTGTTGGTACATCAGGTAAGAAAAGAGTTAAATAATTCCCTCTTTTTTATTTTTTTTTAAACAATTTGGGACCATTGCCATTCATTTATTTATTGCTTTATAAATTGCCTATTAGTAGGTTCCAGTAAAACCTCATGATGATGAAAATTCAGATATAATGCATATTCTGTCTTCTGCCTAATACTTCTTAAATGCAGGATGGTGATGTGTGTTTGAGAGTGAGTCCCTCAATTCCCAGGATTTCCTCTGCACAGTCTTCCTGGATTGGTCCTGTGAAATGGGCATCAACTAACAGAGATTTCCCAGAATGGCTGCCACTGTTACGGAAGTATCATCAACCAGAGCACCAAGAACCATCTGTGTTGATACTTAAACAGTATGGCCAGTTGTCATCAGACTGCAGTTTGCAGCTAAGATCAGGGGATTTATTTCGTAACTACTGCTGACCCCTGGAATTTATGGCTCGATAGCAGTACAGACTCACCTTGGTCATTTCATTCATCTCAGAATAGGATGACACTACGTTTTTATGAGCCTGGATTTTGGGAGGAGCCTATTTTGTAGTTTTAGGATATTTTAGTAATTTCAGCAAATTTTTCATGTGCAAGCATAAACCATATAGATGCACTGAAGTTATCAAAGAATTATCTGTGATTCCTGACTTCAAGGAATTTATAGTCTAGTTAAGAAGATGAAACAGCAGAAAAATTTAGCAAATAATATATGTAATCAAATACCAAATTATAAGGTATACATTCCAAAAACTACAGAAATTTAAAGAAATATATCAAAAGTTAAGCCACCTCCCCCCCACTACTTTAAATCTTTGCTATTAAAATTACTGCTCTCTGTTAATTATGATAATTCCTTTTTATTCAAAAATCTAAGTGAACTTATGCCACTATCATGTTGCCTTGGTTATTGTTGCCTTATAGAAAGTCTTGAAATCAGGTAGATTAAATCCTCTTTCTTTGTCTTTCTCAGGATTACTCTAATGTTCTAGATCTTTTGCATTTGCATATAATTTTTTGTTTGCTTTTGAGACTGGGTCTCACTCTGTCACCCAGGCTGGAGTACAGTGGCACAATCATGGCTCACTGCAGCCTTGACCTCCCAGGCTCAAGCAGTCCTCCTGCCTCCCAAGTAGCTGGGACTGTAGGCATGTGCCACCATGCCTGGCTTTTATTTATTTATTTTTTCTGTAAGACAAGGTCTCACTATGTTGCCGAAGCTGGTTTCAAACTCCTGGGCTCAAGTGATCCTTTTGCCTCAGCCTCCCAAAGTGCCACCATGCCTTGTCCATATAAATTTTAGAATCAGCTTATTAGTTTCTATTAAAAAGTCTGTTGGGAGTTTGATTGCTCTTGCACATATTAGATTTGTTCTTCAGCAGCTTTTTGCGGATGTTATTATAAATTGTATTTTAGCTGGATGTGGTAGCACACCCCTGTAATGCCAGCTACTCAGGAGGCTGAAGCAGGAGGATTGCTTGAGCCCAGCAGTTTGAGTTACAGTGAGCTATGATTACACCACTGCATTCTGGCCTGGGCAACAGAGCGAGACCCAGTCAATCAATGAGTCACTCAATAGAATTGTTTTTACATTTCAATTTCCATTTGCATATTGCTAGTATATATAAATACAATTTTTGTATATTTTCCATATATCCTGTGACCTTGCTTAAACTTATTCTGGTATCTTCTCTACAGATTACTTAGTATTTTCTATATAGCAATCATACAAACTAAAAGAATAAAAAATGCAGAAGTAGAACCACACATATGTATAAACAGCAACTCAAATTAAGAAAAAAAAGAACCACACATATAGTCAATTACTTTTTTTATAGAAGTGCCAAAGTAATATGGGAAAGGATTGTTTCCCACAAATAGGGCTAAACCAAGTAGATATCCGTATACCAAAAACAAAAAAACCCAAACAAAAAAACCTTAACTTTACTTCACAACTTACGCAAAAATTAAATGAGTTATAGACCTGAATGTAAAAGCTTAAACCATAAAGCCAGCCAGGCCTGTTGACTCATGCCTGTAATCCCAGCACTTTAGGAGGCTGAGGCAGGAGAATAGCTCAAATCTAGGAGTTCGAGACCAGCCTGGGCAACATTGTGAGATCTCATCTCTACTGTATATATATATATATATATATATATATATATATATATATTTTTTTTTTTTTTTAATTAGCTGGGTGTGGTGGCATGTGCCTGTGTCCCAGGTACTTGGGAGGCTGAGATGGGAGGATCACTTGAGCCTGGGAGGTTGAGGCTTCAGAGAGCCATGATGGCGCCACTGCACTCCAGCCTGGGCAACAGAGCAAGACCTTGTCTTAAAAATAAAACAAAAAACAAACACAAAAAATTAGTATTAGTATATTATCTGACAATGAGGTGCACAAAGGTTTTTAGGAGACAGAAAGCCATAATCTTAAAAGAAAAATTAATAAATAACACTTCATCAAAAACTAAACTTCTGCTCATCAAAAGATACCATTAAGAAAACAAATAGGAAAGCCACAGTAGGGAGAACATATTTGACAAAGGACTGGAATCCAGAACTCTGAAAATTTAATAATAAAAGGACTGGCTGGGTGCGGTGGCTCATGCCTGTAATCCAAGCACTTTGGGAGGCTGAGACGGGTAGATCACTTGAGGTCAGGAGTTTGATACCAGCCTGGCCAACATCGTGAAACCCCTTCTCTACTAAAAATGCAAAAATTAGCCAGGCGTGGTGGCACGCACCTGTAGTCCCCAGCTACTCAGGAAGCTGAAGCAGGAGAATTGCTTGAACCCAGCAAGTAGAGGTTGCAGTGAGCCAGCATCATGCCACTGCATGCCAGCCTGGGTGAAGAGGGAGTGAGACACCATCTCCAAAATAAATGAATAAATAAAAGGACAAATAACTCTATAAAAATGGTCAAAAGATTTAAACATCCACTTTACTAAAGGAGATATACAGTTAGCAAATAGGCAAGTGAAAGCATTATTAGTGATTAACAAAATAGAAATTATAACCACAACCAGTTACTACAATTGCCCACTTAGAATGACTAAAATTAAAAGACCAATAAAACCAAGTATTGGTTAGGATGTGGAACAATTAGAATTTGTATACATTGCTGGTGTTTTTTTTTTAAAGCAGGCACTTTGAAAAACAAATTGGTGGTTTCTTACAAAGTTTGACATATATTTATCATGTGACTCAGCTATCCCACTTCTAGGTATGTACCCAAGAGAACATAGGACACCTTTCCAAGCAAATACTTGTACTAAATGTTTGTAGCAGCTATTATTAGCCCCATACTGGAAGCGAAGCCAAATGTTCAGGTAGTGCTGGGATAAACAAATTGTGCAAATTGTGGTGCACCTATGCAATGAATACTACTTAGTGAAATGTCAATGATGGAAAAGCTCAGGAAACTTAAAGAAAAATCCCCATTGTGCACATTTATGTGAGAAATAGACATGATAAAGAATTAAGCTGACACTCGGAAGGCTAAGGCAGGAGTATTCCTTAAGCCCAGGAGTTTGAGGCTGCAGTGAGCTATGTGCCACTGCACTCCAGCCTGGGTGACAGAGTGAGACCCTATCTCAAAAAAAAAAAAAAAAAAAAAAAAAAAGAAGAAAAGAAGCTGAGATCAGGTACCTTCTGACCACACTTCAAAGAAACATAATAAAAACAAATGAGAAATTCCCATCTTGAAGAATATGACATAACATTACCAAAGTTTCAGCTCTGCATACCCCGCCAGTATCAAGAGTTGTAACCAGAGGGCATGCATGGTTCTAAGACCTAAACGAAATGATCGGTTTATCTTTTGAATCTTTAGCTCTTTTCTTGATCTCATTTTAAAAAATTTTTAAATTATGCTAGACATTTGCTAGGCATTTTCATATGTTATTTTACTTAATCTTCACATTAGCCCTGTGAAATAGGTTTTAACTGTCACCATTTTGGAGCTGAGGAAGTAGATGATGGAGTTTTGACCTAGGTCCCCTGACTCCCAAGTGCACTTATTTTGCTCCTCAGTCTCTTTCTTCATTAGGGTTCAGCTGTTCTCATACGGTTCTTCAGCTGCCCTAGGTTCTTGGGTAGGATTTTCTGCTTACTTTAATGCATAATTTTATGTACGAATTAAGCATTACCTTCTCACCTAAAGCAAACTTTCTTTTCACAGAGTGAGGAAGAGCTCAAATATGCAGCAAGGGGAAGTGAACTTATTAGGTCATTAAAGTAAATCTAAATCCAGTATGAAGACTCATTATTATAACTTTTCAGGAAATATTTAGAGTTCTAAGGAGTTGATTATCTCCATTGCTTTATAGTGGAGATTGAAAGAGATCTGTCTTTGAACTCTACTGTGCTTTGTCCTTTTTAACTGTTCTTGGGTGGAATTACCATAATAAAAATGATTTTTAAAACTTGCTGTTTTACTTCAGAAAGTTTGTTGCCCCATCCATTTTTTTCTACTTTAACAGCAACTGTTACCATATGAGAATAACATTGCAGCAGCTGAAGGAGAAAGTAGCCAGCAGTGTTCGGTGTTATTTATTCCTTATGAGTAGTTATAGTTTTCATGTTCTTTACTGTTGTCAAATTTTAACCATTTAACATTTGTTCTTCTCGTTCAGGGTAATGCAAACCTGGATATCCAGAATGTGAACCAACAAACTGCCCTACACCTTGCTGTTGAACGACAGCATACCCAGATTGTTAGGGTAAAGTATTGACATACATTTTAGCTTATAATTACATTTTAACCATACAGATTTTTAGAACTTCCTGAAAATTGAAATGATACAGTGTTACATGTCTCAAGCTGGCATAGTTAGATATAAGTAAATCTAAATATCTAAATACAATGTGATCTGCCAAGACAGATGAGACCATATGCTTGAGATTGGCTTCTATATATAGATGGTACTTTTCTAAAGCTCTTCAGTAAGTATCGTAGAAGGGATTAGGAAAATTGTTAAAGCACCATAAGCAAAGTTTTAATAAACTTATATTTACTGCTTAAGTAATCTATTGAAATATGTCAACTGTGCATTTTTATTTAGGGGGTTGTAGTTTAGCAAACACTGTTCGTATTTATTGTTATTTGAAATTCCTCTTGATATCCTCCATGGCTTTCTTCATGACCATACATTTGGAGAAAATTGACCAAAAGAGAATGGAATCAATAATAACAGTTCCTTGTTTGTTTACATAATAGAAGAATTTTGAACATTATGATTTGGTCCTGGTGGAAGTGCTTAAAATATCTCAAGTCATACATCTAAAGTTGAAAAGAGAAATAAAGTCCTAAATATCCCTCCGTTATCATCATCTTAGAGTAGATGAATTAAGCAACATATTGATTCTCATATATTTTTATTTTCTCTAATTCAATATATTTAAATAACCAGAACACGTGACTCTTTGTAAGGAGCCACAGGGTTGGAGAAGAGTAGAAGGCAAAAGCATAAAAATGATTAGCTTTAGTGGTAACTTCTTCAGTAGGTCCAGGGTGTTCTCACCATTACTTTAGATATGTTGAAGTTTCTTATGGATGTGGACACTTTGCCAAAATGAGACATCTTTCTCTTTTAGCTTTTGGTCCGTGCAGGTGCCAAGCTTGATATTCAGGATAAGGATGGGGATACTCCTTTGCATGAAGCTCTAAGGCATCACACTTTGTCTCAGCTACGTCAGCTCCAAGATATGCAAGATGTGGGGAAGGTGGATGCTGCCTGGGAGCCATCCAAAAACACGGTGAGTAAAGATCATCTTTCATTCAGTACCAGTGGAAGAATCTTTTCATGCAAGATCTTATATTTACTGGTAATCTAACCTGTATTGGATAAAATATTTTATCAGAGCTATGTACTTAGAAACTTAGTTTATGAACTTAGTACTAGTCAGTACTAACTTATTGCTCCACATTTTTACCAAAAGTTGTTCAGTTCTGTTGTTGTTGTTGTTGTTATGTGGAGTCCCACTCTGTCACCCAGGCTGGAGTGCTTGGCTCACTGCAACCACCTGGGTTTAAGCCATTCTCTTGCCTCAACCTCCCAAGTAGCTGGGATTATAGGCGCCTGCACCACACCTAGCTAATTTTTGTATTTTTAGTAGAGACGGAGTTTCACCATGTTGGTCAGGCTGGTCTCGAACTCCTGACCTCAGGTGATCCACCCGCCTCGGTCTCCCACAGTGCTGGGATTACAGGCCTGAGCCACTGCGCCCAGCCATTCAGTTCTTTTTTAACATCAGCCATTCAAATAGATACGTAGTGGTATCTTATTGTGGTTTAATTTGCATTTTCCTAATGACTATTGATATTGAGCATCTTTTCATTTGTCTGTCACCATATGTATTTTATGAAGTGTCTGCTCAAATCTTTTGTTCATTATTTTGTTAGGCTGTTTGTTTTCTTACTACTGAGTTTTGAGAGTTCTTTATGTAATCGGAATACAAGTTCTTTATATGTGAATGCACATATTTTCTCCCAGTTGGTAGGAGATTTGTCTTTTCATTCTTTTTTTTTTTTGAGATGGAGTCTCGCTCTGTCGCCCAGGCTGGAGTGCAGTGGCACAATCTTGGCTCACTGCAACCTCCGCCTCCTGGGTTCAAGTAATTCTCCTGCCTCAGCCTCCCAAGTAGCTGGGACTACAGGTGCATGCCACCACGCCCAGCTAATTTTTTGTATTGTTTTTAGTGGAGACGGGGTTTCACCTTAGCCAGGGTGGTCTTGATCTCCTGACCTCGTGATCTGCCTGCCTCAGCCTCCCAAAGTGCTGGGATTACAGGCATGAGCCACCACACCCAGCCCTTTTCATTCTTCTAATAGTGATTTGGAAGAGTCAAATTTTTTAATTTTGAGGAAGTCTAATTTATCAAGTTTTTCTTTCATCATTTGTGTTTTTTGTGTGTGTTCTGTCTGAGATATCTTTGCCAAACCCAAGATCGCTAAGGTTTTCTTTTATGTTTTGTACTAGAAGTTTATAAAGTTTTAGCTGTTATGTTTAGGTCTATGATTCTTTTTGAGTTAATTTGTATATATTGTGTGACATATGGATCCAGGTTTATTTACTTGTGGATATCCAGTTGTTCCAGTGCCATTAGTTGAAAAGACTTTGTTTCTTTTCTTTTTTCTTTTTTTTGAGACAGAGTCTTGCACTGTTGCCTGGGCTGGAGTGCAATGGTGTGATCTTGGCACACTGCAACCTCTGCCTCCTGGGGTCACGCGATTCTCCTGCCTCAGCCTCCCAAGTAGCTGGCATTGCAGGTGCACACCACCACACCTGGCTAATTTTTTGTATTTTTAGTAGAGACAAGGTTTCACTATGTTGGCCAGACTGGTCCCGAACTCCTGACCTCATGATCCGTCTGCTTCAGCCTCCCAAAGTCCTGGGATTACAGGCATGAGCCACCACACTCGGCTGAAAAGACTTTCTTTTTCTACTGAATTGCCAGTATACTTTTATCCAAAATCAGTTAATTGTTTATGTGAAGGTCTCTTTCTGGATCATGTATTCTGTTCTGTTGGTCTATGTTTTTAGCTATTTGATACCAGCCCCCAGTCTTAATTACTGTCTACATAATACGTGTTGAAGTCAGGTAGTGTCAGTCCTCCAGTTTTCTTGTTTTTTCGAAGTTATTTGACTATTCTAAGTCCTTCACATTTCCATAAGAATTTTAAAATCATTTTTTAGAGGGTAAAAAGGTTCTGAGACCAAAGTGTTTGAGACCTCTGCCTTATTTATGACCATGGGTAAGTTCTCTTAGCTCGGTGTGCCTCTTTTTTTCTCATTTTAAAATGGGAAGAGGAGAGCACTTACCTCGATAAGGTTGTTGTAAAGATCATGGAAAGTGTGTAAAATAATACTTGATCCATTTTAGACACTCAATAAATGTTAACAGTTATTGTGACTATTTTCACATAAGATGATGAGAAGAATCTCAGATAATATTATCAGAACCTAATTTGTCTCATTCTCCGTATCTTGGCTCAATTCCTAGTCATTGGTTCTTTTCTCAGTTGTCTCTCCTGTCATTGTTTCAAGTTGGTTGCTAGCTGCTCCAGAGCCAAATTAATTAGGAAAGAGAGTACTGTTTCTTTAGTATCTCAATCAGAAGTTCCACTTTTGAGTTCTGTTGGGCTTAATTGACTTGATTTGTGTTATGTGTCCATCCCGGTTCTAGCCATATAGGTAAGGTAGAGGTATCTGACTGGTTTGGGCCATGTTTGGTCCACCTCTGCAGCTGGAGAATGTAGGTCCACCTCTACAACTGGAGAAAGCATACTTGTGTGTATGCTTGAGAAAACCAGGGGTAGAGTGGTGGGGAGGGAACATTAGGACTAGAACTCATAAGTGTCCACCACACACACATACATATATATGATGACAAGAATTGATGGCAGATTCCTAGAGGGAAAATCATGACTCTTTATTTTATTGCAGTTAATAATGGGACTTGGTACCCAGGGGGCAGAGAAGAAGAGTGCAGCATCTATTGCCTGTTTCTTGGCAGCCAATGGTGCTGACCTGAGCATTCGAAATAAGAAGGGTCAATCGCCACTTGATCTCTGTCCTGATCCGAATCTCTGCAAAGCACTGGCAAAGTGTCATAAGGAAAAAGTCAGGTTTGTATTATTTATTATCATAAAACTTAATATTCTGTACAGAAAATATCATGTGGTTTCGTAATGGAGGACGTGGCTACTTGAAAATGTCTTCATCTTTGCTCTTCCTGTATATTTGTGTTGACCCTTTCTTTCCTGAAATTTTTCTTCCTTGAAAATTTTTCTGCAGGCAGCATGTCTCTTATTTTATGCCATATTCCCCACATTATTGAGTGCAATGCTCTATACTTAATAAGTTCTGAGAAACTTTTCTAAACTAGTCTGATCTTCTAGTACTCCCATGTGTTAGAGGGATTTATGAGAAAAAGTCTTCTAGTAAAATTGCTGTTGTTAATGTTACATGTATTTTAAATTGTATTTATTTTTTATTGTATTATTATTATTTTTTAAAAATACGTCTTGCTGTGTTGCCCAGGTTGGGCTTAAACTCCTGGGCTCAAGCAATCCTCTTGCTTCATCCTCAGTAGCTGGGACTGTATGCATGTGCCACTGTGCCTGGCTCTATATTTAAAATTTAAATAGAATCTTCCTAAGACAGGCAACTTATACTCCATGAACAGGGTATATCTCACACAAACTGTAGCACCCTGCTCAGTGCCTGACAGGTGCACTCAGTATCAGTGGAGAATGAACAAATGAATGCACCAAGTCCTGGTGGAGTTTTCTCTAAAGATGATCATTTCACATTTGTCTCTTTTTCTGAAAGATATGTCAGTGATTTTAATTATTATTTATGACATAACTAATTTCCTTATGAGATTTTATAGATGTACAAAAAGGTACACATCTCATTGCTTTTTTAAATCTGAACAGTGCTGTGCAACTGTTGTTGCCCTTTGTACCTGGTTCTTGTCACTGAAATTTCAGTAGCTGTTCCTTAACCTTAGTGTTCCTTGCCTCTCTCATAATTTATGTGTAGTGATGAAATGTCATCTCTTTGGAATCTGTGCATAGAACTGTGTTATAGAGGAAATTAATATAGTGAGGTATATACATTTCTTTAAGTGTATTGTTAAGGAACATGAAATTCTATTACAAAAAGAGAATGCATCGGCCGGGCGTGGTGGCTCACACCTGTAATCTGAGCACTTTGGGAGGCCGAGGCAGGTGGATTGAGGTCAGGAGTTCAAGACCAGCCTGACTAACATGGTGAGACCCTGTCTCTACTAAAAATACAAAAACTAGCTGGGCGCATGCCTATAATCCCAGCTACTTGGGAGGCTGAGGCAGGAGAATTGCTTGAACCGGGAGGCGGAGGTTGCAGCAGTGAGCCGAGATCACACCACTGTACTCCAGCCTGGGCAACAAGAGCAAAATTCTGTCTCCAAAAAAAAAAATCTATAAATATAAAGATATAAGGCACTATAATTATTGCAGTAATAACTTTTAAACAATGGAGTCTAAGGTGGACCCTCTGTGTACGTGTTGTGTACGTGTTCGTGAGTTTCTGAAGATTGTGGTAGAAACAGGGCATCCCTTTTCTGTAGCTGTAGGTGGTCATATGTATTTCTGTTCCTTGTATCTGTGTTTACGGATGCAGTCTATCTTTCTGTAATATAATTTTATGTTCCTTAAGGATACACTTAAAAATGTCAAAACAGCAGCTGAAGTGTTAAATTTTCCAAAGTGCCCTATCTGTTGTGGACTCTGATGATGCTTTGTTCCGTCTTTAGTAAGGCAACTAACATGGGGGCTAGTGAGGATTTTTGTTTTATTCCTATGCCTTCCTCTGCTGGTTCTATATAGATACAACAGGTTCTGAGCAAAATTTTGTTTATGCTAAGTTTTTTTTTTAATTGCTGTTTTTTATTTCATTGTTAGAAGATTCACCCTTTTCCATTGGGTGAGTGAGTGTTCAGTTTGAAGTTTGAATTGTGTTAGAAGTATCTAAAGATGCAGAGACGCATATAAACACAAAAATTTAATGTTTCACATACAGATGTTAAAGCTTAATTTTTTAATATGACTAGTTTTTATGTATACTAATGATGCTCCAGGTATATTTTAAAACATTTTAATTAGTGAATTTGTAATAAGATAGGCTTGATTTGAAATACTTTCTTTTATTAGTGGTCAAGTGGGTTCTCGGAGTCCTTCTATGATTAGTAATGATTCTGAAACCTTAGAAGAGTGTATGGTGTGCTCAGATATGAAGAGAGATACTCTTTTTGGTCCATGTGGACATATTGCTACCTGTTCTTTATGTTCTCCACGTGTCAAGAAATGCCTCATCTGTAAAGAACAGGTTCAATCCAGGACAAAGGTAAGATATATTTAATATAGTATTTTGTCATTTTATGAAGTTGAGACTAGAATTAATGATAAATAAGATTTAATGACATCATGCGTCTGTGTAATTTTGCTCTTCCAAACAATGATTTAAATATAGGAATATATAATTTCTGCATTTATCAGATCAGAATTTCTTATTTTATTGCTTGTTTACAGTCTTGCTTATTAATGTACTGATTTGCTAAGTTAATTATTGTTTGAGTTTATTGATACACCATTTTTACTGTCAAATTTTTTTAGCTCTTAATGTGTTTCCTTCATTATATCTAAAGTATGGTAAAGTTAAAATTATCTACCATTTTGCTTTCAAAGCTCCCTATAACCTAAGGATACATTTACTTCCACTTTGGATTATAGTTACTTATATGTTGCACTTTTTTTGGAGTACAAAAACTGTTTTGCATTCATGTTTGTAAAATAATTCATTTTTTTGGTAGAATGTCACACATTCTAGATTTGATTGTTCTATCGTGGTGTTGTTTAACTTGCTATCTTCTGTGTTTCCTGTAAGCTGGAAGTTAGATGTAATAGTTTGATCAGGGTCAGCTTAACATTTTTGGCAAGAAAGCTTCACAGTTGGTGCCACACACTTTACATTATGTCCCATCTGGAGGCAAATAAAGTCTTGTCTCCCTGTAATTAGTGATGGCCAAAATCTATATCTACTCTGAACTTTTTCTCTCTCCTGACTCCTTTTGCTTTTTGAGAAGTATAGTTCTTTTCTGAGTAACTTAGTGCTTTATTATAACTGTACCAGATTACTAATTTTGGTTTACTGAAATAATTTATTTTTTAGTTTTTCAATACTCAAATGTGTGTGTGTATTGCATATAAAGTGAAATTTGAGTTTCTTACAAATGTTTCTCTCAAGGTGAATAGTTTAAACCAAAGAGCATGTTGGTTTTGAAGTAAAAACTCATGGAGTTTATACTCTTTTTCCATTCCCTTCTTTTTATAATCTTTATTTCTGTCTTGCTATTTATTTTTTCTTAAGCTATTCATTAACCATCATTAATAAGAAAGGAGCTGTTAGTAATTATCATAATGAATTAGCTGGCAGGGACTTAAAAGGTGTTGCCTTGCCCCTGCTTCTTCTACTTTCAACCTTCTAAGCCTGGATGGTTTTTATGATCCAAATTAATGTATCTTTCGTAGAATTTTTGGCACAGGAAAAAGCACAAGGAAGTTATTTTTGATAGGAATACTGGAGTGCTTGTATGTATGTAGCTGCTTGATCAATTCATAAAGCTGAGAAGGGTGAACTAATAGCACTTATTGTGTGCCAGACACTGTGTTGGCATTTCATTTGTATTAAATAGGTGTTAACCCTGCTTAATAAATTAATGTGGATCATTCTACTTAGCATTTATAATTCGCTTTAGCTACCTGTTTACGAAGTAATAGTTTGGGAAAGAATACAAAAGAAGAACAAAAATTTAAGCCATTCTTTTGTCTTTAGATTGATCTGTGTATTCTGCCATTGTGTTTGAAACTTTTTGTTAGATTAAGCCCTATTTCAACAAACCTTTATTGAACATCTGTTTTATAGTCAAGACAAAGATGTATATAATAATTACCTGCTAAAAATGTGTAATCTATTGGTAAACTATGACTTATATATAAGCAACTCTGCCATATTGGGTGTTGTAGGTGCTTTAAGAGAGTTAAAAACTGAGTAGGAGTTCAGAGCCTCTGGTTGTCAGAAGCAGAGTCTCAGCTATGAAGTTATTCTTATAAAAGCTGCAGCTCAAAGAAATGGACTGACATCTGGTTCTTGAATGCAGGTCTCTTGATTCTTAAGCCCCTGTTCTTTTCACTGTGTTATGATGCATAGACAAAATTAAGAACGATGTCTGCAAGGGATAGTTGATGGAACAGAGGAGAGAGGAAAGAGGAAAGAATATGCTTTCGTTCTTTTTCAGACCTTTTGAATATAGTTATTCTGAGAATTAATAGGCTTGCAATTTGATTTTTAAATTATGAAAGTTTTATAATTTATAATCTTATAAATTTATAATCTATAGAAAAGTAGAAAAACTACGGATATACCCACCCAACAGATTTGCCAGGTTGGTTGTAGAGCCTTTGACTACGAAGAAATAGTGACCCCAAGTGGTTAAAGGATAATGAATGTCTTCATTGAAGAAAAACAAATTACAGTATTTGGAGGGAGGTATAAACAAGCATGGGATCCTTTTCTGTTAGAGAAATACAAAGAAGGAAATTAATTGAATTAACATGAACTATTTCAGTTGAAGTAGCAAAAATACATTTTAAAAAGTGCTAGCAAGGAAAATGGCAAACAGGCACTCTCTAAACACTGCTGGAGGCTAGGTGGCCAACCCGGCTATATGTACAGACATTACACAATATGCTTTGGTTTAGTAACTCCACTCCTGGAAGTATAACCTGAGGAAATAATTGGAGGAAAAGGTATGGCTACAGTTTTTTTTTCTTATAATAGCGGAATAGGTACAGATATGGTTTTTAGATCAGTTTGCTGTATTATTTTAAACTCTTCAGAAACAATTCAGACAAAAAGACAAATGCAATGGAAATCATTTTAAAAATCAACATGTTATATAGAAAGGAGAAGATAATTATTATGTATTAGGCACTGATTTTATATATTACACATTGAACTACTTTATACATATCTGATTTACTCTTTATCACTCTGTGAAGGATTATTCTTTATTGTTTAGATAAATAATGTTGTAGCTCAACAATGTTAGGTAATTTGTTGGTGTTGGAGGTAGATTTTGAATCCAGGAATGTCAGTGTCTTGATCAACTATGTCTTACTGCATTCTGCATTCTGCTTTTTCTATACTTACATAAATTCTATGTACATACTGAGGTGTAAGTTGGGAAAGTCCATAGAGAGAAAGAGAGAGAGCACACGTGCATGTATTTGGTTGTTTGGATGATGCTGTAGGTGAGTAGTAGTTACCATTTTTGGTGACACAAGAGATGGCTAAATGTGACTGTGTGTTAGAAGGGAGAATAGGTGAAAGACAGATGAGTAGCCAAGGGCTATGGGGTAGGGATACAGGAAGCCAGAGCCAAGGTGGTTAATAGTTAAATGTCCAAGCTCAGATTAAGTGGACATGAAGAAGAGGTGAAAGTGAGGGAGATTATGAATAGGCTGTGGAAGTCTTGCTAGAGATCAGGGAAAAAGAATAGCCCAAAGCTGTGGGCTTCAGGCAGCATGGGAATTGACCAAGTCCTGGAAAAGGGCACTTTAAGGTAGAGTTTCTTAAATGTGGGTAAACAGAAAAATCCCTCGTGGATTTTAGCAATTTGGCTAATCTAGCTAGATTTTTATTAATATTAGAAATCTGTCTTTCAGTCATTTCTTATTTTACTACTTTATTTGTTCGTTGTCTTTTTTAGTTTCCCCTCAAAAGTAGTTTTTGGGGGAAAAAAATATTGAAGCCTCCAGAGGCTTCCTCAGAGGAAATGGAGTTTTTTCTATTCTATATTTTAGGACAGATAGGGAGATGAAGGTAGAATAGAAATAAGTGCCTGTTAAGCTAGGGTATATAAAGATGTGAAAATGAATAACCAGGAAAGTAGAGGATGGGAGGAAAGTGTGTGTTAAATTTCTCTGTGCCTAGGTGTTTTCTTACAGAGGAAATACATTTGGATATAATTGAACTTGTTAAGAGTTACTAGATTTATCTGTAAATGGTCACTGTGCTGTAACCTCTTTTTCTATAGATTGAAGAATGTGTGGTATGCTCTGACAAGAAAGCAGCTGTTCTTTTTCAACCCTGTGGCCACATGTGTGCTTGTGAGAGTAAGTAGCCTATGCAGAGTTCCTCAATATTATTATAAAAATAGAAAGTGAAACAAAAATTATGTTTTTGAGGGTTTTTTTGCTTTTGATTTTGGATAACTCATAAAAAAGTTGATGGGCCTCGAGTACCTTCTATTTCTTTCTCTGTACTAGAACGTCAGCTGTTTCCCTCCATGCGTCTGAGCATTAGGGAAGACTGAATATGCTGTGTTCTGCCACCTTGGATTTTGATTTCAGTTGTATTAGCACAAAAGGGTCTCTTTCCACACATAATAGAAATTTATTTTGAAAAATAAATGTTGAAACATTTAGTCTCGCCTTTGTTCACATATGAAATTAGCACGTCTTCATTTGGCTTCACCTTAATATTGCCTCTCCTGTGTACTTTCCTCACTGCAGAAGAACCAACAGCAACCATTTCTGGGGCTGTAATTTCTGGCCTTCTGTAAGCTTTTATGTCAAGAGAGCTTTTAGAAATCTTTTCTTTGTGAGGGCAGTATTAAAATTTAAAAAATGTTTTTAAGTTTCTTTTAAACATATTCTCTTGAAGTCCTTTGCTTTTCATATTGCCCTTGTTCAAGTTCATACACTGTTAAATATTCTCTTCCCTTTGCTTTTCTTCATTTTGTCAATAAAAGATTTTATTTTATTTTATTTTTTATTTTTGGCACAGTCTCGCTCTGTCACCTAGGCTGGAGTGCAGTGGCACAATCTCGGCTCACTGCAACCTCTGCCTTCCCAATTCAAGTGATTCTCGTGTCCTCCGCCTAGGCAACAGACTGAGACTCAGTCTTAAAAAAAAAAAAAAAAAAAAAAAAATTCCAATAGGCAGCTGGTCAACTAAAGAAAGGGTGAACGTTTTCTTCTGTAACATTTTGCCTAAAGTGACTGTTTCTGTTTACCAAAGAGTGGTATAATGGCTATTACCCAATACTATCAAAAGGGCACATAGAGAATTCTCTGTCTTAAGTAAAAAAGGACTCAGGTTACTTAAGTTTTCATAGGCCAGAGGTTGGCAGACATTTTTTGTAAAGGGTGAAATAGTAAATATTTTTGGCTTTGTAGGCCACATGGTTTCTGTAGTAACCACTCAGCTCTTTCCCACTGCTGTACTCTGCACTATAGTGCAAAAACAACCATGGAAAATATGTAAATAAATGGGCCTGACTGTGTTCAATAAAACTGGTCTCATAAAAGCAGATGACACGTCAGATTTGGCCCTCAGGTGTAGTTTGCTGACATCTGTCATTCACCAAAGTGATACCTACATGAGACTTGAAAGATGATTATAATTATTAGTTGTTCACACAGATTCTAGAGCCTTAATATAATATTTCCCCCCAGGAGCTTCCAGAATTTTTTACATGGCGTTTGCTCCTTTTTTTTTTTTTTTTTTTTTTTTAATTAAAAAAGCTTCAGCTTTAAATTTAGCTTTCTGACTCTGGGCTTGTGCCTTCAACATTTTCACGACGACATTCTGCTCTTTGAAAGGAAAGCATGCTTGGTCCTGTCGTGGATACATTTAGCAGTCATGGAAACACCATTGGTCGTGCTGACACTTTTTAAAATTTTAGACAACCTCACAAGAACTTGAGGTCTCACAGCATAAATCCCTTGAAGTCTGCCTGGGCACACGCCACATGCAGACATTGGTGCTTTCCCTACCTTCTTGATATAAAGGTAAACAATACCAGGGTTTGGGACAGCCTAGTTTTGTTAGATGCTGTGTTGTAGAAAAGCCTATGATGGTGCGTCAAACACTGGATCATGCTGAGTGCCTCTAGATAGCATCTCTGGAAGAGGAAAAACAGTCTTTGCTTTAAAATGCATTTAATAACGAGAGCAACACCAACTTTTATTGAGCTCTTAATTCTGTACCAGGCATTTTAATCTCTTTTTGAGTATTTCCTCATTTATTTTCAGAACAATCCTAAGAAGTAGATGGTTTTCTTGATTTTATAGACATGCTCTTAAACATTTATTTGCTAACGGAGATGAAACTGAGGTGGAACATATGCCTTTCCCAAGGAGTATACAGTAATGTAGTTCGTCCAGTACCCCCATCGCAGTCATGTTAGGCGGTGAAAGTGCCTTGGCAAGCCAAAGGAAGGAGAGATTACATCCCTTTTGGAGGTGCTGAAGAAAGATTAGAAACAATACAGATAGAAACAACACAAATAGAGAAGATAGAAGCAAAGATAGAAACAATACAATAACTGAACTAAACAGTTAATTTTAGATAATTGTGTTTATGTATTATATATTTAGTCAATTAGTCCTTTATGTTTAAGAAAAAAATCTGCCTTCAAATTGAAGACAAATCCCAAACCAGATTTCTACTTAACGTTGGCTCCTACCTAGTGCACTTGTATAACCGAGCGTCAGACCCATTTATGTTTAGGCTTTGGCAAGAGGTCAGCCTTGGTAACTGACTGTTCTCCATCCAGCAGTGTGCATGGCAAACTATTAGGAGTGTAGGCCCTACTTTGTCCACATCAGTGGTTTTGTGCTTTGTTCAAATCTAGTGGTTTGCCATAACCTGGATATTCTGCCATGGTTCCCATTATTTTTCCCATTTTTGAAATGAACAAGACACTTGATATGTAGGCTAAGATATGGAATATATTTTCATAATGAATGTTAATGAGAAAGAATATGTTGAATTGCTGTGTGTTATTTTATAATTAATTAACAAGTTTAGATGTAAGGTAGTATTAACAATCATAACAGGGCCGGGCGCGGTGGCTCACGCCTGTAATCCCAGCACTTTGGGAGGCCGAAGCGGGTGGATCATGAGGTCAGGAGATCGAGACCATCCTGGCTAACAAGGTGAAACCCCGTCTCTACTAAAAATACAAAAAATTAGCCGGGCGCGGTGGCGGGCGCCTGTAGTCCCAGCTACTCGGGAGGCTGAGGCAGGAGAATGGCGTGAACCCGGGAAGCGGAGCTTGCAGTGAGCTGAGATTGCGCCACTGCAGTCCGCAGTCCGGCCTGGGCGACAGAGCGAGACTCCGTCTCAAAAAAAAAACAAAAAACAAAAAACAAAACAAAACAAAAAAAAAACAATCATAACAACATACAGTTGTGCCTAGATATTTCTTATTGGAATAGGAATGCATTCTTCTGAAATATTGTTTATAGCCTTTGTAAATCAAATATTAGAAAGATAGTCTTTTATGAAAATTAAATTTTTTTCCTGAACTGCTATATTAAAAAAGTAATCACTAAGCAATTTCCTTGTTACATTGCATCAATTTGATAAGAGAAGGAAATAATTGTTCATTGTATTTTAGCGAAAAGCCATTTACAAAAGAAAATGTTTTTAGAAAATTATCATGTCCGGGGGTGTTGGGCAGGGGGAGAGAGAGCATTAGGACAAATAGCTAATGCCTGCAGGGCCTAAAACCTAGATGACAGGTTGATAGGTGCAGCAAACCACCATGGCACACTTGTACCTATGTAACAAACCTGCACGTTCCGCACATGTATCCCAGAGCTTAAAGTAAAATAAAAATAAAGAAATATAAAGAAAATTATCACGTAAGCAAGCTTATAATTCTAGTATTAGTTGACATTTGTCAATAGTATCTCTCTCCTTTATTCTCAAGTCTTAAAATCTTGAAATATTTATTGTGTCACTTATTTCTTTAAAAAACAAATTTCACAGTTTATTCAGCTGTATTGGAAAATGTCATTGTTTTCATAATGATGGGCTCTCTATTCTGGAGGCTACCGATGGAGAATACTCATTCTTAGGTTGATAACATTTTAAGGAGGTAGAATTGCATATTGCTATAACTTGTATAACATTTATTTCAGTGTGAAATTTAAGTCATAAAAATTAGCAGAGAAAGGCAACACTCCTATTAATGTTCTCTCTTGTAAGAAGTGTCTGTGTTACCGTTTTCCAGACTGTGCTAACCTGATGAAAAAGTGTGTGCAGTGTCGAGCAGTAGTTGAACGAAGAGTGCCTTTCATTATGTGCTGTGGAGGGAAAAGTTCAGAAGATGCCACTGATGATATCTGTAAGTCGATTGTCTTAAGCATTTTCATATTTTGCTTTTTTTTGGGACTTGCATAAACACCTCTTCTCTTTCGTAATACACTACTGCCTTATAAAACCTAAGATGTCTGACTTGGATCCACAGTGGAACAGGTATTGTTTTCTGGTGCTCTTATTATATTATAAGAAACCTGAAGTTCTATTTTTGTGTGATTATGGAACTGTGAACATCAGTCTTCTGAGAAACCTGCATGTATGCTATAAAGAATATTGTTGTGTTCTTGCATAAAGAAAATTTGTGCTCTATTTTTAAGATGAAATTTAGTGTGTTTTGTCAAGGGGTGGGACACCATATTACAATTTATTTTTCAGTTTACTGAAAGTATTAACCTGCTTCCATTATGCAACAGGTTTATTTGCTTCATTTAAGTATTTTATGGAATGGTAATTATTTGGGACAGAGTAACTATAGGTAAACAAAAATGTAACAGTGAAAGGGTGGAAAAATGAAAAATAAATGATTTACCCTCAACATTTTCAATAGTACAGTTGTTTCAAAGTATTTTTTCTCTTTGCATTAGATATTAGCTGAATGGTTTCTTTGATTTCTTTGTTCTCTGAACATGTTTTATGAGCAGATGAGGAAGAGCATTAGTGTGTAGCAACTTCTGTCTGAGGCTTTTGTCTTTATCACAAATAGAACAGAATAATAAAAATCTCAGGGACAGATTAACTAGAATAAAAGACCAAGAATCTAGAGAATAGGAAAAGTGAAATCAAAGATTTCCCTCCATGTTTGCATACTACAGATGATGGCCTTTCTTGAGTTCCTCATCTCAGATCAGTAATAACGAGGAAGTTTAGTCATAAAGAAAGGAGGCTAGATTTGTGTACGTCCTCATAAAAATCATCTGAGAGACTTTAAAATAATTATTGCTGCCAAAGCTGACCAAAGCCCTGCTGGTTACTTTCTTGGTTCATATGGTACAGGAGCAGAGGAAGCAAGCATAAAATGTATTGATGAGCTTGCCAAAGGAAGCACGTAGAGCCTTGGAAAACCCAGAAGTCTGTGTCTGGATTGTGCTCTGGCTGAGATAAATATAATTAGAAATTAATGTGCAAACTGTTTCTTTTTGGAGTTCATAAATGGAAAAGTGTAACAGAACGTCACTACTGTATGTTGTCCAAGTGTGAGAAAAATTTTTGAAGAGGATTTTAATAATAGTTTTATGTTTTTAATAAACAAAACAGTAATATTTTATTTTATAAATGTCATTCTGTCAAAGCAATAATAACTGAAAATCTTTTTAAATCTATATTATAGCAAGTGGGAATATTCCAGTATTACAAAAGGACAAGGATAATACCAATGTCAATGCAGATGTGCAAAAGTTGCAGCAACAGTTACAAGACATTAAAGAGCAGGTAATAATGATTTCATGTAAACAGTGATGCTGTGAATGGCACTGAATATTTTCCCGTAAAACTACTAGTGTTTCTGTAATAAGTATGGTTTATATTAGTGTATCACTTGTATTATTTGCATATTTGCAATGAGTAATAATCTGATTAGAGGGTTTAATCAGGTACTTTCCAAAATAGGTAACACACAAATGGCCAATGAATATGAAAAAATGGTCCAACCACATTAGTGATCAGGAAATGAAAACTAAAGCCACAAGGAAGTTTTCATAAGTATTAGATTGAGGAAAATGTTAAAGACTGTCAGTATCAAATGTTAGGCAGAATATGTAGCAGCCGTAACTCATACACTGCTGGTGGGAATATATATTAGTAGAAACACTTCGGAAGACAGTTTGTCATTATCTAATAAAATGGAACAGGTTATTGTTTGGAATATAAACTTGGAAAAAACCCATACAGATGGTATTAAAAGTTGAAGGTAGTCCAGGCGCAGTGGTTCATGCCTGCAATCTCAGCACTTTGGGAGGCCAATGTAGGAGGATTTCTTGAGCCCAGGAGTTCAAGACCAGCCCGCACAACATAGTGAGACCGCAACTCTACAAATAAGAAATTAGCTGGGTGTGGTGACCTCCCAACTACTTGGAGGCTGAGGTGGGAGGATCACTTGAACCTGAGGATCGAGGCTGTGGTGAGCTGTGATCACGCCATTGCACTCCAGCCTGGGTGACAGAGTGAGACCCCATCTCAAAAAAAAAAAAAAAGTCAAGGATAGTGGTTTTCTTGGTAAGAGATGGCTGGGAAGGGGCACAAGGGAAGAAGGGAAGTTTCTAGAGTCTGGATGCTCTGTTTCTTGATCTGAGTACCAGATAAATGAATTTGATTAGTTTGTGAACTTGTATTAAACTGTACACTTATGAGTCATGAACATTTCTATATACATGTGATACTTTAATAGAAAGGGGCCGGGCGTGGTGGCTCATGCCTGTAATCCCAGCACTTTGGGAGGCTGAGGCGAGCAGATCACTTGAGGTCAGGAGTTCAAGACCAGCCTGGCCAACATGGCAAAACCCCGTCTCTACTAAAAATACAAAAATTAGCCAGGCATGGTGGCGCGCACCTGTAGTCGCAGCTACTCTGGTGGCTGAGTCAGGAGAGTCGCTTGAACCCGGGAGGTGGAGGTTGCAGTGAGCCGAGATCATGCCACTGCACTCCAGCCTGGGCGACAGAGTGAGACTGTCTCAAAAAAAAAAAAAAAAAAAAAAAAAGGAAAAATGTGTCTGTATACATATACACCATAAAGAAAAGCAGGGGAAACATAATGCAAAATTCACAATAGTAGTCATCAGTGGGGGATACATGGAAAGGATTGGGGAGGATTTATAGAGGGGCTTCAAAAATAAGAGTAACGTTCCATACTTTAACCTGGGTGTTGGTTATGTTGTTCTTTATGTCTTTTTTTTTTTTTTTTTTTTTTTTTTTAGAGTCTCACTCTCACCCAGGCTGGAGTGCAGTGGCGCAATCTTGGCTCACTGAAACCTCTGCCTCCCAGATTCAAGTGATTCTCATGCCTCAGCTTCCCAAGTAGCTGGGACTACAGGTGCACACCACCACCCTCAGCGAATTTTTATATTTTTAGTAGCGATAGGGATTTGCCGTGTTTTCCAGGCTGGTCTTGAACTTCTGGCCTCAAGGGATCTACACACCTTGGCCTCCCAGAGTGCTGAGATTACAGGCGTGAGTCACTGTGCCTGGCTGTTCTTTACGTCTTATATATATCAACAAATATGCTCTTTTATTTCTACCTAATATTTAATAAAAGCAACAATAAGATAAAAAAATTAGCAAAAACTTGTAGGTTTGTTATGTTAAGTAAGATAGCAAGTATTTTTTCTTTCTGGCCATACCTTACCATTTGACCAAGTTACTAAATCTGATTCACAGGCTTGAGCAGTTCTTTAGTTTGGCCAATCACGTCAGTATTGCCATGCAGTTGTTAGAATCATCACTCCTGTGTTTTCTATCTGAATTTATAAGAAAATAACATAGTCAGTAGTTAGCGGCCCAGGATAACTAATGACCCTTGTGATAACTAATTAAGAATTGGTCAGTTGCAGTGAGTGATGTGTACCTGTAATCCCAGCTGCTCAGCATGCTGAGCTGGGAGAATTGCTTGAGCCCAGGAGTTTGAGATCAGCCTGAGCAACGTAACAAGACCCTGTCTCTACAAAAATTTTTAAAATAAATCAGCAGACTGTTATGACACATGCCTGGAGTCCTACCTACTTGGGGAACTGAGGCAGGAGGATGACTGGGGCCCAAGAGTTTGAGGCTGAAATGAGCTATGACAGCGCCACTACACTCCATCCCAGACGGCAGAGTGAGAAACCATCTCTTTGTAGGGGGTGGAGGGAAAGAATTGAATGTATGAATTTATTAGGCATTTAAACCCCCATCTGAAGAGATGAAAACTCTGATTAGGCCAGTTTTTCTTTTGAAATCCAGCATCTAGCAATACTTTTTATAGAATGAATAAGTGAAGATCAATATGAATTTAATGGTTCTTAATGTAATTTGGGACATATTTGGCTAGTTCTAATATAAAATAAAACATTTAATATATCTAATACATCTAATATAATACATCTAATATAAAATAAAAACATTTTTAAACATTTGAAGCTCCTAGCATCTTGATTCCTTTCCCATAAGACATCTACAGAATAAGCTGAGTTTTGAACACATCTTCTATAAAAAGCATTTTATATTCTAATTATGAATTAAAATTGTTCTTAACATGAATAGTGACATTTATTGAACCCTATATGGATCCTAAAAGAATAATTCTGCTCTACTATATCCAAAGTTTAGCATTCTACCCAAGTTTATACTTTCTTAAATAATCCTCATCGCCATATTTTATCACTGAAGTATTTAAACAGTTTTATCAAAACTCATCTTATGAGGAATGATGGGATTTCTTATAGGGACTCCCTTCAAGGTTATTAAAAAAAAAAAACAAACAACAACCAGAAAACATTCGAATAACTCTGCTCATTTAAATCTCCAGTCTATTACCCCAATGTGTCTTTAACAGATAAAATTTAATTTAACTTGGTATTAAGGATATACTAATCTCAAAGTAAACACAGGCTGCACAGATGTGTCTACTTTTGGAAATAAGAGTTATTCAATATTACAAAGACCTCTTGAAAATTTAATAGACATGAAATTATTAATAACATTATCAATCTATTTTGCTTTTCTTTTTTTTTTGAGACAGGATCTTACTCTGTCACCCAGGCTTGAGTGCAGTGGCACAATCATGGCTCACTGCATACTGAAACTCCTGGGTTCAAGCAGTTCTCCCACCTCAGCCTCCCAAGTTGCTGGGACTACAGGCATGTGCTGCCACACCTGGCTAATTTATTATTTTTTGTAGAGATGATGTCTGTGTTGCCCAGGTTGGTCTTGAATTCGTGGGCTCAAGTGATCCTCTTACCTCGGCCTCCCAAAGTGTTGGGATTACAGGCGTGAGCTACCGCGCCTGGCCGGCTTTTTAAAAATCTAAAAAGATGGGATTTTCTATAGCTTTGCTTCTCAAAACTTTAAGACAAAAATGTGACAGTTTGCTTTGGAGGAGTGGGGCTACCAATTTAGGCTACAATTCCTTTTACAATGATCTCTGGTATTCTCAAAGTTGGTAACAGTTGGTAACAACATGTCATATAGGCTTTAGGCCTAGTTTTTTAATGAAGACATTTCTTTTTAATTATTTCATTTCCATGTTATTTGGGAAAGCTATAAATCAGAAGTATTATACATTAAGGCAAATATGATTTTATAAATGTAAAATGTGTTTTGTGAATAAATAGTATTTCAGACATATACCTGACATACTTTTACATTCTTTCAAGTTCATGAAATTTACATTTATTAATATGTAACTAAGGCTAATTTGTTTTAATTCAGGGGAATCTACATTGATAGTAATACAGTGCAGCACAGTGTCTAAGAGCAAGAACTTTGGGGCCCTGAGTTGGTTCACTCTAGGGCTTGCTTTGAGGAAGGTTTTCAATCCCGCTGAGCCTCGTTTTCCTCATTTTCCAAGTGGGAATGATACCAGGACTGAGATTGTATCCTATCTAAGCATAGTGCCTGACAAGTGTTCTCAGCTACTTCTCAGCACTGCTCCCCACCCTGCACCATGTATTGCATGATACATTGCCTTCTTTTTATGCAAGAGCAGCTGAGTACCTAGATTCAGGGAATTTCAGTTAGACTGAATGGAGCTATTTTCATCCATTTCCTATTACGTTTTGGTTTATATAGGTTTTTTTGTTTGTTTGTTTTGAGACAGAGTCCTTGCTCTGTCGCCCAGGCTGGAGAGCAGTTGATGCAGGATTTTTCTCAACCCCTTTGTCATACTTGCGACAGAGGTGCGCTGCTTACTTGGCCACTGTGCTCAACTGTTTGCGGGAGGGAGCACATGAACGAGCAATTGCAGGATCCATGCAGCGGCACCCAGGTGGGGGTGCCTGCGACTCCAAAGCCCCTGAGGGCATGTTAGAGTGCTCTCTTAGTTCTGCCGTCCACGGACAGCGGTGTGTTATCAGCTCAGTTGGCCCCTTGCCTCATAGTGTGGGGTAGCTGCCCTCCGCCAGTGAGGGCAAAGGGCCAGTGTAACAGCCTTATTTTGGGTACCCACACTCGGTGTGTCCCGAGCTCTTGTCCAGTGTTCAAGAAGAATGAGGTCACCTGGACACTTGAAGGATGGTGAAGGCAGAGAGTTTTATTAAGTGATGGAAATGGCTCTCAGCAGAGAGGGGAACTGGAGTGGGGGTGGGACGGGTAGGTAATCTTCCCCTGAAGTCCGGCCATCTCTTCCCTGAAGTTAAGCCATCTCTCCTCCGAAGTCCAGTCATCCCTTTGAAGTCAAGTTGCCTCTCTCCCCTCTACTACCTGGGTCTGGAGTCTTTAAAGGCACAACATGGGAGGAGTGGGCAGGGTGGGCTGTGGGTAGTTTTGGAAAAGGCAACAATCGATTGGTAAAAAGACATTATTTAGAAAGAACCAGTTGGGCTGGGCGTGGTGGCTCATGCCTGTAATCCCAGCACTTTGGGAGGCTGAGGTGGGCAGATCACGAGGTCAGAAGATCAAGACCATCCTGACCAACATGGTGAAACCCCATCTCTACTAAAAATACAAAAAAATTAGCTGGGTGTGGTGGTGCGCACCTGTAGTCCCAGCTACTCAGGAGGCTGAGGCAGTAGAATCACTTGAATCCAGGAGGCGGAGGTTGCAGTGAGCCGAGATTGCGCCACTGCACTCCAGCCTGGCGACAGAGTGAGACTCCATCTCAAAAAAAAAGAAAGAAAGAACCAATTGGGAGAGAGTGGGCAAGCAGGAATAGAAGTTCTCACTTTGGCCTGTGGGTTTCAGGCTTTTCAGCTCAAAGGTTGGGTTTCACTGGGGACCCACCCTTGTCTGCCTAGAATTTCTCTGCCTCCTGCCTCTATCACAGCGGCGCGATCTTGGCTTACTGCAATCTCTGCTGCCCGCGTTCAAGTGATTCTCGCGCCTCAGCCTCTTGAGTAGCTGGGATTACAGGTGTGAGCCAGGGTGTCTGGCTGTGTTTTATATATTAATAGTTTTTAATCTTATGTAGTACCTTTCATACTATCCTGATAGTACAACCAGTGTTTCTATTTTATTTTATAGGGATGACATTTTAACTATTTAAAAATGTTAAAAAATTGTTTTTAAAAACCACCAAAATATTATTTGACTAAAACAACTAAAGAAAATTAATGATATATAACAGTCTGTCACTTTCCAAATATAAAGTGTCTAATTTATTACTTTGTTATCTCACATTACAGACAATGTGCCCTGTGTGTCTAGATCGTCTGAAGAATATGATTTTCCTTTGTGGTCACGGAACCTGTCAACTCTGTGGAGACCGCATGAGTGAATGTCCTATCTGTCGCAAGGCTATTGAACGAAGGATTCTTTTGTATTAACTAAGACACATGGTGTATTTTGTTAGCTAATGTATCTAGTCATGAGATCTTAATAGGCTTTTGATCTAGTTGGAAGTTCTGATGAGTTAATTTCTAATATCATAGTTTCTTTACTAGAGTATAATTGGGCTGTAAATGTACCAGAACAAAAAACCCTACAAAATGGTGTTGGAAATTGTGTTTTTTGTTTTTGTTTTAAATTTGAAACATCAAATTCATGTAACTCATAGGATAATTTACCTTTGGCTTCTAAGAGGAAAGTCCTTTAAGGATATCCTTTTTTAAAAAATTGCATTTTTCTCTTATAATTTGTAAATTTGTTGGATCTCAAAAGACATAATTCTTTGTGATCAGTTATCCTTCATTTCATCGTGGTTTTACACAGTGAGTTGATAACAGGTTCTCTGAGAAGTCATGCATCAAATAAAAGAGGCAGGTCAAACAATTATGTCACATGGTAAATTATAAAATGACAGTACAAGTTCCAGATAGTTAAGGGAATACCGAAGGGATGATTCTTTTTTTAAGATAACAGGAAGTTACCCACATGTTTGTTTCTGAATTCTTAGAGTAAATGGAAGCATAGAATGAGGGAATAATGACTTTGCATTTCTCTTGTTTTCTAGATTCAAAAGGAACATTGTTTAACTTGAATCAGATTACCAGTTTCAAGGTGACTGATAGACAAGAAAAGGAAAAATAAGCAATAATAGTGGGCAACTGAAGAGAAAAAAAAAACGAGTATCTATTAACTGGCCACTAACAGTTGCCTTTCTTACATTAATTTATACACTATTTTGTTCAGCCAGTGTTTTTAAAAAAAATCTATGAAAAGTGTACTTCCGGTTTTCTGTGATTACTTATCTGGGCTTGATCTGACCAGTGAAATGACATTGCCCTATTTGGACCTCTGAGGTTCTATTTAGCTTTGCAGATGTACATAGTATCCCAGTGATCTGCAAAATTAATGCCTTTTCCAAGAAAAAATCTTTTCTTCTCTGTATCAGTTAATTCTGACAGTGTTAGTGATTCTGTCTTCATTATAGGCCTTATTTCCATTATCTCTTTCTTTATAGTATTTTTTGTTATAAAGAAAACAGTCTTTCTGTGTATACCTACGGATGAGGGTATTATTTAAACTGCCAACAATATCCAAGACATGGTCAATAACCTAATTATAAATACTTTAGAAAGAGTGACCAGGACATGTATAGAAATGTCTGCTTACCTGTAGACTTTAAAAACAAACAAAATTTTTGGAGCATTTAATCATTTTTTTTCTCCTTTTATCTCCTTTGTAATCTTATTGTCTCCTGAGTAAATATACACATAAATGTTTGGGGATTCATTGCTGCTAGATTATATCAGGTGTTTACATAGTGTCTACTATATGCTGTTGATAAGCTTTTTCCTAAAAATAGTTATCCTCTTTTGTAGTTTTTTTCCCTCCTTTAAATCTGGCTAGCTTTTCTTACTTCAGTTTTTATAGAACACCAACTAAATTTGAAAGTATGAAGTCTCTAGCCCTCTTACACTGTTTCTGGCTGTTTAATCCTTGCTGCCTTTGCAAGTCCTGGTGAAAGCAATGGGGAGCTTTGCTGGCTGGTTTTGTAGTCTCAACAATTCCATGTCTGTGTTTAGCTGAGTAACTGCTATCATTTAGAACAGTAAAATTTTTATAGATTTCAAATTTGAAAATTCATGTACACTCAGTTATCTAATAAGGGGCCACCGACGCTGTTTTTAAAACTATTTTGAAGTTATAAAAAGGTAGAACATCTGACTGATGATGTTCACATAAAGAGACAGACAGACTATCATGTTGCAGACATGAAAACAGCATGTCAGGTTTTTCCTTTCCTTCCATGCCATGGGCTACCCATCTCTTCCCACTAGATCACCTGGTGAGGAGGGAGCACCTGGCTGACTCATGCAGAGTTTGGCCAATCAGAGAATTGTGTGGTCTCCAGCTCTACTTTCCTTAAACAAATCCTTTCTGTTTTCTGAGCTGCAGTGCTAAAACAGATCCCTAAAAGGTAATAGCATCTTCCAGACTAGTTTAATTATTTCCTTTATAAGAATATGACATAAATTTTTATTATAGAAATAATGTCATTATAATTTTAGTGCTAGTACTTGTGGGTTTTCTGTATTTGTATCACCTTGAAATTTGTTCCATGAATAGAAAATACTTCTTTATTCATGTTTTCAATCACTTAGAATTATTTTAAATTTATTTTGGGTTTGTGAGAGATAATAAGATTAAGAACTTCATCATTTCAGTGACTTTCCTCCAACTCTCTGAATCTGCTACCTCTTATTATATGTCCCTTAGCAGTACTTTTCCAGTTAGGTTCGTTACCCTGCTCATTAGCTAAACCTCTTTATCTTGTGCCTCAAAAGAGCTTTTACTTTTCTTAGAAACATTTATAAAAAAGAAAAAAACTGACACGCATTCATTCAAAAAAGTATTTATTGGGCTTTAGGGATTAGATACACAACAGTGGAAAAATGGCATCTTAGCACACTCAGAATTTATTGTGCAGCAGTTGTGTATTTTAAGGAATCTGTAGTTAAAAGGAAGAGATCCAAAGGTCCTGATAACATTTCCTAACGTTTCAGAAGAGTTGTCATTGAGTAGTGTTTGGATTTCCTCTCTGTATCCCTCACCCTACCATTTTCTCCTTTATTCTTCTAAGATTGTTAGCGTTGTTACTCAAAACATACACATACAACATACCAGATGGTGCTGTTCTAATGGTATTTGTTCACGTAATTTAACGTTCTTACTGCTTATACTATATACATATTTAATTTTGTTGGGAGCAAGAAGGTTTTCAAGAAAAGATAATTTTGTATTAGTGTAGGAATATATTAGACAAATGTTTAGTTGGTCAAATTATGCATAAGATATTTGTAACTTTAAACATTGCAAATTGACCAGCTAGCTATGGAAGCATAAAATTAATTGATAATTAATGTTGGAAATACATTTCTAAAATTTATATTTTTATGGTGTTAGCCTGTAAGAGCATTTTAGCATATTGAAATGCATGCTGCTTAAGATGTGTCTGGTTCAAATATCAAAACTTGCTGGGTCATTTTTACATAGTAGAAACATACTGTCTATGTGTTGCCCAATTGCTGTTTGTCCACTCTGAATTCTGGACCCTTTTTGGACTAAGAATTAGTTAAATTCATGAACTAAGAGAATTAGAGATGGGGTAGAGTAGGATCAGGACAGTGGGGTTACAACAGATAGGAAAGGAAAGTCAGCATTTGAGTGTAGAGAAAAAAAGAGGATCATACAGATGTCATCAAATTATAGGCTTTAATACAGGTTGCTTTTTTTAATCCAAAAGGAAAAGCACTTATCCTATCAGAATGTCTACCATGTTTTATAGTAATAATTTGTGTAAAAAATTGAATTTTTGAATAGTTTTTTGTATTTTTTGTGATGAAAAACTCATAACATAAAATTTACCATATTAACTGTTTCTAAAGAATACAGTTCAGCCATGTGAAGTACATTTACACTGTTGTGAAGCAGATCTCCAGAACTTTTTCATCTTGCAAAACTGAAACTCCATACCCATTAAACAACTCCCCTTTTTGTTTTCTCCTCAGTGGAATAGAATTTTGACTCCATATAAATCAAGAAACACCTAAATTCTTTAGTTGTTTGTGTTTGCAAGATCTAAGGTCATGGTAAACATTAAGTTCTTAAAATTTTTGGGAGGGACAGTGCACCTCTCCTCTGAATTGTTAGCAATTAAATTGAGTAGGTTTTAAATGTCTATTCATTGGAAGGGTTTGTTATTTCATTTTGAGCCAGAGGGGAGAGGCACATTTTAAATATCAGAATTAGATTAGCTTTGAGTTTGTACAATTGGGAACATAATAGATTTTCATAAATTATGTGTGCCTTGTTGGAAGTGTCAACTGTCTTTATGTCTGCTTGTAAAAGTTTCAAAATATGTTTTCCCTCAAAAAGGCAACGTTACTTCATTTGCTTGAATATTATGATAGGAATGCTTACTGATATTACTTGATAGTCATATATAGCCTAGGAAATTTAACATATATATAACTATAGCAGTATTAATAATGATAGTTGTACTTCTTTAAAACATTAAATTTGAGGAAACTTTAATGCTGTCTCGTGTACATTGCTTTACTACAGTGAGGGGGAATATCCTTTAGATTGAGCCTCAATTTACTGGTTAGTAGTATGTGAAACTCTGGTATAAAAACGTAAACTAGACAGTAGAGCCGATGAATTAAAATTGTAAATTGCTACATTGGCATTTTCTACCTCCTTTTCTGTCAGAGTATTACTTTTTCCAGCATTTATTCTTATTTGTGAGTAAAGAGGAAATGGGAACCTGAGGTTAAAATTGACATTTTTGTTTCATTGAGAATTTAAGCAGTAGGTACAGGAGAAGTGACTTGTCACATTAATTTGGTGCCTAAATCTGTAACTACAAGTTGTGATCGACATGTACAAAATGTCTAAGAAAGGTCATATGCTGAATATTTTACTTTTCCTGTATAGTCTGCATGATTTGTTTCATAAACCCAGCTTATTTCCTCCAAAAAGCAAAATGGTCCTGTAATTTTTAAAGTAAAATAAACGTGCCATTTTGTCTGCAATCTATAATTTCAGGAAGTTATTGAAAGTTCTGACTCAGGGCTTTTTAACAGTTCAAGCAATTGTCAGTTATATTTTGGAAACTCCATCTGTGTAATTCTCCAGTGCCTTGAAAGAATTATTAACTTGGCAACACTATTAAAACTTTATAAAAGATGGTCTTTAGTGCACGTGTATCATTATATACACGTTTTAAAGTCATATTGCTTAGCTTGTTAATAATGATTCTGCATGTGTGCTGGGTTTGGGTAATTCTTTAAAGGAAGTTTTCTAGATTTGCACTTGATGTTTGTTTTTTAAAAACTGATTATTTATGGCCGTGACACTGTTACCAGAAAAGTAATTCTAATTAAGTTATTATGCAAAGTCATCTATAAGTAGCATCTGGGAAGAGGAGATCGAGGCCACAGTTTGCTATTTTAGTATGAAAGGAGGATCTGTTTGGGAAACATAGATTGTCTTCCCCTCAAATGAGGGGAAAAAAAAAAGACCCTTTGTTCAAATGGATTCTGTTGTAAAAAATTATTTTTAAAGGAAATCACAAATTGTATGTCATTCTTAATGCTAGTCTTATAGAATAAATCCATAAAATTGTTTTTATGTTCAGTATGTTTATGTCATTCTAAATGCAGCAAATTCAATGATAGCAGTTCAATTGACTCATAGCAGTGTTTTGTATTTTTTCTAATTCTTTAGCTTTCAATATTGGATTAAAGTCTTGTTTGTGAATATAGTTTCCGTATGGCAAATGATTTCTTGCTTATTAGCTTTTGTTAAAGAATGCTTAGTAAGAGCTAAGCTTTTAAAAGTAATGCAAACATTTATCGTTAATAAAACCTATGGTGTAATATCATATAATGCTTTTCTTTGATCTTTGGAGAATTATTCTTTTATAGTAGTATACATGAATTTTGATTTTTAAAGCATTTAAAAACAAATCTCAATACATTAAAAAACCTGTTATTGTTAAAAAGGAAATTACCATGCCTTTAAGAAACAAGGATGTACATCTTCAATTCAGCATAAGTGTCCACATCTAGAAGGCTCTCATTGCAGTTGTTTACAGTTAAGGTACCTCTATCTAAAGGGCCAAAGAAGCATTTCATATTTTAACACCTCACATTCTTTCAGGATTAAGACATATGAAAATAGTCTGAATAGGATAAATTTGATAGGAAGTAACTTAACCAGTCTGGAAGATTCAGCTTTTTCTATAAAAAGCTTATTCCTCTTCACAACTCAGATGTAGATTTCATTTTCAAGAGGTAGATATTTTAAAGCAATGATCTATTTGGGTTTTAGTTTTATGAGTAAATCATTAATTGTATGGTTTGGGGGTTATTTTATTTTCCATGTTAATATAAGCACTTATTTCTGAAGTTATTGAGAGGTCATCTAGCTCCAGTTCAAAAGATTATGTATATCTGATGTTTAAGAGGAAAAACATCTGAAAAAATATCTTTTGTTTATTTGAAAAAAGCATATATATTCCAACTTTAAAATTGTGAATTTATTTTGAGTAACCTCTAATTAACTGTATTTTTTTGTTTCTGTTGCTGTATAGTTAGAAATTTCATGGCAATATTTTTTACTAAATTGAAACTATAGGTTTTAAAAATAAAGACATTTTAGAAAATTTGCTTTATATTTTTCATCATTGATAGTTTTTCATTGTTCACAGAGGTTAAAATTATTTGATAGTCTTCTGGCACAACATTCCCAAATGTATTGACAATGAAAACATTCAAGGCCAGGCGCAGGGGCTCATGCCTGTAATCCCAGCACTTTGGGAGGCTGAAGTGGGTGGAATACCTGAGCTCAGGAGTTCGAGACCAGCCTGGGCAACATGGCAAAACTCTGTCTCTACAAAAAATACAAAAGTTAGCCAGGCATGGTGGCACACACCTGTAGTCCCAGCTACTTGGGGGGCTGAAGTGGGAGGATCGCTTGAGCCCGGGAAGTCAAGGCTGCAGTGAGCCGAGATTACACCACTGCACTTAAGCCTGAGTGACAGAGTGAGACCCTGTCTCTTAAAAACAACAACAAAAAACCCAAAACATTTAAAGGGTGCATAGGCATTTATAAGATAATAATGAGTATACAGATTAAAATAGAACACCAAGAATAATTTCTCAGATAAATTATTTATTGAAGAATAATCATTTGGCAAATAGTTTTTCCCTTATAATAAAACTCGATAAATTCATTTTTATCTTATTAAGGACAAAAAAATGATAGACCTTATTTGAAAATGGAAGACCAGACCTGTAACAGATCATCGGTGAGGAGATGACATGGGAAGGAGGCCATCAGGCAGTGCTGCCTTTGCCCATAACTCAGATGCGATGCATTCAGGCTGCAGGTACCACTTCATGCTAGGGCTCTGCATTTACAGTTAGAGGAGCTTTCTGAAAGGCAGATTTCCAAGATAATATATTCATTATTTTTCATATATTTGAAAGTATTGTCTTCCTTCCCATCTGTGTTCTTTCTTTCCACAAAACATTAATATTAAGAGTATGACACTGACAGGCAGGGAAATACTGTTATAGGTGAGGTTACCCCAATAGGGAAACCAGAACCAGCAAGCATGACAAGAGATTTTGGAATTATCAAAGGAATTTAAAACAGCAACAATTAATATGCTATGAGCTCTGATGAAAAAAGTGGACAATTCAGATAATTCCAGCACTTTAGGAGGCCCAAGTAGGGGGATTGCTTGAGGCCAGGAGTTCAAGACCAGCTTAAACAACACAGAAAGACCCTGTCTCTATGAAAAAAAAAAGCCATGAATTGTGGCATGTGCCTCTAGTCCTAACTACTCAGGGGCTGAGGCAGGAGGATCACTTAAGCCCAGGAGTTCGAGGCTGCAGTGAGCTTTGATTGTGCTGCTGTGTTCCAGCCTGAGCAACAGAGCAAGACCGTCTCAAAAAGAAAAAAGAAAAAAAAAAAAAAGATGGGTAATATAAGCAGAGAGATGGAAGCTCTAAGAATCAAAAGATTCTTGAAATAAAAAATGCTACAAATGGGAATACCAGAAGACTTTTTAAATATTTTATTTATTTATTTTTGGAGATGAAGTTTCATTCTTGTCACCCAGGCTGGAGTGTAATGGTGCGCTCTCCACTCACTGCAACCTCCACCTCCCAGGTTAAGCGATTCTGCTGCCTTGGCCTCCTGAGTAGCTGAGATTACAGGCGCCCACCACCATGCCCAGCTAATTTTTGTATTTTTAGTAGAGACGGAGTTTCACCATGTTGGCCAGGCTGGTCTCAAATTCCTGACCTCAGGTGATCTGCCTGCCTCAGCCTCCCAAAGTGCTGGGATTACAGGCGTGAGCCACCACGCCCAGCCAGATTTTTTTTTATTTTTTATTTTTTTAAAAAGCAATAGAAGAAACATTTGAAGCAAGAGTGACTGAATATCCCAAAGATAATGATAGACACAAAACCACAGATCCAGGAAGCTTAGAGAATATCAGCCGGGATAAATACTAAAAATCAAAACATTACCATCTCATATTCAAAGTACAGAAAATCAAAGACAGAAAAAATTGTGAAAGAACTCCAGGTGGGGTTGGGGTGTTGGGGAGGGGCCTTGTTGATAGAGGAGCAAGGATAAGCATTATATTGAACTTCTCCAGAAACTGTGCAAACAAGAAGAGTAAAAGGAAATGATTAAAAGGTTGAAAGAAGAAAAGTACCAAATAAGAATTCTGTATCTAGTGAAATTATCCTTCAAAAATAAAGGAGAAGTAAAGATTTTCTAAGAGAAACAAATATTGAAGGGATTTGGTGCTAGTAGATTGGCCTTACCAGAAGTGTTAATAGAAGATCTTCATAGAAAAAAATAAAACATTTTTAATTTTTGTTTATTCATTTTTATTTTAATTTAGCAATAAACCATATGGCCAGGTGCAATGGCTCATGCCTATAATCCCAGCACTTTGGGAGGCCGAGGTGGGTGGATCACGAGTTCAGGAGTTTGAGACCAGCCTGGCCAACATGGTGAAACCCCGTCTCTACTAAAAATACAAAAATTAGCTGGGTGTGGTGGCACGCAGCTGTAGTCCCAGCTACTCGGGAGGCTGAGGAGAATCACTTGAAACCGGAAGGCAGAGGTTGCAATGAGCTGAGATCACACCACTGCACTCTAGCCTGGGCAACAAGAGTGAAACTCCGTCTCAAAAATAAAAAGAAAAAACAAAAAAAAATTTTACCAGAGATAAAATTAACCACAAAGAAAGGAAGAAAGGAAGAGAGGAGTTAGTTATAAAACAACCAGAAAACAAAGAACAAAATGGCAATAGTAAGTTCTTATCAATAATAACATGGAATGCAAATGGACTAAATTTCCCAAAGAAAAGACAAACCAAACTCAAAATTTGTAGAAGGAAGGAAGTAATAAAGATCAGCACAGAAATAAATGAAATTGGGACTAGGAAAGAAACAAAGTTGAATAAAATGAAAAGTTGTTTTTTTGAAAAGATAAAATTGACTGACTTTTAGCTAGACTAAAAAAAGAGAAGACCCAAATAATATCAGAAATGAGAAAGGTAACATAACATCTGATACCACATAAATGCAAAGGATCATTGGAGAATATTATGAATAATGATATGCCAATAAATTGGAAAACCTAGAAGAAATGGGTAAATTCCTGGACACATACACCCTACCGAGATTGAGCCACGAAGAAGTAGAAAACCTGAACAGACCAGTAACAAGTAATGAGATTGAAACCCCAATAAAGTCTCCAATCAAAGAAAAGCCCAAGGACCTGATTGCTTCACTGGTGGATTCTACCAAACGTTCAAAAGAAGTATTAATACCAATTAAACTCCTCCAAAAATTGAAAAGGAGGGAATACTTCCAAACAAATTCTATCAGGCTAGCATTACCTTGTGTATTAGTTCATTCTCACGCTGCTATGAAGAAATACCCAAGACCGGGTAATTTATAAAGAAAAGAGGTTTAATTGACTCACAGTTCCACATGGCTGGGGAGGCCTCGGGAAACTTGCAATCATGGCAGAAGGCACCCCTTCACAGGGTGGCAGGAGAGATAATGAATGCCGAGCAAAGGGGGAAGCCCCTTATAAAATCATCAGCTCTCATGAGAACTCACTATCATGAGAACAGCATGGCAGAAACTGCCCCCATGACTCAATTATCTCCACCTGGTTCTGCCCTTGACACATGGGGATTATTACAACTCAAGGTGAGATTTGGGTGGGGTCACAGAGCCAAACAATATCACCCTGATACCCAAACCAGACAAGGACACAATAAAAAAAAGAAAACTGCAGGCCATTATCCCTTATGGACATAGATGCAAAAATCCTCAACAAAATATTACAAAATACAACAACACATTAAAAAGATCATTCGCCATGGTCAAGTGGGATTCATCCCAGGGATGCAAAGATGGTTCAACATATGTGTCATGCCAGACCCCTACTGACTCCAAAAGAGATGGCATTGTGTCTGAGAGGCCCAGAAGAGACCTGGAGCCAGTAAACGAGACAGGGTTTACAGAGGACTTACATACAAGGCAGTCCAGAGGTGACAGGGTGGACAGGAGCACTGCTACTGTTTGTAAAAAGCATGCAGTTTATATGGCATTTTCACGTAGCAACACCAACCTAGCAAACTTCATTTAACCAAGAAAAGTGGCCTCGTTTCCTTGCACATCCTATGTTTCAAGGAATGGGCAGAGGGGTTCAACGTCCTTCATAAGAAGTGAATCTCCAGATTAGCCACTACTGGATTCCTTAGCATGGAACTCTGAGCACACATTCTTCTTAGACCATAGGGTCATTCTCAGGGTATGCTTAAGTTACTGCTGTCAGGTGCATCTGCCATACAATACACAAGTCAATAAACATGATACATCTCATTAACAGAATCAAGGATAAAAACCATGTGATTATTTTAATAGATGCTGAAAAAGCATTTGATAAAATTTAACATCCCTTTATGATGGGTATTAAAGGAGCATACCTCAAAATAATAAAAGGCCATCTATGACAAACCCATGGCTAAACATTGTACTAAATGGAGAAAAATTAAAGGCTGAGCAATTAGGCAAGAGAAATAAATAAAGGGCATCCAAATTGGAAAGGAAGACATCAAATTAGCCTTGTTCACAGGCGACATGATCTTATACCTAGAAAAACCTAAAATCTTCACCAAAATATGTTAGAACTGATAAATGAATTCAGTAAAGTTGCAGAATACAAAACCTACATACAAAAATCAGTAGCATTTCTATATGCCAACAGCAAACAACCTGGAAAATCAAAAAAGTAATCCTATTTACAACAGCTACAAAAAAATATAAAATACCTAAGAATCAATCTAACAAAAGTAGTGAAAGATCTATACAAGGAAAACTGTAAAACTGATGAAAGAAATAGAAAAGGACACACATACACACACACAAATGGGAAAACATTCCATGCTCATGGGTTGGAAGAATTAATATTTTTAAAGTGACCATAGTACCTAAAGCAATTTACAGATCCGATGCCATTTCTTTCAAAACATGAATAACATTCTTCACAGAAATAGAAAAACAATCCTAAAATGTATATGAAACTACGAAAGACCAAATAGCCAAAGAAATCCTGAACAGAAAGAGCAAAGCTGGAGACATCACACTACCTGGCTTCAAAATTTATTACAAAGCTATAGTAATCAAAACAGTATGATACTGGCATAAAAACAGATACATAGACCAATGGAACAGAATAGAGAACCCAAATATGAATCCGTGCATTTACAGCCAACTCATATTCAACCAAGGTGCCAAGAAATTACAATGTAGAAAGGACAATCTTTTCAGTGAATGGTGCTGGGAAAACTGGATAACTATATGCAGAAGAATGAGACTAGGCCCCTACCTCTTATCATACACAAAAATCAAACAAAAATGAATTAAACACTTGAATCCCAGACGTGAAACTATGAAACTACTAGAAGAAAGCATTGGGGAAATACTCCAAGACATTGGCCTGAGCAAAGATTTCTTGTGTGACACCTCAAAAGCACAGGCAACCAAAGCAAAAATAGACTATTAGGATTACTTCAAGCTAAAAAGCTTCTGCAGAGCAAAGGAAACAGTCCACAAAGTGAATAGACAATCAACAAAATAAAACATTTACAAACTATCCATCTGAAAAGGGATTAATAAGCAGAATATATGAAGAGCTCAAATAACTCAATAGCAAAAACCAAAAACAATTTCATTAAAAAATGGGCAAAAGATCTAAACAGAGATTTCTCAAAATAAGACATACAAGTGGCCAACAGGTATATGAAAAAATGCTCAATATCACTAATTATCAGAGAAATGCAACTTAAAATCACAATGAGATATCAGCTAACTCCAGTAAAATGGCTTGTATAAAAAATACAGGCAATAAAAGATGCTGGTGGCTGGGTGTGGTGGCTCAGGGCTGTAATCCCAGCATTTTGGGAGGCCAAGGTGGGCAGATCACTTGAGGCCAGGAGTTTGAGCCCAGCCTGAGCAATATGGTGAAACCCCATCTCTACTAAAAATACAAAAATTAGCCAGACTTTGTGGCATGCACCTGTGTCTCAGCTACTCAGGAAGCTGAGGTGGGAGGATTGCTTGAGTTCAGAGGAGGTTGTAGTGAGCTGAGATCATGCCACTGTACTCCAGCCTGGGTGACAGAGTGAGATTCTGTCTCAAAAAAAAAAAAAAAAAAAAGAAAAAAAAGAAAAAAAAAAAGATGCTGGGAGAAAGGGGAAGCCTCAAACATTGTTGTGAGAATATAAATTAGTGCAGCCATTATGGAGAACAGTATAGAGGTTCTTCAAAAAAACTAAACACAAAACTTCCATATGATTCAGTAATTCCACTACTGGGTATATGCCCAAAAGAAAGAAAATTAATACATATCTGTACTTCCATGTTTATTGCAGCACTATTCACAATAGCCAAGATATGGAATAAACTTAAGTACCCATCAATGGGTGAATAAAGAAAAGGTGGCATATATACACAATGAGCTATTATTCAAACATAAAACAATGAAATTTTGTCATTTGCAGCAGCATGAATGGAACTGGAGGCCGTTATGTTAAGTGAAATAAGCCAAGTACAGAAAGACAAATATCCCAATGTTCTCACTCATATGTGGGAGCTAAAAAAGTGGATCTCATGACATAAGGAGTTAGACTGGTGGTTGCCAGAGGTGGGGAAGAGGAGGTGAAAAGCGGGGCAATGAAGGGGAAAAATATATAAATATACTATTACAGCTGAATTATACATGTAAAATTGGTAAAGACAGTAAATCTTATATGTATATTTTACCTCAATATTTTTTTTTTTTTTTTTTTTTTTTGTGAGACGGACTCTTGCTCTGTCGCCCAGGCTGGAGTGCAGTGGCGTGATCTTGGCTCCCTGCAACCTCTGCCTCTTGGGTGCAATTCTCCTGTCTCAGCCTCCCGAGTAGCTGGGACTACAGGCGCACACCACCACATCTGGCTAATTTTTGCATTTTTAGTAGAGATGGGGTTTCGCCATATTGGTCAGGCTGGACTCAAACTCCTGACTTCAGGTGATCCACCTGCCTCGGCCTCCCAAAGTGCTGGGATTATAGGCATGAGCCACCACGCCCAGTCTAACATTGTTTTTTTTTTTTTCAAAAAAGAAACGGAGCCCAGAAATAGACCCACCCAAATAGTCAACGGATCTTTTTTTTTTTTTTTTTTTTTTGTGACGGAGTCTCTGTCACCCAGGCTGGAGTGCAGTGGCGCGATCTTGGCTCACTGCAACCTCCACCTCCTGGGTTCAAGTGATTCTCTTGCCTCAGACTCCCGAGGAGCTGGGATTACAGGCACGCACCACCACGCCCAGCTGAGTTTTGTATTTTTAGTAGAGACAGGGTTTCACCATGTTGGCCAGGATGGTCTCAATCTCTTGACCTTGTGATCTGTCTGCCTCAGCCTCCGAAAGTGCTGGGATTATAGGCGTGAGCCACCGCACCCGGACTTTTTGTTTTTCTTTTTAACTTTATTTCTATGAACTCTGCAGAGAAGTATAGTCAACAGGTCTTTAACAAGGAGCAAAGACAATTAAATGAGAAAGGATAGTCTTTTCAAGAATGGTGCTGAAACTACTGGACATCCACATGCAAAAAAAAAAAAAATTTAGACACAGGTCTTACACCTTTCACAAAAATTAACTCAAAATGAGTCATAGACCTGACTGTAAAATGCCAAGATATAAATCTTCTGGAAGATAACACAGAGGAAAACCTAGGTAACTTTGGGTTTGGCTATGAGTTTTCAGATACAACACCAAAAGCATTATCTATGAAAGAAAAGCCTGATAAGTTGTACTTCATCAAAATTTAGAAGTTCTACTCTGTAAGAGGCGTTGTCAAGACCATGAAAAGAGTCTGGGCACAGTGGCTCATGCCAGTCCTAGCACTCTGAGAGGCTGAGGATGACTTGAGACCAGGAGTTTGAGACCAGCCTGGGCAACAGAGCAACGCCCAGTCGAAAAAAAAAAAAAAAGGTTAAAAAGAAAAAAAGGAAATTAAAAGCCACAGATTGGAAGAAAATATTAGCAAAATTCACTTAATAAAGACTTTTATCCAAAACATACAAAGAACTCTTCAATCTGAATAATAACAAAATGAAGAACCCAATTTAAAAAATAGGCGGCCAGGTGCAGTGGCTCACACCTTTAATCCCAGCACTTTGGGAGGCTGAGACAGACAGATCGCTTGAGGTCAGGAGTTCGAGACCAGCCTGGTCAACATGGTGAAACCCCATCTCTACTAAAAATACAAAAATTAGCTGCATGCAGTGGCGGGCACCTTTAATCCCAGCTACTTGGCAGGCTGAGGCAGGAGTATTGCTTGAGCCCGGGAAGTGGAGGTTGCAGTGAGCTGAGATCGCACCACTGCACTCCAGCCTGGGTGACAGAGCAAGACTCTGTTTCCAAAAAAAAAAAAAAAAAAAAAAAAGGCAAAAAGCTTTGAACAGACAACCTCCCTAATGAAGATATAGACATATGTATATCTATATATATGACAAAGAAGCATATGAAAAGATGCTCAGAACCAATGTCATTATGGAATTGCAATTTAAACCATGAGATAGCACCACCAATCTATTAGAATGTCTGTAAAATCTAAAAAATGAACACCACCAAATGCTGGCAAGGAAGCGGAGCAACAGAAACTCTTATTCATTGCTGGTGGGAGTGCAGAATGGTACAGCCTCTGTGGAAGACAATTTGGCAGTTTCTTATAAAACTAATCACAATATTACCATACAATCTAGCAATCATATTCCTGGATGTTTACCCAAATAAACTGAAAAACTTACATCCACACAAAAACCTGCACATGAATGTTGGTAGCTCCAAAAACTAAAAGCATAATTGCCAGAAACTAGAAGCAACCATGATGCTCCTTAATAGGTGAATGGTTAAAGAAGCTGTAGGTGCTCGCTTCAGCAGCACATACACTAAAATTGGAAAGATACAGAGATTAGCATGGCCCCTGCGCAAAGATGACATGCAAATTTGTGAAGCGTTCCATATTGTTAACATAGGGTTTTTATACAAGAAAAATAAAGTGAATTAAGCCTGAAAAAAAAAAAGAAACTGTAGTAAGTGTATAGGATGGAATATTATTCAGAAATAATATTCTTAATTATGTGAGAATATTATTTTGTGTTCAATTATTTTGTTCTCATTAATTGACCTTTTTTTTTTTTAAACCTGTCTTCACCCTCCCCTGAAAATACATTTAGTTAGAAGAAATAAGACCTGGTATTCGGCTGGGCATGGTGGCTCATGCCTATAATCCCAGCAATTTGGGAGGCCGAGGCAGGCAGATCACCTGAGGTCAGGAGTTCGAGACCAGCCTGGCCAACATGGTGAAACCCTGTCTCTACTAAAAGTACAAAATTATCCAGGTGTGGTGGTGTGCACCTGTAATCCCAGCTACTCAGGAGGCTGAGGCAGGAGAATCGCTTGAACCCGGCAGGCAGAGGTTGCACTGAGCCGAGATTGCACCACTGCACTCCAGCCTGGGCGACAAGAGTGAAACTCTGTCTCAAAAAAAAAAAAAAAAAAAAAAAAAAAAAGAGCAGGTAGTCAACAGACCAGTAGGGTGGCTATACTGATAGTAGGGTTAACATTAATTGGTAATACATTTCAAAATAACTACAAGAAAGCTGGTCGCGGTGGCTTATGCCTGTAATCCCAGCACTTTGGGAGGCCAAGGCAGGCGCATCACCTGAGGGCAAGAGTTCAAGATCAGCCTGGCCAACATGGCGAAACCCCATCTCTACTAAAAGTAAAAAAATTAGCTGGGCGTGGTGGTGGGCCCCTGTGGTCCCAGCTACTTCAGAGGCTGAGGCAGGAGAATCTCTTGAACCCAGGAGGTGGAGATTGTAGTGAGCCAAGACTGTACCACTGCATTCCAGCATGGGCAACAGAGCAAGATTCCATCTTAAAAAAAGAAAAACAACAACAACAACAAAATAGCTAGAAGAGATTAACTCAAATATTCCTAGCATAAAGAAAAGATAAATATTTAAGGTGATGAATATTCCTATGTAATTAGATGAGTGTATCCTGTTAGCATATGCACCCTGAAAATGTGTATATCTAATATGTATCAATATTTAAAAAAAATGTCAAATTGAAAAAAGAGTTATCAGCCCATAAAAAGACATGGAATGGCCGGGTGTGGTGGCTCAGGTCTGTAATCCCAGCACTTTGGGAGGCTGAGGTGGGTGGGTCACAAGGGCAGGAGATCAAGACAACCCTGGCCAACATGGTGAAACCCTGTCTCTACTAAAAATACAAAAATTAGCCAGGTGTGGTGGCACGTGCTTGTAATCTCAGCCACTCGGGAGGCTGAGGCAGGAGAACGGCTTGAACACGGGAGGCGGAGGTTGCAGTTAGCCGAGATCACACCACCGCGCTCCAGCCTGTGACACAGCGAGACTGAAAAAAAAAAAAAAGACTTGGAGGATTGTTAAATACATATCATTAACTGAAGGGCACTAGGCTAACAGGCTGCATATGGTTCTGATTCTGATTATATGACATACTGGAAGAGGTAAAACTATGGAGGCAGTGAAGAGACCAGTGATTGTCAGAAGTTCAGGTAGAAGTAGGAAGGGATGAAGAGACTGAGCACAGAGAAATCTTAGGGCAGTGGAACAATTCTGCATGATACTGTAATGGTATCATACATATCATACAAGACATCATGCGTTTGTTAAAACCCATAGAACTGTACAACATAAAGAGTGAAGCCTAATGTAAACTATGAGTGTTGGTTGATAATACTGTGTTCATATTGGTTCATCCATTGTAACAAATGTACCACACCCATGCAAGATGTTAATAATTTAAAAAACTCTATGTGGGGAAGGGGATAAACGGAAACTCTTGGTACTATCTGCTCAATATTTTGGTAAACCTAAAGCTGTTCTAAAAAAAACCAAAGCCAAGCGTAGTTTGAACCATGCTTGGCTTCTTGTATAACATACCATACAGAGCAAGCATTTTTTTCTGTTCTTTGGCAAATTGTCATACTCCTTTCTAAGTTTGATCAGCTTCCAACATGTCATCTTTGTGCTTTCAATGTCATAAAATGTCTCCCAGAGTCCCTTTAATGTGAAATATTTTGCCTTCATTGCTTTCTTCAGGTCACTTTCATCCTTTTTGTCACACTACTTTCCTTGCTTATGTTGATCAGGCCACCTTCACTGCGTTCTTCTCGCTGTCTATAGTTTCTCTTACGGTGGCAGTGTCAACGTTCCCATGGTCATGCATGTGGGGGAGGAGGTAAATGGGAACTCCATGCTCACCTATTTCTTCTATAACCCCATTTACATTCTATTTGATTTTCACTTCCAGCATTATCACTTTTCATTGCTTTAGCGAACTTTTATCTTAGAGGCCAAATTACCTGTTTCAATTATCCATTTTTGTAAAGCGTCACTTGGGTTTACCACTGGGAGACGAGGAGGCAACGCAACGACATTCTTTGCTGTCTGCATGTGAACTGAGTAACAGATCTGCTTTGGCCAGTCACTAGTAGACTTGGAAAGAAGGATGTAGATTGTCAGTAATCATCATATGCCTGTTATTTATGTATTGATTTGTAGACTGGAGAGATAGCTGCAAAGTTTGTATTTTATGCAATCACTTACAGTTAATATGCCACGGTAACAGAAATCTAAGCCATGATGTTGTGGTATTGGTGTATTTAACTAAACTGTGCTAACTGAAACGTGTACATATAGTAATTGTGCAAAACACAAACTGTAGTTCTTTTATAAAATCCAGTCTACAATTTAGTCTTTTAGTTGGAACACCTAATCTATTTACATTTAATGTAATTATAGATATAGTTGAATTTGTATCTATAATCTTACTGTTTTCTATTTAGTCCTTCTGTATATTTCTTTTCTTACTTCTTTTGAGCTAATTCAATATTTTAAATTCCATTTTCCCCTTTGATTAACTTGTTATGCATTATTTTATAGTTATATTTCAATGGTTACCCTAAATATTATAATATGTATTTTTGAAGTTTTAAAGTCTTTTTAAAAAAATTTTATTATTATTATACTTTAAGTTTTAGGGTACATGTGCACAACGTGCAGGTTTGTTACATATGTATACATGTGCCATGTTGGTGTGCTGCACCCATTAACTCATCATTTAGCATTAGGTATATCTCCTAATGCTATCCCTACCCCCTACCCCCACCCCCCACCCCACAACAGTCCCTGGTGTGTGATGTTCCCCTTCCTGTGTCCATGTGTTCTCATTGTTCAATTCCCACTTATGAGTGAGAACATGCAGTGTTTGGTTTTTTGTCCTTGTGATAGTTTGCTGAGAATGATGGTTTCCAGCTTCATCCATGTCCCTACAAAGGACATGAACTCATCATTTTTTATGGCTGCATAGTATTCCATGGTGTATATGTGCCACATTTTCTTAATCCAGTCTATCATTGTTGGACACTTGGGTTGGCTCCAAGTCTTTGCTATTGTGAACAGTGCTGCAATAAACATACGTGTGCATGTGTCTTTATAGCAGCATGATTTATAGTCCTTTGGGTATATACCCAGTAATGGGATGGCTGGGTCAAATGGTATTTCTAGTTCTAGATCCCTGAGGAATTGCCACACTGACTTCCACAATGGTTGAACTAGTTTACAGTCCCACCAACAGTGTAAAAGTGTTCCTATTTCTCCACATCCTCTCCAGCACCTGTTGTTTCCTGACTTTTTAATGATCGCCATTCTAACTGGTGTGAGATGGTATCTCATTGTGGTTTTGATTTGCATTTCTCTGATGGCCAGTGATGATGAGCATTTTTTCATGTGTTTTTTTGGCTGCATAAATGTCTTCTTTTGAGAAGTGTCTGTTCACATCCTTTGCCCACTTTTTGATGGGGTTGTTTGTTTTTTTCTTGTAAATTTGTTTGAGTTCATTGCAGATTCTGGATATTTGCCCTTTGTCAGATGAGTAGGTTGCAAAAATTTTCTCCCATTCTGTAGGTTGCCTGTTCACTCTGATGGTAGTTTCTTTTGCTGTGCAGAAGCTCTTTAGTTTAATTAGATCCCATTTGTCAATTTTGGCTTTTGTTGCCATTGCTTTTGGTGTTTTAGACATGAAGTCCTTGCCCATGCCTATGCCCTGAATGGTATTGCCTAGGTTTTCTTCTAGGGTTTTCATGGTTTTAGGTCTAACATGTAAGTCTTTAATCCATCTTGAATTAATTTTTGTATAAGGTGTAAGGAAGGGATCCAGTTTCAGCTCTCTACATATGGCTAGCCAGTTTTCCCAGCACCATTTATTAAATAGGGAATCCTTTCCTCATTGCTTGTTTTTGTCAGGTTTGTCAAAGATCAGATAGTTGTAGATATGCGGCATTATTTCTGAGGGCTCTGTTCTGTTCCATTGGTCTATATCTCTGTTTTGGTACCAGTACCATGCTGTTTTGGTTACTGTAGCCTGGCAGTATAGTTTGAAGTCAGGTAGCATGATGCCTCCAGCTTTGTTCTTTTGGCTTAGGATTGACTTGGCAATGCGGGCTCCCTTTTGGTTCCATATGAACTTTAAAGTAGTTTTTTCCAATTCTGTGAAGAAAGTCATTGGTAGCTTGATGGGGATGGCACTGAATCTATAAATTACCTTGGGCAGTATGGCCATTTTCACGATATTGATTCTTCCTAACCATGAGCATGGAATGTTCTTCCATTTGTTTGTATCCTCTTTTATTTCATTGAGCAGTGGTTTGTAGTTCTCCTTGAAGAGGTCCTTCACATCCTTTGTAAGTTGGATTCCTAGGTATTTTATTCTCTTTGAAGCAATTGTGAATGGGAGTTCACTCATGATTTGGCTCTCTGTTTGTCTGTTATTGGTGTATAAGAATGCTTGTGATTTTTGTACATTGATTTTGTATCCTGAGACTTTGCTGAAGTTGCTTATCAGCTTAAGGAGATTTTGGGCTGAGACAATGGGGTTTTCTAGATATACAATCCTGTCATCTGCAAACAGGGACAATTTGACTTCCTCTTTTCCTAATTGAATACCCTTTATTTCCTTCTCCTGCCTGATTGCCCTGGCCAGAACTTCCAACACTATGTTGAATAGGAGTGGTGAGAGAGGGCATCCCTGTCTTGTGCCAGTTTTCAAAGGGAATGCTTCCAGTTTTTGTCCATTCAGTATGATATTGGCTGTGGGTTTGTCATAGATAGCTCTTATTATTTTGAGATACGTCCCATCAATACCTAATTTATTGAGAGTTTTTAGCATGAAGGGTTGTTGAATTTTGTCAAAGGCCTTTTCTGCATCTATTGAGATAATCATGTGGTTTTTGTCTTTGGTTCTGTTTATATGTTGGATTACGTTTATTGATTTTCGTATGTTGAACCAGCCTTGCATCCTAGGGATGAAGCCCACTTGATCATGGTGGATAAGCTTTTTGATGTGCTGCTGGATTTGGTTTGCCAGTATTTTATTGAGGATTTTTGCATCAATGTTCATCAGGGATATGGTCTAAAATTCTCTTTTTTTGTTGTGTCTCTGCCAGGCTTTGGTATTAGGGTGAAGCTGGCCTCATAAAATGAGTTAGGGAGGATTCCCTCTTTTTTTATTGATTGGAATAGTTTTGGAAGGAATGGTACCAGCTCCTCCTTGTACCTCTGGTAGAATTGGGCTGTGAATCCATCTGGTCCTGGACTTTTTTTGGTTGGTAAGCTATTAATTATTGCCTCAATTTCAGAGCCTGTTATTGGTCTATTCAGAGATTCAAATTCTTCCTGGTTTAGTCTTGGGAGGGTGTATGTGTCGAGGAATTTATCCATTTCTTCTAGATTTTCTAGTTTATTTGCGTAGAGGTGTTTATAGTATTCTCTGATGGTAGTTTGTATTTCTGTGGGATCAGTGGTGATATCCCTTTTGTCATTTTTTATTGTGTCTATTTGATTCTTCTCTCTTTTCTTCTTTATTAGTCTTGCTAGCGGTCTATCAGTTTTGCTGATCTTTTCAAAAAACAGCTCCTGGATTCATTGATTTTTTGAAGGGTTTTTTGTGTCTCTATTTCCTTTGGTTCTGCTCTGATCTTAGTTATTTCTTGCCTTCTGCTAGCTTTTGAATGTGTTTGCTCTTGCTTCTCTAGTTCTTTTAATTGTGATGTTAGGGTGTCAATTTTAGATCTTTCCTGCTTTCTCTTGTGGGCATTTAGTGCTATAAATTTCCCTCTACACACTGCTTTGAATGTGTCCCAGAGATTCTGGTATGTTGTGTCTTTGTTCTCGCCGGTTTCAAAGAACATCTTTATTTCTGCCTTCATTTCGTTATGTACCCAGTAGTCATTCAGGAGCAGGTTGTTCAGTTTCCATGTAGTTGAGTGGTTTTGAGTGAGTTTCTTAATCCTGAGTTCTAGTTTGATTGCACTGTGGTCTGAGAGACAGTTTGTTATAATTTCTGTTCTTTTACATTTGCTGAGGAGTGCTTCACTTCCAACTATGTGGTCAATTTTGGAATAGATGTGGTGTGGTGCTGAAAAGAATGTATATTCTGTTGATTTGGGGTGGAGAGTTCTGTAGATGTCTATTAGGTCCGCTTGGTGCAGAGCTGAGTTCAATTCCTGGATATCCTTGTTAACTTTCTGTCTTGTTGATCTGTCTAATGTTGACGGTGGGGTGTTAAAGTCTCCCATTATTATTGTGTGGGAGTCTAAGTCTCTTCGTAGGTCACTAAGGACTTGTTTTATGAATCTGGGTGCTCCTGTATTGGGTGCATATATATTTAGGATAGTTAGCTCTTCTTGTTGAATTGATCCCTTTACCATTATGTAATGGTCTTCTTTGTCCCTTTTAATCTTTGTTGGTTTAAAGTCTGTTTTATCTGAGACTAGGATTGCAACCCCTGCCTTTTTTTGTTTTCCATTTGCTTGGTAGATCTTCCTCCATCCCTTTATTTTGAGCCTATGTGTGTCTCTGCACATGAAATGGGTTTCCTGAATACAGCACACTGATGGGTCTTGACTCTTTATCCAATTTGCCACTCTGTGTTTTTAATTGGAGCATTTAGCCTATTTACATTTAAGGTTAATATTGGTATGTGTGAATTTGATCCTGTCATTATGATGTTAGCTGGTTATTTTGCTCGTTAGTTGATGCAATTTCTTCCTAGCCTTGATGGTCTTTACAATTTGGCATGTTTTTGCAGTGGCTGGTACTGGTTGTTCCTTTCCATGTTTAGTGCTTCCTTCAGGAGCTCTTTTAGGGCAGGCCTGGTGGTGACAAAATCTCTCAGCATTTGCTTGTCTGTAAAGTATTTTATTTCTCCTTCACTTATGAAGTTTAGTTTGGCTGGATATGAAATTCTGGGTTGAAACTTCTTTTCTTTAAGAATGTTGAATATTGGCCCCCACTCTCTTCTGACTTGTAGAGTTTCTGCCAAGAGATCAGCTGTTAGTCTGATGGGCTTCCTTTTGTGGGTAACCCGACCTTTCTCTCTGGCTACGCTTAACATTTTTTCCTTCATTTCAACTTTGGTGAATCTGACAATTATGTGTCTTGGAGTTGCTCTTCTCAAGGAGTATCTTTGTGGCGTTCTCTGTATTTCCTGAATTTGAATGTTGGTCTGCCTTGCTAGATTGGGGAAGTTCTCCTGGATAATAACGGGCAGAGTGTTTTCCAACTTGGCTCCATTCTCCCCGTCACTTTCAGGTACACCAATCAGACGTAGATTTGGTCTTTTCACATAGTCCCATATTTCTTGGAGGCTTTGTTCATTTCTTTTTATTCTTTTTTTTCTAAACTTCTCTTCTCACTTCATTTCATTCGTTTTGTCTTCCATCACTGATACCCTTTCTTCCAGTTCGTCACATTGGCTACTGAGGCTTGTGCATTCATCACATAGTTCTCGTGCCATGGTTTTCAGCTCCATCAGGTCCTTTAAGGACTTCTCTGAATTGCTTATTCTAGTTAGCCATTCATCTAATTTTTTTTCAAGGTTTTTAACTTCTTTGCCATTGGTTCGAACTTCCTCCTTTAGCTCGGAGTAGTTTGATCTTCTGAAGCCTTCTTCTCTTAACTCATCAAATTCATTCTCCGTCCAGCTTTGTTCCATTGCTGGTGAGGAGCTGCGTTCCTTTGGAGGAGGAGAGGCGCTCTGATTTTTAGAGTTTCCGGTTTTTCTGCTCTGTTTTTTCCCCATCTTTGTTGTTTTATCTACCTTTGGTCTTTGATGATGGTGACGTACAGATGGGTTTTTGGTGTGGATGTCTTTTCTGTTTGTTAGTTTTCCTTCTAACAGTCAGGACCCTCAGCTGCAGGTCTGTTGGAGTTTGCTGGAGGTCCACTCCAGACCCTGTTTTCCTGGGTATCAGCAGTGGTGGCTGCAGAACAGCAGGTATTTGTGAACCGCAAATGCTGCTGCCTGATCGTTCCTCTGGAAGTTTTGTCTCAGAGGAGTACCCGGCCATGTGAGGTGTCAGTCCGCCTCTACTTGGGGGTGCCTCCCAGTTAGGCTACTCGGGGGTCAGGGACCCACTTGAAGAGGCAGTCTGCCCGTTCTCAGATCTCAAGCTGCGTGCTGGGAGAACCACTACTCTCTTCAAAGCTGTCAGACAGGGACATTTAAGTCTGCAGAGGTTACTGCTGCCTTTTGTTTGTCTGTTCCCTGGCCCCAGAGGTGGAGTCTACAGAGGCAGGCAGGCCTCCTTGAGCTGTGGTGGGCTCCACCCAGTTCGAGCTTCCCAGCTGCTTAGTTTACCTACTCAGGCCTCGGCAATGGTGGGCACCCCTCCCCCAGCCTTGCTGCCGCCTTGCAGTTTGATCTCAGACTGCTGTGCTAGCAATGAGCGAGGCTTCGTGGGCGTAGGACCCTCTGAGCCATGTGCGGGATATAATCTCCTGGTGGGCCATTTGTTAAGCCCGTTGGAAAAGCGCAGTATTAGGGTGGGAGTGACCCGATTTTCCAGGTGATGTCTCCCACCCCTTTCTTTGACTAGGAAAGGGAATTCCCTGACCCCTTGCTCTTCCTGGGTGAGGCAATGCCTCGCCCTGCTTCGGCTCACACATGGTGTGCTGCACCCACTGTCCGGCACTCGCCAGTGAGATGAACCCGGTACCTCAGTTGGAAATGCAGAAATCACCCATCTTCTGCATTGCTCACGCTGGTAGCTGTAGAGTGGAGCTGTTCCTATTTGGCCATCTTGGCTCCACCCCTGAAACTACTTTTAAAGTCTAATATGAATTATGACTTCACTTTTCTAAAATAGCTATAAACTTAGAAATGTAAAATTTCACTTTACCCTCCTCTAACCTTTTACATTGTTATTGTTACACATTTTAGTTGCACATGTAATTTAAATACCATATGATATTACTTTCTTCTTTTTTTTTTTTTTTTGAGATGGAGTCTCGCTGTGTCACCCAGGCTGGAGTGCAGTGGTGTGATCTCGGCTCACTGCAAGCTCTGCCTCCCAGGTTCATGCCATTCTCCTGCCTCAGCCTCCCAAGTAGCTGAAACTACAGGCACCCACCACCATGCCTGGCTAATTTTTTGTATTTTTAGTAGAGATGGGGTTTCACCATGTTAGCCAGGATGGTCTCGATCTCCTGACCTCATTATCCACCCGCCTCGGCCTCCCAAAGTGCTGGGATTACAGGCGTGAGCCACCACACCCAGCCTGATATTATTTTCATTGTTTTGTTCAGTTAATACTCATTTATATTTAGTCACATATTTACCTTCCTGGTGTTTGTCATGATTTTTGCATTTTCACATTTCCATCTGAGATCATTTTCCTTCTGGGAAGGAAAAGGGATTATAATTGTATTTTAAATGCAAAAGAAAACTGCTGGAAGCTTTTAAGCAAGGGACTGATGTAATCTAATATTTTAAAAGATCATGTTGGGGCCAGTGGTGATGGCTCATGCCTGTACTCCCAGCACTTTGAAAAGCTGAGGCAGACGGATTGTTTGAGGCCAGGAGTTCAAGACAAACCTGGGAAACATGGCAAGGCCTTGCTGCTACAGAAAAAAATTTAAAAAATTATCTGGGCATGGTGGCCTATGCCTGCAGTTCTAGCTACTTGGGAGGCTGAGGCAGGAGGATACATTGAGCTCAGGAGTTTGAGGGTGCAGTGAGCAATAATTGCATCACTGTACCCTAGCCTGGGTGACACAGTGAGCCCCCATCTCTTAAAAAACAAACAAACAAACAAACAAACAAACAAACAAAAAACTAAAAAGAAATCATGTTGGTTGCTGTGTTGAGAATGAATTGTACTTGAGAAAAATGGAAACTGGAAGATCAAATGGAAGACTATTGAATCATTCCAAGTAAGAAATTACAGCAGCTTGACCGGGCACGGTGCTCATGCCTGTAATCCCAGCACTTTGGGAGGCTGAGGCGGGTGGGTCACTTGAGATCAGGAGTTTGAGACCAGCCTGGCCAACATGGTGAAACCTTGTCTCTACTAAAAATACAAAAGTTAGCTGGGCATGGTGGTGGGCGCCTGTAATCCCAGCTAGCTGGGAGGCTGAAGAAGAATCACTTGAACCCTGGAGGAGGTTGCAGTGAGCTGAGATCGCGCCATTGCACTCCAGCCTGGGTGACAAGAGCAAGACGGCATCTCAGAAAAAAGAAATTACATCAGCTTGGATGATGGTGATAGCAGTGGAGTTGGAAAGAAGTAAATGCATTCAGGATATGTTTTGTATAATAAGTGGAGCAGATATGACTTGTCATTGAATTAGATGTAGAGGGTATAAGGAGGAATCAACAATGACTAGAGTAACTGGGTAAACAATGGTGTCACTTAACCAAAATGGTGAGTGGTGGGAGAGGAACATGTTTGGAGAGTGACTGAAACAGGATTAAGAGGAAAAATAATGAATTATATTTTAGCTACATTTGGTTTGAGATTCTTAATATGCAAATGACCCAAGTAGAAGTTGTATTTAAGATCCTGATGTCAAGGGAGATGTCTGGATTGGAAAAATGTATTTAGAAGTCACTCTGGTATAAACAGGAGTAGTCCAAGTTTTGAGGAGTCTGAAACATACAATTTTGAGAGCCATCTTTAAAAACTGTAAATTATGAATAAAATTTAATACAAAAATGAATATCTAAACGAGAAAACTAACCACAAAATAATTACAGAAGCCTTGGAGATTCAGGTTCTTTCTCTTGAAATCTCTTTAGGCAATTGGCCAGAAATGCTTTCTAATTGCTACTTGGTGACCCATCCCTCACTAGTGCATTCTGCCAGCACTCTAACTATTCACAGAAGCCATGCAAGCTTTATATTCATTAATGTCATGGTAATTTTGTAAATCTTCCTCTGAATACAAACATTTTGGGAAAGAGTTTGGCATTATATATTAAAGTTGAAGACATGAATACCCTGAAATAAAGAAATTTCATTCTTAGATAAGTATCTAACAGAAATGTGTATACACGTGTAGCAGGATGCATGTACAAGAATGTTAGAGCAGTGTTATTACAACCAAAAGTTTTAAAAAACTCAAATGTCCCTCAGCAATTAAATACCATTAAATGATGGTAAGCTCATGAAAGGGAATACTATGCAGCAATTTAAATGAATGAATTACAGCAAAATGTCCTAGAAGAAGAAAAAAGAAAAACATTTTGAAGAAATAATGCCCCATACTTCCCAAAATTAATAAAAAAATTAATCTATGCATGCAATAAACATGATGAAATTCAAGTAGAATAAACCCAGGTAGGATAAATTCAAGCAGTAGAGATGCACAATTAGGCACATCATAAACTGTCAAAAGCTAAAGAAAGAGAATCTTGAAAGCAGGAACAGAGAAGCTACTCATCATCTGCAAGGGAGTCTTCATAAGATTAACAGCTAATTCTTCATCAGAAACCATGGAGTAAGGCAGTACAATGACATAGTCAAAGTACTGAAGGAAAAAACCTGCCAACCAAGAATTCTGTATATGGCAAAACTATCCTTCAAAAATTAAGGAGAAATTAATAAATTAACAATTGAATGAAAACAGATCTCCATTGCATGGATATACTACATTTTGTTTATCAATTCATTAGTCAATAGAAATTGGATTGTTGTTTCCACTTTTTGGCTATTATGAATAATACTGCTAGCATGTTAGCAATATTTGTGAAAAAGTGTTTCTGTCAATATATGTTTCTCTGGAAAATACTGTTTCTCTATACTGTCACAGGCAACACCTCTGACACCAGATGTGCAGGTTTTCTCACAACCACCAGTTCTCTGACATCGAATGGATGTCCTACAATTCAATTCAATTCTGGCATTATCTTCCTAGAGTTAGTGTCAGATTCTATTGAGGCAGGCCGATCATGAGGTCAGGAGTTCGAGACCAGCCTGGCCAACATGGTGAAACCCCGTCTCTACCAAGAATACAAAAATTAGCAGGACATGGTAGTAGGAGCCTGTAATCCCAGCTCCTTGGGAGGCTGAGGCAGGAGAATTGCTTGAACCTGGAAGATGGAGGTTGCAGTGAGCTGAGATCACGCCATTGTACTCTGGCCTGGGCAACAGAGCGAGACTCCGACTCAAAAAAAAAAAAAAGAGCTACATGCCACAAGACTTCCTCCACTTCAGATACTAACTATAAGTCTTGGCCTCCCATATTGCTGACCAACGGGCAGCAGTTAGTGAACTGCAAGTTCCAAATCTTCTCCTTGGGTTTAATAACTTGTTAGAATGGCTTACAGAACTCAGGGAAACACTTTACTTACATTTTACTGGTTTATTATAAAGGATATAGAGAAACAGCCGGATAAAGAGGCACATAAGGCAAGGCCAGGAAGGGTCCTGAGTGGAGTTTCTGTCCATGTGGAATTGAGGTGTGCCACCCTCCCAGCACCTAGATGCATCCATCAACCTGGAAGCTTGTTGAATCTCTTAGTTCAAGAGTTTTTATAGAGCTTAATCTCCATCCCTGCCTCACTTCTCAAAGGTTAGTGATTAGGGCTGAAAGGTCCAACCCTCCCATCACTTGATCTTCCTGGTGACAAGCCCCATCCTGAGGCTATCTAGGGGCCCACCGTAAACCACCTCAATAACATAAATTTAGGTGCAGTCAAAAGGGGCTCATTATGAAAAACAAAAAGCAGTCTGATCACATAGGAAATTTCAAGGGTTTTTAGGAGCTCTGTGCCAGGAATGGGGAATAAAGACCAAGTATATTTCCAATTATACTACAGTTTCCAATTATTTTAGGTATATAACTAGAAGTGGAATTGTTGGGTCATATTCACCATTTGTTTAACCTTTTGAGAAATTGCCAGACACAAAAGGCCACATATTGTATGATTTCATTTATATGAAAGTGTGCAGGCCAGGCACAGTTGCTCACGGGTGTAATCCCAGCACTTTGGGAGGCCGAGGATGAGGTCAGGATTTCGAGACCGGCCTGGCCAACATGGTAAAACCCCGTTTCCACTAAAAATACAAAAATTAGCCTGGTGTGGCGGCGCATGCCTGTGATTGCAGCTACTTGGGAGGCTGAGGCACAAGAATCACTTGAACCTGGGAGGCGGAGGTTATAGTGAGCTGAGAGCGCGCCACTGCACTCCAGCCTGGGCAACACAGCGAGACTCTGTCTCAAAAAAAAAAAAAAATCCAGAATAGACACACCTATTCCATAGAGACAGAAAATAGGTTTCAGTAATTGCTGGTGGCTTGGGGGAGAGGTTAACGGGAGTGGCTGCTAGTGGGTACAGGGTTTCTTTTTGAATTGAGGAAAATGTTCTGGAATTAAATAGTGACATTGATTGGACAACTCTGTGAGTTTACTAAACCCCACTGAATTGCACACTTTAGAGTGGTGAATTTTATAATATGTGAATGGTACTTCAACTTAAAAAAAGAAAAAGAATATTAATGACCTTCACAAGTATCGTGCTGAGTCTGTCCCTGTCAAGGCTCCTATTGAGAAAATTTAAAGTTTGGCTTGGGGCTCCAAGTCCCATCTTCACCTGATGCACTTGTTAACCAGGATTTATTTAGTTCCTCTCTTCTCAGCATCAGAAACAGGGCCTGTGTCTGGTCATGGTCTGTCTCCTCCAAAGCCTTCACAGCAGACACGGAGCTTTGTTTCTGTGTGGTATATTCACTCCTTACCCCTGCTAAACGAAGGCAGGGACTGGTTATTTCTTACGTATTTATTTATTTTTTTGAGACAAGAGTTTCGCTGTGTCACCCAGGCTGGAGTGCAGTGGCTGTGATCCTGGCTCACTGCAACCTCCGCCTCCCGGGTTCAAGTGATTCTCCTGCTTCGGCCTCCCGAGTAGCTGGGATTACAAGCGTGCACCACCAGGTCTGGCTAATTTTTGTATTTTTGGTAGAGACAGTGTTTCACCGTGTTGGCCAGGCTGGTCTTGAACTCCTGACCTCAAGTGATCCACCCACCACAGCCTCCAAAAATGCTGGGATTACACCGTGCCCAGCCATTTCTTATTTTATTGATTAATGAGTTGGTCCTTAGCATCTTCCAAAGATGACCAATATGTTTTTTAAAAATAACAGTACAAATCTAAGGATTTAAACATGTTTTAGATGTTTCAATGTATTTCAGTTCTTGTCTTCACTGATGCTCACATTGCCCATCTTTGGCTAGCAGACACTCATTCAGCAGTCCTATTGACACAAATCTGTTAATCTTTGATGGCTTTCTTGTTTCTGAAATGCCTGACCTGAAATAAAACATTGCTCCAAGAAGTCCTGATTCTGTTTAAGGAAATGACATTTAGAGATCACAATGTGGGTATCAGGGGCGTCAGTGCTACTGGGCTGGTCATTATTTCTTAGACTTTTTCTTTTCAGTGGAAAGAGCTAAGAATGTTTTCTGTTTGTTTGATTTTTTTAAAGAGACAGAGTCTTACGCTGTTGCTCAAGCTGGAGTGCAGTGATGCAATCATAGTTCACCGTAGCCTTGAACTACTTGGCTCAAGTACTTGGCTCCTTCTGCCTTAGCCTTCCAAGTGGCTAGGACTACAGGTGCGTGCCACCATGCCTGACTAATTTTTTATTTTTTGTAGAGTTGGGATCTTGCTGTGTTGCCAAGGCTGGTCTCAAACCCCTGTCCTCAAGCAATCCTCCTTCTTTGGCCTTTCAAAATATTGGGATTATTGGTGTAAACCACCAAACCCAGTTGGCTAAGAATATTTTAAAGAAAAAAAATAAGTGAGTTCAAACTGAACTTTGCAATTCAAATTCAGGACTGCTTACAACTTTATTGATTTTTTTTTTTTTTTGAAACAGAGTTTTGCTCTTGTTGCCCAGGCTGGAGTGCAGCGGGCACTCCAGCTCACTGCAAACTCTGCCTCCCAGCTTCAAGCAATTCTCCTGCTGCAGCCTCCTGAGTAGCTTGGATTATAGGTGCCAGCCACCACTCCCAGCTAATTTTTTGTATTTTTAGTAGAGATGGGGTTTCATCATGTTGGCCAGGCTGGTCTCAAACTCCTGACCTCAGGTGATCCACTTGCCTTGGCCTCCCAAAGTGCTGGGATTACAGGCATGAGCCACTGTACCCAGCCACCTTATTGATCTTATACCTACATTTCTTTTTAAAAAATGTTTTAAAAATTATTTGATTTATTGTACAATAACAATATTAATGTTATCAACAATATGATTTCCGAAAAGTTGAATTTTTTTGTTTGGCTCTATCATTAGGGTGTATCTAACTAGAGATAGATCATCAAATTATCGTGTTTTACAGTCTGTTGGTATAGTATCTGTGTAGTTATGCTATCAACTGGGTGCAGAAGTTTAATTTTACTTTTGGATATTAAGAATTATTTTATTAATTCATTTATTAATTTCATTTTAAATTATGAAAAATATGTACACTGTTCCAAAGTCAGTTCTCCAAAACAATATATTCAAAGAAGTCTATCTTCCTATTTTTCTTTCTTTTTTAAATGATGATAATGATTATTACCCAGACTGCTCATCTGCAAGGAAGAAGTCTCTCTTCTATCCCTGTTTCTTCCACTCAGCTCCTCATTCTCCTATAAACAATAGTATAGTTTATTAATTTTTTAGTAGAGACAGTGTTTAATGTATTTTTAGTAGAAAAATACACTGTTTTTTATTTTAATATTATGAAATACACGCATGTATGTATTGGTATCTCCTTTCTTTTTAAAAACATACATATAGCATACATGATGACCTCATCTAACTTTTCACATTTTAACAACGATGACTTTTTTTTTTTTGAGACAGGTTCTCACTCTGATGCCCAGGTTTTGCTCTGTCGCATTCTCTGGAGTCCAGTGGCGGGATCTCAGCTTACAGCAGCCTCAACCTCCCTGGCTCAAGAAATCCTCCTACCTCAGCCTCCCAAGTAGCTTGGGACCACAGGCGTGTGCCACCAAGCCCGGCTAATTTTTGTATACATACATACATATATATAATACATACATATGTTGTATATATTTAAAATATATATATATATTTAAAATATATATATACATATATATATATTTAAAATATATATATACATATATATATATTTGGTAGAAATGGGGTTTTGCCATGTTGGCCAGGCTGGTCTCAAACTCTTGGACTCAAGCCATCTCCTGCTTCGGCCTCCTAAAGTTTTGGGATTACAGGCGTGAGCCACTGCGCATGGTCAATAATGACTTTTAATATCTTACTATACATAGAAGAACTTATTTTTTCGATTGCTCTGTAGCGGGAGACAGAAAAAGGAAAAGTCGGAGATGCTGCCATTCCAGAGCGGGGGGACCTTGGGAAGGAGGCCTGGGAGGTCAGGATTCTGGGCTGCACTGGCTTAATGAGTAGGGAGGTCAAGCAGCCTGGAAAGGTGTGGGATTCACTCCAGGGGTCTGGCCAAGTGGTTCCAAGCCAGGCAGTTCGTTTTCCTCTAACCCAGTCTCTCCAGTTTAGTTGTGTCTGTTATCCTTCAGCCCCATCTCCCCTCCCCTGGGGACGAAGGCGAAAAGAGTGAGGAGGCATTGCCCAGGCCCCTGGTACCTGCCGCGGAGGGAGCGAAGCCGGCCTTGTGCGGTCTTCCCGCGCCCCTCCTCTCCATCTAACCGTGGAACCGCCCTGCTCGGGAGCCCACTCCCCTGGAGGGCCGAGGGCGTCTTAGGCCAGAACATGAGGAGGCTGGATAAATGGGAATCGTCTCTCTCCAGTCGCAGCAAAGAGAATTTACTTGCGTAGGACCCTAGGCATTTCCTACGGGAAAAGAAGTGAAGACACGCCCGAGCTAGGCTGCCCCGCCCGCTCTACAGAAGGGGTGGTGCTGTCCGTGACCCCTCCCAACCCTCTCCACCCCGGAATGGCCTGGCCTGCACGAGGTAAGCCGGGCTGTCTGGACAAGAAGTGGTTTCCATCTGTGTATACTGTCAGAGACTATGTCAAGCCTGGTCTCTGCTGAGGAAATTGTTCTTTTAAAAGAAACTTCTGTTTTTTTTTTCTTTCAAAAGATGTGCTTTATAGTAGTGTGAAGTAACTGTCGAATGAGTATCATGATACTGAGTAAATATGGCAGCATCATGTTTAACGATAACAACAGACACTTATTTAGCATCCACTGTGGGCTGCGCACGGGCACTTTATATACACCATCTGATTCAATCATTAGCATTATGAGTTTCATTTCACCTGTGAGGATAGGGAGGCCCAGGGAGTTAAACAGATTGCTTACAGTCTTTCATTTGCCAGTAGCTGTGCTAAGATCCAAAAAATTTTTTTCTTATCTTTCCTCCCTCCCTGCCTGCTTCCCTCCTCCCTGCTTTCCTTCCTTCATTTTGTTTTTGAACACCCAAAGCCCATATTCCTGACATCAAACTCCTCCTGCCTTTGATGAGAACTCTGAAGAGTGTCAGGAAAGAAGTTGATCTGAGAAGTAACTGTAAAGAGTTTCGAGTTGAATGGGAAGAACTCGGGCAGTTAGTAACCTACCTCACCTTTCTGTTCCTTGAATTTTTCGGGTGAAGGACTGCAGGAGAACATGTTCCCCAAACTGGGATGTTTATTGGATGCACCAACCTCTTCTCCCACAAGGGGTCAGTAAAATCCCCTTAGTGAATAGAATGAAGCCCTGCTCCTCCCTGGCTTAGCGTTGGGGCAGTGAGGATCATTGCATTGGTGAATGGACCTCTGACCTTTACACGTTCTCCTCTCCATCACCTGGCTTTACTCAAGCTGAATTCATCCAGCGCTTGCACTCCATCCTCATGCTACCATGTGGTGGGAAACAAAGGGACAGAGAGCTCCAATTCATTCTTTTTTTTTTTCCCTTAGGGTTGGGGTCTTGCTTTTTTGCCCAGGAGGGCATGCAGTGGCATGATTATGGCTCACTGCAGCCTCAAACTCCTGGGCTCAAGCGATTCTCCTGCCACCACCTCCTTTCAAAGTGCTGGGATTACAGGTGTGAACCACCGTGCCCAGCCCTAATTCATTCTTTACTTTTAGTTTAGAGTAGTGTTTCATTTAAAAATTGCTGTACATAAAATATAATCACAAATGATTTCTCAAAATTCTGTATCTTGCAATTATTGTAACTGGATAAGGGTTTAGAACAAGAGAAGACATGTCTAAGTCTAATAATAATATAGTGAATATTTACGAAGTGTTATGAAGCGGCACTTTCTAAGTGTCTTATAAATGATAGAAACTGTGGGTCATGCTTTACGTGGCATTTGAACTCTGGCATTCTGGTCCCAGAGTTCCTGGCCCCTAAGCATCATAACATACTGCCTGTCTACCAGAGAAACAAAAATCAGTGTTTTCCATGGTCCTGGCAAGGATGATTATCAGTTCTATAAGCTAATATGGACATTCAGGAGGTGGATCAAGGTTTTGTGAGGCCCAGAGCGTATATAATTTGGGTGTCATCTTTAGGAAGATAACAGAAAATGACAAATACAAATGTATATGTGAAAATAAATTTTTATTTAGAATGAGAAAATAAATCACAACTGATCACAATTAGAAAAAAGACTACAAATGTCTCCAAATCCAGAAAAAATGCACATTTTTATTACTGAGCCCCCTAACGTATCTAATGCTTCTTTCCCCCATATCTTTAGCTTTATACTCTTTGATTGTCTTTCAATGTGTCTGCAATTTTCTACAATCATTTTTAGTAGAGAAAATAGAAATGTAATTCAGCTGTTCCTATTAGCGTGGTTGCTTGGTAATTATTATTGATGGTTGGGATGCATAACACATAGGATTTCACACATGACTATAACTTGCTGTTTGTAGTGCTTCTGCAGTTTTATCCCATACCTATAGAGAAATTCTGAAAATTGTATTTTGTGTGATCCCCTCCAAAAAGAAAAAAAGCAAAGTTTGTTCATAATTGTATGTGCTGTATTATCAGGTATATTCGTTTTTTTTTTTTTTTTTTTTTTTTTTTTTGAGATGGAGTCTTGCTCTGTCACCCAGGCCGGAGTGCAGTGGCACGATCTCAGCTCACTGCAAGCTCCGCTTCCTGGGTTCACGCCATTCTCCTGCCTCAGCCTCCAGAATAGCTGGGACTACAGGCACCTGCCACCACGCCCGGCTAATTTTTTGTATTTTTAGTAGAGATGGGGTTTCACCATGTTAGCCAGGATGGTCTTGATCTCCTGACCTCATGATCTGCCCGCCTTGTCCTCCCAAAGTGCTGGGATTACAGGCGTGAGCCACCGCACCCGGCTAACATATTCTTCACAGGAGACAAATTCCATTTTGATTAGTTTTTTTCTTTTAATTTATTTTTTAAATAGAGATGAGGTCTCACTAAACTGCCCAGTGTGGTCTTAAACTCCTGGGCTCAAGCCATCCACCTGCCTCGGCCTCCCAAAGTGCTGGGATTACAGGTATGAGTCACCATACTCCGCCATTGACTAGTAGTTGTTAATGGAACCTTTGGCTTACCATTTTCCATGTCTGACAGTTGGAAGAATTTTTCACAGACCACCTTCTGGCTTGATTCATTTCAAACCTTTTTCCTCCACAATCTATGTACTTCTCATGCCAGATGCCATAGGACACAGTGTATAGGGATAGCCCTGGTTCTTCCCGTCATAACACTAGGCAGGGAGTGAGATGAGGGTGCTCCTAAGATAGCTTAGTAATAAGTAATAAGTGAAGAATTCACAGAAGTAATTGTAAGCCACATAAATGTATCCAACAAAACCCCAAATAAATGTACCCTCAATGCATTCTCATCTGCCTCAATGTACCTTCAGATATGCCCATGGCTGGTCCATCCCACCTGGCACAGGGAAAGAGTGGAGAAAGGAAAGTGAGAGTAGAAACAGAAAATAGTCATAACTGATAGCAGTTAAATATATTATTTTTGGCTGGGTGTGGTGGCTCACACCTGTATTCCCAGCACTTTGGGAATACAGCCGAGTCAGGAGGATCCCTTGAGCCCAGGAGTTTGAGACCAGCCTGGGCAATACAGTGAGACCCCATCTCTCTCTCTATATATAAAATAATTAGCCAGGCATTGTGGTGTGTGCCTATAGTTCCAGCTACTTGGGAGGATGAGGCAGGAGGACTGCTCAAGCCCAGGAGGTTGAGGCTGCAGTGAGCTGAGATTGTGCCACTGCACTCCAGTGTGGTTGACAGAGTAAGACCCTGTCTCAAAAAAGAAAAGAAAAAGAAAAAACAATGTAATCATGCAAATGTGAAAACACTGCTGGACCCTTCCCAAGCCTTGGAGGGCCTGTGCAAATGAGGGTCCTGCAGCCTAAGCTGCATTAACTTTAGGGCCAGTCCCTGTATGGAACATCCTTAGAGACCTAACTCACCCACCAGCCTGAGGCAGCTCCAGGGGAGTGCCAGCAGACAGCAGAGCAATGATCTCACACCCATGGCAAACAAGGACGCGTTGTCCACCCACTAATAGGACCTCACCACCTGCAGGCGGGCAGATCCCAAGGTTTCCTGATATTCCCTACTGCTGCAGTCTCTGCTTGGGACAAAGTGCATTGCTTTTGCCATGAGTCACTGTGCCAGTAAAAAAGGTTAGGGGACATTCATGTCACAAAAGCAAGCGCTCAACTGGGACCTGAGAAGAGACAGCCTTCTTGGGTCACAACTGTCCACTTTCTCCAGGTGATATGGTTTGGCTCTGTCCCCACCCAAATCTCATGTTGAATTGTAATTCCAGTGTTGGGGGAGGGACCTGGTGGAAGGTGATTGGATCATGGGGGTGGGTTTCTCCCTTGCTGTTCTCGGGGTATGAGTGAGTTCTCACGAGATCTGGTTGCTTAAAAGTGTGTGGCACTTCCTTTTTCGTGCACTCTCTCCCATGCTCTGCCATGATAAGACGTGCTTGCTTCCCGTTCACCTTCCGCCATGATTGTAAGTTTCCTGAGGCCTTCCAGCCATGCTTCCTGTGCAGCCTGTGGAACTGTGAGTCAATTAAACCTCTTTTCTTCATACATTACCCAGTCTCGGGTAGTTCTTTATAGCAGTGTGAGAACGGACTAACACACCAGGGCTCGGGGATGATGAAAGCTTTGCTCAGGCTCTTCCCTTTCTAAATCTTCCCCATCCAGTGCACATCCCCATTCTGACCCCCAGCCATGAAACCTTCCCAGCAGCTCCGAGGCCCGTGGATCTCTCCTGCATCTGAGCTCTTACAAGTTTAAAAAAAAAAAGAAAGAAAAAGAAATTCTGAAACACATATTTGTTAAGCACCCATTCTGGGCTAGCCTGCAGTTAAATCTTACTGAATTGCTTACAAAGCATTTTGCGTAAGCAGATCTCTGTTTAGTCAGATTATAAACAAATTGGTGACAGGGACCAGAATTTCTTGCTGGCAGATCCCAGTTCTGGGCTTGTCAGCACTGAATAAATACTGACTTGATTGATGTAGCTTTGTCTCCTCTCTGAGGACCAAAGCTCTTGGCAGCTTCCTCCTAAGTAGGCTGGGGACTCCCTAACTGGGTGGAGAAGGTAGGGTTATCTCCTGCAGAAATTTTAATGGAGTTCCCCCAAATCTTGCTAATGGATTCTTGGACACTCTGCAGCCTGTAGTGGAAGCAACTTTTCTTCTTCAGTAAACTGATTAGAAATTTGGATTTTTAACCAAAGTAGAAGTCTAAATCTAATTTACTGACCCTTTTCAACCCCACCCCAAATTCCTTACTTTGTGAGCTAGCAAGGTTTGAGAATGTTTGGATCAAACTGAGTATCTCATAATGCAAGCATGCATGGAGTCTCCTGGCTGGTTTTACTTTCACTTATCTTGCTCCCGTTCTGGGGGGCAGTGCAGAGAAGGGGAAAGATCAGGCTTGAGTCTCCCTCGATCTGGATTCAGTCAATACTGGCTCTGCCCCCACAAGCTGTATGAGACCTTGGCCTAAGTCATGTCACCCTCCCAGCCTTCCTTTCCTCTGCCGGAAACAGGGGGTGTCACAGAACCTGCCACATTCAGCGGCTGCGGGATTTATTTTGTAAGGATTCAGGAGGACAGTGAGGATGTGGCTGATGAGTTTGTTCCCCGTTTGTGCAGGTTCTCTTCTCTGGCTCCCAAAGCCAGTAGGTTTATTTCATCTCAACAAATGCTTGAAGCAGACACAAGCATTTGTTTCTACGCTAAGCTTCAGAGCTCTTAAACTTTCTTTTTTGAGGCAGGGTCTCTTGCTGTCACCCAGGCTGTGGTGCAGGGACATGATCACAGATCCCTGCAGCCTCCAAACCCTGGGCTCAAGTGATCCTCCCACCTCAGCCTCCCAAGCAGCTGGGACTATAGGCATGTGCCAGCACACCTGGCTAATTTAAAAATATATATATATATTTTGTAGAGATGGGGTCTCACTATGTTGCCTATGCTGGTCTTGAACTCCTGGGCTCAAGCAATCCTCCCGCCTCACCCTCCCAAAGTGTTGGGATTACACACATGAGCCACCACGCCCCGCCATATTTTCTTGTTTATTATTGGTCTCCCCCAACTGGAACACACATCCTGTGAGACTAGGGGTTCTGTCTCTTTTGTACACTCATGTATTTTCAGTGCTCAGAAGGGTGTCTGGCACATGGTGGTAGGCATTCATTAAATATGTGTTAAACATTGGACTAGGTGAAATAACATGAAATTTATGAAATTCCTATCATAAATCAAGGGACCATGTAAAAGTGGGTTGCCACCCATGCAACAATAGCTAACAATTATTACTTACTACAGCTAATTATTGTTGTGTTAAGGGTTTACCATACATTATTATCTCATTGAATCCTCATAACACCAATGAGAGAAAGACCTATTATTATTTGTCATTTTATCTATTGATATTTGTTTATTTGTCTATTTCTATTCTTATTTTTGAGACATGGTCTTGCTCTGTCACACAGGCTAGAATGCAGTGGCATGATCATAGCTCACTGCAGCCTCGACCTCCTGGGCTCAAGTGATCCTCCTGCCTCAGCCTCCCATGTAGCTGGGACCACAGGTGTGCACCACCATGCCCGGCTAATTTTTTTATTTTCTGTAGAGGTGGAGTCTCACTGTGTTGCCCAGGCTGGTCTCAAACTCCTGGGCTCAAGCAATCCTCCCACCTTGGCCTCCCAAAATGCTGGGATTATAGGCGAGAGCCACTGTGCCAGCTGATACTTATTATTTTTAGTAAAAGAAATTATTTTTATAGTAACTAAGGTGCCAATGAGAAAGACTGAAAATAGAATTAGCTGGTTAGAATGTTACAAACCTTGGCCAGGTGCAGTGTCTCACATCTGCAATCCCAGAGCTTTGGGAGGTGGAGGTGGGAGGATCACTTGAGCCTGGGAGATGGAAGCTGCAGTGAGTTGTGATTATGCCACTGCACTCCAGCCTGGGCAACAGAGCAAGATCCTGTCAAGAAAGAAAGAGAGAGAGAGAAAGAAAGAGTGACTTGTCATTTTTTAAAAAATGACACTGCGGTGTCAGCATTGTGTCTGTTTCCCCAAGCCTTCTTCTATGAACGAGGCTGGGCTGGGCGTGAGGACAAGGTGTTGTGTAACGTGAATGGTCCCCTTGCAAATATGCTGGCCTCTTGTTCACTCATCTCCCTCTCCTCCTAATCTTCTAATAACTTTATTACTGGGAAAAAGGCCAACTAGGGAAAACCCCACTGGCGGCCTGAGGATTCTTGATCTGAAGGGGGCCTTTGAGATCACGGGGCCTGCCTCCTGCCTTTGGTATGGGAAGAAATTCAGCCCTCAGGAAGGCAGTCTCCACATGGGAGGGCATTTCTTTAATTAACTAAACTCCTTGTCCAAAATCAGATGAACCATGCTCTTCATCTGTGTAACCTGAACTTCATAAGCTACTTGATGACAGTAAGGGACGAGGGGCCATGCTACCTCTATTTTAGCTGACCTTTTTCTGCAAGGCTCACCCAGGTGTTTTACTTGGATCCTTTTAAAAAATATCTGGAATCCTATTATTTTCTTGAGTGATATGTGGGTTCTGTTCTGATGACAGCAAAATCATAGCATTCTTGGTTAAATGAAGTGATGGAGTTTCACCGTGCAGTATTAACGGCACCTCTTCCAAAATCCTGCTGCCAGAATCTATTATCATGAGTCAGAAATCCCAGCCTGGTCTGGAAACCAGTTTTAGAAAGATTTGCAAGCAGCAGGTAAGACGGCTTTGTTCAGGAGAGGGGCACATCTTTCTCATTTGTGAATTATATGCAAGAAGGGCAAAGAGGAAGAGTGGAGAGAAAGGTCTCAAATTACTTTTTTCCTTCTTCATTTTTATTAGCTCAAGAAATATTGTTTCATTTCAAAACGTGTGCCTGCTATTGTTTTTGCTGAATAAATGAAAGCAATGATAAAATGTCTGTTATGTCTTTCCAGGATTCTCTCTATTGTCAGGAGCAGGAAAAGATCTGAATTTCCCATGAAATGCCAGTGTCAGCATAACATGGTGGTACTACACAGTGCCACTCTATCAGGCATATCCTGGGCCTCTCACAAAAATATTATTTTAAAAAGATATTCAGAATGCTTCTGGTGCCAAGTAGGTGCAGCGTGGATACTCTGTGATGATGATGAACAGCCTTCTAAGTGCGTGTACTGAGTTTAAGAAACATAACACCACAGCACGTAAAATCCCGTGCCAGATCTCACACAGCCGCCAAATCACATCTGCCTCTATCTCTCTGGATGATCCTTCTCCAAAATCAAGGCCTGGCACCTTGCCCTGAACATCAGCCAACTGGACATTAGCAGACCAGGACGGAGAGGGAAATCCAGTTATGTTCCCCTATAAATCTCAACCAAAGCCAAACCTTGATTGTCAGTGTTTGTGGGCAGTGGAGGAAGGGTGCCCTAGGGAGTGAGTAGGTGGAATTTGCACATAGACTCAAATCTTATATTTTGCATTATTGAACAAAAAATACATTGTTTCTACCTTCTCTGCTTTTGAACACATTGATGAAAAGGGCTAATACATAACAACAATTTTCTATCTTACTGAAAGTTGACTTTCTGGGTGAGGGGCTCATGAATGAGAAGTGAAATGGTCAAAAGAGGGGTATCCAAGTAGAGCTGAAAAAGCAGGGGGGCCGAGGAGTTATCTGATGAGGAAAATGAATCCCTGGATAATTGAGAGTTAACTATAGAACTGGTTTCTTTTATAATTACTACAGAGTCAGCTTCTATCAGGCAAAGGGTGTAAGCCAGATGCAGAGATGAAATTCGTATCCAGAGGTTCAAGTTAATATTTAAGTGCCTCAGGAGGCTAAGGTGGGTAGATCATCTGAGGTCAGGAGTTCAAGACCAGCCTGGCCAACATGGTGAAACCCTGTATCTACTAAAAAATACAAAATTTAGCTGGACGTGGGGGTGGGTACATGTAATCCCAGCTACTCAGGAGGCTGAGGCAGGGAGAATTTCTTGAACCCAGGAGGCGGAGGTTGCAGTGAGCTGAGATAGCACCACTGCTCTCCAGCCTGGGCTACAAAGTGAGACTCCATCTCAAAAAAAATTAACTGCCTCAGCTTAGATACCTTAATCCTTAAGTAAGGAATTGCGTATTTAAAAGGCAAATACTATATACATATGTGTAAGTAAATGCCCAGAACACGGCCTGGCGGGACAAACACCAAATAGCTGACAGGGGTTACAGCTGGGAGGAAAGGTGAGGCTGGTTAGGGGTAGGGGTGGGAGGGGAAAAAGAGGGTGCTTTCAAAAATAAAAAAAAATTATAATTATTATTTTTTTGAGAGACAGGATCTCACTCTGTCACCCAGGCTGGAGTGTAGTGGCACAACCATAGTTCACTCCCGGCTTGAGCTCCTAGGCTCAAGTGATCCTGTTGCCTCAGCCTCTTAAGTAGCTGGGACTACAGGTGTGCACCGCCACACCTGGCTATTTTTTTTTTTTTAGTTTTTATTTTTTGTAGAGATAGGGTCTCAGTATGTTGCCCAGGCTGGTCTTGAACTCTTCGTCTCAAGTGATTCTCCCGCCTTGGCCTCCCAAAGTTGGGGTTATAGGTGTGAGCCACCGCGCCTGGCCTGTTTAAATTTTCCGATAAGAAAGTATGCATGTAAGAAAGATTTTGACAATTTGTTATGAAAGTGAGGTATCTTGAATGGAAACTTCTAGAGGGCTGGATGTTTCCCGTATACCCAAGTCCTGGGCACGTCAATATACATGCTCTGACCCAATCTGAAAGCACATTTCGGAAGTTTCTTTTTGCAATTATATTTGTCTAGCTGGGATAATTTTATTTGCTGAGAAATCATTTGCAGTATCATTTGTGATTTGACATTTACGGAATTCTTATTTTCTGATAGTGCTTTTAGTTTACTTTCTGTTGCATTAGTCTTGAAAGGTACATATATAGGCTTTTCTTTTTTTTAATGGGTAAATAATTATGACAAAAAGATGAAAAAGATCTTTTCAAGGTCTTATGTAACTGCAATTAGCAAAGAGTAGAAATTATTGCTTATGCCTTTACCTTTTTCCTAATGCTTTCCTTCCCGATCTGACTCAATGATTGCAGTAGTGTCTGACTGGATCTCCCTAAGTTGTTTGTTTCCTAAATGTTTGGGAATTTTAAAGTGACACCTCTTCACTAGTCAGGACTTGGGATGGATGACTAGGGAGGTGGGTCTTACCTTTCTTCCAGTTTCTTTTGAGAAAGTTTCCCTGTGAGCTCCTCAGGGTTCCTCCACCAGAGACTGACTCAGGGCCTAGCTACATGTGCAACTATTAGGATGATGCTTGGGATGGGGCAACATGGGTGACACGGGTGACAGAGGGTGACACTATTCAGAAAAATGACTTCCGCCGAGGAGGATCTTAGAACCTGTTGAATTTTTGGAGGGGCAAATTGATATGTCTCATTTCTGGACAATGTGGACATTGCTTCTCTCTCTTACCCAGCTCAGACTTCATAAATTCTGGGAAAGGACAATGACTCTTAGAAAGTGAGAGGAAGATGAGTTGATATGTTTTCCCCTCAACTAAGCAGCCTATGTTTTCTTTTTGATATGAATTAGGATCTGGAATAATATGACAGTAATTATAATACGCAGAAGAGATTATGCCAGTCAAATGAAGATTCATTTTCCCCTTCTTTCTTTATTCTTTTTGTTGTTGTTGTTATTGCTGCCCCATTGGAGAAGAGGAGAAAAATCTCAACAGAGAGGCTTTGACAGGTACAGTATAACTTATCAGGCTTTAAAGGAACTAGCTGAGGTTAGCCTTAGTTCAGATATGTCAGAGCTGTCAGAGGCCAGCCCCGAAATCTGTAAGACATTACAGACTGAAAACTCAGCGAGGACGGCTGAAGGGCTCAGCGGGAATTCCAACACACACATGAGCCTGGAGTATCTCCATGCCTCGACCTGACCCTGGATAATACTTGGAGTTTGCTTCTTGTTGTTGTTGTTGTTGCAGGATTACTAAGTTCTTCGGGTTTTGGTTCTTTGGCTCCTGAAATTGGTCCATCACACTTGGGGGACAATTCATCATTGCGTAGGGGGAGTGAGGATGGCCTCTGTGGACAGTCCACCCCGGGCAGCTTGAGTGTTAGGGCTTAGCAAGCAGAGCCAATGCAATCCTCTGGGTTAGCAAGGGAGGGGATGAATGTGGGCACGCAGAGATAGCGTCTGCAGATGCTTTAAATGGTTAAGATGGTGTCAGAGATGTCAATGCAAGTAAACTCTTGGGAACAAAACAGAGCTTTTTGAAATATGGCTTCTTTCTCTATCTCGCCCACCCCAGGGTGAGTGAGAGCATGGAATACCCACTAAAGAGGCAGAAAAAAAATACCTTAGTGGAAAGAAATGGGATTTGGAATAGGAACTGTGTGCCAAATTTACCAGAAACCACTTAACCCCTTTGACCCCTGGTTTTCCTATATGTATGCATATTTTTGTCTTGGCTTGGCGTGGTGGCTCATGCCTATAATTTCAGCACTTTGAGAGGCTGAGGTGGGAGGATTGCTTGAGCCTGGGAGTTTGAGACCAGTCTTGGCAACATAGGGAGACTCCATCTCTACAAAAAATTTTTAAAAAGTCTCTACAAAAAATTTAAAAATTAGCCAGGTATGGTGGCGTGCACCTGTATTCTCAGCTGTTAGGGAGGCTGAGGCAGGAGGATCACTTGAACCTGGGAGGTGGAGGCTGCAGTGTGCCCTGGTCATGCCATTGCACTCCAGCCCAGGCAACAGAGCAAGGCCTTGCCACAAAAAAGAAAAAAAAATTGTCTTAAAAAAAAAAAGAAAATCCTATGGTGCAACGTGATGGATTTATTTCCTGTCTGTATAATCTTGGCTTTCTCACAGTTGGTCTATTTCTAACTAACACCCCAGTTCATGTAACTTCTCTTAGAGAGAGAGCTCACATTGCATGAGACCATGCTTTTATTATTATTTTTTAATTTAAAATCTAATAATCTTTGTTTCTGTCTCTCTCTCTTTCTCTGTCTCTCTTTTTGATTGTTGTTCTTTTATTCTTGTTTATCCAAAAGTCAAATTTAAGATTCCAAAGTGCTGCTTCCAGGCTGGCCCTGAGAACTCACTGCTGGTTTTGTAAGGAATACAGCAGAGGTCAGGAGATAGGAAGGGTGAAGTGGAAGGAATTTGCTCAGATCTACTCTTGTTTTATTTTCCATGGAGTTTCACTGCAGTTTGTGTTTTGAATACAGTCAGTTACACAAAGCCCCATGAAGTGAGGATATAGGTTGGTTGGCTTGCTTGTTTATGTCTAGGAAGCCATACATTTTGTACTTTAAGATAAAAATCTCCCCTTTTTTGGATGAATGTGCGCTTTCAGTAATACATCCAGGCTACAGAGGACGTGTGAACTACACATAAAATAAAACCAATTTGCTTTCCTTTTAAAAGTCAATTAGTTCATTCTTCCATTTGTCCCCCGTCCAAAAATGCACTGACATTTCCTTCTTTGCATCATAGAAGGCCCAGCTTCTTTCTATCTACCCTAGTCCCACTATCCTTCACAGTCCTAGCTCCATGAAGCCATCTTGCTCCCAACCAACTCATGGAGCTCTTGTTATAATACCTGGCACATAGTAAACACGGCAGAAAGCTCAGCTGTTACTCTATGACTAAGTATTGCAAAGGACTCACAACTTACTCCTGTACCATTCACTGGCATAGGAAACACTTTTATTAATGTTGTGTTATTTACTTTCCCCCTAGAAAGTCTCATTGAGTTGGTAAGTAGTAGGGTCACTGCTTTAAAAAATAAAATCTCCATACAATTCTCATGTGTAGTCAGGGTTACTAAGCACTGATTTTTTTTTTTTTTTTTTTGAGACAGAGTGTCACTCTGTTGCCCAGGCTGGAATGCAGTGGCACGATCTCGTCTCACTGCAACCTCCGCCTCCTGGGTTCAAGTGATTCTTCTGCCTCAGCCTCCCAAGTAGCTGGGATTACAGGCATGTGCCGCCACAACCGGCTAATTTTTGTATTTTTAGTAGAGACAGGGTTTCACCATGTTGGCCAGGCTGGTCTCGATCTCCTGACCTCAAGTGATCTGCCCACCTCGGCCTCCCAAAGTGCTGGGATTACAGGCGTGAGCCATGGCGCCCGGCCAGCACTGATTTTTAAAAGTACTCATGTGGTTCTTCTCACTTCCAATTATGAATGTCTTCCCTCCTCCATTCACTTTAAAATACCCAAAGGCAGAGAGGTACATTGTTTACGCTTCCCTGTGTCTTCCCCAAAGCCCTGCGTCTGGAGGCCACTGTCAAGCTGAAAGGACAAGGTGAGTGTTCTGTGGAGTCACCTACATTTATAGGGAGAAAAATCACTCTCCATGAAATGGTTAAGACAGAAATGGGGGACCGGGTGCGGTGACTCGCCTGTAATCCCAGCACTTTGGGAGGCTGAGGGGGCGGATCACCTGAGGTCAGGAGTTTGAGACCAGGCTGACCAACATGGGGAAACCCCATCTGTGCTAAAAGTACGAAAGTTAGCCAGGCGTGGTGGCGCATGCCTGTAATCCTAGCTACTCGGGAGGCTGAGACAGGACAATCACTTGAACCTGGGAGGAGGAGGTTGCAGTGAGCCAAGATTGCGCCACTGCACTCCAGCCTGGGCGACAAGAATGAAACTCCGTTTCAAAGAAAATAAAAAAGAAACAGGTGGCTGTTGTTGATTGCAGTAACACACAGCACCGACTCATTTAATCCCACAACAATCCTGTGCTGTCGTTACTTTATGTCCCCATTTGATGGATTAGGAAAGTTGAAGCTCAGGGAAGCTATGTGCTGCACCCAAGGTGAAGCCAGATGTCCAATCTCTCTCGAGGATCACTAAACTTACTACAAGCTCTCTGAGGGGACCTGAAGATATCACACAGTAGGCACTCCATTAATATTTGGTGAAGGAAAGAAGAAATAAAAATGATAATAGTCTAGACCTGGACATACTGAATTTTCATAGAGAAGCAGCAAATCTGGAAAAATGATCTCGGTTGAATTGCATGGAACATGGCTTCTAAGGGATAGGAATGAATGTTACGGGGTTCCTTAGGGTGTGGATTGGGTGACCAGGTGTCCCGTTTGCCCGGGCCAGTCCCAGTTGGTGCCTGTTGGAATTAGAAAAGAGTTCTCTTTTCACAGGCTTTGTTTGGATGATAAGTTACATGGTCGCTCTGAGTCTAGAAATGGTATGGAAAGAGGCAGGGTCTCTAAGTGCAAAGGGGAACACAGGGAAGTAGTATTAGATTAACTGGCGCTTCCCTGAGGTCAACTTCCTTCCCTTTGTAATGCATGAGTGTTAGGATGGTTCAGTGCTGTGTGAAGACATGGTCTCTTGCCTCTGCTCTGCGAAGTGGATCCCAGGCATCTTTTCTTTTCTGGGAGCTTCCCAGGAACTCTGGTAGGTTTGGTGACTGCATGAGATTGCCCCGGGCAGTTGAGATTTCAGCTATGCTGCCTCATCACCCTCAGAAGCCCACCGATGGTCATCATCACATCTGCTGGTTTTAGGTCTGAAAATACACACAGTGTACTGATGTGCATAAGGTTATCACCCAGAAAACCAGAATCCTCGCCTCAATACTTACTAGTTTTGTCACTTTGCTTGTTCTCACTCTCTGTGCATAAAACCCCTTCTTTGTAAGAAAATTGCAAATAATATTAACCATACTGATGTTGTAGGGATGCTGACTTATAGTAAAATGATGGGAAACCACTTTACAAATAATATTCCATGTAAAGTTTCAAGGGCAATTGCTGGCATGGAGCATGTGCCAGGTATAGCTCAAAAGTCAGGTTATTATCCTAAAGCCTAAATTCCCTAGAGATGACCATGACCTTGCTTCCCATTTACTTGCTGGGTCGAAAGAGCTTGAGCTCTTTTGCAAACTCATCTGAAGATATATGTCCCTGAACATCGCAGAGGCCAGGTGTTTTCCACAGATCAGTGGAATTCCCCAGCTGCAAAACTTCCTTCCACTACCGTCTGCCACAGCGTGAGGTTGCTGACATTCAGGAAGACATCTTAGGGGTCTCTCTTTGCCTTCATTGGCACATTCAAGGTGGGAGAAGAGGGGAGATTTTATTGTCATCCAGGTGTTAGAGGCTATTGTGAAAAACCTCTATTTTATTAATGTCGGGAATGACATGCTGTGTATTTCAGCCTGATCTATATAAGATAACTTGTTGTGGTAATTAAATTTTATTTTAAAAATTGCAGAGAATATGAAAAATTCTTTTTAATAGACTCATTTGACTTAATTTCATTTTTTACTTTCCAAAAAAAATTATTTTTTAGGGACAGGGTCTCCCTCTGTCACCGAGGCTGCAGTGCAGTGGTATGATCATAGCTCACTGCAGCCTCCCAACACCTGGGCTCAAGCAATCCTCCCACCTCAGTCTCCAGAGTATCTGGGACTACAGACTTGTGACACCATGCACAGCCTAATTTAATTTTCAAAAATTGTACATTTTCAAGGTGTACAGCATGATGCTTTGATATACATGTACATAGTTAAATGGTTCCAACAGTCAAACCAATTATTAGGTTGGTGCAAAAGTAATTGCGATTTTTGCCATTGACGTATCAGAGCCGTTTCTGCTGCAGCAGGTGAAGTGGATCTTTAGCCTGCCTCCACAGAAGCCTGTGTGTCTTGCTGCTAAAACCAGCCTACCAGTTTCCTAGAATCACAGCCTCCCACACCAGTGACCCTGGCTGCTGCAGCCTGTGGGGGTCACTGTGGGCTCTGTATTGGGAAGGCTGGAGGGGATGGGATTTGGAAGAAGCAAGTAGTGATTGGAAGTGGGTAGTGCCCAGGGTGTGCTAGGGCCAAAAAAGCAAAGGACTAGGAGGATCCAGACTTCAAGCTGATTGGGAAAATCCCATGTCTCCCTTTTCCTTTTAGATGTCTGTACCTTTCACTCATTTTTGATGCTGGTAAAAAGAAAACCAGAGCTGGCCATTCCCAAATCCTTTACAACTGCCCCTCCCGGGTTCTTTGTGTTTGCAAATGTAAATGCTAAAGGTCAGCAGGGTTTAAAGCACCTTTTTACCTCCAGCCACTTCCTTGCCCCTTAGAGGCCCAAGCTGGTTCTGAAAAAAGTGTCCAGCAGGGAAAAGCCTGCACCAACCTACCCACCATCACCCCAAATAAATGAGGGCCCAGAGCTTTGCATTGCTTGCAGCTTCTGTGCCTGACAGGCCTGCACTCTGGGTTTTGGAGAGGCCTTATTTCCAGCTGGTTACTAAGGCTGGTGCTGCCTCCAGGTGTGTTATCAGGAGGAGGACAGTTTAAATAGGGCTTATCACTGTGTATTCAATCAAGGTTTATGAGGACTGATAAAGATGTCACCTAGTTGCTTCGTGTGTTCATTAAAACTCTATTCCCTGGTGGGGATAGAAATGCAGGGGGGTTTGTTTTAAAAATTTTTAAACAAAAATTTTGGAACAACTACATGTTGTTCTTTTGATAAAGATGGCGCTGTGGTCAAGCCCATCTGTGTGATCAAACCCACAAAGGAGTGAAGGCAGTCCTCTCGGGCACAGTGCATTCGACCTCCACCTTCCCCGACAATACAACAGTCTTTAATACCATAGGTTATCATAATTGCTTATTTAAGAATTCAATGAACAGCACCACCCTTGGCCTAGGTGCAGCAATAAGCCATTGTGTGCTTTTAATTTTGTGTCCTTTTATATTACTGGATCATTATAACAAAAAGATATTTGTTTTAGTGTTTTATTTTAATAAAAGATTTCTAACTAAATGTGTTTGCCATAGTCCCCCTTTCATAGTCCCTCTTCCTCTTCTACTAGATAGAAAAAAAAAAGCAAAATAGCCCATATTTCCTTTACTAAACCCATAAGTTTGTACATCTAACTAGAGCTGCAGGGAGCATAGTGCAAGAAATGGGCGCTGCTCTGAATGGCTTTGTGTTCTGTGAGCCTAATTGCTGCTTTATAATGAGACCCAGTGTCTCTCAATGGCTCATTGAATATATTTTCTGTTTAATGTTACTAAAGAAGAATTGCAGAATGGAGAGTAAAAAATGTTTTAACTTTTCGGGGTTTTTTCCCCCACCTCCAGTTCAAAAGGCACCATTGCTTGCTGACATCTTCTATCTCCAAACCTATTAACGCTATATGACTAGTTAAAGATAGGGATTTGCTAGCAGGCTACATGTAGACTTTACCTGCATTCTGAACATTTTTAAAAAACAATGTTCAAGTTTACTAAACAAATATTTAAGAGTATTATAATTTTTTTTGAGACAGAGTCTCACTCTGTCACCCAGGCTGGAGAGCAGTGGCATGATCTCAGCTCACTGCAACCTCCGCCTTCTGGGTTCAAGCGATTCTCCTGGCTCAGCCTCCTGAGTAGCTGGAATTACAGGTGTGTGCCACCACACTGGCTAATTTTTGTATTTGTAGTAGAGATGGGCGTTCTGCATGTTGGCCAGGCTGGTCTTGAACTCCTGATCTCAGGTGATCCACCTGTCTCAGCCTCCCTAAGTGCTGGGGTTACAGGTGTGAGCCACTGCACCCAGCCCATAAAATGTTTAACTTTCATCAGCTTCAAGGTTTATGTTTCTCCCAAATTTTGCATACAGCTGAACTTTCAAATCTGCTGACACCCACTGAATTGATTCCACTCTGGATTTTAAGGTGTCAATTTCCTCTTGCATGTTTCTTTGCTTCTTCTAACATTTCTTGTGTTTCTTCTTGAGAATGGCTAATGAAAACATCACCAATTTGATAAGGTATCATTAAACAGTCATCATCTGCAAGCATGAGGTCATCACAAGCATCTTCTAAGTTTTGGAGTTGCTTCTTTTTTACTTCTGATGAATGTTTTTGTTGTTTTTGTAGAGGCAGGGTCTCCCTCTGTTGCCCAGGCTGGTGTCAAACTCCTAGGCTTAGGTGATCCACCTGCCTGGCCTCCCTAAACACTGGGATTACAGGTGTGAGCCATTGCACCTGGCCTTCTCTGATGTATGTTGACCATTAAATATAAGTGTCTTGGGGGATAAAATTACTTGCTCGTTTAATGTTATTTAAATTTGATTTTTTTTTATCTTGAAACTTGTGGACATGCCTTATCTCCACCACTGGGGGTCAGGCTCAGTATGGGGAATTTCTGCTCATTCCATCCCACAATGCAGTTCTTGGGGGCAGCAGAGGGAAGAGGAGTTAAGTAGACTGAATAATGAGGAATGATGGGAAGGTAGAGATGGTGGGATGGGGAGGGGTTGAGAGAAGCTGAGAACTCAAAGGGAAGACTGGGAGAACTGGGACTGCAGGGAGAAGTTAGGAGGGGGTGACATTCAGGTTCAGACCCCAGGAAAATCCTAATGTTGAGGGGAGGGATGCTTATGACTTTTTTGTGTCTGATGATGGCCAAATGCTGCAAGGTCCTTGATGAAATTGCTAATTCTCTTAGGTTGCATCTCCCCAGAAGACACCGAAACAAGGATTTCAGTGCAAGTTGTTTCATGGGAGACTTCAAGAAGCATCAGGGTCGATCCCAGCACTTTGGGAGGCCAAGGTAGGAGAACTGCTTGAGCCTGGGAGTTCGGGACCAGCCTGGGCAACAGAGTGAGACCTCATTTCTACAAATAAAAAAATTAAATTAAATTAAAAAATAGAAGCATCAACAAGAGAGTAGAGAAGAGATACAGGGGAGAGACGGAAACCAGTGGAGGATGTGATCTTGAGCAGCTCCTCTTGTGGGCGACTGGGCCTCAAGCTCCCTGGGGGGCTCTCGGAATTGATGAAGAACCAGTCTCAGAGTCTCTTTCTTGAAGAGCGAGGAAGCTGAGGCATTTGATCACTAACTCCTTCTAACTTGTCCTCATCATTGGCTGACAGCTACTCCCAGGGGTAGCAGCTCCCTGGAATTTCTGACTTGCCTTGTGAGCAGCATCGGCTGCCTGTGGGATGCAGGAGGAGTACAGGGGACTGTGGGCACGGCACTGACGGCGTCCGCAGCACTCGTGTCACCTTCTACCGTATGCATTTGAAAACACTTGCCATCACTTATTAATATGATTTATTTATTGTGAATATCATACTGTATTTATTAATTCTAGGATGGCTCTCTGCTTAACACTTCTTAAATTAGAACACCTCTTATAATTCACAGGACATCTTTCAATGGCTCCTGGCCAACTGGCAGCAGAATTTTACCTTCCTGTGCATGAATGACCTTGGATATTATTCTTGGTGGCATGACTGGACACCTGCAGCCTCTTGATGTTTCCAGTCAAAAAGGTATTTAAGAGCCATTTGTCAGGCGGACCACTTGAGCCCACGAGTTTGAGGCCAGCCTGGGCAGCATAGTGGCACGCTGTTTCTAAAAAACAAAACAAAACAAAAACAAAACAAACAAACAAACAAACAAAAAACGAAAGAAAGGAAGAAAGAAAGAGAAAAGAGCAGTAATATCTTCATCACTGGTCATTGGTCATTGTCTTTAAAACAACTTTCCATCGATATCTTCTGGGGAGAACAAGAGAGCACTAGTGTCAAAACTTCAACCAGCTTGGAAGAAAATTCTGGAGATAAGAGAGCAATAATTTTTTAGGTTGAATCACATAAGTTTGCCATCTTTTGGTCAAAAACAGTCTAATGAGCAATTTCACTTGGTTCCACTTACAAGAAAAGTTCCATCTCTAACACTCTTGATGGGACTGTGTGCAGAAATAAGGGCATTGACAAGTCGGAATTAAAACATAATCTAGAAGGGTTGCATTCTGAATATAAAAAGTTTTAGGAATATTTAAACCAGTTTGTTTTACTTATATTTTCCTTCTTTATACATATGACAAGAGTAATATTTTTTAAAAAATTATTTAAAGGCCTATTCATAGCTTGAAAAAAAATTCTTGCAGTAAAAGCATTTGCAAAAATATGAAATAAAATTTGACATGACAAGGAAGCATTATATCATTAATTGGCAGCTTTTCTTCCTTAGTGACGTAAAATAATGACATCATAACAATCAAGGAGTGTCTCAGATTTTGTGAAATATGATTTATCCCGCCATGGACCTCAGAGGCAGAGAGTGAGGTTGATCATAATTCTTGGTTTCAGGTCATATTTTCACCAATGGTTTGTGCTAGACCTATCTCTGATTTTGTCATTGAATATTGGGTGATAATTATCTCAGTCATATAGATAATAGAAGTGAGAAATGGGGATAAGAGGGAAAATTAGGGTGAGATATTCTAAAACCTTCTTGGTTTTAGACATTGCAAATATCTTCTCCCATTTCATCTTTTAACTTCATCTATAGTATATTTTGTTAAACAAAAATTCCTAATTTTTATGTAATTGAGTTTTTTAACATTGTTGCCTGGGAGCTCATGTTTTTGAAGTTTTGTTTAAGGAGTCCTTTTCCTGTAGGTCACAAAGATTTTCTTCAACATTTTCTTGTTTTGACTTCATAGTTTTATTTTTCATTCCTAAATTTTTTAGTCCGTCTTGAGTCCACCTTTGTTTGCGATGTTACGTGGGATTGAGTTTTATTTTTATTACAGTAAAAAAGTTTCCCCCAGGCTTCTGCTAAACAGACTTTCCACCATTCACTTATGGTGCCACCTTTATCATATGTTAAATTCCCACATATGCATGAGGGTATATCTGAAGTCTCCTTCAGTTCCATTGGTCAGTTTGTCTGTTCATGAGTACATTACCACACTGCTTTTATTATTATAGCTTTTAAATATATCTTAATATATGCTAGAGTATGTCCCCCTCTTCAATCTTATATAAAGTCAGTTAAGACTTTGGGAGGCTGAGGCAGGCAGATCACTTGAGGCCAGGAGTATGAGACCAGCTTGGACATATGGTGAAACCCTGTCTCTAACAAAAATACAAAAAATTAGCTGGGCGTGGTGGCACACGCCTGTGGTCCCAGCTACTTGGGAGGCTGAGGTAGGAGGATCATTTGAACCTGGGAGCCAGAGGTTGCAGTGAGCTGTGACTGCACCACTGTACTCCAGCATGGGTGACAGAGTGAGAACCTGTCTCAAAACAAACAAACAAACAAACAAATAAAGTTAATTATGTATTTTTGGTGGATACTTCTTCCATATAAATTTTAGAATGTGTTTATTGAATTTCTTTAAAAGTCCAATTGGAATTGCACTAAATTTGTAGATTAATTTGGGGGAGAACTCAGGGAATCCATCCAAGAGGATGGCATAGCTCCCCACTAACTCAGCTCATTTTGTACATCCTTTGTTACAGTTTAAAATGTTTTCCATCAGAGGATTTATAAATTCTTAACTTAGTAACTTCTCAGTTACTATATATTTTTTGTTGCTGTTATGAATAATACTATATTTTAAAAAGTGATGTTTCCTAGGCAGTTATCATTAGTTTAGAGCAGAGATAGGGACGCTTTTTCTGTAAAGGGCCAGATAGTAAATATTTTAAGCCTGGCAGCCATGTAAGGTCTCTGTTACATATCCTTCTTTTTCTTTTTCTTAGTTGTTTTACAACCCTTTAATAAATGTAAAAACCATTCTTAGCTGGTGGGGGCCTTACAAAAACAGGCCTTAGAGGGCATTTGGCCCACAGCATGTTAGTTTTCCAGTTGCTAGTGTAGAAAAATGGTATTGACCTGTGTACATTTCTCTTTTAGTCTATGGTGTTGCTGAGCTCTCTTATTAGTTCTAATGATTTGCCTGATTGTTCTGTTAGTTTTCTACATAGGTGAATAATACAATTTTTATGTCTTCCCTTTTAATTCTTACCTCTCTTACTTCTTTTCCTCTTGTAGGGTTGGCCAGGACTTTTCCTTGTAATGTTCAACAGACGTAATGACAGTGGGCAGTCTTATCTTATTCTTATCTTAAAGGGAATACATCTAAAGTTTTTTCTTAACTATAATGTTTACTAAAGGCTTTGGTGTATTACTTTTACTAAGTTAAGAAAGTTTCCTTCTATTCCTAGTTTTCTAGGGATTTTTAAAAAAATCATAATTAAGTGGTGACTTTTATCTGAAACTTTTTCCATCATTTGAGATAATGCAATTTACCTCTTGTAGCCTACTAACGAGGTAAATTGATTTGATAGATTTTCACAGATTGAACCATCCTTGCATTTCTGAGATAAACTTCATTGATCAGGATTCAGTTAGCTATTGTTCTATTTAAGAATTTTATATCTACATTTCTAAGGGCAAGAGGCCTGTAATTTTCTTTTCTTATCAGGTTCTTATCTGACATTGAAATCAAGATTACATAGGTCTCATAAAATGAACTGTAAACCTGTCTTATTTTCTGGCACAACTTGTATAATATGAGTTAACTGTACTTTCAAAGTTTGCTAGACTTCCTCTGTAAATTATTTAAGGTAAAATTTTCTCTTTGTGAGGGGAGGTTTTGTTGACTACCTTTTCAATGTCTTTCATGCTTATTGGCTTATTTAAATTTTCTATTTTTTCTTGCACCAATTTTGTCATTTTTCCCCCTAGGAATTTGTCCACTTCATTTTGGTCATAAAATGTGTTAGTGTACAATTGTTAATAATATTTCTATAATTATTTTCTAATCTATTATATCTATTCTTTTCATTCTTTATTTTATTCATTTAAATATTTTCTCTTTTTCTTCATCAGTCTTGCAACATGTTTGCTACATTATTAGTCTTAAAAGAAAATAGCCCTTTAGTTTTGTTAAGATTCTCTTATTTTTGCCCCTTACTTCATTAATTTCTACCCTTCTCTGTGTAATAATTTCCTTCCTTTTTGCTTTTAAAAATTTGTCCTGTTACAGTTTACTCAATTTTTTGAGTTGAATCTCACTGGTGTATAACCTTTCTTGCTTCTTGGTAGAATTGTGTGGCCAGGTGCGGTGGTCACACCTGTAATTCCAGCACTTTGGGAGGCCAAGGTGGGTGGATAACTTGAGGTTAGGAGTTTGAGACCAGACACCAACATGGTGAAATCCTGTCTCTACTAAAAATGCAAAAATTAGCTTGGTGTGGTGGCGCATGCCTGTAATTCCAGCTACTTGGGAGGCTGAGGCACGAGAATTGCTTGAACCCAGGAGGTGGAGGTTGCAGTGAGCCAAGATCATGCCACTGCACTCCAGCCTGGGCAACAGAGCGAGATTCTGTCTCAAAAAAATAAAAAAAAAGACTTGTTTAAAAATATAACTTTTCCTTTAGCATTGCTTTAGCTGTGTCCTCCAAATTTTGACATGTATATTTGACATGACAAATAATACATTGACATGTATTATTTGACATGACAAATAATTCTCAATATTTAAAACATCAAGTTATTCAGTTGGAAAACAGTATTATTTTGTAATATGCTTTTTAGTTTTGATGCATATAGTATTTTTAAGCAACTATTTTAAGTTTTAATTTGTTATTTTATGAATTTATTGAGGCTACCTTTATGGTCTAATAAATCATCTTGTTTTGTAAATGTTCTACATGCACATGAAAAGAATGTGTTTCTATATTTGTTGAATGTAGAGTTTATCTATTTTTTTTCTTCTTTTTTTTCCTTTTTTTTTTTTTTTTTTTGAGATGGAGTCTCGCTCTGTTGCCCAGGCTGGAGTGCAGTGGCATGATCTCGGCTCACTGCAACGTCTGCCTCACAGGTTCAAGTGATTCTCCTGCCTCAGCCTCCCAAGTAAACTGGGATTACAGGCACCTACCACCATGTCTGGTTAATTTTTGTATTTTCGGTAGAGATGGGGTTTCACCATGTTGGCCAGGCTGGTCTCGAACTCCTGACCTCAGGTGACCTGCCCACCTCGGCCTCTCAAAGTGCTGGGATTACAGGCCTGAGCCACTGTGACTGGCTGAGTTTATATATTTCTAAAAGTTTGAGGTTGTTAACTGCACTGAATATCTCTTATTTTCTTTTTTATTAATCTATTAGTTCCTGAAAGTAGTCTGTTAAAATTTCCAGTTATAGTCTGTTTTTCCTTAGAGTTAGGTCAATTATTTATTGTTTTACATATCTTGAGATTGTATTGTTAAGTGTATATGTGTTTTGATGGTTATGTCTTCTTTTCTTTTTTTAAATTTTATTTTGGCTGGGTGAGGTGGGCTCACACCTTTATTCCCAATACTTTGAGAAGCTAAGGTGGGAAGATCGCTTGACTAGCCTGGGAAACATACTGATCCCAGTCTTGGACTCAAGTGATCCTCCTGCCTTAGCCTCCTGAGTGGCTGCAATTACAGGTGCACAACACCATGCCGACTTTTATATCTGCTTTTCATTTTCCTCCTTTTCAGTTTCTATGTTTTTTCCTGTTCACTTTTGATACTTTTTTCAGAAATTGATTTTTTCTGTATTAAGATAGCTATATCTGCTTTCTATTGGTCCATAGCTACCTAGCATGTGTTTATCCATTCTTTATTTTTCAATGTTTCTGTGTCTTCAAGTATGTCTTTTGTGGTCAACATATTATTTATAATTTTTTAATTATTTTTTTTTTAGAGACAGAGTCTCACTCTATTGCCCAGACTGGAGTGCAGTGGCACTATCAGAGCTCACTGTAACCTTGAACTCCTAGGATCAAGTAACTTTCCAGCCTCAGCTTCCTGAGTAGCTAGTACCACAGGCAAGTGCCAACATGCCTGGCTATTTTTTTTTTTTTTTTAATTGTAGAGGCAGGGTCTCGCTATGTTGCCCAGGCTGGTCTTGAACTCCTGGGCTTAAGCGATCCTTTTTGGCTTGACCTACCAAAGTGCTGGGATTATAAGTGTGAGCCATTGCACCTGGCCCAACATATTTTGTTTGTGTTATTTTTCAAATCTAATCTTAGAGTCTGTCTTTTAATTGGTGAGCTAATTTGAAAAAAATTCTAAAATATTTTTCTTCATAATTTATTCACATATTCCCTGCTTTTATTTTAAAAAGTCTCCTGGGACTCATATTAGATATTGATATGTTTTCTGCCCTTCAAATCTTTTAACTTTTAAAGCACTTTTAATGTGTCCTTATCCTTTCCTGCTGCCTGCTAGAGAGTTCATCTAATTTTGCTTTTGTCTTCTATTATTTTTTCTTTTTTCTTTTTTTTGAGATGGAGTTTCGCTCTTGTTGCCCAGGCTGGAGTGCAGTGGCGCAATCTCGGCTCACTGTAACCTCCACCTCCCGGGTTCAAGTGATTCTCCTTCCTCAGCCTCCCGAGTGGCTGTGATTACAGGTGCGTGCCACAATGCTCAGCTAATTTTTGTATTTTTTGTAGAGATGGGGTTTTACCATGTTGGCCAGGCTGGTCTGGAACTCCTGACCTCAGGTGATCTACCCACCTTGGCCTCCCAAAGTGCTAGGATTACAGGCATGAGCCATGGCACCCGGCTTTCTATAATTTTCTATTATTTTTTCTATCTATTGTGTTCTTTACGTCAACTTTTATATATTCGTAGTCAACTTTTCTACCTTTTTCTTATAGTTTTTAATTCTTAATTTTTGGTCCTAAGATATATAACCCCTTGTTTATATATACAAACTATATATATATAGTGTTTATTTAAAATTCTTCGTCCATCTGTTTCCATTTTGCTTTAGCTGGTATCTGTGTTTAGCTCACTGTTTGTCTGTTAGAGACGTTCTCAGGTATCTAGTTATTTGTGCCTGTGAGCTCATGTTCACCTGGGAATAACAGCTGCTCTTTCTGGTAATGTGTTTGGGGAAAGGGATGAAGGCCAGACCCCAAGCCAAATCTCTCTGAGTATTAGGGAGAGGGGAGTAGGAAGTCCCAGTGCAGAGAGATGCCCTCAGCTACTGTTAATTATTTCTTTTTCAGGAGTAATATCCACCAGACAACTCTGCCTCAGGAATCCTTCTTTAAACTCTTTGAAATAAGCAGCTCTAGTAGAAGCCAGTTTCCTTAGTTTGTAGTACCCCAGTCATGGGCAACTGGTGTGTGGGGGACCATCAGTCCAGGCCTGTTTTTATTAATATCTCACTCCAGCAGGACTTTTGTGCTACCCTGATATTACCATTCTGACATGGGACAGGCTTGGGGCTGTTGCTGTCAATTTCTCTGGAGATGGGTGAAATATATATTTTTATTTTAATTTGGATTCCTTGATAATAAATGAGGTTGAACTATACATATATATGTTATATATGTTTGTACATATATATATACACACAGTATATATAAATTTTACAACAAGGATTTCTTTTATGAATTGTTAATTCACTTTGCCCATTTTATTATTTATTTATTTATTTGTATTGATTGATAAAATGTCTTTGTATGTGATAAATAGTTTTTCTTATGTAGCTTTCGTATTCTGTTTCAATGAGTTGCCTTTTATAACTTTATTTATGATATTTCTTTGCTAAACAGCCTTGTTAATTTTTATATAGCTAAATATGTCTTTTATTTTTCATTTATGACCTCTGGGTTTTATGCCTCTACTTAATTTTAGTGATGCAAATAAAACCCCTCACACATAGACAAATGAGGATTTTAAACAAATCTGTTATTTATTAAATATTTATTTTTTACTTTTACTATTTATTTATTTTAGGGATGGGGGGTCTCCCTATGTTGCCCAGGCTGGTCTTGAACTCCTGGCCCCAAGCAATCCTCCTGCCTCTGCCTCCCAAAGTGCTGGGATAACAGGCATGCACCACTATGCCTGGCTTATTTTTACTTTTTAAAACTTGCTGTTCTTTTCTAAAAAATGAGATCTTGCTATATTGCCCAGGCTGGAGTGCAATGCTGGTGACCACAGTGCACTGCAATCTTGAACTCCTGACCTCAAAGCAATCCTCTCGCCTCAGCCAAGTAGGTGTGTGTGTCACCATGCCTAGCTGTTGTTAGATTTTTAAATTTAAAAAGTACACACTTGACATAAACAAATTAAGCAATTTGAAAGGCTATAAAGTTAATATTCTTCCCCTCCCCCATGATCAATCTCTGAGATAATTAATGTAAACACTTTTCTCACAAATGTATATACTTATAGAAGCTTCTATCTCTCAAATCATTACTCTGCAAGTTTTTTTTTTTTTTCTTTTTTCCCCGAGACGGAGTCTTGCTCTGTCACCCAGGGTGGAATGCAGGGCCTGATATCAGCTCACTGCAACCTCTGCCTCCCGGGTTCAAGCGATTCTCCTGCCTCAGCCTCCCGAGTAGCTGGGATTACAGGCATGTGCCACCACGCCCAGCTAATTTTTGTATTTTTAGTAGAGACAGGGTTTCACCATGTTGGCCAGGCTGGTCTCGAACTCCTGACCTCCAGCAATCTGCCCGCCTTGGCCTCCCAAAGTGTTGGGATTACAGGCGTGAGCCACTGCAACCGGCCTTGCAAGTTGTTTTTTAAAAAGAAAGCATGGTATTTATAGCTATCACATCAGACCAATATTTATAATTTAATTCATTATTTTCTTAGAAAAATAATATTTTGGCTGGGTGCAGTGGTGTGGGCCTGTAGTCCCAGCTACTCAGGAGGCTGAGGCTGGGGGATCCCTTCAGCCTAGGACTTTGAAGCTGTAGTGTTCTATGATTGCACCTGTGAATAGCCACTGCACTCCAACCTGTGCAACACAATGAGACCCTGTCTCAAAAAATAATAATTAAAAATAACATTCTGTGATATGGATGTTCTACAATCTATTTATCTATTCTCTTACTGATAGATATGCTAGTTTTTTCCAGCTTTTGTGAATATAAATAACAATAAACAAGCAACAAATATCCTTGGATCAGTGGAAATGGATAGTCCAAAAATAGTTCAAAGAATATATAGCAACTTGATTCATCATAAAAATGACATTTCAATTCAGTGAAAAAAGGCCAGGTGCCGGTGGCTCATGCTTGTAATCCTAGCACTTTGGGAGGCCAAGGTGAGAGGATCGCTTGAGCTCAAGAGTTCGAGACCAACCTGGGCAACATGGTGAAAACCCATCTCTAAAAATAGAAAAAATTAGCTGGGCGTGGTGATGCATGCCTGTAGTCCCAGCTACTTGCTGGGCTGAGGCAGGAGGATCGCTTTAACCTGGGAGGTTGAGGCTGCAGTGAGCCAAGATTGTGCCACTGCACTCCAACCTAGGTGACAAAGTGAGATCCTAAAACAAAACAAAGATGATTTATTTAATAAGTAATGCTAGCATAACTAACAGTTTCCACCTGGGACAAAAATAACACTTCTTTTTTATACCATGTATAGAAATAAGCTCCAGATGCAATAAGACTAAAATGTAAAAAATTTGAAATATTAGGAGACAATTTAGCAGACTATTTTTACATAATTTCAGAGTTGGGAAATTTTTTCTTTTAGAAATTTTGGAAGCCTTGAAATCATAAAAGAAAAAACATGAACAGGTTTAAATGTATAAAAAATTAATGTTTTATGTCTCTACATGATACAGGTAACACTAAAGGTTTTTACATGTCATTTTAAGGACAAATAAATGTTCAGGTCTTGGATTTTGTCTGATGAGAAATGGAATTTTATTACTACAGAGTCTGCATAACTATATCTGACCATAACTATCTGTACATAACTACACCTAACTATATATCGATACTTATATAACTATATCTGATATGTTGTAATGGGATTTTGTTCTAATGATTATATTTCTCGAAATTGCATCTCTAAAATCTGAAAATTTAACAGTACTTCTTTATTGGGAATTATTGTGAGGAAAAGAGTTACATAGTTTATACCACTCCTCATTCTACAATATTTACGTATGTGGATGTGGGTTGAATTTTCTTCCAGAGGGGATTTTGGAAATTTCGTTAAGTAAGTGATGAAACTGGTATGATGGCTGAAGATAACTGAAGGGTAATTAGAGTTCTTTTGTTTGGCTTTTAGGTGGCAAAAAGTTTAGCTGTGGCTGACATATAAATATACAATTGCATATTTCTTTTAAAAAGTTGACTTTGCTAACAGACACCAGATTTTTTTTCTTTGTTCTGGATGATGAGTTGTAAGTGGATCAAAAAGAAGTATTGATTTGTTCCACTGGCACACTAAAGGAGCATTCAGTGTTTTAAATCTTTAACAAGACATTTATTGCCCTAATCACTAAAATCAGTGGTTATAAATTAGGATGTTTCCTGCAAAGTTAGGTTTATAACCAGCTTCTTGTTTAACTGGGAACTTTAAAGATGATCCAGTTTTAGTCCCATCTCATCTGTGAAATGAGGACACTGGGGCCAGAGGGATTAAGTCACTTCTCAGAGTGAATGAAGAGCAAAGCCCGGACTAGAACCCTCCCGCTGTTTTTAACTCTTCTTCATAGGGAACCAGGGGTGCCAACAACAGGGGGCAGAAAAAGACTAGTGGCAAAGGCATTTGAATTGGGAATATAATAATGTCTCCCCAAAGATTTCCTGCTGCTGTAGCATACTGTATTTTATGGGCACTGTCCGCTCCTGGACAATTTCTGTTGCTTCCTTGGAGGGGCCACTGAAAGCAGATGTCTGCAAGGCAGCATCCCGACCGTCCATGTCTTGAGTCCTGATTCTTCAAATGCCCATGCTTCTGTGCATCCAGACAATTGTGGAGTGAGCAGACAAGGCAGGGAGAAGTGACTTATAGGACGTGATTCAGCAACATAAAAAGAGGGGCTTACTTATTTCATACATTCATGATGAACCCATCCTAACTGGATCATTAAATTATTGACTTAACTTCAATAATATAATTATCTCAGTAGAATCTACTTGGGCTTCTGAATCAAGGTAAATTGTGATTTTATCACACGTAAGTTGAAAAGGTATGAAATGGAGGTGAGCAAATGGACACCTTTAGGAAAGAGACTTGGTTGTGATGTCTTGTGGGGGGATGACCAGGGAGAGATGTGGGTTTGCATGGGGGCTGGAAGGAAGCAATTTATAATGTACACGGGGCCCCCTACAAATGGCTCTATTTTTTCTTGTAAGGATATGTATTGGTCAGATGTTTTCAAATTCACATAATGTTTGGGCCAGATGATAACCTGTTGAGTCATTAATATCTGTCCCTTGCTTTCTGTTCCTGCTGCTGCATTTGGGTTTTAGCCATTCATTATCTCTTGCTTGGAAATTGTCAATGGTCTTCTCCTTAGTCTCACTACTAGTGCCAATCCCCTTCCTAGCCATTTTCTATGTGACTTCCAATGTGACCCTTTTGAAAGCACAGGGAGATATTGCTACACACCTATTAAAATGGCCACAATTAGAAACCAAAATAAAACAAAAAAATCATGTGGCTGAGTGGGGAGGATTACTTGAGGTCAGGAATTTGAGACCAGCCTGGGTTAACATAGTGAGACCCCTGTCTCTACACACAAAAAGTAATAATTTAAGGGCGAGGTGCGGTGGCTCATGCCTGTAATCCCAGCACTTTGGGAGGCCAAGGCGGGTGGATCTGCTGAGGTCAGGAGTTCGAGACCAGCCTGACCAACATGGTGAAACCCCTTATCTACTAAAAACCACAAAAATTAGCCAGGTATGGTGGTGGGGACCTGTAATCCCAGCTACTCCGGAGGCTGAGGCAGGAGAATTCCTTGAACCTGGGAGGCAGAGGTTGCAGTGAGTTGAGATCACGCCATTACACTCCAGCCTGGGCAACAGAGCAAGACTCTGTCTCAAAAAAAAAAAAACAGTAATAACTCAAAAAATTAGCCAGGCATGGCGGCATGCACCTGTAATCCCAGGTTTTTGGGAGGCTAAAGTGGGAGGATTCCTTGAGCCCAGGAGTTTGAGGCTGCAGTGAGCTATGATCATATTACTAAACTCCAGCCTAGGTGACAGAGTGAGACTTTGTCTCAAAAAAAAAAAAAAAAAAAAGTTGTGTGTGAACGTAAGTTTTTGCTTCATGTGGGTAAATATCTAAACATGTGATTGCATGGTTGAATGGTAAATATAAATTTCACTTTTTTTTTTTTTTCGAGACGGAGTTTCACTCTTGTTGCCAAGGCTGGAGTGCGATGGCATGATCTCAGCTCACAGCAAACTCTGCCTCCCGGGTTCAAGCAATTCTCCTGCCTCAGCCTCCCGAGTAGCTGAGATTACAGGCATACACCACCATACCCAGCTAATTTTTGTATTTTTAATAGAGATGGGGTTTCACCACGTTGGCCAGGCTGGTCTCGAACTCCTGACCTCAAGTGATCTGCCTGCCTTGGCCTCCCAAAGTGCTGGGATTATAGGCGTGAGCCACTGCACCTGGCCACAAAAACTTTTATGCAAATGTTTAAACAGCTTGATTTGTGATTGCCCCAAACTGCAAACAACCCAAATGTTCTTCAAGTGGTAAACGGTTCTACAAACTATGGTACATCCATGGCATGAAATTTACTCAGCAATAAGAAGAAATGAACTCCCCATACCTGAGGTAACAAGAATGGATCTCAAATGCATTACGCTAAGTGGAAAAAGCCAGGCTCTAAAAGTCATGTACCATATGATTTCATATTTATGACTTTCTGGAAGAGGTAAAACTACAGGAACAGAAAACAAATGTGGTTGCCAGAGGCTGGGTAGGGATAGAAGAGTGATTGATTACAAAGCCTGGGGAAATATTTTGAGTTGATGGAACTGTTCTTTTTTTTTTTTTCTTTTTTTTTTTTTTTTGAGACAGTGTCTCAGTCTGTCACCCAGGCTGGAATGCAGTGGTGCCATCTTGCTCACTGCAACCTCTGCCTCCCAGGTTCGCACCCTCTGCCTCCCAGGTTCAAGTGATTCTCCTGCCTCAGCCTCCTGAGTAGCTGGGATTACAGGCATGCACCATCATGCCTGGCTAATTTTTGTATTTGCAGTAGAGTCAGGGTTCCACCCTATTGGCCAGGCTGGTCTTGAACTCCTGACCTCAAGTGATTCTCCCACCTCGGCCTCCCAAAGTACTGGGATTACAGGCATGAGCCACCATGCCTGTTCTGATGGAACTGTCCTATATTTGGGTTGTGTGAGTAGTTATGTGACTATATCCATTTGTCAAAAGTCACAGAACTGCATGCTAAACTGCGTAAATTTTAATGTACGTAAATTATATCTCAATTTAAAAAAAGATCCTTGTTTACGTATAAGAACCAATGAGATGCACCTGTTGAATTTCAGCTTCTTATCATGCCTCTGCCATTCTGCACTGAGCTGTATTGCAGAGTTGGGAATATCTTGGGCTGTGGGGTTATGGTGGCTTCCACTCCTCTCCTCCCTAGGGGAGAGGCACATTTAGCTAGCTAAGAACGAAACCACGTATTCCTACCCAACTTTCTCCCTTCCAAATATTAGCCAGACCCAACCCTGCTTAGCTTTTGAGATCAGACAGGATTGGGTGCTTTCAGAGTACTATGGCAGCAGGCCCTACCCAACTTTCTATCCATAGAACCCTGCCCCCTTCAGGTTCAGGAGCGTCTTGATTAATCTAGTGGGTCATTCATCAAATGTGAATTGTAGGTTCATTGTTTATTTTTTCTTTAATTCCACAAAGTGAGTAGTTCAGATGCATTTTAGGGATTACACTTTGTTTTGCGTATAAATGGATGCTTGAAGGGAAATTAGCTTCTCTGGGCCCTGAGCTTACAGCATCCTTCATTGCTCTTGCTGGGCTGCCTGTTTCTTCTTTGGTGTTCCTGGTCTGTACTGAAGAGTCCAGGGAAAAGACCTCACTGATCAGAGAATCACTCATTGCCTTACTCTTCTGTCCTACTGTCAGAGGACGGTTATGATTTTTGCTTCAGGACGCGTGATCATCCTAATTGTAGCCTCCAGAGGTGTCAGGCTCACTAATGGTTCTGAGGCCATCTTGATTCCAGAGCAAGCAGCTGATTTGTTTTTTCCTTGACTTCCTGTTCTTGGTGACAGGTTTGATCATACTAGGTGTTAGAAACCCAGTAAGAAATGAATGAAAATGCAATTTAGTGACACACATTGGCAAAACATTAACATTTCCCAATTCTCTTGATTATGATGAAAAGGGGGCTTGTTCTTGGACTCTAAATTATTATTATTACTTCTTGTTTTAATTTTCTTGCTTTAATCAAGTGGAATGTTAATCCATTTTCTCGGAGCTGAATTTAGAATTTCTCAGGATGCATCTGGATCCAGTTCTACTGACACAAAATATTTCCAGTCTTAATTCTTTCTACATTGAAGATAAGAACAGCCAGGTGCGGTGGCTCACACCTGTAATCCCAGCACTTTGGGAGGCCAAGGTGGGTGGATCACTTGAGATCAGGAATTGAAGACTAGCCTGGCCAACATGGTGAAATCTCATCTGTACAAAAATACAAAAATTAGCTGGGCATGATGGCATATGCCTGTAATCCCAGCTACTTGGTAGGCTGAGGCAGAAGAATTGCTTGAGCCTGGGAGGTGGAGGTTGCAGTGAGCCGAGATTGCACCGTTGCACTCCAGCCTGGGTGACAGATCAAGATTCCATCTCAAAAAAAAAAAAAAAAAGACCAAGATTTCTCTGTGAGAGTAAACAAGAGTGCTCACCATCTATGCAGCACAGAAGAGAAAGCAGGGGCCTCCTTCCCGCCCCCCGGTTTAATGACATGGAAGAGGAGTAGTGGGGCAGAGGCCAAGATGCAGCGTTTCCTGGAGCCCCAAACCCTCATTGGAGCACTTTCTTTTCCTGCAACGAAGGCCAACATTCTTCCGCAACTCCACAGATGACCCTGCTACACAGATTTATTTTTCCTGAATCTAACGTGTCAAAAAATTCCAGGGCCAGGACCCTTGCTATTTCCAAGCCAACCTTTCACCCTAGAGTTTCCCAGTGATGTTCTTAAGGAAGTGAGACATTTGGTTTGCTTCATACCAGCTGATTCAACTGACCCGGGAAAGGTTGTAGTTAATTCTTTTGGTTGTTGTTGTTTGTTTTTTTTTTGAGACGGAGTCCCTCTCTGTCACCCAGGCTGTAGTGAAGTGGCGTGATCTCAGCTCACTGCAGCCTCTGCCTCCTGGGTTCAAGTGATCCTCCTGCCTCAGCCTCCTGAGTAGCTGAGACTACAGGTGCGCACCACTACCCCCAGCTAATTTTTGTATTTTTAGTAGAGACGGGGTTTTGCCATGTTGGCCAGGATGGTCTTGAACTCCTGACCTCCGGTGATCTCCCCGCCTCGGCCTCCCAAAGTGCTGGGATTACAGGTGTGAACCACTGTGCCCGGCCTGGTTGCGGTTAATTCTGCAACTACTGCCTTGCTGGGCTACTGTGGGAAACAATGTTTTTTCAACTAAGCCAGTAAGATGGCAGCACCAAAGGAACTCCTCAAGCACCCACCTGAGCACTGTCTTTGGTCCCCTGTCATCCCAATGTCTCGAGGCTAGCTTCATGCCATCTTTGCCAAGGATTTTCTCTAAGCCCGGCTTTTCATGTGGATGGCATGTCTCTCCCATAAGGCCTAGTTGTATTTCTTTGGAAACCTCCCACGGTGCCTAATGCAATCCCTAGCACATATATTGAGTTACATACTTGGGGCTGTTCTGCAGCCTGCCTGGGGCTTGGAGCTGGTTTCATCTTTTTTTAGAGCATAGATCCAATTGTGGGCAGGTAGGTGCCTTTCAGCCTTAGGGGCTCTAAGCTCTCTGTGAGGATTGGCTGGGTGTTTCTAGATGTTCGCTGTCACTACTGGTGGGTTTTCTTTGCCTGCCTGTAACTGTCTCTGCCTCCCCTAGTTTTGCCACCATTTAGTGATATTGACAATGAAAATGACAATGGCAGCAAGAGGACTGACAGGCGGTATAGAATAGTGTGGATTCTGCAGGCCGACTACCTGGGTTCACATTCTATTTCTGCTGCTTACTAGTTGTGTGACCTTGGGCAAGTTGCCTAACCCCTCTGTGCCTCAGTTTCTCATCTGTAATAGTCTCTATTTCATATGGTTGTCATGAATTAGAAGTGAGTAAATATGTGTAAATTCTTAAAACTTCACATGTCATCTATTATTTTTATTGTTAGTACAGCTACCATGTATTGGATGCTCACTAAATGTCAGGCACTATTAAAAGTATCTCATAGGTATTTTATTTAAACCCTTACAACAACCTTGTGAGAGGAGTATGCTTATACCCATTTTAAAGGTAAGGACACTAAGGCTCAGTAACTCATTCAGATGGTTCCACTAATGAGTGGTAGAACCAGGATACAAACCCAGGGCTGCCTGCATCTGATGCCTTGCTCTTTTTTTTAAAAAAAAGAATATATATATAATTTTTTTATTTTTTAAGACAGGGTCTTACTATGTTGCCCAGGCTGGTCTTGAACTCCTGAGCTCAAGTGATCCTCCCGCCTCAGCCTTTCGAAGTGCTGGGATTACAGGTGTGAACCATTGCACCAGCCTGATGACTTGCTCTTAATCAGTTTGCTAATATATCTTCTTATATTGACGTGGCCAATCACAAATATGGTACATTAGCTGTTGCAGCTCCTTTCCTTTTCATCTGCATTTGGAGAGATATGTCGTGACTCTATTTTTTTCTCTTCCATGATCTCTTTTCTTCCACTATGGTTGGCAAAAATACCTTGCCAATGTTTTGGAGTGACTGAAAGTTGAGGTAACCATCTCAGCCACAGCTTATGAGGTCTTCAGAATGGCTTGGTTCCTCAAGGAGTCAGGCATTTGTGAAGTCTATGCTGCCCAGGGCTGGAAGAAATTTTGGATGACAGAGAAGGTTTGTGGTTATACTTTTGTCTTTATTTCCAAATTGCTTCTATGACGGGTTGATCAAGTGGTCTAGATTCTGAGGCTGCAGACCTACCCGATGCCCTTGTTTGTGGTCTCATTAGCTTGTGGTACCTGATATAGGTTAGATAGATCTCGGATCTTTCTGCACTGTTGGGCAAGCTTACAAAGTCATTTAACCTCCCTGCAGTTCTCTGAAAAGAAAAAGAATAACACTTGATTTATCAGGTTGGGAGGGAGTTAAAAATATGTCTGTGGAAGCTCTTAGCAGGCATTCAAGAAGTGTTTACTTCTCTAGTTCCAGTCTGTAGCTACAAATGTTGGCAAGAATTTTACAATGAATAACAGAAGGATATTTTATGTATCAGACTTAGCCATTGTCACTAAGTAGAAAACATTCAGTGTGTGCCCTCCAGGCCCACACTATGATGATTGAGCACTAGCCAGGGGGCACTATGCTAGATGAATTAAATGCTTATTGATCCTCCTAGCTCCCATGTAAGAGAGGGATTTTCTCCATTTTGCACATGAGAAAACAGGTTCAGAGAAATAAAAGTTTCCCAACGTCATACAGCTAGTTAGGCTCTAAAGAAGTACCATCTTTATATGAAAGGAATAGAACAAATGTTATTCATTTGTCATGTTTGTTGATCATTTGATATGCACTTGGCACAGATTTAGGTGTTATGTGTATAAAGCAAAGAAATATACATGGAGACTTACACTTTAGTTGAAGAGATAATCACACAGACATTGCAGACTTAAAAGCCTGAACTCTGCCGGCCTCTCACTACAATACACTTGAAAATTCTGGGCCAAGCGTGGTGGCTCATGCCTGTAATCCCAGCACCTTGGGAGGCCAATGTGGGTGGATGACCTGGGGTCAGGAGTTCAAGACCAGCCTGGCCAACATGGCGAAATCCTGTCTCTACCAAAAATACAAAAATTAGCCAGGTGTGGTGGCGTGCAACTGTAATTTTTTTAAAACAAAGGGGTAAGCTAAAGCCTAAGGTGAAAATATCCTAGGAGAGAAGGTATTGGGATAATACAATTCTCCCTGTACAGAATCATGTACAATTTGGTGCTTAATACATAATTTTCTTTGGACAGGGAGAGAGGGATGTGATGCCCATCGGTCAGCCCCTTCAGAGAATTCTGTGTGGCATTTTGTCAGCTTCATGTGGTCATCTTCACCCCTCTCAGATTTACCATAACCACAGTGACATCTAAAGGAAACTCTCACACTTGGTGAGAACTGTCCAACTACCCAAAGACAGATTGGCATCAAAACTGGGAGTGTAAGGACTAGGTGCTGTGGCTTACACCTGTAATCCCAGCTACTTGGGAGGCTAAGATGGGAGGATCTCTTGAGGCCAGGAGTTTGAGACCAGCTTGGGCAACATAGTGAGACCCTGTATCAAAAAACAAAACAAAACAAAATCTAAGACTCTCTTTATCCCACAAATATCTATGAGTTCAGAGTTCTGTGCTAGAAGCAGCATGTTTACAGGTGAGAATGAGCCCCTTTGTCTGGAGGAGCCATTGTTTCTCCCTGCTGGTGGGGCTGTCATTTCCACTCTGCAGCCAGGGAGAGCCAAAGAGGTTGAACCTGAACAGAAGAAAAGCCCAGGAGGATTTGCATGTGCTTTGGTCTGCGTGCTCTAATCCAGCTTCCTTAGGTCCTTGGCAGAGGAGGTAAAATGAGCAGTAGAGATGTGAGGGAATTGGGGCCCCCCCAAGTTGGGTCCAATCTACTAAGAGATGCAAATTGATAAATAAACACTAAAACAATGAGGCTCTGCTAATTCTCTGACAAAGGACAAATTGCTAATCTAACCTCACTGCCAGGAAACCTGCCTCAGTTGAACAAAGGCCGCATTTTCAGCGGCTGTTGTATATGTAAACTGGCTGTGCTGGTCAGTTAAGTGGATTTACTCTCACCTGCCTCCCGGGGGAGGGGTGGCAGGTAATCCTTCCTTTCTCTAAAGGTCTCAGCGAAACGGTCATTTGATCTGACCAGGAAAGGCCTGGGAGGATGTACCAAATTTTAGCCACTTTAGAATAACTGCCAAATTGCTCATGGACAAAAGGGCCAGTGTACGAAGGGGCAGGGGCTGGCAGTGGCAGCCCTTCCAGCTCAGGATTCGTAAAAGGCCTTGGGTGTCCCAGCCTCTCTCCAGCTGCCCCACCCCAGGGTTTGAGGCCTTCTCTGGAGAGAGGTGGTTGTCAGTGCTCCTGGGTGCTAGTGATTTTCTGACAAGGTGTCTGTCACCTGGGGCCTTGCTGTGGGATGCAGCCTGCCTCCCTGTGGACTCTCTGCCCTCCCCGACTTCCTCGTGAAGGCTGTCTCCCACTCAAGGTGTCAGCTCATTCATTCTTCCAACTGACCTGCAGAGGAGAGTCTGGCGCTGAGATGACACCTTCACAGACAGAGTGAACCCAAAGCTAATCACCTGGGGATGTCGCAGATAAGCCCCAGTCTCAGTGGCCTCTGGCCTCCTTTACCTTCTCCTGGCTCTGCCTCCTGTCAGCCCATGTCCTCCTCCTCAAAGGCACCCTTCTGGGTGGGCTAAAGCGTGGCTCCGTAAGGGAGGAAATGGTAGCTTTTCTGGAGCAACTGGTGCTCTTGAGACACATCCTGCTGTGATTTCACACACACAAGTCTTGCTCAGGGGGACATAGCCTGGACCTCTTACAGTGTCAGAATTGCAAAGCATCTTCACACTCCCCGGTCTGAGGCCCAGGGAAGAACTTTGAAGTCATTTCTGGAGATGCTACCAAGGAACGGGTGATTTCAAACACAGATTCAGAATTGATGAAGAATAAGCACAACTTAGCCCCGACAGGGCCTTTGAGAGGGCGCCTGGGTGATGTCTGGAAGCCTCCCCACATTCAGGGATGGAATTCTTTCTGCTATGCCCCCTTCCATGTGGGACTGCAGACACAGACTCTTGGTTCTGTGACCAGAGACTCTTATGTGAAGACTCATGACAAATTTTCTGTCTGTTTGGCTGGGCGTGGTGGCTCATGCCTGTAATCCTAACAGTTTGGGAGGCCAATGTGGGTGGATGGCTTGAGCCCAGGAATTTGAGACCAGCCTGGGCGAAATGGAGAAATCCTGTCTCTACTAAAAAACAGAAAAATTATCTGGATGTGGTGGTGCACGCCTGTGGTCCCAGCTACTCAGGAGGCTGAGGTGGGAGAATCCTTTGAGCAGGGAGGCATAGATTGCAGTGAACTGAGATCACACCACTGCACTCCAGTCTGGGCAACAGAGGGAGACCCTGTCTCAAAAAAAAAAAAAAAAAAATTCTGACTGTTCAGGCTCAGATGCCTACTTTATGGTCCCAGTTCAAAGGCTGCCACTTGGGACTGAATCTCCAGGGGACTGTCACAGAGGTGGAGGGTGAGGGTGGGTGAACAGGTGAACGGGTGAACAGGGATGAGCTGCTGAAAAACTTTCTTGGTTTTGGTCCGAGGCTCAGCTCACAAAGCCCGCCCCCCTCCATGAGGGACACTTCTTTGCTCCTGCTGGCTTTTTTGGAGCGTCCACTCTTGAAGGCTCCCCTGTCATGCCTTTTGGAGGATGATAGTTATACTGGTTCTGAATCCCATGCCCCTGACATTCCTCTTGTCCAGGTCCTCGTCCAAGTCTTGGTGGCAAATCCACCTTCCAGGCTCCATCTTAGCGGCAGCACTGGCAGGCTGGTCTCTTGCCCTTTGGCCCTGTCTCTCTCCTGGCTTTCTGGGCCACACACTCTGTGGGTTCTCCTCCCTCTTCCAGGCCCTCTGCCAGCTCCTGCTCCTCCCTCGTCCTCACTCAGCTCCTACACATCCTTCAGGGCCCAAGTGGAGCTCCCTCAGAGAGGAGTTGCCCAAAACCTCTGCATCTGCTCTGGTCCAAAGTATGTTCACTCTCTTATTCTCTTATTGCATCCTGTTCCTTCCCTCCAACAAGCTTCCACTGGTCATTTGCTCATATTTATATAGATATACTGTCTGCTTCCCTCTTTCAGACTAAACTCCATGATGGAGACCATGTCTATGTTGTTCAGATGCTATAGCGATGCCTTGCACAGGGCTTGGTGCATAGTAGGTGCTCAATAAATACTTGTTGAAGGAGTGAATGGATGGCTGAATGCATGCTTACAGTGTACTGTGTGATGCTGAGCGATTCTATATATTATCTTATTTACGCCTCATGTAGATCTTATCGAGCAAGTGTTATGATCATTTTACAGGTGAAGAAACTGAGGCTTTGAGAAGTTAAGTGAATTCCTTAAGGTCACAGTTGGTGTCGGTGCTGAGATTAGAACTCAAATCTCTCTGACCTCAAGCCCTAGACTCCATTTCTTATAACTGCTCACTGGGGAAGGTGGGTTGCATTCCTCCAACATTGTTTCCATCTTATCAATTTCTTACTTTCTTACTCAAGAACATCGGTGGTTCCCTGTTATTCATTGTATCCCTACCCAACTCTTTGCCTAACCTTCAGGGCTGGACACTGATGACTGTGATGGCTCTTTACTCTTTAACACAGAACTTAGACTTCAGATAAGCAAATTAAGGACCATTTAATTATGGTAAGTTTCTATTTTCTTCATGTTTGCTTAGGCAGCTAAGCATGCAGGTTCTAAATCAATCAGTCTAGGGTTCAATTCTGGCTTCATCATCCCTGTGATCCTCCCTCTTTTGTCTTTGAATTTGAGAGGCTCTTTAAAAACTACCATTTCTTAATCTTATGCAAAAAATGTGTCTTACTTAAGAATGTAATGCACATTTTAGTTGAAAGGCAGGGAGATAACTGGTATTTCTTAAACCCTTCTCTCTCTTAATTCTTTAGTACGGAGGCTGATTTTACTCTTTTTTTTTTTTTTGAGACAGGGTCTTACTCTGTCACCCAGGCTGGAGTACAGTGAGATCATGGCTCATTGCGGCCTTGACCTCCTGGGCTCAAGAGATCCTCCCAGCCTTCTGAGTAGCTGGGACCACAGGTGAGCACCACCATGCCTGGCTAATTTTTAATTTTATGTAGAGACGGTGTCTCCCTATGTTGCTCAATTTTTCTCTTTCTAATTGTGATGCTATTATAGTTAGGAATTGATATAGGATCATGAGGGAAATGCAAGTCAAAACCAAAATAGATACTCCTTCCCTTCCGTTAGGGTGACTATTATAGGAAAACACACACACATACACATAACAGAAAATAACAGGTGTTGGTGAGGATGCGGAGAAACTGGAAGCCTTGTGCATTGCTGGTGGGAAAGTAAAATGGTGTTTCCACTGTGAAAAACAGTATTTTTGGGATCTTCGAAAAATTAGGCCAGGCGCAGTGGCTCACGTCTGTAATCCTAGCACTTTGGGAGGCCGAGGCGGGCGGATCACGAGGTCAAGAGATTGAGACCATCCTGGCCAACATGATGAAACCCCATCTCTACTAAAAATACAAAAGTTAGCTGGGAGTGGTGGCGGGTGCCTGTAGTCCCAGCTACTTGGGAGGCTGAGGCAGAAGAATTACTTGAACCCGGGAGGCAGAGGTCGCAGTGAGCCAAGATCATGCCACTGCACTCCAGCCTGGAGACAGAGTGAGACTTTGTCTCAAAAAAAAAAAAAAAAAAAATTAGACATAGGCTGGGTGTGGTGGCTCATGCCTGTTATCTGTAATCCCAGCACTTTGGGAGGCTGAGGCAGATGGATCACTTGAGGTCAGGAGTTTGAGACCAGCCTGGCCAACATGGTGAAACCTCATCTCTACTAAAAATACAAAAATTAGCTGAGTGTGGTGGTGCATGCCTGTAATCTCAGCTACTTGGGAGGCTGAGGCAGGAGAATCACTTGAACCCAGGAGGCGGACATTGCAGTGAGCTGAGATAGCACCACTGCACTGCACTCTAGCCCTGGCAACAAAGCCAGACTCTTTCTCAAAACAAAAACAAAAACAAAAACAAAAGTTAGACAGAATTACCATATGTCTCAGCAATCTGAATATATACCCTAAATAATCGAAAGCAGGGACTGGAAGAAATATTTATATACCCATGTCCATAAGCAGCATTATTCACAAGAGCCCGAAGATGGAGACAACTCAAGTGTCCATCAATAGATGAACAAACAAAAGTGATACATACGTGCCATGAAATATTATTCAGCCTTCAAAAGGGATGCAGTTCTGATAGATGCCATGACATGGATGAACTTCAAGAACATTATGCCAAGTGAAATAGCCAGTCACAAAAGGACAAATTATATGATTCTACTTATGACAGATACCTAAAATAGGCAAATTCATAGAGACAGAAAGTAGAGCAGAGGTGACCAGGGGCTGGGGGGAGGGGCAATGGACAGTCATGGTTTAATGGGCACAGAGTTCCAGTTACGGATAATGAAAAACTTCTGGAGATGGATGGTGGTGTTGGTCACACAACCATGTAGATGTACACGTATAGTACCGCTGAGTTGTACACTTAAAAATGGTTAAAATGGCAAATTTCATATTATGTATATTTTAACACAATTAAAAAAGGAATCAATATAGGAAATTACTGCATGCCAGCCACTATTCTAAGTACTTTATATGCATTAACTCTTTTAATTTTACAACATTCTAGGCAAATAATAATGAGCCATAATAATTAGCATATTATTCCTGTGGTAATAATAATTGAACTATCTGGGCCATCTTAGGATAAATGCTGTTTAGACATAATACTCTATAATGTAATATACTCCTTTAATTCAATTTTCTGAGACTTCATTTAGAATTTTCTTATCTCCAGCAGAGTGATATTTCTAATATGTAAATGTGAGCAGGCTGGGCATGGTGGTTTGCCCCCGTAATCCTAGCACTTTGGGAGGCCAAGTGGGGAGGATTGCTTCAGGCCAGGAGTTCAAACCAGCCTGGGCAACATAGTGAGACCCCATCTCTACAGATTTTTTTTTTTTTTAATTAGCTGGGCATGGTGGCATGAGCCTGTAGTCCCAGCTACTCAAGAGCTGAGGTGGCAAGATTGCTTGAGCAATGAGCTATGATGGCACCACTGTACTCCAGCCTAGGTGACGGAGAAAGACCCTGTCTCAAAAAAACAAAACAAAACATATATATGTGTATGTGTGTGTGTGTGTGTGTGTGTGTGTGTGTGTGTGTGTGAGCAAATCATTTCAGGGTTGACATTTGTGTTGTTTCCTGAATTTCATCTGTACTGCATAAGCTGGAGTCTATTCTTTGAATCTCCTGGAATCTACTCTTTGAACTGCAATTAACTCTTCCTTTGACAACTATGTGCTTAAATCATACTAATTTTTTCTGGGTTTTCTGAGTATGTCATCTTCCTCCATGCTAATGTGTTTTTGAAAAGGCTATTTTCTTTGCCTGAAAACCACTTTTGTCCTCAAGTCTTGCAAAAGTCTTGCTCATCCTTCAAGTTTCACCCAGAGGTCACCACCTTGTGTAGCCTGCCTTCTCCTCCCCAGCAGAGCTCCTCGCTCCCTCTCTGTGCTCTTTTAACCTCCCAGGGACAGTACTTATCACATTGTGTGCAACGTATTTGATCCAGGTCTTTCTTATCCACTAGCCCAGTGGCTTCCAAACTGGAGCTTGAGCTTACCAGGGTGTAAATGCAAGAGGATTCATAGTGGGGGGGATTTTATAAATTCTATATATTGTTTATCTCCTCCATTTCAATGCATTTTATTTTTATATTTGTATATTTTTATATTTGTATATTATGTAATACATAAATATGTTAGTATACTTATATTTTATTATATATGTATATATACAGACATACATACACATATATATTAGATCACTATTATATATTATTGGCTTTATATATGTGATTAATACATAAATAAATTTACATATAGAGGGATATCTGCTCAATTTTTTTTCGCTGATGGAACAAATAATAAAAGTCATTGGAGACCATTGCACTAGACAATGAGATTCTTGACAGCGAGGTCTTATTTTAGCCTCAATTTATATCCACCAATATTGTAGGTGAGGCAACATATATGCCCAATATATATTTGAAAGGTTAAATGAGAAAGTATGGAACAGGTAGAACTCTTTAATACAAGAGTAATAAATAGTGAATTATATAGTGATCCAACTCAAGTTGTGGTTACTAAGGTTGATTTTTATTTTGTTTTTTAATATATAGGGTCTCACTCTGTCTCTCTGGCTGGAGTGCAGTGGCATGATCATGGCTTACTGCAGTCTCAACCTCCTCGGCTCAGGTGATCCTTCCACCTCAGCCTCCCAAGTAGCTGGGACTACAGACATATGCCACCATGCCTAGCTAATTTTTTGTATTTTTTGTAAAGATGGAGTTTCACTGTGTTGCCCAGGCTGGTCTCGAACCCCTGGGCTCAAGTGATTCACCTATCTCGGCCTCCTCAAGTGTTGGGATTACAGGCGTGAGCCACCGCACCCAGCCAAGGCTGATTTTTTACAAGAATAAAAGTCTCCAAAGGGACAGGAAATGAACCATTATGACCAGGTTCTTCTCCATATGGCTGAGTGTCCATTTAAGCATCCAGAGCCAGTTCCACAGCAGGTGACAGGTGATCCCAGGTAAGTATCTCTGCACCAGGTCTGTGGGTTGGTGCCACATCCCTGGTTTCTCTATATTCCCCTGCCCTGACCCCACTGTTCATTCCCCACTATCCTATCCCCAATTCAACCTTGATGGTCCCACTGGCTAAATAGTAGGGTTGCCAGGTAAAATACAAGTTGTCCAGTGAAATTTGAATTTCAGGTGATCAGCGAATAATATTTTAGTATAAGTATGTCCCAAATATTGCATGGTTTTTATCTGAAATTCAGATTTCATTGGATTTCCTGCATTTTTATTTGGTAAATCTGGCAACCCTACTTAATAGACTCAGGGGCGTGCTCCAAAATAGTCAACAGTAGCTACTATTTGAGGCTTCCTCCCTGTGCCAGGTACAGTTGCTATGCACTTTGTGTACAGCATCTCTTTTAAGCCTTATATTAATGATCTGAGACAGGTATAATCATCTCTATTTTTACAGCCAGGGAGACTGACAACAGCCCAAGGTCACCCCATAGGAACTGGAGGAATAATAATTTGAACTTGTGAACTTGGGTCTGTCCAACTCCAAAGCCTATTTCTTGTAGGGATACAGATTTGAGTTAAACATGTAGGGCACTTTGGACCAGGTAAAAATGCCTGAAATAGGGTTCGGGCATCATGAATTGTGGTGAGTCTCCTCGCAGGGGCTGGAAGCAGGGATGTTGCTGGATTCTTTAGCCCCAGAGGTAAGATTTGGATCAATGTCTTCGGAAGCCTTTTATTTTCTGTTCAAGCTGAAAAACTCCTTGAACATTATTTAAGGAATTATACATACATGTGTGTATTTTGCAATGGAAATGGGAAAACAATTTTTTTTGTTTTGTTTTGAGACTGAACCTTGCTCTGTCTCCCAGGCGGGAGTGCAGTGGTGCAATCTCGGCTCACTGCAACATCTACCCCCCAGGGTTCAAGCGATTCTCCTGCCTCAGCCTCCCGAGTAGCTGGGATTACTGGCATGTGCCATCATGCCTGGCTAACTTTTGTATTTTTGTAAAGATGGGGTTTCACCATGTTGGCCAGGCTGGTCTCAAACTCCTGATCTCAGGTGATCCACCCACCTCAGCCTCCCAAAGTGCTGGGATTACAGGCGTGAGCCACCGTGCCCGACCTGGTTTGTTCTTTTTAGAGACAGAGTCTCACTCTATCACCCAGGTGGAGTGTGGTGGCACAATCATAGATCACTGCAGCCTCAAGCTCTTGGGCTCGAGCGATTCTCCCGCCTCAGCCTCCTGGGGAGCTAGGACTACAGGCACGTGCCACCATGCCCACCTAATTTAAAAAAAGTCTCACTATATTGCCCAGGCTAAGTGACTTATATAACACATTTATCATTAAGATTACGTAAGTTTATATTAGACATATAGTGACCTTTAGGATCTCAGTGTTAAGTTCTGCTAGCTAAAATGGCAACAAGAATTATTTAAGATCTTTATGCAGTGCTTTCTGCAATGAGGGATTTATTACTATGTTTTGATAGTGATTCATCAACAATTGCAGGAAATACCCAGCTGCTGAAACAGGATGTGCATATGAAATACAGCAGCTTAGACCGGCGCGTGGTGGCTCACACCTGTAGTTCCAGCACTTTGGTAGGCCAAGGTGGGCGGATCATGAGGTCAAGAGATCGAGACCATCCTGGCCAACATGGTGAAACCCTGTCTCTGCTAAAAATACAAAAATTAGCTGGGCATGGTGGCGGGCGCCTGTAGTCCCAGCTACTCGGGAGGCTGAGGCAGGAGAATCGCTTGAACTCGGGAGGAGGAGGTTGCAGTGAGCCGAGATCATGCCACTGCACTCCAGCCTGGCAACAGAGCGAGACTCCATGTCAAAAAATAAATAAACAAATAAATAAATAAAAGAAATACAGCAACTTGTATAACAATAAGAACAATTTCTCCTGGGGGTTATCTGTGTATCTGTAGAATTACTGCAGAGGTGGAATCTCTCCAGAACTGTGTCCACATGCTTTACAGCAGAGGCCCATGGGGCATGATGGTGGGGTGCAGAGGCCATGGGACTGGACAGACCTGAGACGTATCCCGGCTCCATCACTTACTAGCAGTTTGAACTTGAATAGAACACTTGACCTCTCTCAGCCTCAGTTTCTTCATTTATAAAAAGGGGATGATAAAACCTCCACCACTGGGCTGTAGTGAAGATTAATTGAGACAGAACGTGTGAAAACCGGCTGGGCGCGGTGGCTCTCGTCTGTTATCCCAGCACTTTTGGAGGCCGAGGTGGGTGGATTGAGGCCAGGAGTTCGAGACCAGCCTGTCCAACACGGCAAAACCCCGTCTCTACTAAAATACAAAAATTAGCCAGGCATGGTGGTGTGCCTGTAATCCCAGCTACTTGAGAGGCTGAGGCAGGAGAATCACTTGAACCCGAGAGGCGGAGGTTTGCAGTGAGCCGAAATCATGCCACTGCAATCCAGCCTGGGCTACAGAGTCAGACTCTGTCTCAAAAAAAAAAAAAAAAAAAAAAGGTGTGAAAAGCCCCTAATACATTGCCTGACACACAGCGGATAACATCAGTTAGCAAGCAGCAAAAAGCCCAACACACACCAGCTTAACTAACAAGGGAATTGATTGCTTCATGTCGTTGGAAATCCACAAGGCCGACTTCAGGGCTGTTTTAACCTAGTTGCCCAGTTACTGTACCAAGGCCCTTCAAGATGTTGACCACAACTTCCCCTCCTTCTTGCGAGATGAATGCTTTTCCTGTGCAGGAAGATATGCATCCTTGTCAATGTCAGGAAGAGAGGCTGTCTCTCCCTCCACCATGGATTGAAAATCCTGGGCTTCCTTCTGATTAGGCTCTACTTGGTCAGGTGCTGTCCTTCCCTGAACCAGTGGCTGTGAAATGTTAAGTGCTGATTGGCTCAGGTCTGCATTGGGTTCCTATCCTTGGACCAATCATTGTTGCCAAGGGTATGAAATAACTGATTTGCTTGGACCAATCAGGGTTCACACCTTGATCTGGGGGGCAGGTTAATCCTTTCCAAACTTCATGCCTAGAAGAGAGCATGTTACTGAGACAGCACAGGTGTACTGCAGCAGGTGCCCGACAATTATTGTTATTGTTCTTATCAATAACAAAATTCCACATTGTGGATAACACATTTCCTTAGGGCTGATACTGAGTATTACCTCCCACTATGGTCTGAATGTTCGTGCCCTTTCACCCTCCAAATTCTATGTTGGAACCTAACATCCGATGTGATAATCTTAAGAGATGGGGCCTTTGGGAAGTGAGTAAGTCATGGAGGCTGCACCCTCATGATTGGAGTTAGTGTCCTTCTAAAAGAAGTGGAAGGACCCTCCCTGCTCCCTTCCATCATGTGAGGACACAGCAAAAAGTTGCCATGTGCGAAGCATGGAGCAAGCCCTTACCAGAAACTGAATCTGATGGTGCCCTGATTTCCCAGCCTCCGAACTCTGAGCAATAAACTTCTGTTGTTTCTAAGATATTTTAGCATAGCAGCCCAGATGAACTGACACTCCCTTTATTTTATTTATTTTTTGTTTTTTTTTTTTGTCTTTTTGAGACTTTGTCGCCAAGGCTGGAGTGCAGTGACTCGATCTTGGCTCACTGCAACCTCCACCTCCTGGGTTCAAGGGATTCTCGTGCCTCAGTCTCCTGAGTAGCTGGAATTACAGCGGCCACCACTCCTGCTTAATTTTTGTGTTTTTAGTAGAGACAGGGTTTCACCATGTTGGCCAGGCTGGTCTCAAACTCCTGACATCCAGTGATCCACTGAATACCTGGAATTATAGGTGCATGCCACCATGCCCACTTAATTTTTGTATTTTTAGTAGAGACGGGGCTTCACCATGTTGGCCAGGCTGGTCTCAAACTCTTGACCTCAAGTGATCCACCCACCTCGGCCCCCCAAAGTGCTGGGATTACAGGTGTGAACCACCACACCCATTCTCTGCACCCCTTCTTGTCTTTTGGGTTCTAAAAATATTATATTGTTTTATTCAGCCCTATCCCCCAGTTATAGATCTACATTCTTCAAGTGCTTCTTCAATGAATTTTAAGTGAATTTTTAGGTTCATAGTTGACCTAGAGCCAAAGTGTTTTTTTTTTTCTTTGAAGGTGATGATAGTGATGGTGGTATCCTCATTCGTCTGAAGCTAGAACAAGCTGGAAAAAATGCATAGGTCATTGGCTATTTGAACCTGCTACATAGCCTGCGATTGGATCATTTATCACGTGGTGTTACACACTGCGGCTAACTCCACGAAGTGAACACATTACACACAGTAGATGAGAAGCATGTTTAGGGCTTTGAAAGAGGACGCACATGAAGCAAAACCACATGCAGACATTTCAGCATGAGTGACCTGTAGGTGGACAGGTGCTGTGGTTACAGTGGAACTCTGGGAATCAGGTAGGGAGGAGGAATGCTGTGGAGGGCAACTTGTAAACTTCTTCTTCTTTTTTTTTTTTTTTTTCCCAGACAGAGTCTTACTCTGTCTCCCAGGCTGGAGTGCAGTGGTGCAATCTCGGCTCACTGCAACCTCCACCTCCCGAGTTCAAGTGATGCTCCTGTCTTAGCCTCCCGAGTAGGCAGAACCACAGGTGCATGCCACCACGCCTGGCTAATTGTTGTATTTTTAGTAGAGACAGTGCCTCACCATGTTGGTCAGTCTGGTCTTGAACTCCTGACCTCAGGTGATCCACCTGCCTCGGCTTCCCAAAGTGTTGGGATTACAGGCGTGAGCCACTGTGCCCGGCCAACTGGTAAACTTCTCAGTCTTGCAGCTCCCACCTGAAGGTAACACCAGCAGTGGGGATTAAAAAAAAAAAAAAGCCTATTGGCTTTGACTTCTGTAGACCTTGCTCAGCATCTGTAAAGGGTAATGACGTCTTACATGTTCACAAGACTTTGGAGTCCTGTCTGTCATGTACATGTATCTAACAAGAGTGACAGCTCAGCATCTCTCTGGAGGGGTGTGTGTGACATGCTGGGTTGCTTTGCCATCAATGTTTTTACACCTCATGGGACAACACAGCTTTGCCCCTTCTGGTTCATTTCTCCTCCCCTCAGGGATTTAGGAGACATGTGGGACTCAGCTGTGCTTCCTGAGAGTGAGCAATGGTGAGGCGGTTATCAGGGAATGCCATTTTCTGGAAGGAGTGGGACATTCATGATGGGATTACTTTCTTATTGCTGCTGTAACAGATTTGAAACCACAAATTTGGTGGTGTTAAAACAACACAAATTTATTATCTTACAATTCTGGAAGTTAGAAGTCCTAAAATCAAGGTGTGTGCAGGGATGCCTTCCTTCTGGAGGCTGCAGGGGAGAATCTGTTTCCTTGACTTTTCTACTTCTAGAGGCACCTGCATTCCTGACTCCAAGACCACTACCTCTGTCTTCCAGGGCCACACTGTAGCATCTTCAGCCTCTGTCTCTCTCTCTCTCTGACTCCTGCTTCCCATCATCATGCCTCTTTTTCTGACTCTGATCTCTAGCCTCACTCTCATAAGGACCCTTGTGATGACATCAGGTCGACACGCATACTCCAGGGTAGTCCCCTCACTTTTGGCTCCTTAGTCTTAATCACACCTGCAAAGTCCTTTTGCCAAGTAAGGTAACCTATTTACCAGCTTCAGGAGTTAGAATGTTAACATCATTGGGGGGCATTATTCTGCCTACCACAGTGATCTGGTTTCTTCTCTTGTACCTGATCTTTATATTTTTCCTTTTAAAATGGACTTATTTTAAAATTTCAAATAGAAAATATATTCATAGGGTTCTCAAAGAAAAACAAAACCTAAGAAGATATACAAACAGACAACAAGTCCATGAAAAAAATCTCAATATTATTAGTCATTAGGAAAATGCAAGTAAAGAAACCACAATTAGTGCTATGGTTTGAATATGTCCTCAAAAACATGTATTGCAGACTTAATCACCATCATAACAGTATTGGGAGGTGGGACCATTAAGAGGTGACTAGGCCATGAGGGCTCTGCCCTAATGAATTGATTAATGCCATTATCATGGGAGTGGCTTTTCTTTTTTTTTGAGACAAGGTCTCCCTGTGTCACCCACACTGGATTGCAGTGGCGCGATCACAGCTCACTGCAGCCTTGACCTACTGGGTTCAAGCAATCCTCCCACCTCAGCCTCCTGAGTAGCAGAGACTACAGGTGTGTGCCACCACACCCAGTTAATTTTTGTATTTTTTTGTAGGGATGGGGTTTCACCATGTTGCCCAGGCTGGTCTTGAACTCCTGAGCTCAAGCAATCCTCCCACCTCAGCTTCCCAAACTGCTGGGATTACAGGCATGAGCCACCATGCCCAGACTGGTGGGTTCCTTATAAGAGGATGAGTTTGGCCTCCTTTTCTCTTTCTCACCCTCTCTTTGCCCTTCCACCAGGAACCAGCATGAAGGCCCTTGCCAGATGAAGCGTCCTTAGTCTTGGACTTCCCAGTCTCCAGAATTGTGAGAAATAAATTTCTGTTCAGTATAAATTACACAGTCTTAGGAATTCTGTTACAGAAGTGCAAAATGAACTAAGATGATGAGATAGCACCTCATACTTACTAGGATGACTATAATAAAAAATACAGAAAATAGCAAGTATTGGTGAGGATGTGGAGAAATTGGAACCCTAGTACATTGCTAGCTGGAATGCAAAATGGTGCAGCCACTGTGGAAAACAGAGAGGTGGTTCCTTGAAAAGTTAAATTAGGATTACTATATGACCCAGTAATTCCACTCCCAGGAACATACCCCAAGGAATTGAAAGCAGGGACTCAAACAGATACTTGTACACTAATGTTCATAGCAGCATTACTCATGATAGTCAAACGTGTATCAACTGATAAATAGGTATGTAAAATGTGGTATATCCATATGATGGAACTTCAGCCATAAAAAGGAATGAAGTACTCCTTCATGCTACAATGTGAGTGAACCTTGAAAACATTATGCAATGTGAAAGATGCCAGCCACAAAGGGACAAATAGTGTTTGATTCCATTTATATGAAATATCCAGAATAGGTAAATTCATAGAGGAAGCAGATTGGTGTTGCCAGGGGCTGATGGGAAAGAAAAATGGGGAATCACTGCTTAATGTGTACAGAGTCTTCTCTTGTGGTATGAAATGTTTTGGAACTTGATAAAGTTGGTTGATTGCACATGTTTTGAATGTATTAAATGCTACAGACTTGTATACTTTAAAGTGGTTAATTTTATATTATGCAAAGTTCACCTCAATTTTGTAAAAAAGGAAAACTATAAGCAAGGTATACATTGAAAAATCATGCTCCTACCTCTGTCCCTATCTGTCCCAGGTAATTACTTAATATTTAAATATTTTTAGAAACAGGGTCTCTGGAGTCTTACTATGTTGCCCAGGCTGGAATCAAACTCCTGGGCTCGATGAATCCTCCTGCCTCAGCCTCCCAACTAGCTGGGATGAACAGGCTCATGCCACGATATCTGACCTAATAATTACTTTTATTAGTTCATTGTGTATCCTTTCAGTGTTTCTTATATAGAAGCAAGCAGATGTGAATTATTCTGATTTTCTCACATCAAAGATAGCAAGCTATATAGGATTTTTACTGTTTTTCACCTAACAATACATTCAAGAGTTCTTTCCACATCTCCAATATTTTCATATCTGGATGATATTCCACAGTGCGTGTGTAACATAAGTTATTTCATGCAAGCATTGATGCTATAAATTTAAGCAATATTTTAGTTGCATTTCACAAATTTTGATATGCTGTATTTTTATGATTTTTATTATCATGTAGTTCAGTGTATTTTAAAATTTCCCCTGAGACTTTCTCTTTGATCAAATTGTTATATAGAATCACGTTGCTTAGGGGGCCAGGCGTGGTGGCTCATGCCTGTAATACCAGGACTTTGAGAGGCTGAGGCAGGTGAATCATTTGAGGTCAGGAGTTGGAGACCAGCCTGGCCAACATGGTGAAACCCTGTCTCTACTGAAAATACAAAAAATTAGCCAGGCATAGTGGTACATGCCTGGGATCCTAGCTACTGGGGAGGCTGAGGTAGGAGAATAGCTTGAATCTGGGAGACGGAGGTTGCAGTGAGCCAAGATCACAGCACTGCAATCCAGCCTGGGCTGTCACAAACAAACAAACAAACAAACAAACAAACAAACGGAAGTATGTTGCTTAATTAAGTACTTGGATATTCTTTCTGTTTTTTTTTCCTTTGGTTATTGATTTCTTGTCTAATTCCATTATGATCATAGAACTTACTTTGTATGAGTTTAATTCTTCCCATACTTTTCCTTTTATCCTTTTTTTCATAATTTAAAAAAATGCTTTTTATCTAGAGGTAATTGTATATTTGCAGGTAGTTGTGAGAGGTAGAGAAAAACCATGTATACCTCTTATGGGTTAAATTGTTTCCCCTCCAAAATTCATGTCGAAGTTCTAACTCTGGTGCCTCACAATGTGAGGATTTGGAGATACGATCTTTATAGAGGTAATCAAGTTAAAGTGAGGTCATTAGGATGGGCCCTAATCCAAAATGACTGGTGTTCTTAAAGAGGAAATGTAGACACAGAAACACACATAGAGGGGAGGTGAGGTGAATAGACAGGGAGAAGATGGGCATCTGCAAGCCAAGGAGAGAGACATGGGACCGATTTTCCCTCATAGCCCTCCGAAGGAACTAAATCTGCTGCCACCTTGATTTTGGACTTCTGGCCTCCAGACCTGTGAGATGGTAAATTTTTGTTGTGTAAGCCACACAGCGTGTGTTACTTTCTTACAGCAGCCCTAGCAACCAACACAATAGCTTTAACCCAGCCCCGCCCCACCGCCTCCCGCCAATTGCAACATCTTGCATAATTACAGTACAATCACAACCAGAAAATTGACATTCATACAATCCACTGAGTTCCTTCAGATTTCACCAATATGACCTTACTTAGATGTATGTGTACTCATTTGTATGTGTATATGTATGTATTTAGTTATGAGAAAATACATACCTCTGTATGTAGATATATGTAGATATGTATGTACAAATGTAGATTCATGTGACCACCACTATAGTCAAGATACAGGCCGGGCGTGGTGGCTCACGCCTGTAATCCCAGCACTTTGGGAGGCTGAGGCAGGTGAATCACCTGAGGTCAGGAGTTTGAGACCAGCCTGACCAACATGGTGAAACCCCATCTCTACTAAAAATACAAAATTAGCTGGGCGTGGTGGTGGATGCCTATAATCCCAGCTACTTAGGAGGCTGAGGCTGGAGAATCGCTTGAACCTGGGAGGCAGAGGTTGTGGTGAGCTGAGATCGTGCCATTGCCCTCCAGCTGTGGTACAAGAATGAAACTCCATCTCAAAAAAAAAAAAAAAAAAAAAGATACGAAATTACTCCATCACAAAAATCCCTTGTGCTATCCTCTTATAGCCACAGCCACCCCTTTCCTTCCCCACTCTTTATTAACCCTTGAATACTGCGAATCTGCCTCCGTCTCTATAATTTTGTTATTTCAAGAGTGCTATATAAATGGAATCCTGCAATACATAACCTTTTGAGAGTGGCTGTATTCACTCAGCATAATTCCCTTGAGATCCATTCAAGATGTTGGGTGTATGAATAGCTGGTTCCTTTTATTTGCTGAGTATTCCAAGGTATAGGTGTACCGTCGCGTGTTTAACCATTCATTGGTTGAAAGACATTTGGATTGTTTTCAGTTTGGAGCCATTATAAATAATGCTGCTATAAACATTCATGTACAGGTTTTTGTGTGGACATAAGTTTTTGTTTCTCTGGAATGTGCTACATCCTTTTACTTTCAACCTTCATATATAATTTTAAGCTAGTTTTTTTGTAAAACAGCGTATAGTTTGGTCATTTAAAAAGTCCATTCTGCCAATCTCTTTCAATTAATTTGTTCAGTCTATTTACACTTAATGTGATTATTTATGTGTGGATTTAAGCCTACCAGTTTATTATTTGTTTTCTGTTTCCTCTGTTTTTTGTTCCTCAGTTTCCCATATAGTGCCTTCTTTATGGTCATTTGAATATTTTGTAGTATTCTATTTATTTTGTGTGTATGTGTATGTTTTACTGTATCTCTTTGTATAATATTTTTAGTGATTGCTCTAGAGATTACAAAATACATCCTTACCTTTTCATGACATTTTTTAACTTTTATTGCCCCCAAGTAGAAGCTACCTTTTCATGACATTTTACCACTTCGAGTAGAATGCAGAAACTTTACCATCATATAGGGCCCTTCATTTCCCCCCCGGCTCATTTTGTCATTATCGTATGTGTTACACCTATATACATTGTACCAAACGATGTTATACTTTTGGTTTTCAACCATCAAGCCTTTATGTATATCTATATCTAATCTATATCTATATGTATCTATCTATATCTATATCTATATTTTCAGACAGGGTCTTGCTCTGTCGCCCAGGCTGGAATGCAGTGGCACAGTCTCAGCTCACTGCAACCTCTGCCTCTTGGGCTCAAGTAATCTTCCCACCTCAGCCTCCTGAGTAGCTGGGACTACAGGTGTGCACTACCACGCCCAGCTAATTTTTGTAGTTTTAGTAGAGATGGGGTTTCACTATGTTGGGCAGGCTGGTCCCAACTCTTGGCCTCGAGTGATTTCCCTGCCTCGGCCTCCTAAAGTGCTGGGGTTACAGGCGTGAGCCACCACACAAGGCCCATCAAGCATATTTTTAAGAAACTGAGAGAAGAAAAATAGTCTATTACATTCATCTATATTTACCACTTCTATTGCTCTTCCTTTATTCCTGGTATCCCAAGTTCCTTCTGGTATCATTTCCCTTCTTTTTGAAGAATGTACTTTTAGAGCAGCTCTGCTGGCAACAAAATTCCATTTTCTTTGTTCTGAGATGGTCTTTACTTAACCTTGTATTCCTGAAGTATATCTTCACTGAATATGAAATTCTGAGTTGATAGTTTTCTTTCAGCATTTAAAAAATGCTCTTCTTCTTTCTTCTGAACTCCATGATTTCTGTGGGATATCTCCAAGTTATTTGAGTTATTGTTCCTCTATAAATAACATGTCATTTTTCTCTGGTTTCTTTTCTTTTCTTTCTTTCTTTTTTCTTTTTTTTTTTTGAGATGGAGTTTCACTCTGTCACCCAGCTGGAGTGCAGTGGCATGATCTCAGCTCACTGTAACCTCTGCCTCCCGGGTTCAAGTGATTCTTCTGCCTCAGCCTCCTGAACAGCTGGGACTACAGGTGTGCGCCACCATGCCTGGCTAATTTTTGTATTTTTAGTAGAGATGGGGTTTCACCATGTTGGCCAGGCTGGTCTTAAACTTCTGACCTCAAGCAATCCGCCAGCCTCGGCCTCCCAAAGCGCTGGGAATTACAGGTGTTAGCTACCGTGCCCGGCCCTCTGGTTTCTTTTGATATTTCAATTTTGTCTTTAGTTTTAAGTAGTTTGATGATAATATTGGGGGACATGGATTTTGGGGGTGTTTAGCCTCTTTGGGGTTTGCTGAGCTTCTCAAATCTGTAGGTTTCCTGTGTTTCACCAAAGTTGAGAAATTTCCAGTCATTATTTCTTCAATTTTTTTTTCTGCACTGCACTCTTTACTCACTTCTCCTAGCACTCTGAGAACACAAATGGTCAGCCTTTTGTTGTCGTTGCCCAGTTCCCTGAGGCTTGTCCATTCTCTCCCCAACTTGTCCATCTTTATCCTTTCTTCCTTTTTTTTTTTTTGGTTGTTTGTTTATTTTCTTGTCTTTTTGTTCCATATAGTGAAGTTCGTGGTAAACCATCTTTATTCTTCCTGTTGTTTAGATTGGGGAGTTTTTATTGATCTGTCTTCAAGCTCACTGACTCTTTCCTCTGTCATCTCCATTCTGCCATTCAGCCCCTCAGTGAGTTTTTACATTTCAGTTATTATATTTTTCAGTTCGAACACTTTCATTTGGCTTTTCTTTATATTTTCTATTTCTTTGTTGGGACTATCTATTTTTCCATTTATTTAAAGGAAGTTAGCCCTTACTTGTTGGAGCATTTTTGTAACAGTTGCTTTTAAGTCTTTGTCAGCCACAATAAAAAATGATAAAGGGAATATCACCACTGATCCCACAGAAATACAAACAACCATCAGAGAATACTATAAATATATCTATGCAAATAAACTAGAAAATCTAGAAGAAATGAATAAATTCCCGAAAATATACACCCTCCCAAGACTAAACCAGGAAGAAGTTGAATCCCTGAATAGACCAATAACAAGTTCTGAAATCGAGGCAGTAATACATAGCCTACCAATCAAAAAAAGCCAGGACCAGATAGATTTACAGCTGAATTCTACCAGAGGTGCAAAGAGGAGCTGGTACCATTTCTTCTGAAATGATTCCAAACAATCGAAAAGGAGAGAGTTCTTCCTAATTCATTTTATGAGGCCAGCATCATCCTGATACCAAAACCTGGCAGGGATACAACAAAAAAAACCAAAACTTCAGGCCAATATCCCTGATGAACATTGATGTGAAAAGCCTCAATAAAATACTGGCAAAGCAAATCCAGCAGCACATCAAAAAGTTTACCCATCACCATCAAGTCGACTTCTTTCCTGGGATGCAAGGCTGGATCAACATATGCAAATGAAAAAATATAATTCATCACATAAACAGAACTAAAGACAAAATTATATCTGTATTGAGGCATGATTATCTCAATAGACTCAGAAAAGGCCTTTGATAAAATTCAATATCCCTTCGTGTTGAAAACTCTCAATAAATTAAGTATAGGTGGAGCATATCTCAAAATAATAAGAGCCATTTATGACAAGCCCACAGCCAATATCATACTGAATGGCAAAAGCTAGAAGCATTCCCCTTGAAAACTGGCACAAGACAAGGATGCCCTCTCTCACCACTCCTATTCAACATAGTATTGGAATTTCTGGCCAGGGTAATCAGGCAAGAGAAAGAAATAAAGTGTACTCAAATAGGAAGAGAGGAAGCCAAACGGTCTCTGTTTGCAGACGACATGCTCCCGTATTTAGAAAACCCCATCGTCTCAGCCCAAAAGCTCCTTAAGCTGATAAGCAAATTTAGCAAAGTCTCAGGATACAAAATCAATGTGCAAAAATCACAAGCATTCCTATACACTAACAATAGACAATCAGAGAGTCAAATCATGAATGAACTTCCATTCACAACTGCTACAAAAAAAAATACCTAGGAATACAGCTAACAAGGGAAGTGGAGGACCTCTTCAAGAACAATAAACCTTTGTTTAAGGAAATCAGAGGACACAAACAAATGGAAAATCATTTCATGCTCGTGGATAGGAAGAATCAATATTGTGATTCTTACTGCCCAAAGTAATTTATAGATTCAATGCTATTCATATTAAACTACTATTGACATTCTTCACAGAATTAGTAAAAAAAAAAACTACTTTAAAATTTATATGAAACCAAAAAAGAGCCCGTATAGCCAAGACAATCCTAAACAAAAAGAACAAAGTTGGAGGCATTACGCTACCTGACTTCAAACTACACTACAAGGCTACATTAAACAAAACAGCATGGTACTGTTACAATAACAGACATACAGACCAATGAAACAGAATAGAGATCTCAGAAATGAGTCCACACATCTACAACCATCTGATCTTTGACAAACCTGACAAAAACAAGCAATGGGAAAAGGGCTCCCTATTTAATAAATGGTGCTGGAAAAACTGGCTAGCCTTATGCAGAAAATTGAAACTGGACCCCTTCCTTATATCTTGTACAAAAATTTAAACTCAAGATGGATTAAAGACTTAAATGTAAACCCAAAACTACAAAAGCCCTAGAAGAAAATCTGGCCACTACCATTCAGGACATAGGCACGGGCAAAGATTTTATGACAAAACACCAAAAGCAATCGCAACAAAAGCAAAAATTGACAAATGGGATTTAATTAAACTAATGAACTTTTGCATAGCAAAAGAAACTATCATCAGTGCAAACATACAACCTACAGAATGGGAGAAAAGTTTTGCAATCTATCCATTTGACAAAGGTCTAATATCCAGAATCTACAAGGAACTTAAACAAATTTACAAGAAAAAAAAATTAAAACATGTGCAAAGGACATGAACAGACACTTCTCAAAAGAAGACATTTATGTAGCCAACGTATTAAAAAAAGCTCAGCATCACTGATCATTAGAGAAATGCAAATCAAAACCACAGTGAGATACCATCTCACACCAGTCAGAATGGCGATTATTAAAAAGTCAAGCAACAACAGATGCTGGTGAGGCTGTGAAGTAGGAACACTTTTACACTGTTGGTGGAAAGGTAAATTAGTTCAACCATTGTGGAAGACAGTGTGGCAATTCCTCAAAGATCTGGGCATATACCCAAAGGAATATAAATAATTCTATTATAAAGATACATGCACATGTATGTTCATTGCAGCACTATTCACAATAGCAAAGACATGGTATCAACCCAAAAGCCCATCAATGTTAGACTGGATAATGAAAATGTGGTACATATACACGATGGAATACTATGCAGCCATAAAAAAGAACTAGGTCATGTCCTTTGCAGGGACATGGATGGAGCTGGAAGCCATTATCTTCAGCAAATTAACACAGGAACAGAAAAGCAAACACCGCATATTGTCACTTGTAAGTAGGAGCTGAACAATGAGAATACATGGACACAGGGAGGGGAACAACACACACTGGGGCCTGTCGGGGATAGGGGTGGGAAGAGGGAGAGCATCAGGATAAATAGCTAATACATGCAGGGCTTAATACCTAGGTAATGAGTTGATAGGTGCAGCAAATCACCATCGCACATATTTACCTGTGTAACAAACCTGCACGTCTTGCACAGGTATCCCAGTACTTAAAATAAAATAAAATAAAAACAAAAACAAACAAAAATAAAGTCTTTGTCAGCTAATTCCAACATCTGTGTTATCTCAGCATGTTAGTTGAGATTTTCCTAGTTCTTCACAGAGTGAGAAATTTTGTATTGTACTCTGGACATTTTGAATGTTATGAGTCTCTGGGTCTTGTTTAAAATTCTATGGAAAACATTTTATTCTGTTTTTTAACGTTAGTGGGTTATAGGTATGGTTGGGTTCAAGTTGTAAGTTCTGATCATCCTTCAGTGGTGTGTGGTTTCAATGTTCCACTAACACGCACTGCTATTCAGAGCAGTCCTGCATGTGCGCCACCTGGTGGCCAGTCTAGGCAGTCTAGGAGGTGGGACATGGTTCACCTCATAGTTTACAGTTGTATCTCAAAGCTTTTGATATACTGTTTAGGGTCAGATTCATGAATGTTCCACTTGTGGATAAACCCAGGGATTCTTAAACAACTTTATCAAGTCCCTTTCCCTAATACCTCCCTCTCTATAATGTCCCTAGTACTTTCTGAGTCCTGGGCTCCCCTTTTCAGTCCTCCAACCTGAAGAAAAACAAAAAAGAAATGGGGGATTTCTCCCTCTCCTTTGAGCATTAGGAGACCACGCCCTTGAGCCAGAACCAGAGGGTTTCTCTTGGACTTCTCTCCATTCATGCAGACGCCCATGTCCAGGTTCCACACTACCTTACACCTAGTCTGGGCAACACTGAAGCGAAAAATACAGTAGACTCACCACCCATTCAGAGGTACTTTAAAGTCTGGTCTTCCTTTCTGGTCTATCTGCTACTAGATGCTCACAGTATCCAAGTCATTGTGCCGTGCATTCTGTCCAGGTTTATCGCTTCATCCGGTGGGGGGATAGGGTCATAACTACATGACTCAAAACTCAGCCCCATCTTACCTGAAACCTGGGCTGAGTTTTGAATCATGTAGTTAATCTAATTAATACTGATTAATGGATACTTGGGCTATTCTTCCTGCCTTTTAAATTGTCGTGTTTCTGGAATCTGTTTTAATATTCTTATCTTATCCCTTCATAACACTGGTTCTCACCTTGGGTTTTCATTAGAATCACCTACACAGATTAAAAAAAAAAAGTTGATGTCCAGGCTACATCCCAGCCAAATTAAACCAGAATCTCTGGGAATAGGATCCAGGAATTAATACTTATATTTAAAAAAAATATTTCACACCACTTACCCCATCCTCTAATCCTCCAAACCTGTTCTTCCTATAATCTGCCTCATTTCACTTAATATTGTCACCATCCTCCAAACTCCCAAGTAAGACACCTTGGAGTTGGCCTGAACTCAGCTCCAGAATTTTTGCATTCAGGCTACCATCTGCCCTGTCATTGCCAACTCAGAAATGTCTTCAAATGTGGCTCTCATCTCTATTCCTTTTTTTTTTTTGTCACAGGATCTCACTCTGTCACCCAGGCTGGAGTGCAGTGGTACAATCACTGCTCACTGCAGCCTTGACCTCCTGGGTTCAAGTGATCTTCCTGCTTCAGTGTCCTGAGTACCTGGGACCATGGGTGCATGCCGCATGTCTGACTAATTTTTTTATTTTCGGTACAGACGGTGTCTCACTTTGTTGCCCAGGCTGGTTTCATACTCCTGGGCTCAAGTGATCCTCCCGCCTCGGCCTCCCAAAGTGCTGCAATGACAGGTGTGAGCCACCATGCCCAGCCATCTCCATTCTTTTAATCAAGCTCACGTTGCATAGCTGTGTCATTGGTTTCCCTGTCACTGGGCTGTCTTGGCAAACACTCTCACTGCTGCCAAAGGGATCTTCCTAAAAGAAGACTCTGTCAAGCCCCTTGTAAAACCTCCCTAGCGCCTCCTGCCCCCCAGTCTAGAGTCTAAACTCCTGGGCAAGGCACACGAGGCTTGCCATACTTGGCTTAGACTTCTTCTCCTAACTCCTCCCCCATCACCCATACATCTCTTTTCCCCACCTGGCAAAGACACACTGACATTCCCGAAATACCCCCGGCCCCGGAACACCTTATTGTTATCCTACTCACTTCCTACTTTGATGCCTGGCCATCTCCTTTTCAACCTTTAAGAACCAACTGAAATGTGAACCACTCGCCAGTGCTTCCCAGCTGATGTCATTACTGATCCTCCAGCTTTGGCCATAGTGTATTATCATGGTCACAGGCCGGGCGCGGTGGCTCATGACTGTAATCCCAGCACTTCGGGAGGCTGAAGTGGGTGGATCACCTGTGGTCAGGAGTTTGAAACCAGCCTGACCAACATAGTGAAACCCTGTCTCTACTAAAAATACAAAATTAGCTGGGCATGGTGGAGCATGCCTGTAATCCCGGCTACTTGGGAGGCTGAGGCAGGAGAATCGCTTGAACCCAGGAGGCTGAGGTTGCAGTGAACTGAGATCGCGCCATTGCACTCCAGCCTGGGCAACAAGAGTGAAACTCGGTCTCAAAAGATAAATGAGTCATGGTCACAAAACTCCACTGAAACTGTTTGCATGTCCGTCTCTCCCACTAGACTGGGGGCACCTTGAGGGTGGGTACTTATCAACATTTGTCTTTCTGGGAAAGCACACAGTGCCTGACTCACAGCAGACCCGCAGTGGGTGTTCAAACAAATAAATGAATATAGAGCAGACAGGGGCCCAGGAAGCAGCTCTGTGAGATTAGCGAAGTAAAAAGAAACAGGATGAAATGCAGGTATTTAAACACGGCATGAATGTTTGCAAAATGGAACAAGATTGCCAAAATTTCTAAGCTCAGACAAAGTAGTCATTTCTGGTTTAGGTCCAGGTATTGATACTACTTCAAAACCAGCCTGGGTGTTTTCTTAGCTGAAGGAAAAGGAGATGCCAGGGAAATACAATGAACTTCTGAAACAGGTATAAAGCCAGCCTCCAAGGAACTGAGGAAACGCCTCTGATCTGGAAAGTGGCATCACTTGTCAAACTTGAATTCAATTCCTGGCTCACTGCCTGCTGCTGGGGAAACATGGGCAAGTTAATTAACTTCATTGAGCCTCAATTTTCTCATCTGTAAAATGGGTACAATATTTCCTACCTCATAGGATTGTGTTGAGTATTGAACGAGTTAATTCATATTTCTAGTATGTAGTTAAGTGCCTGATAAATAGTGTTATTTTTATTTTCTGGTGATTTAGGGAATGAGTTGGCAGAAGTAGATGAAAAGAGGCATACGTCTGTTTCAGTTGGGGTCTTTATTGTCCTCAGCTCCTTAGAGGAGAAAGCCTTTGAATTCCCATGTCCTCATGTCTAGGGATGGGCTGACAGCCCAGGTTCCTCCTCTGGCTTTTGGCCACCGCTCTTGGTCCAGCTGGCCAACTTCCCCGCTCAGAGCCACAGAGCAACAAGGAGCCAGCACTGTCCCTTCATCCAGGGAAGTGCCTCATTCCTCATCTAAGTGTCCTTGACTCCTGAAATAATAGGGCAATATTTGAACATCCTATACCTAGACAGGCCCTATTTGCCAAGGACATTCTAAAAATATACTGTTGGGATTAAAAAAAAAACTTGCTGATTCTAAAGATCTCTGGAGGTGGTACCTTCTAAATTTATGTGCACAGAAGTAGCCAGACCTTGAGATGTCCATTCAAGGTATACGAGGGTGCAGTGGCACGTGTCTGGAATCCCAGTTACTTGGGAAGCTGAGACAGGAGGATCACTTGAGCTCAGGAGTTTGAGACCAGACTGGACAACATAGTGAGACTTTGTTTCTATAAAAAATATGTACATGACACATTCAGCCACAAACATCACTAGATTATCTTTTGGGTGAGTAGCTCACTAAAACATTAAAAGCCAGGCAATCAGTGTTCCTGAAGATTGTATCTGTCCGTCTGTCATCTCTCCTTTTACTGGGCACATGAATTCATGCCAGCATTGTGTGTGGAAAACACCTCAGTTTCAATAGGAGAGGAAAGAAGGACAGAAGGAAAGAAGGAAAACTGACATTGACCGAGAGTCTACCATGTGCAAGGCATTTTCTGTATCTTCTCATTTAATCCTTGCAAAAATTATACAGGAAAACTTATTCCCATTCTTAAAGGTCAGGAAATGGAGACTCATATAGAAATGACTTGCCCAGGTTCACTCATGCAGCAAGCGGCAAAGCTGAGATTTGCTTCCAAACCAGCCCACTCTAAAACCAACATTCAGCCCATCGCCCAGGCAGCAAGAGTTGTCAGCTGAAGCACACAGCAATTGAATTTTCACATACTTCTCATTTCCCCTTTCCAACCCTTCTCCACCTCCACCTTCCCCACCCCTTTCCCCCTTCTGCAAGCTTCTCTGTGACGTTCCACTGTAGCGTGATCCTCCAACTACAATCAGCAGCGCAGCCACAGGAATTACTGAAGGGCAGGCAGGGTTGGTAATACATGCAATCCATTTGCTGACTGCACTTGAATGCACATGGAAGTATGCGAGTGCAGGGAGGGCCCCGGAGGGAGGCACACATCTATATTTCAAATTAGCAAGTCAGTCACAAGTTACAGCTCCATGCCAGGGGCGTTTTTAGATAGCCAGACACACAGATAATGAAGGCACAGATTAACTGCGTCTGACTGTGCGGTAACTTAAAGCTCTCAGCCTCTATGGCCAGTCCATGTGGTGAAACAAACATTCCTCCAGCATATGGTAAGTTTTAGTAGAAAGCTTGCAGTGAGAAGTGTGGGTCCCTATCAGATGGGTGAAGGACATGTGGTTGATATTACAGCATGCGTTCACCTCTCAGACCCACTGGATTCGGCCCATTCTCTCTCCTTTTCCCAGGGTCACTTCTATTTTTTGGAAAATAGGGACAAGGTGTCACTGTGTTGCCCAGGCTGGTTTTGAACTCCTGGGCTCTTGAACTCCTGGCCTCCCAAAGTGTTAGGATTACAGGCATGAGCCACTGTGCCTGGTCCAGGACAGGTACTTGACTGGCTTCTCTGCACTGAAAAAAAATAAAATCTCCACCCATGCAGCTCCGAGAATGTAACTATTTCTTAGAATTTTCAATAAATTAAACTATTGAGTTAAATAGTAGCAAAGTGCTTAAGATTGGGAACAAGGAGGCCAGATTCTCATCCCCCTCCCGCCTTAAATGGCCTTGGACAAGTCACAATGTTTTCGTCAAGAGTATGAAATATTTTCTTTTTTTGGTTATTTTTAAAATAGTCTTTTTCTTACTTAAAAGCAGTGGCTCACGCCTGTAATCCCAGCACCTTAGGAGGCTGAGGTGGGCGGATTGCTTGAGCTCAGGAGTTCGAGACCAGTCTGGCCAACATGGTGAGACCCCTGTCTCTACCAAAATGCAAAAAAATAGCCAGGCGTGGTGGCGCGTGCCAGTGGTCCCAGCTACTTGGGAGGCTGAACCTGGGTTGGTGGAGCAGAGGTTGAGCCTGGGTGGGCGGAGCAGAGGTTGCAGTGAGCTGAAATGGTGTCACTCCACTCCAGCCTGACAGAACAAGACCCTGTCTCAAATAAATAAATAAATAACATATTGTTTGGTTGAAATTTTTTAACTTTAATTTTTTTTTTTTTTTTTGAGATGGAGTCTTGCTCTGTCACCCAGGCTGGAGTGCAATGGCTCAATCTTAGCTCACTGCAACCTCCACCTCCTGAATTCAAGCAATTCCCCTGCCTCAGCCTCCTGAGTAGCTGGGATTACAGGCACCTGCCACCATGCCTGGCTAATTTTTATACTTTTAGTAGAGATGGGGTTTCACAATGTTGGCCAGGCTGGTCTCGAACTCCTGACCTCAAGTCATCCGCCCTCCTTGGCCTCCCAAAGTGCTGGGATTACAGGTGTGAGCCACCATGCCCAGCTAACTTTAATTTTTTTGAAATGAGTATTTTCTGAAAGATCACCTCCAGCTCTGGAATGCATTGATTCTAATCACTAGCATCAGAAAGAGCAAAGCTGCCAGGGCTGGACGTGTGAATTCCAGGCTCTTCCTAAGGAGACAGAGGCCATGTAGCAAACCCTTTTGACTTCATCACCTCTCCACCTGCCTTTCCTGTATCCCTTCTCCCATCCTTCTTTGAAATCTCTAACAAGCGTTCTCTATCCTCTCAAAACCTGGTTCATACGCTAGAACGGGGCTCCTCAAACCACCCAGGGATCTTGTTAAAAATGAAGATCCTGGTTCAGGTGATCTGGAGTGGGACCTGAGATTTTGCATTTGTAACAAGCTCCCAGGTGAGGCTGTTGCTACTGGCCCTGGGACCATACTTTAAGTAGTGTTTATTAGTCAGTGAGGGGCACCACAGCAAAATGCCACAGACTGGGTGGCTCAAACAATTAAAACTCGTTTTCTCACAGCTATGGGGTCTGGAAGTCCAAGATCAAGGTGTTGGCAGGGTTGATTTTTGGTGACATCTTTCTCCTTACCTTGTGGACAGCAGCCTTCTTGCTGTGTCCTGATGTGGCCTCTCCTCTGCATGGGCACCCCTAGTGTCTTTTCCTCTTCTTGTAAGGACATGAGTCCTCTCCAGTTAGGGTTCTATGACCTCAATGACTTCTTTAAAGGCCCTGTCTCCAAATACAGTCACATTGGGGGTTAGGACTTCAACACATGAATTTTAGTGGGACACAATTCAGTCCACAGCAGGTAGCAAGGGTTTAAAGCAGGTCTGGCCAAGTCACACATATAATTTAAAATTTTCCGAGAGCCACATTTTAAAAAAATAAAAAAGAAACAGACAATTGGTGACATAAAATTGTCACCAAATAAAAAAAGAAAGGAATAGGCAATATTAATTTTTATGATCTATTTTATTTTACCCAGTTGACCTAAAATGTTATCATTTTAGCATATAATTGATATAAAAATTATTGAGATACTTTACATTCTTTTTTATACAAAACCTGTGAAATCTGGTGTGAATTTCACTCTCAGACATTTCTCAATCTGGACTGGTCACATGTCCATGCTTGGATGGCCACATGTGGCTGGTGGCTACCATATTGGACAGCACAGGTCTTAATCTTTTTCTACCTCATGATGTCATGATGTCCTTGGTATGGGGCCTAGGAGGAGACAAACCTGCCAGATGTAGATCCTAAGAAAGGATATTTGCTGATTACAGAAGACCTATCTATACCAACATCATGGAGTGTTCACAGATCTCCCCCTGTTCATCCCTGACCTCCTTCCTGTCCTACACCTTTTCCCTGACCTCCTTCCTGTCCTACACCTTTTCCCTCTTACCCACTGCACACTGGACTGTTCCAACACACACCAGACCACGGCCTCGTTGCCTTCCCGATTCGCTTCGGGACTTTACTCAGATAGTAAAGAGGCTTTCTCTGGGCACTCTGGCTTAAATTTCAACTCCCACTCTCTGCTTTCTATTTCATTCCCGTTTTTAATTTTATTCTCAGCACTCATCACTAGCTAACATACCATGTATTTTACTAATCTATCTTATTTGTCATTTGTATATCCCACTAGAATACACATCTTGTGAGGGCAGGGATTTACCTGTTTCATTCACAGCTGTATCTCCCTTCAATGCCTAGAATGATGTGTGGCACAGGACATGTTTCTGACTGAGTGGATGAACATCAGAACCATGTCATGGATCAAAGGACAGCTGGCATTCAGGTCCTCTGCTCCTGCACTTGCCACCGTTTCTGGGGAAGTGCCTTAAGCCGTGTGTCATCAGGTGAAAAGGAGGGATCGTGCGTGGTCTCAGTCCTTATGGGAACCTGCGTAGAAGACAATATCTGAAGAATTAAGAACAGAAATGGCACCTACAAACAAGACACTGGGAAAGGTTCCAAGGTTTTAAAAAAGGAAATAATGAGGCTGGGTGCAGTGGCTCATGCCTGTAATCCCAGCACTTTGGGAGGCCAAGGCAGGTGGATCACTTGGTCAGGATTTTGAGGCCAGCCTGGTCAACATGGTAAAACCCCATCTCTGCTAAAAAATACAAAAATTAGCTGGATATGGTGGTGTGTGCCTGTAGTCCCAGCTACTCGGGAGGCTGAAGCAGGAGAGTCATTTGAACCCAGGAAATGGAGGTTGCAGTGAGCCAAGATCATACCACTCCACTCCAGCCTGGGTGACAGAGCGAGGCCCTGTCCCTGCCTCCACAAAAAAGAAAGTGATGTATCGAAAAAGGCTAACATATAAACCTCTAGAAAATATATTAATTAAAATGCTTATTGATCTCAACAGTTGACTTCAAAAATGCTGCTGATATTTTATGTGTCTACTTGGCTAGGGTATGGTACCCAGTTGTTTGGTTAACAACCAGTCTAGATGTTGCCATGGTATATATTTTTAAATGTGATTAACAATGAAATCAGTAGACTTTGAGTAAAGCAGATTAATCTCCATAATGTTGATGGGCTTCATTCAATCAGTAGAAGCCCTTAGAAAATTGAAGTCTACAGAATAAAGAATTCTGGGCCAGTCACCATGGCTCATGCCTATAATCCCAGCACTTTGGGAGGCTGATGTGGGAGGATCACCTGAGCCCAGGAGTTTGAGACCAGCCTGGGCAACATGGCAAGATCCTGTCTTAAAAAATAATAATAATAAAAAAAGAGAAATGATTCTGTCTCTAGCTGGGTGTGGTGGCTCATGCCTGTAATCCCAGCACTTTGGGAGGCAGAGGCGGGAGAGTAGCTTGAGGCCAGAAGTTCGGGACCAGCCTGGGCAACATAGTGAGACCCTGTCTCTACAAAAAAATTAGCCATGTACAGTGGCATATGTCTGTAGTCCCACCTACTTGGAAGGCTGAATTTGGAGGATCACTTGAATGCAGGAGTTGGAGGTTAGAGTAAGCCATGAGCACTCTAATGCACTCCAGCCTGGGTGACAGAGAGAAACCTTGTCTCAATACCCACCCCCACCTCTCCCCCTCCCCCCCAAAAAAAATTCTGTCTCCAGACTGCCTTCAAACTCAAGACTGCAATGTCAACTCTTGCTGGAGTTTCCCGCCTGTTTCCAGCCTGCTTGCCTGTCCTGCAAGTTTTAGATTTGCCAGCTTCCATCATCACATGAGCCAATTCCTTAAAATCGATCCCTCTCTCTATACACATATCCTATTAGTTCTGTTTCTCTGGAGGACCCTGACTCATACAAGCAGTGCTTCTCAAACTTTGATGTAACTACGAATCACCTGGAGATTTTGTTAAGTCGCAGATTCTGATGTAGTTCTGGGGTGGGACCTGACATTCTGCATTTCTGGGTTATCAGAGGATGCTGATGATATGGGTCTATGGGTGACACTTTGAGTAGCAAGAGCACCTTCCCTGGGTTCTCAGAGCATCTGGGCTTCTTGAAAGGAGTAGGGACAAGTCCTCTCAGAATCTTCAGAAATTTAAGGAGTCCATAGTTAGTTCCTTCCTCTAAAGCAGGGGTTATAGCCAGGCGTGGTGGCACGCACCTGTGGTCCCAGCTACTTGGGAGGCTGAGGTGGGAGAATCACTCAAGTCCAGGAGGTTGAGGCTGTAGTGAGCTGTGATTGCACCACAGCACTCCAGCCTGGTGACAGAGTGAGACCCTGTCTCAAAATAATAAATAAATAAATTAATTAATAAAAAATGAAAAGCAGGTGCCAGCAAACATTTTCTGTAAAGGGCTAAATAGTAAATATTTTAGGCTTATGGGTCATTATTTTTCAAAGCTACTAAATTCTGCCATTATAGCATGAAATTAATTACAGACAATACATAAACTAGGCTGGGCACAATGGCTCACACCTGTAGTCTTAGCGCTTTGGGAGGTGGAGGCAGGAGAGTCACTTGAGGACAGGAGTTCAAGACCAGCTTGGGCAACACAGCAAGGCCCCATCTCTACAAAAAATTAAAAATCAGTCTGGCATGGTGGGACACACCTGCAATCCCAGCTACTCAGCAAGCTGAGGCAGTAGGATCACTTGAGCCCAGGAGTTTAAGGTTGCAGTGAGCTCTGATTACGCCACTGCACTTTAACCTGGTGACAGAGTGAAACCCTGTCTCTTAAGAGAAAAACCAAAACAAAATGTGAACTAATGTGTGTGGCCGTGTTCCGATAAAACTTTATTTATTTATTGAGACATAGTCTCGCTCTGTTGCCCAGGCTGGAGTGCGGTGGTGCAATCTGGGCTCACTGCAACCTCCGTCCCCTGGGGTTCCAGCAATTCTCGTGTCTCAGCCTCCCAAATAGCCGGGATTACAGGCAGCTGCCACCATGCCCAGCTAATTTTTGTATTTTTAGTAGAGACAGGGTTTTGCCATGTTGGCCAGGCTGGTCTCTAACTCCTGACCTCAAGTCATCTGCCCTCCTCAGCCTCTCTAAGTGCTGGGATTACAGGCGTGAGCTGCCGCGCCCAGCAGGACTTTATGAAAACAAACTGTGACTGGATTTAGCCTATAGGCCATAGTTTGCCAACCACTGGTTTATAGAATCACTTGACAGTCAGGTTCTCCAGGACAGGGTTTTATTCACTTTGGCAGTTTCAGGACCTCATGCATCAGAGGCATTTAATAGATGCTTAATGAAAAAAAATGAATATATTGAATGAGGCCATTAAGATTTGGCTGCCCATAATCTGCGAAGCACAGATTCTCAGTTACCAAGTAACTATCTTTTTTTTTTTTTTGGATTGAGTCTTGTTCTGTCGCCCAGGCTGGAGTGCAGTGTTGCGATCTAGGATCACTGCAACCTTCACCTCCCGGGTTCAAGCGATTCTCCTGCCTTAGCCTCCCCAGGTAGCTGGACTACAGGTGCACGCTGCCATGCCTGGCTAATTTTTTTATTTTAGTAGAGACGGGGTTTCACCGTGTTGCCCAGGCTGCTCTCGAACTCCTGAGCTCAGAAAATCCACCTGCCTCGGCCTCCCAAGTAACTATCTTTTATTGTCTTTTCAGTTTCTGTTTCAGATAATGAAATAAGAATGTGTCATAATTTTTGTATAAGTGAACTTTCTGGCTCCTGCTTGCTTCCTTCTGCTGTCCTATTCCTTAGGCCAGAGATATATAGATAGAATACATAAGAAGATAGATAGGAAAATTCAGTATATGATATGGAAATGTGTAATGAGAATATCATGGTCAAAAAATGGAAAAATAACAGTGCAAGTATAGCTAATGCATACAAACAAATTCTTAAATTTATTGTGAAATATTTTGTACATATAAAATGAATAACATAATATATGTGGCATAAAAATTGGCATGCATCTGTAGTCCCAGCTACTCGAGGGACTGAAGTAGGAGGATCACTTGAGTCCAGGATTTCAAGGCCAGCTGGACAACATAGTGAGACCCCGTATCACACACACACACACACACACACACACACACACATACAAATTTAATATGATGACTGCAAGTGATTTTTATGTGTTAAAAACGATTTCAAGGCCTAGTACGGTGGCTCACACCTATAATCCCAGCACTTTGGGAGGCTGAAGTGGGAGGATTGCTTGAGCCCAGGAGTTTGAGACCAGCCTGAGAAACATGGTGAGAACTTGTCTCTACAAAAATTAAAAAATTAGCGGGGGGCCGGGCACGGTGGCTCAGGCCTGTAATCCTAGCACTTTTGGAGGTTGATATGGGCAAATCACATGAGGCCAGGAGTTTGAGACCCTCCTGGCCAACATGGTGAAACCTCCATCTCTGCTAAAAATACAAAAATTAGCTGGGTGTGGTGGTGCATGCCTGTAATCCCAGCTACTTGGGAGGCTGAGGCAGGAGAATTGCTTGAACCCAGGAGGTGGAGGTTGCAGTGAGCTGAGATTGTGCCACTGCACTCCAGCATGGGCAACAGAGCGAGACTCCATCTCAAAAAAAAAAAAAAAAATTAGCCGGGCATGGTGGTCCCAGCTACTTGGGAGGCTGAGGTGGGAGAATGGCTTACGCCCAGGAGGTCAAGGCTGCAGTGAGCCATGTTTGTACCACTGCACTCTAGCCTGGGTGACACAATGAGATCGTGTCTCAAAAAAAATAAAAAAATTCAAGAAAATGCATTTTATATTTAAATATCACATGCTCATTTTAGAAAACAAAATTTTAAAAAAATCTGTGTAATTTCACACGCCAAGGATCAGAGAAAAGACTAGGAAAATGGAAACTCAGAGTGGAATTTGGAAGCCCCTATGTTGACATTATTGGATGAGAGAATGTATTGGTAATTGAGGCAGGCTGCTCAGTGCTCAGTGGTTTTATATATATATATATATATATCTCACCTGGGCCTACCTTTTTGAGATCAGTTGTTACAGGTCATGCTCCTTACCCCACTGTCCTTCTTATTGCTACAAGCTCTAAGCTCAAAGGAGAGTCGAGGAGGATGTGGGGTGGAGCCCGTGCAGGCCCACGGTCTTAATGCCAACCTTTTGGATGGCAGGTTCTTAACACCATGTTCAGGTGCAGTGGGCTACATGCCAGCCTCAGCACTATGGCTTCTCATGTAGAACAGCACATTTAATTTTTACCCTTAGCTAAATGGAACCACTATTTCCCAAGAGCAAAGTAGGTTTGGCCTCTATGGTTGCATTCATATTTGCATATAAAATTGGCTCCCTCCCTGTCCAAATACTTCATTTCCACATACCAGGTGATGGTTATTGATGATGGAAAAGACCTATTAGTAAATGATTATAAAGTACTTGGCTAATCAAAATGAGAGTGAAATAGCCCTCTGATAAGGCAGGGCCATGGCAAGCATTGATAACCCGGACCTCACTGGCCCTGGAGTTCTTTGTGAGGTCTAGCCTTGGCAGGCCCCACATGATCCGTATTGCCTCTGCGTCCCAGCACGCCATGTGGATTGGGTGTGTCCTGGGAGCTGAGCACTGTGCAGACTGTGCAGAACCTGGACAGTGCATGGTCCCTGCGTCCTAGCTTAAAACTGATCCCACTGTGATGGCATGACCTAGCCTTGGGGGGTCAGTTTTTACTAGCTTGTCACATAGGCTCAAGGCAGTTTGTACACTGCAGGAACACATAATTTTAAGTGTTTGAAAACACCACTAGACCGATACTTGTACACCCATGTTCACAGCAGCGTTGTTCACAGCAGCGTTATTCACAGCGGCCAAAAGATGGAAACCACACAAATGTCTATCGGTAGATGAATGGAGAAACAAGACGTGGAATGTACATACAATGGAGTCTTAGCCTTAAAAAGGAATGAAATTCTTTAAAAAAAATTTTTTTTTATAATAGAGGCAGGGTCTCACTATGTTGCCCAGGCTGGTCTCAAACTCTTGGGCTCAAGCACTCCTCCTGCCTCAGCCTCCCAAAGTATTGGGATTTCAGGCATAAACCACTGTGCCTGGCCTTCTCCTCTTGAATATCAATATATTTCCTTAAAAGAATGGGGCCTGAGGCGGGCATGGTGGCTCACGCCTGTAATCCCAGCACTTTGGGAGGCCGAGGCGGGTGGATCACCTGAGTTCAGGAGTTTGAGACCAGCCTGGCCAATATGGTGAAACCCCATCTTTACTAAAAATACAAAAGTTAGCTGAGTGTGGTGATGGGCGCCTGTGTAAATATACACAGGTGGTGGGCGCCTGTGTAAAAATACAAAAATTAGCTGAGCGTGGTGGTGGGCGCCTCTCAGCCTCCTGAGAGGCTGAGACAGGAGAATTGCTTGAACCCGGGAGGCGGAGGTTGTAGTGAACCCAGATTGCGCCACTGCACTCCAGCCTGGGCAACAGCGTGAGATTCTTAAAAAAAAAAAAAAAAAAAAGAATGGGGCCTGCAGTTTCCTATGTATGTATGTATGCATTGGAAAATTTGTGCCTGTAGTTGTTGTTCTTCCCTCACTATTCAGAAACTTCTGGAAATTCAATGTTTCCTAATAACTGGAGCTACAGTTATCACTTCAGTTGCCAAATGAGTTGGGTAGGAATCTGAACTCGCTGTTCTGCTCTCACCAGAAGCAACACCAAACATTTAGGTGCTGAGGGCTCCTGGCAGGGTGCTGTGGGAAGTGCAGGGAAGCCCCTGACACAGGACCCCAGGGATGTGCTGCTGCCATAGGGAGCGGGCAGGAAAGGGGAGGAATTGGACACAGCTGGTCTAACCTTCCAGCCTCCCCGCTGGCCCCACCTGCCTCCTCGAGTCTCTGACTGCTTAGGATTTCATGCTCGACCTTTGCTGAACTCTCTCTCTCCAAACCAGCCTCTTAGAATTTTGTCTGTTCCTTTGATAGGTGGAAATGGATTGCATTTTAAAATGTCTCCCTCCTCATTTATATAATGGCAAGTAAAAGAAAAAAATAGTTTCCCCCTCAGCCAAGTGCAGTGGTGCACCTGCAGTCCCAGTGACTCGGGAGGCAGGAGAATCACTTAAACTCAGGAGTTCTGGGCTGTAGCATGCTATGACTGTGCCTGTGAATAGCCACAGCACTCTAACCTGGACAATGCAGCAAGACTCTGTCTCTAAAAAAAATCCAAAAAACAAAAAATAAATGGTTTCCCCTGGAACTTTCATTTCAGGTACCAGCAAGACTTGTTTAGCCAAAAACAAGAGAAGAAAAAGACATGAGTAGGTATGTCGTAGAAAAGAAAATATACGCGAATACGATACATTTAAAGAGACACCCAGAGTTATCAGTAGTCCGCAAAATAAAAATCAAGGCAGCTGTTGGCATACCATTTTGCATCCTTTGATTGGCAAAAAAACAAAATGTCTGACAATACTAAATGTTGGAGAGGATCATCTTACACATGCTAGTGGGAGTATAATTTGGTATAACCACGTTGAAAAGTTGATTGGTCTTAGTTCCTAAAGTGGCATATTTACATACCTTATGACTGAACAGTTCCACTCTATGGGATACACGAAAGAGTGATTTCTGCACCATAACAATAACAACAGCAACAATAACAATAAAAGGGATAAGTACAAAAATGATCAAACAGTACTGTTCACAATAGCGAAACACTGGAGACATCAGGAGAATGTATAAATAAGTATTATGTAGCAATTGAAATGTATGGACTAAGCAATATATAACAATGAGAATGAATCTTTGCATATGTTAAAAGTCCCAGAAGATTAGTGACAGCATGGTACCCCTTTTTATAATTAAAAACAATGTCAATAACTGTATTCTTTAAAATATACATATAGACTCAATACAACTATTTACAAAGGAAAGCCAGGGCAGGATGAACAGGAGATTCAAGCAGCTATGAAGGAGGCTAGGATGGGGCCACATGGTTTGATGAGGGCCATTGCCCAGTTCCTTGCTTTTATTTTGGGTGGTGAGTTTGAGGGTGCTTATTGCATTATTAAAAAGAAGTAACTAAATAACAGCAGGTGCAGAAGTCAATGAAGATGGCCGGGTGTGGTGGCTCACACCTATAGTCCCAGCACTTTTTGGGAGGCTGAGGCGGGCAGACTGCTTGAGCTCAGGGGTTTGAGACCAGCCTGAGCAATGTGGCGAGACCCTGTCTCTACTAAACAACAACAACAACAACAACAACAACAACAGAAAACCCAGGTGTGGTGGTGGCCGCTTGTGGTCCCAGCTACTTGGGAGGCTGAGGTGGAAGGATTGCTTGAGCCCAGTGGGTGGAGGTTGTAGTGAACCGTGATCATGCCACTGCACTCCAGCCTGGGTGACAGAGGGAGACCCTGTCTCAAAAAAAGTCAACGAATAGAGTCCAGGATGATGATGAGCCAGGATGATGATTCAATCACAATCTGACACTATGTTCCTGAGAGTCCCTTGTCCCTCTTCCCTGTCTCCCAAAAACAAACCAAAGAAGCCGAGTTAGCAGTCAGCAGAACAGCAGCTCCTTCCACCTTGTGGTTTCTGCATCATAGGGGAGCCTCTTATCCCCACTAAAGCCTCCCTTGTCCACCTGAGGATATCTGCAAATGCCACTCTTCCAGATTCATTTCTTTTTGCTTCAGTTCCCCTGCCTTCTCTAAAAAAGCATACAGTGTTACTGCAGGGTGGTAGAGTATGATTCATTAGTCATGAATGTGTATTTTCAGAACAATCTCAATGATCTCTTCATGCCTCTACATAGAGATTTATTTTAATATAGAGATGGGGGTCTCGCCATGTTGTCCAGACTGGTCTTGAATCCCTGGGCTCAAGTGATCCTCTTACCTTCAGCCTCCCAAAGTGCTAGAATTATAGGCATGAGCCACTGCGCCTTTTAACAATGGCATAGATTGAGCTGCCCCATTATTTATGTAACGACTCTTTTATTTATGAGCATTTAGATTGTTTCTAGTTTTTAATTTCACAAACAGATGCTACAGTAAATAAAATTGCTGCAAGGAGTATTCTTTCTCACTTGGGTGAGCATGCCAGTAGAGTGAATTTCTAGAAGCAGAATTGCTGAGTCAAAAGAAATACATATTTACATTTTGGTGGCCACTGCCAAATTGCCTCCAAAATGGTTCTACCTATTGCCAGACCCACCACCAACACGCCATAGCAGCTATGTTAGGAAGCCGTGTTTTTATGGTTTCTTTTGTTTTCCCTGAGCTGGCCTGGGAGTTGGAGTGGTTCTAGGACTGGGGACCAGGGAGACGCAGCACTCACCTCCTCACCCTTAACCTCTGCCCTCTGTGTCCTGGTTGCTGATGGGCAGCAACCAAGTTGTTCTTCCCCTTGGCACTGACAGGGCCACCGTGTCCTCTCTGCCTGTCGCTTTTCCCTTGCAGTCAGTGAATGGGTCGGCCTGGCCTGGCAGTGCCTGGGTTGCTAGGAAGTGGTGAGGGGGGTTTGCCTGAGGGGGATGTGCTTAGGATTGGTGAAAACTCCATTTAGGATGAAAGCGGCAAACATCTATATAAATCCAAACTTGAAAGTACAACCCCATAAATAACGGGACTGGGGAAGTGCCAAAACATGTTACAAGATCAACAAAAGCCTGTTGTCACTCATTCAGAAACCTGACATCTCTTCTTTTGGATTCAGAAATCCCAAGGTTTGGTTTCAAGGTGACTACAACTTTCCACCTAAAGCTCACATTCATTTGTTCTGCCGTGTCTGCAGTATGTGGCAGAAAAGAAAAGAAAATCTTTACCTTTTGCTCTTCCTTTTATCAGTTTCATCAAGGTCCATCTAGCATGCTTAGCATGCAGTTAAGTCTATTTTTAGGAGAATTTTTTTTTTTTTGAGATGGAGTCTTGCTCTGTCACCCAGCTGGAGTACAATGGTGCAATCGCGGCTCACCACAACCTCTGCCTCCCAGGTTCAAGCGATTCTCCTGCCTCAGCCTCCTGAGTACCTGGGATTACAGGTGTGTTGCCACCACACCTGGCTAATTTTTGTATTTTTACTAGAGATGGGGTTTCACCATGTTGCCCAGGCTGGTCTCAAACTCCAGACCTCAATTGATCTGCCTGCCTCGGCCTCCCAAAGTGCTGGGATTACAGGCATGAGCCACTGCGCCCAGCCGAGAATTTTTAAAATTTATTTTTATTAATTTTTTAAAATCATTATTATTATTTTTTTTAGACAGTGTCTTGCTCTGTCTCCCAGGCTGGAGTGCAGTGGCATGATCTTGGCTCACTGCAACCTCCACCCCCCGACTCAAGTGATCCTCCCACCTCAGCCTCCCAAGTAGCTGGGACCATAGGCACACGCCACCACATCAGGCTATTTTTTTTTTTTTTAGTAGAGATGGGGTCTCGCCACGTTGCCCAGGCTGGTCTCAAACTCCTGAACTCAAGCAATCGCCCACTTTGGCCTCCCAAAGTGCTGGGATTACAGGCGTGAGCCACCACATGCACCTGGCCAAAAATTTTTTTATGATACCAATAAATAGATACAGGGGTCTTGCTCTCTTGCTCAGGCTGGTCTCAAACTTCTGGGCTCAAGTAATCCTCCTGTCTTGGCCTCTCAAAGTGCTGGAATTACAGGCATGAGCCACTATGCCAACCCGGAATAGGTAATTTATTTATTTGACTTTTATTTTAGGTTCAGCGGATACATGTGCAGGTTTGTTACCTGGGTATATTGTGTGATGCTGAGCTTTGGGGTATGAATGATCCCATCACCCAGGTACTTAGCACAGTACCCGACAGTTAGTTTTTCAACCCTGGCTCCCCTTCCTCTCTCCCACCAGGGGAATATTTTCACTAGACTTTGGGTCAAACTGCTATCCAGTGTCCTCACTTAACTGAGTTCATATGAACCTTCATGAGGTTCTGAGTCCTTTTGTCCTGGAGGACGTGAGCCACAAGTGGGCTCTTTTAGAATTCAATTACAAACCAGAGCCGGGGTATGAGAACCACTTTTCTAAGCCTAGAGGCCTGTGGTGAAGATGGTGTGAGGTTAGGGTCTTGTCAAAGAAAACTCAAATTGTGGCTGGGTGCAGTGGGTCACACCTGTAATCCCAGCACTTTGGGAGGCCGAGGCTGGTAGATCACCTGAGGTCGGGAGTTTGAGACCAGCCTGGCCAACATGGTGAAACCCCATCTCTGGTAAAAATACAAAAATTAGCTGGACACGGTGGCTCACGCCTGTAATCCTAGCTACTCGGGAGGCTGAGGCACGAGAATCACTTAAACCCGGGGGGGCGGAGGTTGCAGTGAGCCGAGATCGCGCCACTGCACTCCATCCTGGGCAACACAGCAAGACTCTGCCTCAGAAAAAAAGAAGAAGACCCAAATTCTATCCCTAGCTGACTCAGACCTTTAGTTTCTTTAGCTATAAAATGGTATCTAGAATTGTTCTGGTCGAGTATGATAAGGATTTGAATTAAGGAGATGGCATGCATGAGGACTTTGAGTGACATGGAAGAGCAGTGAGTATTCTTTGGTATTAAATGTCACCTTTCATTTGTGAGTGTAAAAGCCAAATGTGATGAGGGAATAATCCCTTAGAGTAGCACCAATTTAGGATAGCATTAAGAATGTTAGCTTGATGGCCAGGCACGATGGCTCAGGCCTGTAATCCCAGCACTTTGGGAGGCCGAGGCTGGTAGATCACCTGAGGTCAGGAGTTCCAGACCAGCCTGGCCAACACGGTGAAACCCCATCTCTACTAAAAAATACAAAAATTAGCCAGGCATGGTGGCAGGCACCTGTAATCCCAGCTACCTGGGAGGCTGAAGCAGGGAGAATTACTTGAACCTGGGAGGTGGAAGTTACAGTGAGCTGAGATTGGGCCACTGCACTCCAGCCTGGGAGATACAGAGAGACTCCATCTTAGGAGAAAAAAAGAATGTCAGCTTGATGATCTGATTAGTTTTTGCATTAAGTATACAACTGTATATATCATGCTATTTTAGTTTAAAGGTTTTAGTTTATAAGATGTAAGTTACAAGCATATACAGTTCAGCCTCGAATAACGAAGGTTTGAACTTTGGGGGTCCACTTATTTGTGGATTTTTTTCTTCCTCTCCACCCCTGAGACAGCAAGACCAACTCCTCCTTCTCCTCCTCAGCTTACTCAACGTGAACACGATAAGGATGAAGACATTTATGATGATCCACTTCCACTTAGTGAATAGTAAATATATTTTCTATTCCTTATGATTTTTCTCAATAACATTTGCTTTTCTCTAACTAACGTTATTGTAAGAACATAGTATATAATATATATAACATACAAAATATGTGTTCATTGACTTTTTTTTTTTTGGGCAGAGTTTTTGAGGCAGAGTTTTGCTCTGTCGCCCAGGCTGGAGTGCAGTGGCACAATCTTGGCTCACTGCAGCCTCTGCCTCCCAGGTTCAAGTGATTCTCCTGCCTCAGCCTCCCAAGTAGCTGGGATTACAGGCATGTGCCACCACACTGGGCTAATTTTTGAATGTTTAGTAGAGACAGGGTTTCACCATATTGGCCAGGCTGGTCTCAAATTCTGGACTTGAAGTGATCCACCCTTCTCGGCCTCCCAAAGTGCTTTGGTTACAGGCGTGAGCCACTGCACCAGGCCTCATTGACTGTTTATGTTATTGGTAATGCTTTTGATCAAGAGTAGGCTGTTAGTAGTTAGTTAGGGGGAGAGTCAAAGTTATACTCAGATTTTTGACTGAGGAGGGATTTGGCACTCCTAATCCCATGTTTTTCCAAGGATTAACTGTACTATAATACTGAATGATTACTATACTTCTGGTACCAGAAAGGCTTAATGGCTGTTATTTAACTTAATCCACAAAAAGTCCTATGAGATTGGCAATAAAATTTATCCACTTTGGCTGGGCATGGTGGCTTATGCTTGTAATCCTAGCACTTTGGGAGGCCAATGTGGGAGAATCGCTTGAAGCCAGGAGTTCAAACCCAGCCTGGGCAACATAGTGAGACCCTGTCCCTTCAACAAATTAAAATATTAGCCAGGTGTGGCAGTGTGTGCCTGTGGTCCCAGCTACTTGAGAGGCTGAGGCAGGAGGATGGCTTGAGCCTGGGAGGTCAAGGCTGCAGTGAGTGGTGATTGCACCACTGCATTCCAGCCTGGGCAACAGAGTGAGACCCTGTCTCAAAAAAAAAAAATTACCCATCTTTATATATTATGCACATAACAGAGGTCAATAAATATAAGTACAATAACAATAATAATAAATTACATGTATTATTTTTTATATTTAGGGAGCTAAGCTAAGCACCTTTACATTATTTCATTTATTCCTCCTAATCCTGTGAGGTGGAGAAGATTCTCCCTGTGATCCATACAAGGAAAATAAGATAGACGGAGGTTAAATAATGAACGTAACTAAAGCCAGTGAACTACTAAAAGGCTGGGGGCTGAGATTTGAAACATACAAATACACAGGATAATGCAAAAGCCATTATGCAGTTAAAGCAGCAGGAAGCTTTATTCTTCTTTGAAGTAAAAGAAGGATAATTTTGTTTCCATTTCCATCGGATTCTTAAATACATATGGCAAAAATACCATGCAGTTCAACATTTTATGTTGGAGGGAGCTACTCTATGTCATAAAGCGACCTATTGTAAAGTAAATCATATTTTCCCATAGGAGCAATGTTGTAATAAAGGGCCTTGTTCTTGGCTGAGAATTTCACATCCAATAAATCAAACCGATGACCAACAATATGGTGGAAAAGCAGAACCAAACAATAAAATTACACTTCAAAATCCAAGGATTTCAGAACTCAAAGGGACCTCAGAGACGACAGAGTAAGTAGCTTTAAAACTTTCTAAAGCAGAGAAACCTCTTCTTCAGCAAAATCTTATTAGTCCATAGATAAAACAGTTGAAAAAGAGGCCACAGTATTTGTACAAGAAGGGAGATTTTATATATATTTATGTTTGTGATGCCTTGGGAACCTGTCAGAGAATACAATAAAATGGTGATGAGGAAGAATTGTGGGGATTGTGGCCAGGTGTGAAGGGATCCTTACATGTCACTCTACTCCCTTAAATGGTTGATTTTTTTTTTAAATTATACTTTAAGTTGTAGGGTGCATGTGCACAATGTGCAGGTTTGTTACATATGTATACATGTGCCATGTTGGTGTCCTGCACCCTTTTTTCTTTTTTTTGAGACAGGGTCTCGCTCTGTCACCAGGCTGGAGTGCAGTGGCGTGATCTTGGTTCACTGCAACCTCTGCCTCCCAGGTTCAAGCGAGTCTCCTGCCTCAGCCTCCTGAGTAGCTGGGACTACAGGGACGCGCCACCATGCCCAGCTAATCTTTGTATTTTTAGTAGAGATGGGGTTTCACCATGTTGGCCAGGATGGTCTCGATCTCTTGCCTCGTGATCTGCCCGCCTTGGCCTCCCAAAGTGCTGGGATTACAGGCATGAGCCACTGCACCCAGCCTTTTTTTTTTTTTTTTTTTTTTTTTTTGAGACAGGGTCTTGCCCTATTGCTCAGGCTGGAATGCAGTGGCGTGATCATGGCTCACTGCAGCCTTGACCTCCCTAGCTGAACCCATCCTCCCACCTCAGCTTCCCAATTAGCTGGGACTACAGATGTGAACCGCCATGCCGGGCTAATTTTTGTATTTTTTGTAAAGACGGGGTTTCACCATGTTGCCCAGGCTGGTCTCCAATTCCTGGGCTCAAGCGATCCTTCTGCCTCGGCATCCTGGCATCACACCTGTAATACCAGGTGTGAGCCACCGAGCGTGGCCCCAGATGAAATTAATTTGACTAATATATTTTATTTAATCGAATGCATCCAGTATACTATCATTTTAACATGTAATCAATATAAAATTATTACTGAGATAGTTTACATTTTTTTCATACTAAATCATTGAAACCATTGGTGTGCATTATTCATAATAGCACATCTCAATTCGGGCCAGCCTCATTTCAAGTGCTCATGAGCACTGTGGCTGGTGGCTACAGAGCAGGTGTGCAACACGCTAGGTGTACTGCCTGAATTTCAGTGCACACTTAATGAATGCTAGCTGTCATAAATTTTCTCCCTTTGCTCATGCTGTTACACATCCTCCTCCTTCTCTGTTGAAGTCTTGCTCCTACCTCGAGATTTGGCCAACTGGCCACATCCCCAAAGCCTTCTCCACACATCGCATCAGAACAGATCCCCTCCTCCTTTTTCTGGTTCCTCAATGCCTATTTCTATGGTAGATATTTTGTCTACCTTCATAGAATTTAAGCTCCTAAAGAGTTATAACCCATTTTTGATTCTTTATACCCTGGGTCCTAACTCAATGCCCGGCCCATGGGAGGGGTGGAGTATGTGTCATGTGAATGCATAGAGGGATAGGAGAATTGCTTGGGTGGCAGGGAGGGCGGTTGTGGGCTGCTGGTTTTCTTTTTGTTATTTAATTTTTACATACTGGTGGGCAGAGCCAGCTCCCTCTTTCCCTCTTCCAACTTCCTCTCAAGGTCATTTCCCCAAGCTGGGCCTTGCCACAGAAAAGCCATGATAAGAAAAGCAAATGTCTTCGTTAAACAGTGGCCCCAAGGGAAATCACGAAATGTAAGCAGGGGCACCCAAAGGCACAAACAACACCTTTCACGCGCTCTCTTACTTAGATGTTCTAAACCTTTGTGAAGTGGAAAGAGAAACTGCCCAACCTCCATTTCTTACAGAGATTTGAGCCCGGGAGGGAGAAGGCCCAGGAGATGAGGGTGCAGGAGAAAGGGGCATGTTCTCTGTGAGGTTCTCTCCGTGGAGCAGCCTGTCTGCTCCGGGTGGGGTGGGGGGTCACCGGCACAGGAGGGGCCATGTCACAGGGCAGCTGGGGGTTCCGGAGCAGGGCCGCTGTGTCCGTGGCTCACATTCTTTTATCACTGCTCTTTAGCCCAATTCTCAGTGTCTGTTTTCCTCCTGGTTTCTGCCCCTGAGAGTGAAGTTGGGGGCAGGGAGGGATACTGAGGCATTTTTAAACCCCGGGCTCATCTTTCACCTTTTGTCAAAGCTGTGCGTCAAGTTTGGGGGGCCCCAGCCCTAGTGCATCCCTGTCTCCTGTAACTTTAAGGAACTGCGGAGTTGCTGCGTTTGATGTGTCTTAACTTTTAACACAAAGCACACCAGGGCTGGTTAATGATCATGAACTGTCATGGCAGCCACTCTGCAAAGGTGACATTGATGGATGGAGCCTGCAGCTTTGAGGGAGGCGGGTGGGTGCAGGGGCAGAAGGTTTATTTAAGCCAAGGCTGATAATAGAGGGGCCTTGTGAGTCACTGACCAGCAGGACTTTAATGGGATAAAGAGAAGGGGAGAGTCCCCTTTCTGCACTGCCCTCTGAAGGGGTAGTTCTCATTCTCCTCATCTTGTCTACCAAATAAAAGCATTCCTTGAAGGTTCAGATCTATTTAAAATCTTCTGCTAAGAGGAGGAAAAAAAGCCCACCTCTGTAATCAACCTTGTCATCTTTCTTGGTTTGGCCTCATTTATTTAGAAGTTCATGTTTACCTTACTTAGCCATTTGAAAAAGGCATTCTTAAAGACATTATGTAGGGAGGGTCTAAGTAAGAATGAATTCAATCTTCCAAACAGCCATAATCCCCTTGGGATTACCAATGAAATGTGAATAGGAGTACAATTGGGGTTCCTTAAGTGACTGTATTTTTCAAAAAAAAAAAAAAAAAATTCAGGCTGCATGTGGTGGCTCACACTTATAATCCAAACACTTTGGGAGGCTGAGGTGGGAGGATCACTTGAGGCCAGAAGTTCGAGACCAGACTGGACAATATAGTGAGACCTTGTTTCTACAAAAAATTATCCAGGATTAGTGGCACATGGCTGTAGTCCTACCTTTTCAGGAGGCTGAGGCAGGAGGATTCCTTGAGCCCAGGGGTTTGAGGCTGCAGTAAGCTATGACTGTGCCACAGAATTCCAGCCTGGGCAAAGAGGAAAAAAAAAGGTAAAAATTTGATTTCCATTTTGCTCTGAATTTGTTGATCATCACTCCCTCCAGTGCCACAACTTAGGAAGCATCTGTCTCTCTTTAGGTAAATATCAAGATGTCACTCTCATTTGTAAACAACGCCCATGGTACTTTCAGACAAGCTGCTTTTCATCATGCACTAAGGGTTAGAAGCTAAAGCTTCTTTCTCGCCTTAGATATAGCTGTGCCACATAAGTTTCATAAAAATAAGCTCTTGGTTAGCCGGGTGTGGTGGCGCGTGCCTGTAATCCCAGCTCCTTGGGAGGCTGAGGCAGGAGAATTGCTTGAACCCGGGAGGCAGAGGTTGCAGTGAGCCGAGATCACACCACTGCACTCCAGCCTGGGCGACAGAGTGAGACTCCGTCTCAAAAAACAAACAAACAAACAAACAAACTAACTAACAAAAAAGCTCTCAGGAAAATGGCCTGAACACAGATCCCTCCTTTGGATGGAGATGCCAAATTTGGATCTCCAGGGGACCTCTAATTTCTGAGGGTGGAGGAAGAGAGGCACACTATTGGGGTCCCCGGATAATTTTGTGGACATGAAGGCTGATGTCCACTGGAGACGTCTAGTTGGCTCCTCGCTTACTAAATTCAGCAGCTGATGGCCCCTACTCATTGCTGGACAGCATAAACATCAGGTTCTGGTAAATAAACTCAGGCTATCACGCAACTGCCCAACATGCACTTAAGCTGTGACTGACAGTTTGCTGGGGGCGGACTTAGAGTCTAGGGCCAAAGCTTTTGGGTGCAGAGCCTCCAAGGTTCCAAGATAAACAAATCTGTCGGTGAGAGTGACCAGAGTGTTAGGTCAGTCCAAGGGTCACTTATAGGTCATCCTGCTGGGAGCTTGGTCTCTGCTTTGTGTTTATGCTGGGGAGAAAAGCAGGAGGGGCCAGAGGGTTGGGTCTCCGCTGGGAAAACATCCCTGGCCTACTCATCAGAGCCTCTGGAAGTGGATTGGTATCCCCTCTGCTCCCAGGAATCCAGTAAAAGGTATGGGTGCAGGCTTGTATTTTTTACAGGAGTTGATGAACAAGTTATTTTGGAAATATAGATTGCAAGATGTGTGGGGCCAGCTCACCTGGGCTGCAGAATGAAGCAAGGGTCTTCCAAGGCCTAGAGTGAGGTAATAGATCACTGTGGGGAGCTGGCTGCAGTAAGCATTGGAAAAGACAATTGAAGAAATGGAAAACTTTCCCTGTCCCTCTCCCTCTTCTGGATGTTACAGATTTTCCTGGAAAATATTTTGCCAGGTTTACATTCCTTACCAGCTAGGGGCTTTTTTAGAGAGTGATCTTAATCTTGCTTTTTTCTTGTGCTTGGCTCTCTAAGATTGATAGAGAGGGGAAAGCAGGGGTATGTTTTATAGCTTCCTTAGTTGACTTTTAGCAAAGTGAAGATTGTCCTCCCCCGTGGACCCTTGGCTTAGCCATCTCCCAATTCTCTCTCATTTGAGGACAGTGTGGAGCAGAAAAAAGATGCAACATCAAAAGAAGAGCTGGGCCGGGCGCGGTGTCTCACGCCTGTAATCGCAGCACTATGGGAGGCCGAGGTGGGCGGATCACAAGGCCAAGAGATTGAGACCATCCTGGCCAACATGGTGAAACCCCGTCTCTATTGAAAATACAAAAATTAGCTGGGCGTGGTGGTGCGCACCTATAGTCCCAGCTACTTGGGAGGTTGAGGCAGGAGAATTGCTTGAACCTGGGAGGTGGAGGTTGCAGTGAGCCGAGATCATGCCACTGCACTCCAGCCTGGGCAACAGAGTGAGACTCCGTTTGAAAAAAAAAAAAAAAAGAGCTGATGGCATTTAAAATTTCATTATTGCAGATGAAAAAGACTTTTTAATCTAAAACTCAGTTGCTTGCTATGGAAAATAGCCCAATTTAATAAAAGGTCTAAAGGAGCTAATGTCTTCAGATAAGCCAGAAGCTGGAAGTACTCGCAAACAAGCCCTTGGGGATACTGGTAGGCCACATTAAAATAAACCCAATTTACAAAATATATAATACATTAAAGATGCATTTAAAGATATGTGTAAAGATGCATTAATGGGCCGGGTGCAGTGGCTCATGCCTGTAATCCCAGCACTTCGGGAGGCCGAGGCAGGCGGATCACAAGGTCAGGAGATTGAGACCATCCTGGCTAACACAGTGAAACCCTGTCTCTACTAAAAATCCAAAAAATTAGCCAGGCATGGTGGCACGTGCTGTAGTCCCAGCTACTTGGGAGGCTGAGGCAGGAGAATCGCTTGAACCAGGGAGGCGGACGTTGCAGTGAGCCAAGATCACGCCACTGCACTACAGCCTGGACAACAGAGTGAGACTCTGTCTCAAAAAAAAAAAAAGATGCATTAATGATATATGTAAAGATACATATAAAGATATGATTAAAAGAATTGAAATTATACTGAGGGCGTGGTGGCATGCACCTGTAGTCCCAGCTACTTGGGAGGATCGCTTGAGGCCACAGTAATGTGAGGCTGTAGTACGCTATGATCACACCTGTGAATAGCCACTACACTCCTGTCTGGGCAATACAGCAAGATCTGATTTCTAAAAAAAATTAAATTAAATTAAAAGAAAGAAAGTCGAAATCATACTGAGTGTTTATGACCACAATGGAATCAAACTAGGAATCAATACCAGAAAGGTTAACAGGAGAATCTCCAAACACTTGGAAACTAAACATAAAGAGGAAAGTCTTTTTTTGGAAGTGTCAAGGGAAATTAAAAAACATATTGAACTGAGTGAAAATGAAAATAAAATATACCAAGATTTGTGGGATACAGCTAAGGCAGTGCTGAGAGGAAAATTTATAGCATTAAAGGCTTACACTAGCCAGGCACAGTTTCTCACGCCTGTAATCCCAGCACTTTGGGAGGCCAAGGCGGGCGGATCACGAGGTCAGGAGATCGAGACCATCCTGGCTAACACGGTGAAACCCTGTCTCTACTAAAAATACAAAAAAAGTAGCCGGGCAGGGTGGCGGGTGCCTGTTGTCCCAGTTGCTGGGGAGGCTGTGGCAAGAGAATGGCGTGAACCCAGGAGGCGGAGCTCACAGTGAGCCGAGATTGTGCCACTGCACTCCAGCCTGGGTGACATAGCAAGACTCTGTATCAAAAAAAAAAAAGCTTACACTAGAAAAGAGGGAAAAAACCTATGCCAATCAGAGGGAAGGAAGCAATAAAGATAAAAGTAGATATCAGTGAAATTGAAAACAGAAAAACAATTAAGAAAATCAATGAAGCAATGGTTGGTTTTTAAAAAGATCAATAAAATTGACAAACCTCTAGAAGGAGAGACAAAGCAAGGAAGAGAAAAGACACAAATTACAACTATCAGAAGTGAAATAGGGGCTTTCACTACGTGTCTTGAAAACATCAAAAAGACAATAAGGGAATACTGCAAACAACTCTGCATCCATAAATTTAGATCTGAGATGACTTAGATAAAATGTACTGATTCCTCAAAAAACACAGACTACAGGCCGGGTGCGGTGGCTCACACCTGTAATCCCAGCACTTTGGGAGGCCGAGGCGGGCAGATGACGAGGTCAAGAGATTGAGACCATCCTGGCCAACATGGTGAAACCCCATCGCTACTAAAAATACAGAAATTAGCTGGGCATGGTGGTGCGTGCCTGTAGTCCCAGCTACTCGGGAGGCTGAGGCAGGAGAATCGCTTGAATCCAGGAGGCAGAGGTTGAAGTTAGCCAAGATCACACCACTGCACTCCAGCCTGGAGACAGAGCGAGACTCCATCTCAGAATGCACACACACACACACACACACACACACACACACAACCTCAACTCATCTAAGTTGGAATAGATAATTTCACTAGCTCTATAGTTATTAAGGACATTCACACACACACACACACACACACACACACACACATACACACAAATCTTTAGACCTAAATAGTTTTGCCAGAGCATTCTATCAAATGTTTAAACAAGAATTAGGCTGGGTGTGCTGGCTCACACCTATAATCCCAGCACTTTGGGAGGCCAAGGTGGGAGGATCACTTGAGCCCAGGAGTTCAAGAGCAGCCTGGGCAACATAAGGAGACCCCCATCTCTAAAAAAAGGAAGAAAATTAGCCAGATGTGGTGACACACACCTGTGGTCTCAGCTACTCGGGAGGCTGAGGTGGGAGGATTACTTGAGCCTGTGAGGTCGAGGCTGCAATGAGCCACGATTGTGCCACTGCACTCCAGTCTGGGCAACAGAGTGAGACCCTGTCACACACACACAAATTAAAAAAAGAAAGAAAAAAGAAGTAACACCAATTCTACACAATATTTTTTCCAGAAAATAGAAGAGGGAACACTTCGTGATACATTTGATGAAGCTAGTATAATCTTGATAACAAAACCAAAAAAAGAATGACAAAAAAAGAAAACTACATAACAATATCGTTTGGGAATACAAATTCAAAAATCCTTTTTTTTTTTTTTTTTGAGAAAGGGTCTTGCTCTGTCATCCAGGCTGGAGTGCAGTGGCACTATCATGGCTCACTGCAGCCTCAATCTCCCAGGCTCAAGTAACCCTCCCACCTCAGCATCCCTAGTTGCTGGGACTGCAGGTGCATGCCATCACACTGGGCTAATTTTTGTATTGTTTGTGGAGACGGGGTTTCGCCATGTTGCTCAGGCTGGTCTCAAACTCCTGGATGCAAGTGATCCTCCTGCCTTGGCCTCACAAAGTGCTGGGATTACAGGCAGGAGCCACTGCACCTGGCCTCAAAAATTGTTGATAAAATAATAGCAAATAGAATTCAGCAATATATGAAAATAATTAAACACCAAGACCAAGTAGTATTTATTGTAGGATGCAAGACTGGTTCAAACTTTGTAAAATGAACCAATCAATGTAATCCACCATATTAATAGGCTATAGAAGAAAAATAACTTTATATTAACCCATTTATCATTAAATGCATTTGACAAATTCTGTACCTATTCCTGATAAAAAAATCTTTCAGAAAAATAGGAAGAGATGAGAAATTCCTCAATTTGATAAAGAACATCTATAAAATATCCACCACTAACATTATACTTGACAATCAAAGACTAACACTGGGGAGAAGGTAAGGATGTGTGCTGTCACTACTCACATTCAACATAGTTCTGGAAGTGCTACTCAGTGCAACAGGGCAGGTGAAGGAAATAAAAGACATACAGGTTAAAAAGAAAAAATGGAAACTGTCTTTATTTGCAGGTAACATAATTGTCTACATAGAAAATCCCAAAGAATTAAAAAACAAAAACAAAACAAAAACCTCTAGAACTAAAACAAATTAGTTCAGCAAAGTCATGGGATACAGGATAGACACATGAAAATCAATTGTATTTTTATATACTAGCAATGGAAACGACAACAACAAAATACTACACCATTTATAATCGCTCAAAAAAAGAAATAGGCTGGATGCGGTGGCTCACGCCTGTAATCCCAGCACTTAGGGAGGCCAAGACGGGCGGATCACAAGGTCAGGAGTTCGAGACCAGCCTGGCCAACATAGTGAAACCTCCATCTCGATTAAAAATACAAAAATTAGCTGGGCGTGGTGGCGTGCGCCTGTAGTCCCAGCTACTCAGGGGCCTGAGGCAGGAGAATCACTTGAACCCAGGAGGTGAAGGTTGCAGTGAGCCGAGATCGTGTCACTGCACTTCAGCCTGGGCAACAGAGCGAGACTCTGGCTGAAAAAAAAAAAAAAGAGAGAAAAATATTTAGGAAGTCTGAAAAAACATATATAGGATTTGTATATTGACAGCTACAAAATGCTAATGAGGGAAATTAGACAAGATCTAAACAAATGGAGAGAAATACCACACTCATGGACTGGAAGATTCATTTATAGTAAATGTCAATTTTCCCCAAATTGAAGTACAGTTTTTTTTTTGTTTGTTTTTTGTTTTTTTTTTTTGAGATGGAGTCTTGCTTTGTCACACAGGCTGGAGTGCAGTGGCGTGATCTCGGCTCACTGCAACCTCCACCTCCCGGGTTCAAGTGATTCTCCTGCCTCAGTCTCCCAAGTAGCTGGGACTACAGACCCGCGCTACCGCGCCTGGTTAATTTTTTGTATTTTTAGTAGAGACGGAGTTTCATTGTGTTAGCCAGGATGGTCTCGATCTCCTGACCTCATGATCTGCCTGCCTTGGCCTCCCAAAGTGCTGGGATTACAGGCGTGAGCCACCGCACCTGGCCTGAAGTACAGCTTTAATGTAATTCCTGTCAAAATTCCAGCAGGATTTTGATTATTTTAAAACTTATATGGAAAGACAAAGGACCTAGGATAGTTAAAACAATTTTGTAAAAGAATAAAGTGGGAAGAATCAACCTACCTGATTTTAATTTTATTTATTTTTTATTTTTAAAAAATAAGCCAGACATAGTGGCTTATGCCAGTAATCCCAACACTTTGGGAGGCTGAGTCTGGTGGATCCCTTGAGGTCAGGAGTTCGAGACCAGGCTGGCCAACATGGTGAAACCCCGTCTCTACTAAAAATACAAAAATTAGTCAGGCATGGTGGCGTGCATCTATAATCCCAGCTACTAGGAAGGCTGAGGTAGGAGAATCACTTGAACCCCGGAGATGGAGGTTGCAGTGAGCCGAGATTGTGCCACTACACTCCAGCCTGGGCAACAGAGCAAGACTCTGTCTCAAAAAATAAAAAGTAAAAATAAAAAGAGAAAAAAATAGAGATGAGGTCTTGCTATATTTCCTAGGCTGGTTTTGAACTCCTGGGCTCAAGTGATCCTCTTGCCTCAGCCTCCCAAAGTGCTAGGATCACATGTGTGAGCCACTGTGCTGGGATCAACTTACCTGATCTTAGGACTTAATATACATAGTAATCAACATTGTGTAGTATTGGCAGAGACATACGTACATAAATCAGTGGTACAGAGAACCCAGAAATAGACTCACACAAATATACAAAACTAATTTTTAACAAATGTACAAAAGCAATTCAGTGAAAGATAGCCTTTTATAAACAGTGCTGGAGCAATTGGACATCCATAGGCAAAAAACAAAACAAAAGAAAACAAAAAGAACCTCAAGTCTCACACCTTATATAAAAATCAAAATTATAGGAAAAAATAAAAAGTTGTAGAAAAAAATTTTAAAATTAAAAATAAAAAAATTATTTTTTTTTAATTCTAAAAAATATACCCAACTACTTTAAAAAATTAGTTGGGTATTTTTTTTAACTTGATAAACTGTACTTCATTAGAATTGAAAACTTTTACTCTATAAAAGACCACGTGAAAAGGATGAAAACACAAGCTAGAAGCTGGGACAGAATATTTGCAAACCACATATCTGGCAAAGGACTAGTATCTCGAATATATAAAGAACCCTCAAAACTCTACAATAAAACCATCAAACAATCCAATTGAAAAATGGACAATCAGAAGAGACATTTCTCTAAAGAAGGCATACAGATGGCAAATAAACACATGAAAGGATGTTCAACACCATTAGCCATTATGAAAATACAAATTAAAACCAAAATGAGATATCACCACACACCTATCAGAATGTTTAAACAAAACGTTTTGATAACACTATTTCTGCAGGTGAAGATGTGCTGAAGACCAGCATGCTTTGCTGATGGGAATGTAAAATGCTTCAGCATCTCTGTAAAGCAGTTTGTCAGTTTCTTCGATAACTAAGTATGCAATTATGATGTGACTCAACAATTACACTCCTGGGCACTTATCCCAGGGAAATGAAAATTTATGTTCACAAAAAAACTTGTACATGGATATTTGTAGCACCTTTATTCCTAATAGCAAAACTGAAACAACCCAGATGTCCTTCAACAGGTTACTGGTTAAACAGACTGCGGTTCATCAATACCATGAAATACCACTCAGCAATAAGAAGAAACAGAGGGTGGAGACACACAACAACTTGGATGGATCTCAAGGGTATTGGGGAAAAAAGCGAATCTCAAAATGATTCCATTCATATGATATTCTTGAAATGAAAAAATTACGGAAACAAACGACAGATTAGTATTGCCAAACATTAAGGAAGTAGTAGGGGTGGAAGGGAAGGGCAGTATGAGTTATCCTCGTAGTGATGGAACCATTCTATTCTATGTCTTCTCTGTAATGCTGTCAATATCCCTGTTGAAATACTGTGCTGTAGTTTTGCAGGATGTTATCAGTGGGAGATATACCATTTTGATTCTTGTAAAATATAGATGGAAAGGAAAAGGAACTAGAATAGCTAAAACAATCTTGAAAGAGAATAAAGTGGGAAGAATCAGTACCCAAAAAACTGGCTAGAGAGTACCCAGGATCTCTTAGCATTATTTCTTACAACTGCATGTGAGTTTACACTTATATCAAAGGTTTAATTAAAAATATTTCTCAGCCGGGTGCGGTGGCTCACGCCTGTAATCCCAGCACTCTGGGAGGCTGAGGTGGGCGGATCACTTGAGGTCAGGAGTTCGAGACCAGACTGACCAACATGGTGAAACCCTGTCTCTACTAAAAATACAAAATTAGCTGGGTGTGGTGGTGCATGCCTGTAATCCTAGCTACTCGGGGGTCTGAGGCAGAATAATTGCTTGAAGCCGGGAGGCAGAGGTTGCGGTGAGCCGAGAACGCACCATTGCACTCCAGCCTGGGCAACAAGAGCGAAACTCTATCTCAAAAAAAAAAAAATTTTTTTTTCAGATATATCAGGAATTGTAGTCAAATACCTTTAAATTATGAGCTTGTATATATTTTAGGTAGTTGCTCAAATTAATATTTAACACATCTGTTTTATTTACATACACATCTGTTTGTTTCCACATCTGTTTTATTTATCCAGTATTCTGGAATGAGCTACAGTATAAAGTAACCTACACTTTTTTGTTTTTTGAGACGGAGTTTCACTCTTGTTGTCCAGGCTGGAGTGCAATGGCGCAATCTCGGCTCACCGCAACCTCCGCCTCCCGGGTTCAAGCGATTCTCCTGCCTCAGCCTCCCGAGTAACTGGGATTATAGGCATGCGCCACCATGCCCAGCTAATGTTTTGTATTTTTAGTAGAGACGGATTTTCTCCATGTTGGTCAGGCTGGTTTCAAACTCCTGACCTCAGGTGATCCACCTGCCTTGGCCTCCCAAAGTGCTGGGATTACAGGCGTGAGCCATCGCACCTAGCCAACCTACACTTTTACTCTCACCGAAACTCCATGTGTGTCTGTCCCATTTGTTCTGTCATAAAACTTCTCATCCACTCCCTCAATCAGTGATTTATTCATTCAAACATGTTTGGTGTGCAAAGGATGAGTGAGGCTCAGTGCCATCTTGGTGTCGCACCATTAAGCCAGACCTTTCTATCCATGTTTGTGGCTCCCAGATATTGTAGAAGTGACACGCTGAAGTCTGATTTAGATTCTTTTGTGAAAACCACTTTTGGAGTGTCAGTTTTTGGGCTTTTGAAAAGCCTTCTTCAGAATTTGCAATCCAAAGAAGGTACAAAAGGCTTTCTGGTTTCTCCCAAGATGTCGCTCATTAGATCAATGGACTTTTCAAATAACATGGAAAGTGAACAAGCCCTTTCTTTTCTTCTTTAGGGTTTTGTAGACCAAATACATTAGTTAATTTTAAAAATAAGAATAAAAGTGTAAAGAACGGATAGATGGAAATTTTGTTTTTCTCTCAATTCTCCTATCAGACCCTGGGCAGAAATGGGTCTGCAACATTTGATCCCAAGAATTCTTAACCAGAAGTCCCTGGATAAGTCTGGGCACTGGCTGAAATGGCATGCCATATTTTGGGACATTCTTCTGGAGAGGGAATCCACAGCTTTCAAGGATTCCCTTGAAAGGGTCTGTAACCCAGAAAATATAAGAATACCTGTTTTAATGGCTGAAGGCTCCAGAGACGTAGAAAGAACTAGAAATATGTGGGAAGAGCCTATCCATGGCCTGATGAGGGAGCTGGCTTTCATCTTCACCCTTCCTACCGGTTCAAGGGCTGACTCAAACACCTCTTCCCTGTGAAGCTTTCTCTGATCAGCTCACCTCCTCTCAGCCAGAAGCCGTCTCTTCTCTGAGCTTCCAGAGTCTTTGCTTGCTCTTCTTTTAAGACACTTACCCGTCAGATGTAGTGACTCATGCCTGTAATCCCAGCACTTTGGGAGGCCAAAGTGGGAGGATCACTTGAGGCCAGGAGTTCGAGACCAGCCTGGACAACATAGGGAGACCCTGTCTCTACAAAATAAATAAATACATAAATAAATAAGACGCCACTTTCTATCACATGTGAAACTAGATATTGCCTCTATTCGCTGCCCCTGTACCATTATGGATTTGTTCTAAGTGGATGATCTAGACATATTTGTTGGGCGAGTGATGGTCCTTACAAGTTTGGTGGCAGCCCTTCAGAATTGGCCTGGAGATAAGAATGGTTGGTTCTTTTGCTTTTCAACAAAAAATGTAAGGCATTGGGCATTGACTGGCATTTTACATGATGTGAAATGCCCAGTGGGGAAGGTAGTCAGTCCTTCTGCAGGGACTGAATGCCTGCTCAGTGAGAAACTGTAAGCAACCTTTGCATCTTCTTTTTTTTTTTTCTTTTTTTTTGAGATGGAGTCTCGCTCTGTTGCCCAGGCTGGAATGCAGTGGCCTGGTCTCAGCTCACTGCAAGCTCCGCCTCCTGGGTTCACATTATTCTCCTGCCTCAGCCTCCCGAGTAGCTGGAACTACAGGCACCCACCACCATGCCTTGCATCTTCTAAATCCAGCTCAGCTGTGGCATTGTAAATAGCACTCTGCCTTGTCCCAGCTGTCTTATTTGTGAAATACTTAGAAAAACTCCACCAATCTCCTGACTTCACCTTTCCTTTAGGGTAAATCTATTATTTTAAGGGAGGGTGGGAGTGGAGAGAGGGACTCAAGTATTCCTTGTTCCAGTGGAATTTGTCCCAACCTCCCACAGCATTGCCTCCAGCCCATCTTGCATTCTTGGCTTTTGAAGAGGAGGGGCAACCCCCTTCTTATCTGGGATTGCCTGCTTAAACAAACTCAGTGGTGTGGAGGTATTGTCCTTTGGAAACTTGGCCTGGGACACTTTACCAAGTGTCTGCAAACATTTAGACATGGAAAACTACCCACTGTTAACCCAGAGCTCATTGTCTCTGCTCAGGGCTGCTCTTCTCTGAAAGTGGCTTGTGGTTGGGGGTGGAGGTGGTGAGAGTCGGCCCAAGGGAATCCCTCAGTTGGGGCTCTGGGCTGGGGAATTGTGCTGCTGTTTGTTTAAACAACCTGAGTGTAATTGGATTGTTTGAGATGCCCAAGATGTTTGGGAAAGTGGGGGAAGGGAGGCAGCTTGCTGGGGGAGAGAGTCACCAGCAGGGACTTTGATGGGTGGCAGGCTGGGTGGTTGTCAGCCTCCAGATTGCAAAGCCAGTGGGAAGGATGGCCCTTCCGGCTTGTCCGTGGGCACATCAGGACCTGGGTCAATAGGTCGGACCATGTAGTCTATAAAATATTAAAGCTAGTACTTGAGGGGTGGATCAGGATATGAGGAATATTTAACTTAAAATCAATTATCCCTTTTTAACCATAACAATCTAAGGATAGCACAAATGCACGGTTACATGTTTGCTTGTTATTTAGATCTGATTTTTTAAAATCCCACAAAAATAGTTGTAATGACCAACTCAGGTTTCACTAGTAAGAATGCTGGGTAGGAATTCTTAAGGAGTTGCTACATCATTCCTTGGGACAGAACAGGGGCTATCGGGGAGTATTTGACAGGCCTATGGAAAAAATAAGTCTGTGCTTTATTGTAGGGATCATACCCTTCCATTTGACCTAGGGAAAAGGGCAAAGAGTGTTAAAAAAATGAGAAGAATCTGGGAATAATAGAAGGAATCTTTGCAATGCTGGGCCTGGCCAGCACCGCCCTGTGAGATCAGACCTCACGTGAACCATGTTCTCACGTCACCTGAGGCATGCAGGTAGACTCCACAAACCAGGTGTGAATACTTATTAGGGATGCTTACCATGTAAGAAATAATTAGAAAAGGTAAAGGGCTCCTATTACGTGGCGGGCTCCCAAATTTGTAATTTTACTTAATCACTGCTGGAACCTGTGACAGAAGTTAGAAAAACAGACTGTGGCTCAGAGGGGTGAAATGAACTTGCCCAGACCACAAAGAGGGAAATGGTTCAATCTGGATTTGCATTAAGATCCTTCTGTTTTCAAAACTCTCTTTCCAATACACTATACTCATACTTCTCCCTACCCTGCAAAAAAAGAATGAAAATGCAGAATTAATCACCATGCAGGTTCAAAAACAAATAACCCTCTTTTGATATGCCAGTAGCATATCACACATAGAGGCCTTCAGCTAAATAAACAATCAATTAGGGAAAGGATAGAAATGTTAATATTGGTAAAACCTACTGATCTTCTGATTGGGAATACATTTTAGATTATTTGAGGATGGAATGCTTGTCATCTTCATTTTAAGATGGCTATCAGTTTTTGAGGTTAGCCCTTAGTTAAAATAAAGTCGTAGTCAAGTATCTTGTAACATTTAGTGGAACAATACCTGACAGGGTACATTTACCCTTTCACCTTTTTTTTTTTTTTTGAGACAGAGTTTCACTCTGTGGCCCAGGCTGGAGTACAGTGGCATGATCTGGGCTCACCGCAACCTCCACCTCCTGGGCTCAAGTGATTCTCCCAGCTCAGCCTCCCAAGTAGCTGGGAGGCACAAGCCACCACACCTAGATAATTTTTGTGGGTTTTTTTTTTCTTTGTAGAGACAGGGTTTCACCATGTTGCCCAGGCTGGTCTCAAACTCCTGGACTCAAGGGATCCATCTGCCTCAGCCTCCCAAAGTGCTGGGATTACAGGTGTGAGCCACTGTGCCTGGCCTAACCTTTCACTCTTAACATGGTTATCTCTGTAAAAGAAAAATAGCTTTGTAAAGGCGTTGTCTTTTTTTGCTTTTTTTTTTTTTTTTTTTTGAGACAGAGTCTTCCTTTGTCACCCAGGCTGGAGTGCAGTGGTGCACTAATAGCTCACTGCAGCCTGAAACTCCTGGGCTCAAGCAATCCTCCTGCCTCAGCCTCCTGAGTAGCTGGGACTACAGGTGTATGCCACCATGCCCAGCTCAAATTTTTCAACATTTATTTTTAATTTATTTGTTTTCACTGTGTTACCCAGGCTCATCTTGAACTCCTGGCCTCAGGCAATCCTCCCACTTCAGCCTCCCAAGGTGGGATCGTAGCTGTGAATCACCATGCCCAGCCAGCTTTGTAAAATTTAAAAGATTCATAACAGTATTTTGACAAATACTTCAGAATATTGTTTTCAGAGAAAAGGGCTTTCTATACTTGCCGAGCAGCTCAGTTTTGCACCGGCTCCAAGCAGCAGCTACTTCTGTTGCTTGGCTGGTGGGTGTCATTTCATGGGCATAGAGAACCACTGTGCAAACAGTGGTGTAACAGACAGCACAGAACAATCGCTGTTTCTATGCCATTTGGCAACTCCATTCTCCTAGACTCTGAGGGCTTCTTAAGGTAGGAGCCAAGGGGCTTTTCAAAATCACACCATGACCACACTGGTTTCGTGGGAGCTGATAGCTTCTTCTAGCACTCCAGGTCTTTGACACCAGAAGGCTGCCTGGCTCCAAATACTTAAAAATTGACGATGTTGGCTGGGCGCGGTGGCTCATGCTTGTAATCCCAGCACTTTGGGAGCCGAGGCGGGTGGATCACAAGGTCAGGAGTTAGAGAACAGCCTGGTCAACACAGTGAAACCCTGTCTTTACTAAAAATACAAAAATTAGCCAGGCATAGTGGCAGATGCCTGTAATCCCAGCTACTGGGGAGGCTGAGGAAGGAGAATTGCTTGAACCTGGGAGGCAGAGGTTGCAGTGAGCCGAGATCGTGCCATTGCACCCCAGCCTAGGCGACAGAGCTAGACTCCGTCTTGGGGAAAAAAAGAAAAAAAATTGAAGCTGTCAGCTAAGTAAAGGGAGTATTTACAATATGGAGGAATGGAAGTGCAGCGAGGCTGGTGGTGCAGCACTGGAGGGTCAGACAGTGTCTTTTTATCCTTTGCAGTTTGCAGAGGATGCAGCAGGTGAGTCCTGTAGACATCAGAGGGGCTTCGACGCTGCACAGCTGCCACTCAGAGGGGACACTGCTGGCCTCGATCACATCATGGAGACCACAAGGATGCTGGGAATGCACTTCCCATTGGCCGAGCTGAGGATATGAGCAGGCCATGGGTGAGCCAGGGTTTCCATTTCTCTTCCCGCCATGAGAATTTCATGCCAGTCAATTTTAACATAATAATTTATTTTGCATTTTGCTGTCCTCACTAAGGTATGCATGGATCGTTAAAGATTAGGAAGTTTGTTCTTTGATTGGATTCTTTGATCAGATGGATAAGATCCTTCCATCTCTTTAAGAATGCCACCTCCTCCTCCAGCCCCAATCCTGGCTTCCCAAATTCCAAGCTCCCAACACTTGAAAGGCCCAAACCTTGTTAGGTTTGATGATAGCAATTTACAATTAACAAATACATTGATAATGAGTGTTCTTTTCTGTAGGTTTGTTTAAAAGTGAAAACAATGTGGCTAGTCATAAAAGTTTCTCTTTGTTTTAGGCTGGATGGCTCACGCGTTCAGAGGAGGGACAGCGCTTGTTGCAGAGAATGAGATTTAGTGTGATGTGTATAAAGGTGTTTCATGGCTAAAGACCAAACAGAGACTAGTGTCTCCCACTCAGGAAGAATAATCACCATGCTAATGGATTAAAATTCTGTTACATAGAATAATCACAGGTTTAAATAAGACTCTGCCTGCTTTATAATTATCAGTATGTGAAAATACACTGAATCAAGGCTGAGTGTAGTGGCTCATGCCTGTAATCCCAGCACTTTGGGAGGCTGAGGCGGGAGGATCACTTGAGGGCAGGAGTTCAAGACCAGCCTGGCCAATCTGGTGAAACCCCGTCTCTACTAAAAATACAAAAATTAACTGGGTGTGGTGGGAGGCACCTCTAATCCCAGCTACTGGGGAGGCTGAGGCAGGAGAATCGCTTGAGCCCGGGAGGTGGAGGTTGCAGTGAGCCGAGATTGTGCCACTGCACTGCAGCCTGGGTGACAGAGTGAGTCTCTGTCTCAAAAAAAAGGAAAAAAAATATATATATACGAATCAAGATGACTCTTAGATATTTGGCTAGAGCCACGGGGTTGATGGGTAGATGGTGATGTTAGTTCTCAAGGAAAGGACCTGCGACAAGTTTATTTGTCACATTTATTTCCTGTTTCAATTATTTCCAAAATGATCAAGACAGGAAATAGGGAGAACAGGTTGGGTGTGTACATATGTGTATTGAATCCAGTGCTTAAACTCACATGCTCTGAAGTCAGAGGTCATGCGTCCAAATCCCAGTTTCACCACTTACTACTTGGGTGATCTTGGGCAAGTGGGTTTATCTCTCTGTGTTTTCGGATCCTAATATAGAAAATAGGTATAAGCCGGGAGCAGTGGCTCACGCCTATAATCCCAGTACTTTGGGAGGCCAAGGCGGGCAGATCACTTGAGCTCAGGAATTTGAGACCAGCCTGGCCAACAGGGTGAAACCCCATCTCTACTAAAACACAAAAATTAGCTGGGTATGGTGGTGTGAGCCTGTAGTCCCAGCTACTCGGGAGGCTGAGGCAGGAGAATTGCTTGAACCCGGGAGGCAGAGGTTGCAGTGAGCTGAGATTGGGCCACTGCACTCCAGCCTGGGCAACAGAGTGAGACTGTCTCAAAAAAAAAAAAAAAAAAAAAGGTATAATTATAGGGTTAAATAAGACCATATATTTATAAACTCATGTGCTCAGCACACCGTAGAAACTCAATATGTGAAGATCATTTGTATTAGTAGTAGTGGTAGTAGCAGTAATATTTCTCCTGGGAATAGCACAGGAGCAGTCTAAGGAGGCAACAGTGGGTGGGTCATGATGGGCAAACAGTAGGAAGAAATGCCTGTGTTGGTACCATTTCCCAAACTGTGAAAACAGAGCCAAGAAAGCTTTGATGGACAAAACTCCCGGAAGCCTCAAGGCAGGCTCTTGCAGGGAAGAGGTCATTGAGGCATCTTGGATAAAAACGGTGGGCTGGGAAGGAATGAGACCAAGGATTGAATGCTGGAGCTGTGGCTTACCAGCTCTGAAACTTGGATCAAATTCTCTGAGCTTAATGTCTTCATTTGTAAATTGTGGATTAAAAATACCTAAATGACAGGGCTGTTGTGATGATAGATAGTGTTCTTATGTTAAAGTGTCCCACTTGGATGGATATGCAGGAAATGTTTGTTTTCCAAATAGCATCTGACTTCTTACTGAATAATGAATCCTTGAAGGCACACAGTCCTCTGAGCTGGAGGCCAGGAGTAGCTTTTGAAATCACCCAAGAAGGAGCAGCCCTGAGCAGCTGCGGGTCCCTCCCAGGCTGACTCAGACCTTTCACCCAGGCGGCCTTTGGGCCTTGTGCTTTGGGAGTCAGGAACCCCAGACTCAAGTCCGTTCTGGCCCAGCCCTTTCTTGGGCTCATTGTTCTGGGAGGCCTTGTACTATTTGTTCATCTAATCTGTTAGCAAAAAGGCAAACTAAATATCCTTCATTTGGACCTCTGGCTTATATCCCACAAAGGACAGAAGTGTCCTACCCGGGGTGGCTAGTGGCACCCCTGTCTTTGTTCCTGTTTGGCCTCTCTAAAAGGCCCTGGGCAGAGAGCTGTGACAGGTGATTGGGAAAGGGCCTGGTGTATCTGCCTCTCCAGGCCTGTTTGGACTTGATTCCTGTTCTCTGATGCCAGGAGGGGCCCCAGAAAAGCGCTGGGACAATACCTATCAAGCCCAAGTAACAAATAGAGGTACCTAAAGTTCAAACAGGTGTGTCCCTTCCTATTTTGTACCTATTACGGAGTGAAGTCAGGGTCCAAAGCCACTTTGCCTGGCTGTAGATGGCCTGTCTACTACTTACTCCCTGACCTGCTGTCTCCCTCAAGTCATTCCCCGACTGTGTGATGGCCACAGTCCCTGGCCGGGTAATCAACTCTCCACTAAGCAGGCCGCCCACCCAGATTTCTCTGCCCTGTCTCATGGGCTGGGATCCCTCCCACCTCCACTCCATCCTGAGAATACCTTGGTTCACTCCCCTATCTCCTGGGCCTCTGTCTGGGTGGCCCATGACTTCCACCTGGAATGCCATTATCTCCAAATCCCATTCTCCCTTCAAGTCCCAGCTGAAGTCCTGCCTCCTCACGATACCTTCCTGTCTACCCAGCTCCCGGGAGCACCTCCTTCAGCCTCCTATGACGTCCACTCTCCCCTCACAGGAGAGCTGCCCAGTAATCATCTTTTGTGTGTTTGCTGCTTCGTTTTGTGTTTTCTGTTTAATTTGTATCTTCCTGTTCCTCCTTCCGACCCTACACACATCTTCCAACTGGATTCCAGGGCCCTGAAAAGGCAGCCAGTGTTGGACTGGCTCATGGCTGCCGCAGAGGAGCTACCCTCCTTGGAGAAGCAAGGCTGCATCCCCTTTTTTTTGCTGACTTAACAACGTCCTGTTTCTACTTCGTGAGATGGCACTGACTCACCACTAGTGGTCGCTATTATTCACACCCTTACTTTCATAATTCAAACTAATTGGGAAACACGTATCTGTCAGCTTCTCTATGGGACTGGATTGCTAGAGGCAAAAAAAAGTGCTAGAGTCAATAAGTTTAATCAGTAACAGAAGTAAAGTATAGAGTCCCCAGGGAAACCTTTAGGAAAGATCTTCATGAGTCTGCTTATAAGGAAAGGAAGAGGCCTCCCAAGCAACAGGTCCCAGACATTCCTACTCCACATACGGATTGAATGTTTATTAAGTTCTGACAACATGCAGGACTGAAAATTTCTCTAGGCATTTATGAGGGTCATGCTGTTAAAATGAGATAAAGAATGAAATATGTTTGATATCATTATACAGACGTATACATAACTCTGTGTGTGTGTGTGTGTGTGTGTGTGTGTGTGTGTGTATACTCTTTTTTGTTTTATTTTATTTTCTTTTTTGTTGTATGGAGTCAGAAAGATCTAGCTGGGTTCAGATCCCAGCTTTGCTACCCGCCGGCTCTGGGGCCTTGGATACATCTCTTAACCTCTCTTGCCCATTGATCATTTATAAAATGTGAGCAATATTCCTTCCTTGAAGGGGTGTTGAGAGCTATAACTGAGATAAGGGTGTAGTCTGGGACCAGCAGCATCCAGGGAGCTGTCAAAATGCAGAACCTCAGGCCCCACCCCAGAGTAACCTAAGCAGAATCTGCATTTAATGAGATCCCTCAGTAATTTGCATGTATGTTAACGTTTAAAATTCCTGTCCTCAAGGAACAAATAATCAGTGTACAGATCTATATGGAGAGGATAATAGCAGCAGCTTACATCTGTAGAGTTCTCCGGCCTTTCTGAAGTGACTTTGGACTCCAAGTGAGGAGTGTTGCTGGTCGGATTTGGGTCTTGATAACGTTGACAGAAATAGCTGTGAGGACTTGGCGGCAGATGGAATGCGCCGCGGGTCTGGGTGTAGGGATGGCAGGGGGAGGAGGGGAGGTGTGGACACTGTTGGCAGAAGGTGGAAGTTAGGAAGGCTGGGAGCGTGTAAGAAGGAGATAGTGTGCTGGACATGGAGGAAAAGTTCTTCCAAGGCTTTGGGAGCATGGAGCCAAGAGACACTGAAAGAAATCAGCCTATTTACGTAGAATTTGCTAGAGCAAAGTCTTTTCTAAAAGTCACAATAGCTTTCTTTATACATTAGACTCCATCCAAATGAATAAATTCACATATACGGCAGATGGTAATAAAGCAAAACTATTATTAATTTAAAATAATAGATGATGGTGCTGGGTGGGAATCTTGGAGATCATTTTCAGTCTAATCCTTTCAGCCCCTGAGGCTCAGCTGGTGTAGGGACTTCTCTCATCTGCCACTTCCAGTGTGACCTCCTCTCACTAAACCTTTTTTCTTGGCTGTGAAATGGGGCAATAAATAACTGAGTTTACAGGTTGCTATGCGGATTCAATGAGATAATTCATGGAAAGCACTTAGCACAATGCCTGACTCTAATTAAGTAACAACATATAATATTATCAAATTGCTACTGACCTATAGGAGGTAGAGAGGGACACATTTTTTATCAAGACTAGTACAATTATTAGTAAAGATTATGGAAGTAAATTTGAGATTCAAGTAGCTAAACCAATTTTTTGTTGTTCCCAGTATGAATAATGATGATACCATATTACAATAATAGTAAAACCAACAATAACTGCAACAATAATTATATCATACTAAACACTAACCATAGCTAACATTCCCTGGATGCTTATCATTAGGTTGGTGTGAAAGCCATTGTGGTTTTTGCCGTTAAAAGTAATTGGAAAAAGAGCAATTACTTTTGCACCAACCTAATATATGCCAAGCACTAAATGAAGCACTTCACTTGGATTATCTCATTTGATTCTTCAAACGTGTATGATGTGTATAATACTATCACCAGTTTATAGATGAAGCAACTGAGGCCTAGTGAGATTAGGTATTGGGCCCAAGGCCTGGAGCTTGTACGTGGAACTCACATTGGAATCCAGACTGCCTGGCTCTCTAAATTGCTCTCTTAACCACTACACTAGCTCCCACATGAATATACCAGTGAACAAAATGCTCTTTCCATTGGTGGCAAATTAGGTGCTATTTGTTTTCTGGCCTGATGCTGTGATACATTTTAAAGAAAATACATGGTTGCAAGTTGAAAAAGAGAGTAGCTTGAAAACAAAAGAAAGGAGGATTGGAAAATCTGTTAACCTCCTGTGTGCTGTGCCAGGGACAGTCACATGCATGAACTCAATAACCCTTTGTGGATATGACCTACATAGTCATGGAGAGCAAACCTTAGCCTCAGAGAAGTTAAGTCATGTGCCCAGGATATAAACTAGTAAGTGAAGGGGCTGGGATTTGAGCCTGAGCCCAAAGCCCAAGCTAGCTCAAAAAAGATGCGGAGCCCTGACTTGTATTTTGACCCAGAGGAAAATTAGATCTCTCCCAATTTCCCAAAGTCCCTAAAACCTGATACCACTGCCAAATTCCTCTGCCAAATTCATCATAGTCTTAACACAGCTTGAAGGACTTCCCGTAGAACTGTTGGAAATTCTGTCCTGGAAGGGCATGTAAAGCTCCTTTCTAGAAGTATTTTACTTTGGACTTATGGCTCACCCCTTTCCAGTATGAATTATAAGCAGCTCACAACTACACAACTGTACCACAAGAAAACAGAAAATTTAGGTAGGAAGGAGAAATTTAGGCTAGGAATAAGGTTAATTTCCAAAATATATGCCAATAGCCCTGAATCAGGTCAGGTAGGCCGTGTGGTATTTTTAATTGGAGTAAATACTGCATTTACTCCCAGAGGGACTATAGGCAGCAAAATCCAAGTAACTTCCTCACGAGTCCCTGGGTCAGGTGAATTACTGTAGAAAATGGGAGATACTTCAAGGCATGGTCTGGCCTTAGAGCTAAAGTTCTGCTTGGGGAACAGGCCCTTCCTTAGTCTGTCTTATAGGCCCCAGGGTAAGACAAGTGTTTGGCTGAAGAGCCATAGGCCCCCCTCTCTGCAGCAGTTCTCAAGTTCTTAGTGCCTTTTCTCCGTGGTACTGTTGCATGTGATATTTCACTAAAACCCCTTTCCTTTCCCTTTTTTTTTTTTTTTTTTTTTTTTGAGACGGAGTCTTGCTTGGTTGCCCAGGCTGGAGTGTGGTGGTGTGATCTCAGCTCACTGGCAAGCTCCGCCTCCCAGGTTCATGCCATTCTCTAACCGTGTTAGCCAGGATGGTCTCAATCTCCTGACCTCGTGATCTGCCCACCTCGGCCTCCCAAAGTGTTGGGATTACAGGTGTGAGCCACTGCACCCGGCTTTTTTTTTTTTTTTTTTTTTTTGTGGCAGTGGGAGGGGAGACCCAGTCTCTCTGTTGCCCACGCTGGAGTGCAGTGGCATGATCTCAGCTCACTGCAACCTCCTTCTCCCGGGTTCAAGTGATTATCTTGACCCAGCCTCCTGAGTAGGAGGGATTACAAGTGTGCACCACCACACCCAGCTAATTTTTGTATTTTTAGTAGAGACAGGGTTTCACCATGTTTGCCAGGCTGGTATCGAACTCCTGACGTCAGGTGATCCACCCACCTCGGCCTCCCAAAGTGCTGGGATTACAGGTGTGAGCCACCACTCCCTGCCTCTTTTATTTATTTATTTATTTATTTATTTTAAACAGAGTCTCCCTCTGTTGCACTGCAATCTCTGCCTCCCAGGTTCAAGCGATTCTCATGCCTCAGCCTCCGGAGTAGCTGGGACTACAGGCACACGCCATCACGCCTGGCTAATTTTTGTATTTTTAGTAGAGACAGGGTTTCACCATGTTGGCCAGGCTGGTCTCAAACTCCTGACCTCAAGTGATCCACCCGCCTAGGCCTCCCAAAGTGCTGGGATTACAGGCATGAGCCACCGTGTCCCGCCAAAACCCCTTTTCTTTGACGTGCTCTCGTTCCACTGAAGGGGAAAGCTCAGCTCTTCCCAGGATGCAAAAAGCCTCCTTCCCCAGCAAGATGGAACTCCCAAGCTCCGGGCAAAGGGGCCTGTAGAATTTCTCTCATTTATGGCTATCAGAAAAATAGGGCGGGAATCAGCCTTCATCACCCGGACCCAACCTTGTGTCAACAGCCCTCACAAACAGAGGGGCCCAGCAACCACCTTTTACACCGCCTGGTACTGTACACGGGCACCAGTTCACACGCTCAGCGAAAGGAAAACAAGCGGTGGCCCTGTCCCGCCGATAATGCCCGACCCTGCGGCAGGGGCCCTTGTTCTCTCCCTGCGCCTTCCCGCGCCCTGCGGGCAGCCCTGATAAGTCTGCGTGGTGGGCAGGCTTGTGTTTGAGTTCGGGTTGTCAGACCCATTACTCAAAGGGAGGACGTGGACTTGCTTTGAGAAGGGCGAACTCTGGTCTTAAAGACTAGGCGAGGACAACCATGATTTATGATTAACCCAGTGACTCCACTGTTAAGCGTGGTCTCAGTGACCGCCGTTTGAGTCGTGACTTTTTTGTGCAGTTGCTGTGCCTCCATCCAGGTGTGAGTTGAGGGCACCATAAAGAAGGTCGAGAGAGCAAGAAATTGGCACGTTGTGGCCAGAAGGCAGGCCTGCATGTTGCCACCTGCTGAAGGAAGAGGGACTCTTTGATTTTCCATGAACCAGCTAAGCACAAGCAATACCTGGATGGGTACACCTGGGTTAGATCCTGTGCCTGTCACTGGCAATGTAGGGAAATTTATTGATTTTTCTTTAAAAAAAAAAAAATAGAGATAGGGTCTCGCTATGTTGTGCAGGCTGGTCTTGAGCTCCTGGCCACAAGTGATCCTCTTGCCTTGGCCTCCCAAAGTGCTGGGATAACGGGCGTGAGCCACCTCGCCTGGCCAAGGGAAACATTTGTGAAAGTGAGTGAGAATAACATTCTTCTTAACTCTCCACAATCAAAACTTGGGGCTTCTTTATGCACTTGAGCGAGTTATTGAAGAAGAAACAAGAAATACAGTGTTTTTCCCAGTTATTTTTCCAGCTGGTTGTTAGGCCAACAAGAAAGAGGTGGAGGCAGGCAGTGGTGTGATGGGTGGGTACAGGAGTTGCCAAGTACTCTGGGACTGTTACTTATTTCCTTCTGTTTCGGGCCCTTGGAGGATGTTAAAGTCTAAATAGTTAGGTTTTTTCTTTTCTCCCTAAATTGGCAGGAGAATAAAATGTGCGAATGTATTTAAAAAACTAAAGTATTACAGAAAAGGAAGGCGGTATTATTAGTTCATTTAGAGCTCACCATGACTCTATAAGGTTGACTTATCAGAGATCACCGTCCTCATTTTTAATTTGATTGGGTTAAGGAGTAGGTAAATGAGGTTGCCAGGTCCAAAGTCACCCAGTTGGTAAGGACGAGCCAGGAGCAGGACCAGTGTGCTCTGTTGCGTCTCGGAAGGAAGGGCCAGCCCAGCCGGCTGGTGTGGGAACCATGCAAGATTAAAGCCTTAGGAGGAAATGTATTAGGAAAGATATAAATTTGACTTAAAACTTTCTTTACCATTTAAGAAATTAAATAGGCTTTTTTTTTCCAAATTAAAAATCTCTGATATAGAAATATCCTAGAAATATCTTACACATGAGAACCACCAGCCTTGTTCTCCTACTGGCACCCCCCGGAAAAAAAATTGTCCCTGAATGGACATGTTCTGCTGCTTGGGGTGTGTGTACGTGTGTTTTGTGTGTGACTTTCTCCCAAGTTCCAAGTTCCATCTCCAAGTGAGATGGAATTCAGAACCCCTTTTGCCTTGAAGACACTATCATAAGTTGATTTCCCACGATAGCCTTTGTAATTTTACTTCAAGCATAATCCACAAGTAAAACATAATTTGGGACAGACGAGGTGGTTCACGCCTGTAATCCCAGCACTTTGGGAGGCTGAGGCGGGTGGATCACCAGGTCAAGAGTTCAAGACCAGCCTGACCAACATGGTGAAACCCCATCTCTACTAAAAATACAAAAAAATTTAACCAGGCATGGTGGCACGTGCCTGTAATCCCAGCCACTCAGGAGGCTGAGGCAGGAGAATCACTTGAACCGTGTAGGCGGAGGTTGCAGTGAGCAGAGATCAAACCACTGCACTCCAGCCTCGGCAATAGAGGAGACTCCATCTCAAAAAAAAATAAAATAAAATAAAAATTTTGACAAAAAGTTATTTCCAATATTATAGATTTTCATTTCAAATGCACACACGATATTTAGGAACTTTATTAAATAGACTTTGTGAACTAGCACAGGGACTTAATCTCCACTTGTAACACTGTTTCTTTTTCTTTTTTCTTTGTTTTTTTTTTTTTGAGGAGTCTTGCTCTGTCACCCAGGTTGGAGTGCAATGGCACAACCTCGGTTCACTGCAACCTCCATCTCCCAGGTTCAAGCGATTCTCCTGCCTCAGCCTCCTGAGTAGCTGGGATTACAGGTGTGTGCCACCATGCCTGGCTAATTTTTGTATTTTTAGTAGAGGTGGGGTTTCACCATGTTGGCCAGGCTGGTCTCGAACTCCTGACCTCAGGTGATCTGCCCACATCGGCCTCTGAAAGTGTGGGATTACAGGCATGAGCCACCGTGTCTGGCCAACACTGTTTCTATCACAAAAGGTGTTATTGGCCGGGTGCTGTGGCTCACACCTGTAATCCCAGCACTTCGAGAGGCCGACCGAGGTGGGTGGATTACTTGAGGTCAGGAGTTTGAGACCAGTCTGGCCTACATGGTGAAATGCTGTCTCTACAAAAAATACAAAAATTACCCGGGCATGGTGGTGCACGCCTGTAATCCCAGCTACTCAGGAGGCTGAGGCAGGAGAATTGCATGAACCTAAGAGGCGGGGTTGCAGTGAGCCAAGATCACACCACTGCACTCCAGCCTGGGCAACAGAGTGAGGTTGTGTCTCAAAAGAAAAAAAAAAAAAGGTGTTGTTGGTTCCAAAACTCCAACTCACACATTTTAAGAATGCTGACCACTTGTCGATGGGAAGTCTGTCATTGACTGTCCTGATAACTGGTCTCTGAAAACTAATGTTCCTTATTACAAATTTCTCTAGTATATGAAGACATGATCAGGCTAGAGTGTGCCAGAAAATTTATGCCAAAAGATGGGCAACAGGAAGGCACATCAAATGTGAAAACAAATGGAAGATTCCAAACGTTCTGAAGTCGTGTTCCTGATTATTCTAAAGGAGTCTCTTGTTTTCTATGCTCCTGGCACCCTTTTCTAATCTGCCAGCACTTTAGACAGCAACCCCAAGCCCTGTCTGGACTGTGGTCCTGAATCCTCTGAAAGTGAGGAGAAGAAAGAGTTCCCAGAAGGCGTATCCATTTAGGAATCTCAGAGTGACACTCAGAAGCCAGATTGTCAGGGCAGTCTCCTCACTTCTCCATCTCTGTCTGGTTCCCCTGCAACTCCCCACCTCTGGGTGAACTCTCCCAGGCCTTAGCACTAGCTGTGCCTCAAGCTGGCATGAGCAAAATATTAACGGATGGAGATTTGTCTGTATTTTTGAAACCTATCAACACAGCTGCTTTCTCAGATTTTGCTGTGTAGGCTGAATTACAAAACCAGGAATCAAATTTATGTAGTTGTTCACATCTGACTTGAACAAATAAACACAGATTTGAGTTATGGCTCAGCTAGCTAACTTGAGACCTGGATTCATCTTCCCATCATAATTTTCCCTTCTGCTTTCTTTGTGAGCCCCCTCCCTCTTTGTCTTCCTTTCATTGTTGCAAACATTTTTTTACTGTTACTTGTGGGCCAAGAGCCTATTAATTAGGAGCTGGTCTGTAGGCCCCAGCGGGAGCTTGTTTGGACTCAGCTCATGAAGCATTCTCACTGTACTTGATTCATGATGGGGCTGGAGGCCAACGGCTCAGTTTTGTTGTAGCCTTTCTGTGAAGGAGACCAGGCCTGGGAATGGGGAGCACGCCTGGCTTTTGGCTCTGCTGAGACTTCCTAATGTGTTTGTAAATCTTTTGAGCCCTGTAAGTAGCCATGCCTGCTAGATAGCTGAAGCACAGACCTGGAAATCGGCCACTATCTAGTCCTAATTCTAATATTTCTCATCCAGGCTTGTGTGTGCCCATTTATAAAATGGCTATTAAGATTACTTCCTCCCCAAGGTCCCTGATTAGGTATTTTCATATGGAATCACTCTTTGGGACCAATCCTCTTGTGGAATAACTTTACTTGATTCTCACAAATCTGGCATTTCAGGGTCTCCCCAGTCTGAGTCCAACTCATTTCCCCTGTTTTCATGCCTTTATATTTTGTACTGGCCAAAAGAGGCTTTACATGATTCCTTGAGACTGCTCTTTTCTGGCTCAAAATCTTGACTCTCTGGGATCTGGACCTTTTGACTTACTGTCTAGTAAGTGCCTTCTAGAGCCACAGGCCGGTAGAGATGGCAGGGACCTGGAGGGCCAGAAAAAGCTCTGGGAGTCTGGGTGGAAGGCTCAGGCGTCACGCTTTTCAGATCTCTTTCTGCTCTTTGAGAGCTTTTCTTAGGCCAGTACCACAAACTGCTTTGGGGTGTACTATTATGAGTGCCTCTGTTTTTGTCTTTTGGGAACATGTCTTGTCTCTCTGCCACTATGCTATAAGAATGAAGACATGCTATGCTTATATTTTAAAGCCATGACTTCTAAAAGAAAAATATTTTCTCTCCAGAGAGGTCTAAATCTTTAAAAGTATGAATGAAGTAAATGTGATATTTATAAAACCCTTTGTGATGAAGGGCCTTTGAGCAAACACTCAATAATGGAAAAATCAATGAAAATGTTCGTATGAAAAGAAACTGGCCAATCTGTCTTTGTGAGTGTCACATTTCTTTGCTGAAACAGCTTGTCTTCCATCTGATAGTTGCAAGGTCCACTGTTGGCAAATGTAACATTAAGATGGCGGAACAGTGAAGGATTTTTCAGCTTTGTCAATCACTTGTTTTATCTGTCAATAGATTTCCATGTTACTGTGTTTTTGATGATTACATCTATATCATTAAGTAAATTTTTGCCAATGAGGGATTTTAGAGCGTGATCCCATAAATATTAAATTGCTTGTTAGTTGCTATTCATTGGGAAGATTACTTCACCAGGGTGCTGCAAAACAATCTGAGTCACAGCCCATGACCAAGTCAAAGATGGAAAAAGGTGCAGGTCCACAGAAGGTGTAAAATGAATTTATAAATGGTGTCCATTAAAGTGAATTGAGTGTCTGAGAGCAACTTTATTGCAACTGCAGCCCACGCACACTGATTGGCACCATCAGTCTCTCACTCTGGCCTCAATTTTGGTTGATATCATGCCAAATTGACAATACGCATCAATTATAAAAACATTTACTCTTGTGCAAGTCCATTCTTTGTAGGATTGTATAACATAGCAACCTTTCAAAATAGTCTAAATGTTCATCAATAAGGGTCTAATTAAACAGATAATAATATAGCCACACAGTGGGATACTATGCAGCTATTAAAGAAAAAAAAAGGTGGCCAGGCGCGGTGGCTCACGCCTGTAATCCCAGCACTTTGGGAGGCCGAGGTGGGCGGATCACGAGGTCAGGAGATCGAGACCATACTGGCTAACATGGTGAAACCCCATCTCTACTAAAAATACAAAAAAATTAGCCAGGCACGGTGGCAGGCACCTGTAGTCCCAGCTACTTAGGAGGCTGAGGCAGGAGAATGGCGTGAACCCAGGAGGCGGAGCTTGCAGTGAGCCGAGATCGCACCACTGCACTCCAGCCTGGGTGACAGAGGGAGACTCTGTCTCAAAAAAAAAAAAAAGAAAAAAAAAAAGGCACACTTTGGGAGGCCAAAGCGAGAGGATTATTTGAAGCCAGGAGTTCAAGACCATCCTGGGTGACGTAGCAAGACTCTGTCTCTATTTTATCAAAATTTATAAAATATAACAACCCCAAAATGCAAATCTTTATATATTCATATGGAAACTTTTCCAGGATATATTGTGTAGTTAAAAAAAAAAGCAAGATGTTGATCAGTGGGTATAGTGTGTGATCTGTTTTGTTTTGTTTTGTTTTGTTTTGTTTTGTTTTTAGAGACAAGGTCTTGCTCTGTCACCCAGGCTGGTGTGCAGTGGTGCAGTCATAGCTCACTGAAGCCTCGATCTCCTGGGGTCAAGCAATCTTTGTGCCTCAGCCTCCTGAGTAATTGGGACTACAGGCATGTGTCACCATTCCCCACTAAAATTTTTAAAAATTTATTTATTTATTTTTGAGACGGAATCTCACTCTGTGGCCCAGGGTGGAGCGCAGTGGCGTGATCTTGGCTCACTGCAACCTCCTGGGTTCAAGCAATTCTCCTGCCTCAGCCTCCCAAGTAGCTGGGATTACAGGCTCCTGCCAGCATGCCTGGCTAATTTTTGTATTTTTAGTAGAGATAGCGTTCACCATGTTGGCCAGGCTTGTCTCGAACTCCTGACCTCAGGTGATCCTCCTGCCTCGGCCTCCCAAAGTGCTGGGATTACAGGCGTAAGCCACCACGCCTGGCCTAAAATTTATTTTTAATTTATTTTTTCTATGTTGCCCAGGCTGGTCTTGAACTTTGGGGCTCAAGCGATCCCTCCACCTCAGCCTTCCAAGCATTGGGATTACACAGGCCTGAGCCACTGTTCCCAGCCATATGTGATCTTTAGTGTAAAATAAAACACATGCTGGATATTTGTGTATATTTGTATGTGCATAGAATGTTTCAGGGTGAAAACATAAGAAACTGATACTGATAACAGATTGTTTGAAGGCAGAGAAATGGAGAAACTAAGGTGGGAGGGAGACATTTTTCAGTGTGAACCTTTCTGAATGGATGGCAGCTTTGTAGTGTGTCACCTTGGCTAGGCTGAACTTCCCAGAATTCCCTCTTGTGTGTGTCTCCAGTTAGTGTAGGCCCCCAAAGAGAGGACTGTGTGAACTGGGAGGGTGGAAGTGAAGCAAAGATGTTTTGTAGCTCACACAGATTGTCACTTATCTGCCTGCTGCCCTCGTTGGCGTGGGCAGCAGCCAGGCTTGCAATGGCTCTGCCTTCCCTTGGATCCTTTTGCAGCTTTACTAAACTTCTGGGCCAACTCTGACTCCTGTGTTCAGCTGCATGATGACGGCACCAGCTTCTCCTGCAGGACGCTAATGTAAGAGGTGGCAAAAAACAACACATTTCAGTCCATCCTCCTGATTCTAGTGGATACTTGTGGGTCCTGTCTTGTCCTTGCTCTTGCCTACTTTACATCCATCTTCCTGTGGACTTGAAATTCTAGCATTAGATAGTAAAACAATAGCCTTATGGAGACTGATTAACTAGCTCCTGCAATTGCATAATTGCATTTAACAAATTCTTATTGAGTGTGTGTGTGTGTGTGTATGTGTAATAACCTACCAATGGTTCTTCTTCTTTGAGTGAACCCTAATACAAAATTGTTAGATTTTTAAAAACATATTCAAGGCATGCTGTTATGCCCTTGTGACAGCCAGATCATCCCATTTGTATCAGTTAACCACTGTGGTAGAAACAACCAGCAAAATTTATTGGCTTAAAATAACAACCATTGTATTTGCTGATAATTCTGTGCATCAGCAATTTTGGCTGGGCTCAACAGGATGGTTCTTCTGCTGGTCTCACCTAGACTCACTCAACAGTGTGGCTAGAGCCACATGGTCTAAGATAGCCTCACTCACATATCTGCTGATTAGTGCTGGTTGTTGTTTGGGTCATGTATCTCTAGAAGATTAGCCTGGCCTTATTCATATGATATTGTGTTCCAAAGGCAGTGAAAGAGAGAGAGACCAAGCCTCAATGCACAAGCAAGCACCTTTCAAGCCTCTGCTTGTATTATGTTTACCAGTGTCCCATTGGCCAAAGCAAAGCACATGTTCAAGCATATAGAGTCAATGTAGGAGGGGATTACCCAAGTGTGTGGATATAGGGATGCATGATTCTTTGAGTCTATCCTATAACAATTCACTGCATCATCCAATGGCTGGTAAAAGAGTTTATTGTACTTTGTGACACTGAAGGAAAATGTAAATGAGTGAGATTGATGGTAAGCTTCTTTAACTTGTTTTATACTTTGTGTCCCCCATGTAATGTTTAGCCCAGGTCCTATCATAAAATGGGTATTCAAAAACTATTTGTTACTTTAATATCTGTAAGTCTCAATCACCACTAGAGTAGCAGAAGGCTTAAGTGAGACCACCTGTGATTACAGTCTGACACCCACTGATTTCCACATGGCATAAGTAACTGGAGAAGAAACACTCTTGGGTTTGGTTTTTGGGTTTATGTGCTTTTGTTGAGGTCATTATGTTAGCCTGTACCTCGACCTCTCTACCTAGAAATTATGAGCAAATAATATCACACTTACAATTCATTTGCCTTTCTGGGTAGAATGTCTTTTTTCCCTTGTTTTTGTACCTCATCACTTTTTTTTTTTTTTTTTTTAAGACAGGGTCTCACCTCGTTACCCAGGCTGGAGTGCAGTGGTGTGATCATATCTCACTGTACATCTCCAACTCCTGGGCTCAAGAAATTCTCCTGCCATAGCCTCCTGAGTAGGTAGGACTACAGGCATGTGCCACCACACCCAGGTTTGTTTGTTTGTTTGTTTGTTTGTTTGTTTCTTTCTTTCTTTCTTTCTTTCTTTCTTTCTTTCTTTCTTTCTCTCTCTCTCTCTCTCTCTTTCTTTCTTTCTCTCTCTCTCTCTCTCTTTCTTTCTTTCTTTTTCTTTTTTGAGACAGGGTCTTGCTCTATCATCAGGCTGAAGTGCAGTGGCATGACCTTGGCTCACTGCAGCCTTGACTTCCCAGGCTTAAGCAGTCCTCCCATCTCAGCCTCCTGAGTAGCTAGAACCACAGTCAAGCATCACTATGCTCAGTTAATTTTGTTTATTTCTTGTAGAGATGAGGTCTCACTATGTTGTCCAGGCTGGTCTTGAACTCCTAGACTCAAGCGATCCTCCTACCTTGGCCTCCCAAAGTGCTGGAATTATAGGCATGAGTCACCGTGCCTGGCTTTATCCAGCTTAAAAAAAAAAAAAATTATATATATATATATATAGGCTGGATGTGGTGGCTCACGCCTGTAGTCCCAGCACTTTGGGAGGTTAAGGTGGGAGGATCATTTGAGGTCAGGAGTTCCAGACCAGCCTGGCCAACACAGTGAAACCCTGTCTTTACTAAAAACACAAAAATTAGCTGGGCCTGGTGGTGGGTGCCTGTAATTCCAGCTACTCCAGAGGCAGGAGAATCACTTGAACCCAGGAGGCAGAGGCTGCAGTGAGCTGAGATTATGCCACTGCACTCCAGCCCGGGAGAAAAAGCAAAACTCCATCTCAAAACAAAAAAACAAACAAACTTGTAGAGACAGGATCTTGCTCTGTTGCCCAGGCTGTTCTTAAACTCCTGGCCTCAAGCAGACTTCCTGAGTTGGCCTCCCAAAATGGTGGGATTACAGGCATAAGCCACCCCACCCAGACTCCTCACAGTTTTTAAATGCCTTGAAAAATGATAAAGAATAAGAGCCAGCTTATAAAGCACTCCCAGAACAATTCATTCAGTTTCTAAAAATGTATTTTTTAGCGCATTACAAGCAAATGGTTTAAGATTACAAATAGTGTTAAAAAGGTTTACATGAAGAACCAATAGTTCCTCTTTTCCTCTGTCTTTTCTCAGAGGCAACCACTTTCAACTCTTTATGCTCATTCTTCTGGTAATTGCATCATATTTCTGTATTTTATATTTCTCTAATAAACATTATACAATTGCTCTTGTTTTTTTATCCAGTTTGTTAATCTCTGTCTTTTAATCTATTTACATTTAATGTAATTATTGATTTGGTTGGCTTTAAAGGTAACGTTTTGCTATTTGTTTTCCATTATCCCATTTTAAAGAATTGTTTTCCTTCTGTCCTGACTTCTTCTGGAATAAATTATATTTTTAAGTCCCTTTTTTTTTGTCTCCTCTATTGAATTTTTAGCTACATATCTTTGTTTTTTTTTTTTTTGGGTGGGGGGCATCCTTAACTTGTCATACCTTGAATTAATACAGTATTAATACAGTACCACTTTATGTATAATGTAAGAATGTTTCAATAGTAGTAAACTTTCATGTGCCCATCTTTGCTATTTTCTATACATTCACTACACGTATTACACCTCTCATCTTTGCTATTTACTATACATTTACTACATGCAAAGACATGTTTTACTTCTATGTATGCTACAAACTCATAATTGATATTATTTTTGCCTTAAATAGCCAATTGTATTTTAAGGAAATTTATTTTTTATTTTTTTGAGACAGAGTCTCGCTCTGTCACCCAGATTAAAGTGCAGTGGCACAATCTCAGCTCACTGCAACCTCTGCCTCCTGAGTTAAAGCAGTTCTCCTGGCTCAGCCTCCTGAGTAGCTGGGATCACAGGCACGCAACACCATGCCCAGCTAAGTTTTTGTATTTTTAGTAGAGATGGGGTTTCACTGTGTTAGCCAGGATGGTCTTGATCTCCTGACCTCGTGATCCACCCACCTCAGCCTCCCAAAGTGCTGGGATTACAGGCGTGAGCCACCGTGCCTGGCCCCAAGAAATTTTAAAATAAGGAAAAATGTATTTTATATTTATTCACATAAGAGTCATATATTTACTATTGCCAGGGCTCTTTATTCCTCTGTCTAGATCTGTTTCCATCTGGATAACTTCCTTCCAATGTGAAGAACTTTGACATTTTGAGCTGGGTGATTAGAAAAAGAAAGAAAAACTAAATGTGAAGGACTTTCTGTATTTCTTGTAGTGTAAGTCTTCTGGTCATAAATTCTCACAAATTTTGTTTGTCTGAAAATATTTTACCTATTTTTTAAAGGATATTTTCACTGGATATAAAATTCTAGGTTGTCAGGTTTTGTCTTTAAGTGCTTTATTCCATTCCATTGTCTTCTGAGTTACCTTATTGGTTATGATAAATTGTTTACCCTTTGTTATCATGTATCATTGTCTTCTCCCACTCTAGTTGCTTTTAAGATTTTTTTCTGTATCTTGAGTTCATAGCAAATTGATCTTGATGGACCTAGGTGTAATCTTCTTTGTTTTTATTCAGATTGGGGTTTATGGAGATTCTTAGATATCTAGGCTGACATTTTTCACTAAATTTAGAAAATTTTGGCCATTCTATATTCAAAATTTTTTTCAGACTGGGCATTGTTGCTCATACCTATAATTCCAGCCCTTTGTGGGGGTGAGGTGGGAGGATTGCTTGAAGCCAGGAGTTCAAGACCAGCCTGGGCAACATGGCAAGAAACTGTTTCTACAAAAAATTTAAAAAATTAGCTGGGCATGGTTGAGCACACCTATAGTCCTAGGTACTTGGGAGGCTGAGGCAAGAGGATTGGTTGAATTCAAGAGTTCGAGGCTGCAGTAATCTATGATTGCACCATTGTGCTCCAGTCTGAGTGATACAGTGAGACCCCATCTCTTAAAAAAAATTATTTCTTGATCTTTCTTCTATAGCCAAGGCTCCAATTAGCTGTATGTTAGATCACTTGGTATTGCCCGCAGGTCATTAAAACTGTGTTCATGTCTTTCAGTCTTTTTTTTCCTCTGTTTTGTATTGATAGTTTCTATTGACCTGTCATCCATTCACTAATACCTTACTTTGTAGTTTCCAATATACTGTTAAGCCCATCCAGTTGAGTTTTCGCTTCAGAATTGATATTAATTTCTTTTCAGTTCTAGAATTTCCACTTGGTTAACTTTTATAGTTTTCCTTTTTTATATGGTAATTTCACCCATCTCTTCATTCATTGTGTCAATCTTTTTGTTTATAATCTTTAAACATATCTATAATAGCTATTTTAAAAAGATTTGCCTGCCATTTCCAACATCTATGTCATCTCTGCATTTGTTTCTGTAGATTTTCCTCCCAGATTATGTGTCACACTTTCCTGTCTCTTAACATACCTCATAACTTGATGATTTACTGGGTATTATGTACTGTATTTATTGATAATCTGGATTTGTTATTTTCTTTTAAAGTGCATTGAATTTTGTTCTGGAAAGAAGTTATTTTCTGGTGGATCAGTCTGATCATATTAAGGCTTACTTTAAGTTTTTGTTAGGACACTCTTAAGGCTAGAGTAGCCATTTTTCCTATGGCTTTCTGGAGTCTCAACTGAATACTTGGGATTTAAGTGAAATACCTCCAGTCTGGCTGGTTAGAACTCTAATTCTTCCCGCATTGTCCAGTTTCCAGAACTTCTCTGATTAGTTCACATATTCCCAGAACTGTTCTCTGCCATACTTGGCAAAATCTTTCCCTGTGCATGTATGACTTAATATTCAGCTGAAGATGAAAGGAGATGCCTATGCAGATTTATGGAGCTTCTCCTCTGCACAGTGGCTTCCTCTCTGTTATCCTTCCAAGCAAGTCCTAGTTGCTGCCTCAACAGCCCTGTTCTCCAATCTGTTTCCTTCACCCAGAAAGATGGTTGCTTTCTATTTGGCTCCACTTCCCTTGGCCTTGGGTTGGGAAGTATTCCCAGGCAGAAAACTGGGATGAATGTGGAGCTTGCCTTGTGTATTTCCCTTCTCTCAAGGACCACATCCTTGTGATATTGTTTGTCTGATGCCTAGAAAGAGTTACATCATATATTTTGTTTATTTTTATAGTTTTATAAGACTATAGAATAAGTCTAAAATTTTTTATTCTGTGTGACAGAAATGGAAGTCTGTTTTTTACATTCATATTTCTAAGTAATATGAATATCATTAATTCATCAATTTTAAACATTAACTATTGGCTTCTTATGGAATAATAGCTCATTTAAACTCCTTTTTCCCTCTCTTTATTCTCATAATATAATTACATTCCTATTCTGATAATATTCATTTTCAGATTTTTGTTTTTATGGATTTGTAAACCCTGTCCCCTGCTAAGCCAAATTGAGCACTCTGATCATGTTGCCTTTCCTGTCCAAATTTTTTTTTTCCTGGAGTTAATATCCGGCTGGTGTATTCTATCTGCCTAATTCTTAAAAAATGCCTAAGTTGGCTGGGCACAGTGGCTCACACCTGTAATCCCAGCACTTTGGGAGGCCGAGGTGGGCAGATCACCTGAGGTCGGAAGTTCAAGACCAACCTGACCAAAATGGGGAAACCCTGCCTCTACTAAAAATACAAAATTAGCCGGGCATGGTGGTGCATGCCTGTAATCCCAGCTACACAGGAGACTGAGGCAGGAGAATCACTTGAACTCAGGAGGCAGAGGTTTTGATGAGCCAAGATCGTGCCATTGCACTCCAGCCTGGGCAACAAGAGTGAAACTCGGTCTCAAAAAACAACAAAAAAAGAAGCCTAAGTTTTCTCTCACTCATTCACTTTTTTTTTTCTCACTTCGTTTCATATATAGGAACCTCATTCCCTCTCTTCTAAGTGTGTCTCTTGATAATATTTTCTATTAGAGCCTTTGACTTTCTGTTTCCATCTGCAATGATTACTCAGTTGGCCTGTGGTTTTACAGCTGATGTCCTGGAGCTCCTCATGACTCTCATCCTGAGACTTTCCTTCCTCCTCTTCTCTGCTGGATTCCCTGCTTGTTGGCTCCATGTTTCACTTTATTTTGATGTACTTCTTCAGTTTTGTGGAACATACACTCCAGTACCTTCCCAAGAAAGGGTGCATGGGAAGTACATTTGTTTTTTAGTCTCCTTAAACATCTAAAATATGTCTTTATTTTACTCTTACACTTGATTAGTGGTTGGCTACATATAAAATTCTAGGTAGAAAATATACTCAGAATTGTGAGGTTATTACTTCACTATACTCCAGCATCCAATGATGCTATTAAAAATGTTGATTCCAGTCTCAAATGATTCCTTAAATATTACCTATATTTTCTCTTTGGAAGTTTTTAGAATCTTTTTTTCATTTATTAGTGAAATTTGATGATAATGTGTCCTGCTGTGGGTCCTTCTTCATTCTTTTTTCTTCTTCTTTTGTTTTTTAATTTATTTTTAAAAAGTAGTGATGGGGGCCAGGTGCAGTGGCCCACGCCTGTAATCCCAGCACTTTGGCTGAGGTGGGCAGATCACAAAGTCAGGAGTTTGAGACCAGCCCGGCCAACATGGTGAAACCCTGTCTCTACTAAAAACACAAAAATTAGCTGGGTGTGGTGGTGGGCAACTGTAGTCCCAGCTACTTGAGAAGCTGAGGCAGGAGAATTGCTTGAACCCGAGAGGCAGAGGTTGCAGTAAGCCAGCATTGTGCCACTGCACTCCAGCCTGGGCAACAGAGCAAGACTCTGTCTCAAAAAAAAAAAAAAAAAAAAAAGTAGAGACGGGGGTCTATCTCTGGTGCTCAGGCCAGTCTTGAACTCCTGACCTCAAGTGATCCTCCTGCCCTGGCCTCCCAAAGTGCTGGGATTACAGGTGTGAGCCACCACACCAGGCCTTTCTGCCTTTCTTCATTCCTTTGTTCTTTTTTTTTTGGAGTCTCACTCTGTCGCCAGGTGGGAGTGTGGTGGCGTGATCTCGGCTCACTGCAACCTCCGCCTCCTGGGTTCAAGCGATTCTCCTGTCTCAGCTTTCTGAGTAGCTGGGACTACAGGCGCGCATAACCACGCCTAGCTAATTTTTTTGTGTGTATTTTTAGCAGAGATGGGCTTTCACCACACTGGCCAGGAAGGTCTCGATCTCTTGACCTCATGATCTGCCCACCTTGGCCTCCCGAAGTGCTGGGATTACAGGCGTGAGCCACCGCACCCCGCTGGCACTGGATTTTTTAATCCAGAGACTCATGTCCTTCAAATTTTCTTGTATTATTTCTTTGATAATTTCCTCCTTTCCATTTTCTTTTTTAACTATTTCTGGACTTCCTTGTATTTGGAAGTAGAACTTCCTGGATAGAGCTTCTTTTGTTTGGTTTCTCCAGAAAAGGAATCTCTAGTTTCATCACAAAGAGTGATCAGGTAGAGGTATGGTGATGGTTTGCCTGACTGCAGCGTAGAGGTTGGAACTTGGCTATTTCTTACATAACCTTCCAAACATAGCACTACTCTCTTACACCTATCTTTTTTTTTTTTTTTTTTTGAGACAGAGTTTCCCTCGTTGCCCAGGCTGGAGTGCAATGTCGTGATCTTGGCTCACTGCAACCTCCCAGGTTCAAGCAATTCTTCTGCTTCAGCCTCCCAAGTAGCTGAGATTACAGGCGCCTGCCACCACGCCCAGCTAATTTTTGTATTTTAGGCAGAGACAGGGTTTCACCATGTTGGCCAGGCTGGTCTCAAACTCCTGACCTCAGGCAATCCACTTGCCTTGGCCTCCCAAAGTGCTGGGATTACAGACGTGAGCTACCACACCCGGCTCTTACACTTATCTTCTGTATTAATTGCTGCCTGTACTTGAGCATTTCAGGAATTTTGCAAAATAAATGGACTGTGTCTGATCCTATTTTCATACCTTACTAATAGTTAGGCTGACCTTCCTCCTTTGTTTTGAATCAGTTATCATTTCTCCATCAGTTTTAGTTCTTCCTACATTTGGGGAAGGGGTTTCAGATATTTTAGTTTCATTGAATTTCTAATTTTGTGTTAATTTCTTGTTTTCATTGTTTTGGAATTTTACTTATTTATATTTTGAGAAGAGCAGCAAATGGAAATGTCTTTACTCTGCCACCTTGGAATCCAATTCTTTTCTTTTCTTTTTTTTTTTTTTTTGACAGAATCTCGCTCTGTCGCCCAGGCTGGAGTGCAGTGGCATGATCTTGGCTCACTGCAACATCTGCCTCCTGGGTTCTGCAACATCTGCCTCCTGGGTTCTAGCGATTCTCCTGCCTCAGCCTCCCAAGTAGCTGAGACTATAGGCGCATGCCACCATGCCCAGTTAATTTTTGTATTTTTTAGTAGAGATGGGGTTTCGCCATATTGTCCAAGCTGGTCTTGAATTCCTGACCTTGTGATCCACCCGTCTCGGCCTCCCAAAGTGCTGGGATTACAGGCGTGAGTCACCGCGCCCCGCTGGAATCCAATTCTTTAAAACTGGATCGCGCCACTGTGCTCCAGCCTGGCAACAGAGCGAGACTCTGTCTCAAAAAATAAAAAAATAAAAAAAAAGTATGGATTTCAGCTGGCTGTGGTGGCTCAAGCCTGTACTCTCAACACTTTGAAAGGCCGAGGTCACCTGAGGTCAGGAGTTCGAGACCAATCTGGCCAACATGATGAAACCCCATCTCTTCTAAAAATGCAAAAAAAAATTAGCTGGGTGTGGGGGCATGCATCTGTAATCCCAGCTACTGGGGAGGCTGAGGCAGAAGAATCATTTGAACCCAGGAGGTGGAGGTTGCAGTGGATCTGAAATTGTGCCACTGCACTCCAGCCTGGGTGACAGAGCAAGACTCCATCTAAAAAAAAAAAAAAATCTTTGAATTTCTCCCCCTGCCTCCTTCCTGCCTCTTCCTTCCTCCCAGATCTCAAATCCTAGTGATCAAATTACTCATACCCCTCAGTTCTTCATTGTTTGTGTAAGGCCTCTGTCTTCACATTGGTGAAGCATGGTAGTGGAGACAAAAGAAACCAAACAAACTAACAAACAAATCAATATCTCATTACAGAAACCAACACTATGAAACCAATGAACTTGATGCTGTGCAAGAGAGCAAAGGGGGTGGGTTGGGGAAGTATTTAGATAGGACAGCCAGGGAGGGCCTCTCTGAAGAAATACCATTGACCTTCAGACTTGAAAAGGAGTTGGCCCTTTGAAAGAGGAAGAAAGCATGTTTGAAGAACAGAGAGGAAGCCAGTGAGGCTGGAGTGTAGTTGACAGGGAAGAGTGTGGCTCCGACGAGCCTGTGGAGAGGTGGGCAGGGGCTCAGCTACACAGGGGCTTTTAAGGCCGCTGAGAACTTGAGCTTTTATCTGAAGTGCAATGGAAAGCCACTGGCAGTGGTGGTGGGGTGGTGGGTAGGGTGGTTAAGTGGGGGAGTGACATTGCTTCTATAGTCATAGTTTTAAAAGTATCCCTGCACATGAGGCATGCAAAGCACATTGCGGGGTGCAGGTAAGAGTTGAAGTCAGGGAAACAGGGGGGATCTTGCAGCAGTTCAGGTGGGAGATGATGGTAGCTCTGACTGAGCAGGGGTGAAGCAGTGAAGATGGGGAGAAATGGATGCAGTCGGGATTTATTTTGTACTTTATTTTTTTAATTTTTAATTTTATTAATTTATTTTTATTTGTAAAGATGGGGTCTCACTATGTTGCCCAGGCTGCTCTTGAACTCCTGATCTCAAGTGATCCTCCCAAAGTGCTGGCCTCAGCCTCTCAAAGTACTGGGATTATAGGCGTGAGCCACCGCAGCTGGCAAGGATTTATTTTGGAGGTAGACCAAGCAGGATTTGGGATGGACTGGATGTGAGGAGTGAGGGAGAGGAACAGAGGAATTTATAGACAGCATGCATGTGAACCTGTAATCATCTCCCCAGACCCCTGCAACTAACATCTGAGATATTGGTTTCTTTACACTGTACTCTGAGACGGCTGTCCTAGCGTAGCATCCACATGCATCTGTGCTGAGGGGGTGGCGGCTCTCTGAAGTTCTTAGACAGGAAGTGGGATTTTTGAAAAGAGGCCTACACTTGTTTCAGGCCATTTCTCCCAGGTTGTGGGAAAAAAAAGTGACAATAGTTAAAATGAAGATGATAATTAATAATAACAATTATAGCTAACACTTGCTGAGCTCTTATTATGAGCCGGGCACCCACAGCCACGCTATGAGAGGCCAAGTATCTTGCCCTAAGTCACACGGGTAGCAAGGCGACAAGGCAGGACAGCCCCCAGGTGGCCTGGCCCTAGAATCTGCTGTTTTTACCACCGTGCTATTAAGCTGGCTCTGAATGTAGGCAGATGCCCTTTGTTGGGCATTGCCATCCAGCATACTTTTTGGATGCAGAACCAGTAAGGTGTAGTTCAGGTACAAGCAGCGTTTGAGAAAGAGTTTAGGATTTTAGAACCTTCGTTTTTTTTTATGGAGTTTCGCTCTGTCACCCAGGCTGGAGTACAGTGGCACGATCTCGGCTCACTGGAACCTCCACCTCCTGGGTTCAAGCAATTCTCCTGCCTCAGCCTCCTGAGTAGCTGGGACTAGAGTTGCGCACTACCACTTATTAGAGACAGGGCTTCATCATGTTGGCCAGGCTGGTCTCGAACTCCTGACCCCAAGCCGTCCACCCGCCTTGGTCTCCCAAATTGTTGGGATTACAGGTGTGAGCCACTGCTCCCGGCCCTAGAACCAAAACAACCATCATGCTAACACCAAGCAAACAATAAAAACTTGAAAATGTGAAAAGGGCCTATGCTGGCCAGGCCTAAGAAGTGAGGATGTCTGTGACAGGCCTGAGGTCACCACTGGCTCTTCTTGAGCTGGGTAGGTCACTTAGCCCATCGCTGTAACTTTGGCTCGGGCACTTCTCCTGCCTGGGACTGAGAGGAGTCAGCTCCTAAACCTCCTCGCTGGGAGCTAATGATTAACTGGCTCTATCTCTGCCCCTCCTGCGCCTTCCTCTCTACCCATACTCAGACACAGGACAGTCTGGGCCACCACCAACCTTGGACACCACCAATCTATGGCAAGGCTATACGTTTTTAATTACAAGGAGATACCTTTATCTCTGGCCAGATGTTTTCTCCATTAATTTACACCTTCTCTTATCTTTTGCATCTATTGTCTCCCTGTGACGAACGTCCATCCAGCATGTGCCTGTGCTGCCACTGCCTCTGCAGGCCCCTGTCCCTCGGCTGACCCCTCGGGGGCCTCATTTATCTCCCTGCTGGCCCTCCTTATGCCTGACCCTGTCCAGGCTCGCTTTGATCTGTCCCTTGCTCCTCTCTGCCTTCACCTAGAGTTCTCCTTTCTCCTTTTCAGGCAACGTCCCTGCCCATTCCAGGAATTCTCCTGACTCCAGGGCATGGTGTTTCTGGGAGCTGGGCCTCTTTGTCCCTCCAAGAGGACAGGAAAGCAAGCAGGGGAAGTGGCCGTTTGCATAGCCAGAGGAATGGGACTAGAGAAAACAGACAGGGCGGGTCTCCTGGGTTCCCAATCAAAGGAAAAGAGGGTCAGAGCAGGGAGGCAGGAGGCCAGGGGCTCTGCAGGGTTGGCTCTATTTAACTTACTCCTTCTGCAAGCAGTCACTTATGAGGTGCCTACTGTGTGCAAGGTGTGGCATGACGGGGCTGAGATACAAATTTGGAGACCTGGTCTGATGGCTGGCTAACCCCTCCCTGACCCTGGACACTGCAATGAGCTGAGGCCGGGGAAGAGACTTGGCCTTGGCAGGTGGAAAGCTGCCTGGGCACCCACGTGGTGGCCCTTGGTGGGGGCAACTGGAGCAGGAGGGAGTTGACATGTAAAGGAGCCAGCACCAGATGCCCGGCTCTGTCTGGTTAAGGCAGATGTTTTCTTTTCTGTTTTTCTTTTTGTTTGATACAGAGTCTTGCTTTGTCACCCAGGCTGGAGTGCAGTGGCGCAATCTCGGCTTACTGCAACCCCTACCTCCTGGATTCAAGCGATTCTCCTGCCTCAGCCTCCTGAGTAGCTGAGATTACAGGTGTGTGCCACCATGACTGGCTAATTTTTATATTTTTAGTAGAGACGGGGTTTCACTACGTTGACCAGGCTGGTCTCGAACTCCTGACCTCAAGTGATTCACCTGCCTCGGCCTCCCAAAGTGCTAGGATTACAGGTGTGAGCCACTGCACCCGGCCTGGGCCGACATTTTCTAACTTGGTTCTGACTTGGCCTGAGGTAGCCCTCCAACACTTCTGTTAACCTGCCTGTTTTCAGCCTGCTGCTAAGCATAACTGTTGAAACCCACAGAGATTTCTGTGTCTCCTTTTTTCTCTAGGTGTCTCTTCAGGCTGGAATTTCTCCCCAAAATGCTAGCACTGGGCTGGTCCTGGGCATTCTGCCATCTACAGCAAATAGAAAAGGAAAATGTGTCCTTACTGTCGCCACCAATGTTTGCTGTGGCCCTTGGGGGAAGGGTGGGCCCCAGCGGCTGCCGGACACACCTGCTGGATAGAGGGAGGAGTCCAGCGCTCAGGTGGGAGCCATCCAGGTGGCCTGGGAAGGCCAAGCGCCAGACCCCCTTGCTGGTGCATGAGGAAAGACAGGCACTACCAAGGCTTCCGAGGACTGCCAGGCAGCTTTGCACGGCATCCCAGGTCTCATTTGCAGGGAAAAAGCTTGAGAATAAAAAAACAAAAATCAAAACTGAACTCTGGAAAGATACATACACAATTGTCACCAGTGGATGCCTTAGAGGAGGTTGACGGAGTGGGTGGGAGGCGGTGCAGTCCTTTGAGAGGACTTTGGCTCTTGTTTTGTGTGAACAGGGGGACGTGGGGAGGTTTTGAGCAGAGGAGTACACTGTCTGTCTTGAATTAACTTTTTTCTTTTTCTTTCTTTTTTTTCTTTTCTTTTCTTTTTTTTTTCTTTTCTTTTTTTTTTTTTTTCCAAGGGAGACAGGGTCTCTCTCTATTGTCCAGGAGTGCAGTGGTGTGATCATGGCTCACTGCAGCCTCGAACTCCCGGGCTCAGGTGATCCTCCCATCTCAGCCTCCCAAGTAGCTGGGACTGCAGGCGTGCACCACCATGCTTGACTAGTTTTTGTATTTTTTGTAGGGATGAGGTTTTGCCTTGTTGCCCAGGCTGGTCTCGAAGTCCTGGGCTCAAGTGATCCGCCTGCCTTGGCCTCCCAAAGTGCTGGGATTACAGGCGTGAGCCACCGCGCCTGGCCTGATTTGACTTTTAAAAGAACTACTCTGGCTGTTGTTGGAGAACAGAGTGAGGGGGAGAGGGGTGGAAGTGGGAAGACCATTGCCCTAATGTAGGAGGGGGATGGTGGCACGGACCAGGCAATTCCCATGGCAGTGGTGGTGAGAAGGGGTCAGTTTCTGGGTGTGTGTATATATGTATATGACAGAGTCTTGCTCAGTCAGCCAGGCTGAAGTGCAGTGGTGCGATCATGGCTCACTGCAGCCTCGATCTGGGGTATATTTTAGGGAGTAGAGTTGACAGGCTTTTCTGATGAATGGGATGTGGCATGTGAAAGAAAAAGGGAAAGAAGTCGGGGATGACTCCAAGGACTTTGGCTTGAGCAACTGCAAGAATGGAGCTGCCATTTGCTGAGAAGACAAAGATGTGAAATCCTCTCCTTTGCCTGGCCTGTATTCCCTCCTGAATATACGGGAATAGAAGCCATGGAAGGAAAGGAGTTGCCTTGGGTGCCTGGCATCAGTCCTCCCACATTGTCAACAAACCATGTGGAAGGAATGGAAAAAAGGGAAAAAGAAAAGGAGAGCAAATATTTGCCTAAAGCTATCTGAGCAGCTCTTGGGCTTCCAAGGGCCAAGTGGTCTCTACAGTTTGGGAAAGTGGGTCAAAGAAGTGTTGGGGTCGTCACGAGTGCCATGATTCCTGTGGATTCTCATCTTGGCGTTTGGGGTCTCTAGCCTCATTTTTAAAGTTGTAAAGCTCTTATAATAATGTAACGCTTTTATAAAATGACGAACAAGAGTGTATCACAGAGATGTAAGGATAAAGAAGGTGCTTTAGGTGTGTGTTTCTGAACAAATTCTAGGATAGGTGCTATACAAGAGTAAGGTACTATTCCAGGGGCCAAAGCCACCTCAGTGAGCCAGCTTCATTTTCTCGGCCGTCTTAGCTGTCTGAACTCTTCTTGAGGACAAGGAAGTCAGCAAAGAAAGGACACCCAGTAAGGCCTAGAAGCCTTCCTAGTTGGAGAGCGTCACAGACCCTGACCTGGAGCCTAGGAACTCTTAGTTTAGACATATTTGTAACTGGCTGGACGCGGTGGCTCACGCCTGTAATCCCAGCACTTTGGGAGGCTGAGGCAGGCAGATCACCTGAGGTCAGGAGTTCGAGACTAGCCTGGCCAACATGGTGAAACCCCATCTCTACTAAAAATACAAAAATTAGCCAAGTGTAGTGGTGGGCACCTGTAATCCCAGCTACTTGGGAGGCTGAGGCAGGAGAATAGCTTGAACCCAGGAGGCGGAGTTTGCAGTGAGCTGAGATCGCGCCACTGCACTCCAGCCTGGGCAACAGAGCGACACCCTGCCAGGCTACAACAGGAGCCAGTACAGCAGTATGGTTCAGCGTGAGCTCTGAATTTGGATAGCATAACGTTCCCTCATGCCTCCAGCTGTGTGAACGAGGGCAAGTTAATTGATCTCTCTAAATCTCTGTGTCCCTGTCTGTAAATTTAGATAAAGTACTACTTTATAGGGACTTTAAGAAGATTAAATGAAGAAATATTTATGAAGTGCTTGGCACCATGCCAGATACATGGAACCTGCTTAATAAGTAGCAATTTATTTATTTATTTATTTATTTATTTATTATTTATTTATTTATTTTTGAGACAGAGTCTCACTCTGTCCCCCAGGCTGGAGTGCAGTGGTGCGATCTTGGCTCACTGCAAGCTCTGCCTCCTGGGTTCACACCATCCTCCTGCCTCAGCCTCCCGAGTACCTGGGACTACAGGCGCCCACCATCATGCCCAGCTAATTTTTTTGTATTTTTAGTAGAGATGGGGTTTCACCATGTTAGCCAGGATAGTCTCGATCTCCTGACCTCGAGATCCATCCACCTTGGCCTCCCAAAGTGCTGGGATTACAGGTGTGAGACACCATGCCCGGCCAATTTATTTAAATTAAAAAAAAAAACTTTGTAGAGGCAGGGTCTCACTGTGTTGCCCAGGCTGGTGTCTATCTCCTGGCCTCAAGCAATCCTTCTGTCTCAGCCTTCCCTCCTATAGCTCTGGGATGACTATTGTGAGCACTGCACCCAGCCCTGGACATGTATTAATATTTAAAAGGATAACAAATCAGGGAGTTTTTTGTATTTTTTTAAACACAGGGTCTTGCTCTGTTTCAGAGAACTGTTGTTCTTGAAAAAAAACCAAAAACCAAAAAAAACAAAAAGAACTCCCTTATTTGAAAATTTCCAGGGATTTATCCTAATGATGACTTGAAAAATCATTTATGGAGGGATATGATTATTTTTGAAAGAATATACTTTTTTTCTTTTTAAATGAGACTGGGTCTTGCTCTGTTGCCCCAGCTGGAGTGTAGGAGTGTGGTCATAGCTCACTACAGCCTTGAATTCCCTGGCTCAAGCGATCCTCCCACGTCAGCCTGCCAAGTAGCTGAGACTACAGGCACATGTCACCATGCCTGGCTAATATATATATATATTTTAATATATATTTTAATATATTTTCCTATATATTAATATATATTTTTATGTATTTTCATATATATATATATATATATATTTTTTTGTAGAGATGGGTGGGCAGGTCTTACTATGTTGCCCAGGCTGGTCTCAAACTCCTGGCCTCAAGTGATCTGCCCGCTTCAGCCTTCCAAAGTGTTGGGATTACAGGCATGAGCTCCTGGCTGAAACACAACACAACACAACACAACACAACAAAACAAAACACTTAATGTACTTCATAATCCCCTTACATATAAGCCAATGAGGTTGTTTCATTTTTTAAATATGTCAGGTATAGAACCCTCACAACTTTACACATCCACAGTAGGTTTCCAACTAGATGGATGGAATTAGTGGGAAGTGTGGTGGATAAACCTCTCAAGGGGTAGGTCAGAGACAGGACTGGTTAAAGGCGGGAGATTTTCAAGCATATTAACCACACACACACACACACACACACAGTCACATGACGTCCAATTCAGGAAGATATATTTTCAAACCAAAAATCAGGATAGATAGTACGAGAAATACAAATGGCCCTGGGGAACAATGGAATAGAATCTTTACCACGTGGAACTGCCTTGGACTCTCCATGGCCTCTTGACATTCTCCCGTGGCTGTGACTCCCATGTTTCTGAGTAGATCTTGGGCTTCTGAGGGCCAAATGGTCCCTATGGTTTGGGATCTTGGGCCCATTTCTGTGTGTGTTTTTGTTTTTTTTTTTTTTTTTCAGACAAGGTATCTCTCTGTCACCCAGCCTGGAGTGCAGCGGCGTGGTCTCAGTTCACTCCAACCTCCACCTCCTGGGCTCCAAAGATTCTCCCACCTAAGCCTTCCCACTAGCTGGGACTACAGGCACAAGCCACCACATCTGGCTAATTTTTGTATTTTTTTTTTTTTTGTAGAGATGGGGTTTCGCCATGTTGTCCAAGCTGGTCTCGAATTCTTGGGCTCAAACCATCTGCCCACACTGGCCTCCCAAGGTGCTGGTAGGTGTTAGCCATGGCGCCCAACCCCATTTCTTTCTCTTAGTCTATTCCAGTAGCTTCTTCCTGGTCCTTGGGTAGGTTACCCATTGGGCTCTGTCTACTAAAACAATCACAAGTTAGTTATTTAGTGGGACACATCTAACTCCTCTTCAAATCCCCCAGCTCCTAGTATAGGGTTTGATCCAGAACAAGCAGTCAATCAGTGTTTGTTGAATGAGATTGAATTAGCGTGGGTGAGAATTAGCAATGTTCTCCTACTTCCTGAGCCACCTGGATCAATACCTCCTGGAGTGCCTCAGCCCAGACAACCAGGCTGGCCCTGCAGATGGCCTTAGCCTCCTGTCCCTGTGGGTGCGCGGCTGGCTGCCTTCTTCCCCACGTGGATGCAGGCCTGGCTTTGGGAAGCGTCCAGCCGGGCCCTGCTTGAAGGCCGCGGCTCCACTGGGCACATGTGGATTGCCCTGAAGCAGCATTTTCCCAAGGTTTGGCTGTGCTAATTATTCCTTCCCCTCCTACTGTTAAAACCTTGGACTAGAAAATGAAATCAGGGAGGGGGCATGGAAGGGCAGCTGGGAAGGAAAGGAGTTAATAAGCAGAACAAGGTCACCCATCTGCTGCCGCTTTCCACACTCCCTTATCTGTGACGCCATCCGCTCCAAGGTCCCCTCTTTTCATTAAAACTGTTGAATTACCCAAAATGATAAAATTAACTAAATTTTTACTGGCCTTCTGTCTTAGACATAACAGAGCTCGCTTTGATACTGCAGCTGTCCTGATGGGCTGTGCTTCTCTCCTCCCTGTAGCTCCTAAGAGGAAAAGCAGCGGCCGGTGGAGAGGCTATGGGACTAATCTGGCCCCCGTCCCCCACCTGGGCAGGCAGACTGTGAGTGTCTGCAAGGGTCTGTTTCCTGGGCAGGTGAGAGACAGGCCTGCCAGCTCATGCTCTCTGACAGGGCTGTGACAATACCTTGTCATTCCACACCTCTGCAGGGGAGAGGGGATGAGATGGCCAGGCTTCCCAAAGCCAGGAAGCCAGAGTGTCTGGAAGATCATGTGGCCTCTGTGAAGCCCCTGCATCGTCCGTGTACCAGGAGGAGAAGCAGAGGAATGTACAGGCAAACCCTGCCCTCGACAGAGGTGCTGGGCTGGAAGGGAAAGAGCATGTTGCCACTGGGTCAGGTAAAATCTAGTTGTTGTGTGATCCTGAGCACTGAAATCCAGTGAGTCTCAATTTCTTCAACGGTGAAATAAGAACAGTAACCACTATGTCAAAGGACTAAAGGAAATAACATATTAGATTCCAGCCCCTGCTTGGCAGATAGTGGGTGCTCAGGTAATGTTTGTTTGACCAATTATTCCTAAACAGACCCACCATATTAATGTAACCACCAAGGCCACAGCAAGAAACCAAAACAAAAAGTAAAAGTAGGGGAAAGGCTGATATTTAAATTCCTTCAGGATACTTTAAAAAACACAAATGAAAGTATTATAAATGCTGTTATGAGTTTTCTACTTTTCAATCTAGTGATACATCTTGGAGATCGTTTTAAATTAGTACCTAGAGATTTGCCTCATTCTTTTAAAAAATTGACTGCATAAGTTGGATGCTGTGGCTCATGCCTGTAATTCCAGCACTTTGAGAAGCTGAGGTGGGTAAATCACTTGAGACCAGGAGTTCAAGACCAGCCTGGCCAAAATGGTGTATTTTTGTCTCTACTGAAAACGCAAAAATTAGCCAGACGTGGAGGCACACACCTGTAATCCCAGCTACTTGGGAGGCTGAGGCACGAGAATCACATGAACCCGGGAGGCAGAGGTTGCAGTGAGCCGAGATGACACCATTGCATTCCAGCCTGGGCAACAGAGTGAGACTCTGTCTCAAAAATAAAAATAAAAATAAAAGACTGCATGACATTCTATAACCTGGGCATATCAGGCCTCTATTGACCAACAGGTACATATGATATTTTGCTATGTTCAATGTTGACCCCATGAATATCCTTGTACCTACTTCTTGGAGCACCTGAGTCAGTGTACCTATAGCCCTACATCTTTCAATACCTTAATAAACAACTTGGGTAAAAATATGGAAGGCACATTTTTCCGTTTTGCTGAAAGGTAAAACTAGTACAATTGGTGGACAGAGTTCTATGTGTATCTCCATGAGACTATCATTCATATAGTCTCATTTATATACAAATTATATTTATCACTTACATATTGAGTACCTACTGCAGTGTATAGGGAGTCTAGAGTCTCAGGACAGGGGATGAGCTTGAAGTTCTCCAGGTGTCGTGATATATGTCTGTGATGTAGATTGTGGCATGGATGTCCAGTGATACATTTCAGTTGGATTGAACAGAATTCGAATGAATTAGAAGTTCTTGCTGGGCGCAGTGGCTCACGCCTGTAATCCCAGCACTTTGGGAGGCTAAGGTGGGCGGATCATCTGACGTCAGGAGATTGAGACCAGCCTGGCCAACATGGTGAAACCCCGCCTCTACTAAAAATACAAAAATTAGCCAGGTGTGGTGGCGGGAGCCTGTAATCCCAGCTACTCAGGAGGCTGAGGCAGGAGAATCGCTTGAACCCAGGAGGTGGAGGTTGCAGTGAGCAGAGACTGAGTCACTGCACTCCAGCCTGGGCTACAGAGCGAGACTCCGTCTCAAAAAAAAAAAAAGTCCTCTACTTGGCTAGATTTTCAGACCCTCACTCTCTTGACTACCCTCCTCTGAGAAAACTCCAGGATGCCGGCCGGGTGCAGTGGCTCACGTCTATAATCCCAGCACTTTGGGAGGCCGAGCCGGGCAGATGACGAGGTCAGGAGATGGAGACCATCCTGGCTAACATGGTGAAACCCCATCTCTACTAAAAAATACAAAAAATTAGCTGGGCATGGTGGCGGGCACCTGTAGTCCCAGCTACTAGAGAGGCTGAGGCAGGAGAATGGCGTGAACCCGAGAGGCGGAGCTTGCAGTGAGCCGAGATCACGCCACTGCACTCCAGCCCGGGCGACAGAGTGAGACTCCATCTCAAAAAAAAAAAAAAAAAAAAAAGAAAACTCCAGGATGCCAACATCTCACCTACACAGTAGGATGGAGGAGGCAGTTGCTATTTGTGTGGATGGTAATGTCACCCTGTTGTCACATAGTGAGTTTACAGTTGTCAGAAACCCCTAGGGTAAGTGGGTTGCTTGTTTTTTCAGGAATAGCTGTTAAACCAACTGATCCTTATTCTGTTCTACATAAGCTTGTACTTTTCAACCTCAGTGTAGGGTGTTTGTGAGTTTTTCCCAAAATAGCTATTAGGAATAGCTATTAAACCAACTGATCCTTATTCTGTTCTACGTAAGCATGTATTTTTCAACCTCAGGGCAGGATGTTTGTGTTTTCCCCCCAATAGTTTCCTTTCTTTAGTTTCACCTGTGTTTTACTCTGTTGAGATGCTGATTCCTAATTCTAAATAATCGGAGTTTGGGGGTCTTCAAGACATTTTTTTCCCAAACTAGGAAGTCAGGACTTTATTCTGAAGGCAATGGGGAGCCACTGAAGGGCTTTAAGCAGGATAATAATAACAGATTTTCCTGCTAGAGATATCACCCAAGGAGCAGAGGTGAGGATTAACTTGGCGGCTGCAAGATACCAGGTACGGAGATCATGTTGGACCTCGGAGAGGAGACTTGGGGAAGGCCTCCTCCAAGTCAGCAGCAGTGAGAGCCGAGAGAAGGGGGTGGACAGAGGATACGTGGGGAGTGGAAGGACGGGAGTGTGGAGCTGATGCGGATGCCCCCAGGGGTGACTAGATGAAGCCTTTTACCAAAATAAAGAAGCTGGGGAGGAAGAGGTGGGTGAGCCTGACTTTGGGTGTGATGGTGGCGAGGAGTGGCTGGGATCCCAGTGAAGCTGTCTTCTGGGGCCTGGGAGACAGGTCTAGCCTGGGGCCTTGTGTGGAAGTTATCCACTTACTGAGGGAGCTAGGAAGAGTGCATACATGAAAGAAGGATATGACAGCAGCTTCCAGGTGCTGCCATGTGGAAGAGGACACAGACACACCTGTGTAGCTCTGAGGCCAAAACTAGGATGAAGTGTGAGAGTTGTAAGGATGTGGCTTTCAGGGCAATAACAGAAGAACTTTTCAACAGGACCATTGCAGTCCTATTGCGGGCAGTGGCTGACAACCTCTGGGCACTATGTGGGAGGGATCGTCTACTGAATGGCCAGAGATGACAAGATGGGTTCCTGCCCGCAAGGAGTTCATGATCATTAGGGGATTTCAGAAGGGAAATGACCATTGACTGAACTGTTCATCACTAGGAGCTCAGAAAAGGGAAAGATTGGCATGAACTACGAAGGAAAAAAGGATGACCTCCATCTGGATGGGTAAAAAAGAGGAATTCTCTAGATCTCTGGAGCTGGGAAGAAGAGACCAGCTGAAGGCCAGTTTATAGCCTGTCATGGCAAGCTACCCTCTGCTTTGACCCCTCTAAATGCTTCTCATCTCGCTCAAAGTCAACTCCAAGACCTTTCAGTGGCCTGTAGGCTCCACAGGGCCCGTGTCAGATCTTGTCTCCTACCGCCCTCCCCAAGCCTGCACCGTGCCAGCTGCACTTCTTCCTACATCCCCCTCAGCAGGCCAGGCACCCTCCTGCCTCGGGGCCTTTGAAACTATTGCTGGTGCCTGAATGTTCTTCCCAAAGATTTGCACAGGTCTGACTCCCACATGCTTTTTGGATTTCTGCTCAAGTGTTTCCTTCTCATGGGGAGCCCTGATTTCCCTACCTAAACCAGCAACTCCACTACCTTCTCTCTGCTTGATCTTCACAGCGTTCATCACCTTCTTACATATTGCAGTATTTATGTGATTATTGTCTGTCTCCCGCAACTAGAATAGAAGCTCCATGAGGGCAAGGACTTTATCTGTTTTGATCACTGCTGTATCTCTAGTGCCTGGAACTGTGCCTGGCACAGTGGGGAGAACCCTGTAAATATTTGTTGAATGAATGAACAACCTCATGGTCCATACTGAGGGGTTCTAGAAGATGAGGCTGCATGAGTACCGTTGTCCAACTGTGGAAGTTCTAGTTCTGGCATGGAAGCTTGGACTAATATGGTTCAAAATATGGAGACCTTTTGTTTTTTTCCCTAGAGAGACAAAATGAAAATTATGGCTTAGTAGCAGAAATCCATCAAGAAAAAAATGTAATTTCTCCAAGGGGAGCTGGATTAGACTCTCTTTGGTCTTGGAATAGCAAATGCATTATTTATTTATTCATTTATTTATTTATTTATTTATTTATTTTTGAGACAGAGTCTCTCTCTGTTGCCCAGGCTGGAGTGCAATGGCACGATCTCGGCTCACTGCAACCTCTGCCTCCTGAGTTCAAGCGATTCCCCCACCTCAGCCTCCCCAGTAGCTGGGATTACAGGCACCCATCATCATGCCTGGCTAATTTTTGTATTTTTGTAGAGACGAGGTTTCACCGTGTTGGTCAGGCTGGTCTCAAACTCCTGACCTCAGATGATCCTCCCACCTCAGCCTCCCAAAGTGCTGGGATTATAGGCGTGAGCCACCATGCCTGTCCCAGTTACAACATTTTCTAAGGGCCTGCTGTTGCTCAAACTCTGCTGAGTTTTGTGGGAGGTCCTAGCATGTAGAGGAGTGGTATAAACCTTAAGGAAATAGTTGGCACAGCACGTGACCCCCACACCCCACACCCGCTCCCGAAGCTCCGGACAACTGTGGACTTTTAATATTGCTTGTTAAAGGAATGAATCAATGAACAAACTTGTGATTTTGTTGGGGAGACAAAGCAAACATGCGTTAAAAGGACTTTATTAACTGACAAGCAACAAATGGAGTGAAAATTAGTACTGTGCTTCAGAGGAATAAGGATGAACTTTGAAATTGTATCTTCAAAGGCAGCAGTGGCTAAGAGCATAAACTCTGAAGCCAGACAGCCTGGGTTTAAATCACAGCTCTCCTGGTATTAGCTGTGTGACCTTGTCCATTTAATCTCTCCTCCTTAGTTTATTTGTCTATAAAATGGGGATAATAACAGTACCTCTCTCATAGGATTCTTATAAAGATTAAAGGAATACAGATGAAGCACTTAACCGGCACAGCATCTAATAATTGCTGTGCAGTTGCTGACATTTACAACCAGATTTGGGTGGGTTTCAGAGTCTGAACTTTAGACAATTTTGCTACCCTAGCTTTGACACAGCTTCTGGCAAATTCTAGGAGTTCATTAAATAGACACTTTTTCTGCCCTTTGCGAGTTTCAGTTTTCTCATCTGTCAAACAGTCATAACAGGACTGGGGTAGAATTTAAATAAAATTTCTTGCTTCAGTGCATAGCACATGATGTGTGCTAAGTAAATGTGTTTTGAATGAATGACATGTGTGAATCACTACCTATGGTGAGTTTGGAGTGAGTGAGCCTTCAAGGAATGTAAGTAGGGGAGTGATAGGAGGCGGGTAGGCGTGATTTAGGTGTTTGCTGAGTGACCATTATGAGTCAGATTTTGAAGGAAGCACAGATTACAGGTTGGCTGAAAAAAGAGAAAAAGCATTCTTGGTAGATGAAATAGCATGGAAAATCTCCAAGAAAAGCTGAAAGGAGAATGAAAATAGAGTTAATGAGACGGGAAGACCAGTTTTTGCAACACTTTGAAGATCAGGAGTTTTCCTTTGTACTTACGGCCCCCAGTGAATATTCCTGGGCTGTGATTTGCCTCCTGTCTTAGCTAATTGGATCATAACATGAATCTGTCACCAACATTTGCCATTTAGGATTGGGAGAATGGACCTCTCAAATGGTTAGGGTAATTCCAGTATCACTTCCTAAAGTCTACTTAGAGTTTTCAACAATACTTTTTGGGGTAAGAAAAACCACCTTAAAATTGCGGACAAACTTCTGTGATTCTGGGAATATGTTTTTCTTATTGGTCAAAATTCCATGAGAAATACCAAATCCAGGATAGGCAAATGAGCCTGTTCCCAGCTGCAGTCGTGTTGCCAGGGGAGTCTGAAACACTTTTTAAAGAGCCCCCAAAGTCTTTCAACATGAACACAGGCACACTGCCGGGAGCTTGAGACCTAATGCTCTGGGGAATGCCCTCCCGTAGAAAGGGATAATGTGAGGAAACTGAAAAAGAATTGGAAGAACCCGTTTCAGATGGAATCGAACAATGCCCCATTGGCCCCCAGCCCTTATGCTCCTGCCGCAGGATTCTTCACTTTACTCGCAAGATGCTGCTGGGGAAATGGAAGTGATTAGAATATGTCTCCCAACCCATTTCTGTAGTCTCTTGCCTGTGGGTGCCACCACCCTTTGAGAACTGAAAAATGCGTGTGCCCCCACCTCCAGGCAGAGCTCCAGGCCTGCACATGCACACTTTGCCTATAATATTTGCAGGTCACAGAACAGGGGCCCATCCCGTGGCCTCAGTTAAAAACCCACACTGCTGAGACAGCTATTTCCTTTATCTTATATTGTTGTTTACATGTTTGTCTGCACAATAGATTGCAAATTTGTTGACAGTGGCACCAGGTCTTAAGTTATTTTGGTATTCTCCCTAGCTTTTTTTTTTTTTTTTTTTTGACAGGGTCTCACTCTGTTGCCCAGGCTGGAGTGCAGTGGCATAAACATGGCTCACAGCAGCCTCGACCTCCTGGGCTCAAGCGATCCTCCCAAGTAGCTGGGACTACAGGCATGCACCACCATGCCTAGCTCATATTTTCTTTTGTAGAGACAGGATCTCGCTATGTTGCCCAGGCTGGTCTCAAACTCCTGGGCTCAAGTGGTGGTCCCACCTCAGACTCCCAAAGTGCTGGGATTACAGGCGTGAGCCACTGGGCCTGGCCTTTCCCTAGCATTGATACAGTTTCTGGCAAATTCTAGAAGCTCAATAAATATTTGTTGATGTGAATCCCCACCTTAGTGACCGGTGCAACTGCTTTCTTTTTTAGTGTAATGAAACTGAACTTTTTCTCCAAATGGAATTAGTAAATCTCAAAGAGAAAAGAATCCGGGTCTGCAGCCCAAACCCGCATGCCTTTGGGGGAACACGCACAGCAAGAATGCTTTATGCCTTGGCTTTTCCAGACACAGGCTCAACACGAGGAAACAGCAAGCACAGGGGAATTATAACAGGGTGATCTTGAGATTTTTTTTTTCTTTTGCCCCAACCCTGATCTGTGGCACTTGAACAATCTTGGTTTCCGGAGAACAGACTACTGTAATGATAATCCAGGAAGTAAATTGCCTTTTGAAAAGCAAGGAAGAAACCAATGGACTAAGTATTTATTTATATTTAATGCTCCAGGACTTCTGTTTCCAGCTTTGAAGAGTTCCTGGCAAACGCTTTGTGAAGTCATTAATCTTCGGGGCAAATCTAAATGTCTTGCACAGCTGGATGCGGTGGCTCACGCCTGTAATCCCAGCCCTTTGGGAGGCAGAGGCAGGCGGATCACTTCAGTCTAGGAGTTTGCAACCAGCCTGGGCAACATAGTGAGACCCTGTCTCTATAAAAATGAATAATAAAAAAAGAAATCTGAAATAATCCTCTTTCTCGCAGATAATCATGCTTTCCGCATTTCACATGCACACACACACATAAACGAAAAGGTGTTATTCTATGCATATTAGTAGCCTGTTTTCCTCACTCTAATAATAATTCATTCATTATGGATCAGTAAATACGTACCAGGAGCATTGTTTTGAATGGCTGTATATAGTATTCCATTGTGATTGTACCAAAATCTGTTTAATCAATTGCCCTATTTGGTAATTTAATGGCTGTATTGGTTTGCTAGGGCTGCCATAACAAAATACCACAGATGGGGTGACTTAAATTAACAGAAATTTATTTCCTCACAGTCCGGATGCTGGAAGTCCAAGATTAAGGTGTCAGCAGATTTCATTTCTCCCGAGGCCTCTCTCCTGGGCGTACAGATGGCTGTCTTCTCCTGTGTCCTCACATAGTCTTCCCTCTGTGCCTGTCTGCGTCCTAATTTCTTCTTATAAGGACATCAGTCATATTGGATTGAGTCCACTTTAATGCCCTCATTTTGACTGAATTACCTTTTTTTTTTTTTTTTTTTGAGATGGAGTCTTACTTTGTTTCCCAGGCTCAATCTTGGCTCACTACAACCTCCGCCTCCCAGGTTCAAGGGATTCTCCTACCTCAGCCTCCCAAGTAGCTGGGATTACAGGTGCCCGACACCACGCCTGGCTAATTTTTGTAGTAGAGAAATGGGTTTCATCATGTTGGCCAGGCTGGTCTTGAACTCCTGACCTCAGGTGATCCACCCGCCTTGGTCTCCCAAAGTGCTGGGATAACAGGCATGAGCCACTGCGACCAGCCTGAATTACCTCTTTAATCACCTTGTCTTCAAATATAGTCACATTCTGAGGTACTGGGGACAAGGCTTCAATATATGAGTTTTTTGGGCAGGGGACATAATTCAACCCATAACAATAGCCGATATTTCTTAAAGCCTTACTATGGGCCAGGAACTGTGCTGATTGCTTTACATAAAGCATCTCATTTAACTCCTTAACAAACCTAGGATGTAGGTACTATTATTGTTTCCATTTCACAGATAACAAAACTGGCACAGAGAGGTGTGGTAACTTACCTCAAGGGCACACAGCAAGTAAGTGGTAGAGCTGGATCCAAACCAGGCAGTCTAGCTTGAGTTGTGCATTTAGGCACTTTGTTGCCATTATAAGTCACAGTCTTTACTATATTTACTATTATTTCCTACGCACTTGCTAATTCCCTAAAATAAAGTTAAATTTCTGGGTGAGGCCAAGCATGGTGGCTCACACCTGTAATCCCAGCACTTTGGGAGGCCGAGGCGGGTGAATCACTTGAGGTCAGGAGTTTGAGACCAGCCTGGGCAACATTGTGAAACGCCGTCCTTACTGAAAATACAGAAAATAAGCCGAGCATGGTGTTGTGTGCCTGTAGTCCCAGCTACTCGGGAGGCTGAGGCAGGAGAATTGCTTGAACCTGGGAAGTGGAGGCTGCAGTGAGCCAACATTGCACCACTGCACTCCAGCTTGGGCAACAGAGCAAGACTCTATTAAAAAAAAATTCTGGGTAAGTATATTTGAGCATTTTTAGTGTTTTTCATACAAATTACCCATCCACCAGAGCCTATACCCATTTACATCTCCAACAGCAGTGCACGAGGGGCTGTTGGATGCAAAGCCTCTGTGGGGTGTGTGTTGAGTGTGTATGTGTGTGTGAGATAAAATGATTGACTGAGGTGAGGCACACACCTAGGAAGAATGAACTCTAATTAGGGTTGTGTGGAGTTCATCTCTTAGACTTCCATTCTCACTTTGTCCATCCTATCATGCAAGGAAGAGCATAAAGCTGACTGATCCAAATGATGGAGCCAGTTTGGTGAACAATGTATATAAACACTTTATCTTAGAAGTGAAAAGAGAAATCCCGTAAAAGTGATTTTCTTTTGGTGTGTTATTTTTCTTAAGACAGGTTTATTGAGATATAATTTACTTTACATAAAGTTAATCGGTTTTTGTTGAAGAACCATCTTCTCCAGTGTCTTCACACTGGTCCTCTCAATTAAACAACAACAACAACAACAACAGGAGAAGGCTGGGCGTGGTGGCTCATGCCTGTAATCCCAGCACTTTGGGAGGCTGAGGTGGGCAGATCACATGAGGTCAGGGGTTCGAGACCAGCCTGGCCAACATGGTGAAACCCTGTCTCTACTAAAAATACAAAAATTAGTCAGGGGTGGTGGTGCACGCCTGTAGTCTCAGCTACTTGGGAGGCTGAGGCATGACAATCATTCCAACCTGGGAGGTGGAGGTTGCAGTGAGCCAAGATCACACGACTGCACTCCAGTTTGAGTGACACAGTGAGACGCTGTTTAAAAAAAAAAAAATGTGGCCGGGTGCGGTGGCTCATGCCTGTAATCCCAGCACTTTGGGAGGCCGAGGCGGGCAGATTACCTGAGGTCAAGAGTTAAAGACCAGCCTGGCCAACATGATGAAACCCTGTCTCTACTAAAAATATAAAAATTAGCTGGGTATGGTGGCACACGCCTGTAATTCCAGCTACTTGGGAGACTGGAGGCAGGAGAATCACTTGAATCTGGGAGGTGGAGGTTGCAGTGAGCTGAGATATATAAGCCAGTATCACGCCACTGCACTCCCGCCCGGGCGACAGAGCCAAACTCTATCTCAAAAAAATAATAAATAAAAATAAAAAACGGGAGAATATTTAATCCATTCCAAAACACCCATCAGGAAATGAAGGGAACCATAGGAAGATCTTCCACCTATAACAAACAGAGCGAGGTTACTGGCTTTCTGCTTGCTCCTGGCATCCAGAGGTGTGATATTTGGAAGAAATTCTGTATCCTTCAGCTACTCCCCGATATTCAGACATAAGTTACACACATCTGGAGAAGAGTTCTGCCCTGTTGAAGCTAGAAGGGTGCTCGATGGGAAAGAGAAAGGAGCATCAATCTGCAAAAAACTGATCAACAACAACAAAAAAAACAAAAGAAAAAGAAAATAACAAACGATTTTTCAAAGTGGCTGGGCCATTTTGCATTCCCACCATTGATGCATGAGAGTTCCAGTGCTTTGCATTCTCACCAGCACTCGATATTGACAGGGTTGATTTTCTTTTCTTTCTTTGGTTTAGTCATAGAAACCAAACCACTGCACATATAAGTGTGCAGTGACTACTGACTACTGATACTGAACATCTTTTAATGTGCTTATTTGACATCCATATCTTTTCCTTGGTGAAATGTCTATTCAAATATTTACCTATTTTTAATTGAGTTGTTTGTTTTCTTATCATTAAGTGTGAAAATTCTTTTTTTTTTTTTTTTTTTTTTTTTTTTTGAGATGGAGTCTTGCTCTGTCCCTCAGGCTGGAGTGCAGTGGCGCAATCTCGGCTCACTGCAACCTCCGCTTCCCGGGTTCAAGCCATTCTCCTGCCTCAGCCTCCCAAGTAGCTGGGATTACAGGCACTTGCCACCACGCCTGGCTAAGTTTTATATTTTTAGTAGAGACAGGGTTTCACCACGTTGGCCAGGCTGGTCTTGAACTCCTGACCTCAAGCGATCCACCGACCTCAGCCTCCCAAAGTGCTGGGATTACAGGTGTGAGCCACCTCACTGGCCAGATTTATTTTCTTTTTGTTCATTTTTTACTTTCTAATTTCTAAGTATGAGAATTCTTTATAGATTTTGGATATTATCCTTTATCAGGTAAACTTTTACCAATACTTTATCCCAGTCTATGACTTGACTTTTTATTTTCTTAAGTGCATCTTCAGGAGAGCAAATGTTTTCGATTTTGGTAAAGTTCAATTTATGAACTTTAAAAAATATGGCTGGGCATGGTGGCTTATGTCTGTAATCCCAGCACTTTGGAAAGCTGAGGCAGGAGGATTGCTTGAGCCTAGGAGTTTGAGACCAACCTAGGTAACATAATGAGGCCCCATATTTCAAAAAAAAAAAAAAAAAGTATTAGCCAGATATGGTGGCTCACATCTGTAGTCCCAGCTACTTGGGAGGCTGAGGTAAGAGAATTGTGTGAGCCTGGGAGACTGAGGCTGCAGTGAGTTGTGATTGCGCCACTGCACTCTAGAGCCTGGATGACAGAGTGAGACCCTGTCTAAAAAAAAAAATGGTTTGTGCTTTTTGTGTTCTATCTTAGAATTTTTTGCCTATCCCAAGATCACAGAGATTTTCCCCAGTGTTTCATTTTTGAAATTTTGTAGTTTTAAGACTTACATTTAGGTTTGTGACTCTTTCCAAGTTAATTGTTTTATGATGTAAGGTATAAGTCAAGGTTAATTTTATTTTATTTCTTGGCATAGGAATATTCAGTTGTTCTAATACTGTTACTTGAAACATAAAGGCATCTTAAAACTTCCAATACTTTTCTTTTTCTTTTTTTTTGAGACGGAGTCTCAGTCTGTCACCCAGGCTGGAGTGCAGTGGCGCGATCTCGGCTCACTGAAAGCTCTGCTCCCGGGTTCACGCCATTCTCCTGCCTCAGCCTCCTGAGTAGCTGGGACTACAAGTGCCCACCACCACGCCCGGCTAATTTTTTGTATTTTTAGTAGAGACGGGGTTTCACCGTGTTAGCCAGGAGGGGATGAGGTGTGGAGGGGGCTGCTGAGAGGCTCTGGCTCCGTAGAAGTTGTCATGAGAGCCCACCCCTATTCCTCGTCTAAATGGTGCCCACTGCGGGCTGCTGAGAGGAACAACCCCCACCAAGCCCGGGTCTCATGGTTTGGCTCTTTAAAGATGGTGCCTGAGCAGGAGCTGACTTTGAGATTCAGCGATACCATCAGGGCTGAGTGAGCACTGCTTTGGTGAGTTATCTTCAGTCCCACTTTGGGGGCCTTGGAACAAGCATTTGCAGCTCTTTCTGGTGAAAGATATGGCTGAAGCTTTTGGTGGGCCTGGGACCCTTTCTTATGTGATGGAAACCTCAGGACTAGGCATTCCCCGGTACCCCCCAGTTTCTGTGCACCCTAGAGTCATACACAAATCTGCTATTCCGTTTTTCAGGTAAAGAATCTGAGGCTGAGACACTTGCTGAAAGTCATGCAGTAATTTAGTTCTCCTGGCCCCAATTTTGTTTCTTGCAGGCTTGAATATCCGCTGCCTCCCAGGCCTTCCATTGATGGGACTCTCTGCTTCTCAAATTCATCATATCTAAATCGGAATTCATTCTTCTCCTTCTTGCTCTTCATCTCCCCACCTCAAACTGCTTTTCGTCTTGATCTCTTCTCTTGGTAATATTTCACCAACCACCCCGTTACCCAAGCCAGGAACCGGGGAAGTATCTCAACATGCCCCTCTCCTGCATCTCCAGGATCAGATCAGTCCCTAAACTCCGTTGATTCTAGCTTGCAAATAGCTCCTAGATTTGCTTTCTGTCCCCTCCTGGCACCCCTTTGGTTCAGAATGTCAACATCTATGATAAAGCTAGATCTAGATAAAGTTTGTCCAACCTGCAGCCTGAGGGCCACATGCAGCTCAGGACCGTTTTGAATGCGGCCCAACACAAATTCACAAACTTTCTTAAAACATTATAAATTAGCCAGGCATGGTGGCATGCACCTGTAATCCCAGCTACTTGGGAGGCTGAGGCATGAGAATCACTTGAACTGGGAGGTGGAGGTTGCAGTGAGCCAAGATCTCACCACTGCATTCCAGCCTAGGTGACAGAGACTCCATCTCAAAAAAAGACAGAGAGAGAGAGATTATTTTGCGATTTTTTTTTAAAGCTTATCAACTATCTCTAGTGTTAGTGTATTTTATGTGTGACCCAAGACAATTCTTCTTCCATTGTGACCCAGGGAAGCCAAAAGATTGGACACCCCAGATCTAGATGTTTGAAATGTCCTTTTGGCTGGTCTACTATTTCCCAAATCTTCTTTAACTAAGCTATCATCAGCACAGCTGCCAAATAGATCTTTCCAGAATGCGGTTTTGATAATGTCGCTCCTCAGCTTCAAAACTCTTTAGTGGCTCAACATTACCTTCTAGATAAAGATCAGACTCTCCGACTTGGCACCAGGTCCCTGTGTTGGCTTGGGCCACATGCCCCTTTGCCCTTTGTACTTTAGCAATAAAGAGCTCTTATTTTATGTCTGGCTTTTTCTCCTATATGATGGCAATCTCATTGAAACAATTTGTTTACACACCTGCCTTCCTTGCTAGACTATGAAGCACTTGAGGGCAGGAACTCTGTTTAGCTTGTTGCAGCCTTTCACACAGGGCCTGGCATGAAGTCCGTACAGTCATTCATTTCATAAGCGTAAAGATAGATGGGAATATCTCCCATCACGTGCCCACATTCTTGCATATATTAAAATGTCATGTTCCTTTGTCGGAATCTCTTAGTAATTTTAAACTGGAGATCAGGAGTACCACATTTTAGGACAATACTGAATGCTGACCACTTGGGAGTTGCTTTCCAAAGTGAAGAATGACTGTAAATTAAAATGCCGGCATCTGGCCAGGTGCGGTAGCTCATGCCTGTAATCCCGCACTTTGGGAGGATGAGGTGGGTGGATCACCTGTGGTCGTGAGTTTGAGACCAGCCTGGCCAACATGGTGAAACGCTGTCTTTACTAAAAATACAAAAATTAGCCAGGTGTGGTGGTGCACACCTGTAATCCTAGCTACTTGGGAGGCTAAGGCACGAGAATCTCTTGAACCCGGGAGGTGGAGGTTGCAGTGAACCTAGATGGCACCACTGCACTCCAGCCTGGGCAACAGTGCAAGTCTCCATTTCAAGAAAGCAAGACAAAAGAAAACCAAAAAAATGCCGGCATCTGAAACACTTACATGAAAGTAATCCTGTTTCATGCTCAGTTGTCCATTTTGCTCTTGGAACATGAGATAGATCAAGTGACAAGGCTTTGGGGGGTCGTTTAGGCTGCTGTGAGAGGAGGATAAAGAGACCGGCAGTGAGAGAGAAGCCTGTCCAAAACAGAATTCATGGTTTTGCCACCAACTTCTTGACCCACCCACAGGCCTCTTGTCAGTTAACAGCATCACAGGAAGGCCAGTCTCCTCTCGGCTTTCTCCCCTCACACCCTGTGTGCCAGCCCCTCAGAACTTTCCTGAGTTCATGAGAACACCCTGGACACCATCATATGTCCCTGCTTTGGTATGGATCAACAATGTTCTTCCATTGACCCTTGATTTGGTGGGTTCTGCATTCCTCTTTACTGTGTGTGTACACACGTGCATGGGTGTGTACATGTCTGCATGTGTGCATATCTGTGTTTTTACCCTCCTTGATCCTGATCAACTGCCTCCTCATCCATGGAGTTTTCTCACCTCCTCCAGGAAGAATCAGTCCCTTGTTACTATACCTTGTTGAGACAGTTCACATGCTGATTATTTGTCTTTGTATGAACTGTGGGTCCCCATCACATAGGGGCTGTGTTTACTTTTTCCTGAAAGGTGCCCCCCACCCTAGCACAGTGCTTGGCACAGAGTATGCCTTAATCACTACATAAATGTTAGTGTTAAAGCCACTCGCTCACTCACTTACTCTGCTCTTTCATTCGATCAGCCACTACCAGGTGGCTGGTATCCAGTTTTCCTAACCTCCCTCCCCATCCCGTGAAAGGACTTTGCAGACAGAAACCCTTTCTTTTCTTTCTTTTTAATTTTTTAATTTTTTTTTTTTGAGACAGAGTCTTGCTCTGTTGCCCAAGCTGGATTGCAGTGGCTGCGATCTTGGCTCACTGCAAGCTCTGCCTCCCGGGTTCATGCCATTCTCCTGCCTCAGCCTCCCAAGTAGCTGGGACTACAGGTGCCCACCACCACGCCCGGCTAATTGTTCTGTATTTTTAGTAGAGATGGGATTTCACGGTATTAGCCAGGATGGTCTCGATCTCTTGACCTCATGATCCGCCCGCCTCAGCCTCCCAGAGTGCTGGGATTACAGGCCTGAGCCACCGTGCCTGTCTCTTTTTAATTTTTTTTAAGGTGGAGTCTCACTGTCACCCGGGCTGCAGGGCGGTGGCACAATCTCAGCTCACTGCAACCTCCGCCTCCTGGGTTCAAATGTTTCTCCTGCCTCAGCCTCCTGAGTAATTGGGATTACAGGCACACGCCACCATACTTGGCTAATTTTTTGTATTTTTAGTAGAGAGGGGGTTTCACCATTTTGGCCAGGCTAGTCTGGAACTCCTAACCTCAAGTGATCCTCCCGCCTTGGCTCCCCAAAGTGCTGGGATTACAGGCGTGAACCACCGTGCCTGGTCAACAAACGGAAACCCTTTCTGAGGTCTGTGCCAGGCCTAAAGTGTTATCTCTCCTTGCCTGCCATCAACCCCTACGTTCCTTCCTGAACAAAGTTATTTCTTTTTCCCTCTTTCCTTCTTTAGAACAATGCCCCTGTCTATCTTTCTATTTGGATTACCCCTGTATAAAAACCAGGTGTGCTCTGAGGGTGGTCTTTTGGAGAAGGATAATCAAAACTCTCCAAGATGAGCCTACTGATGATGTCCAAGACTATGGTCTCCATATTAAGAAAAAGTCTCACTGGTTCTATCTTTTATTCTGCAGTAGCATCTCTTCCTCAAAGATGAGCCAGCCGTCATTTGAAGAGGAGGAAAGACTGGATTGGGGAAGAATCTGGGGCAAAATGAAGCCAAATTGAGAACGAGGAGAAAAGAAGATGCTAAGGCCGCAGATAAGGAGGTCTTGAGTGTTACAGCTCTTTTTGAATTTGTCTAGCATGCTTTCTGCTTTTTACTGGAAAGTGCCCCCCCCCAAAAAAATAAAAACGAATAAATAAAAAAGAAAGATTTAAAAAATAAAAGAGAAAGAAGGGCCTGGGAATTGTGGCTGCTCAGAGGACACCCAGCTCTGAGTTCAGTAGACTCTGATGAAGTGCCGCTTCTGCTTATGGTTGTCCCTTCCCATCTATCCTGGTTCTGTTTATCCTGTCTCATATCTCTCAGGATAGTCAGGGCAGCTTCCCCTGTTCTCTTGCCACTGGCTCCAACAACCTGCCTGTCACACATTCTATCTTTTGCTTCTTCAAAATATCTCTAAGATTGACTCTTCCTTTCCTCTCTCCATCAAGTTCCATCTCCCGGGCTGATCCTGCTCCTCTGCGATACGTTCTGCAGATGGTCCTGTGTGGCCCAGTCTTCCAAATGCACCTCTTCAGGGATGCCCATCCTCAGTTAGAGAAACGTGAGTGACCTCGAGGCCCTGCAGGGGGTTCTTCCTTCTGACTCGGCATACTTATTTCTCACTGCACCCGAAAGGAAACCCCTCAATGCAGTTTTTAGAGCTGTCTCCAGTCCCCAGTCTCTTCCTGACCCTGCATTCCTGCACTGGCTGAGATAAACCTTTCTCCTCCTCACTTAATCTGCCACTTAATCTGCATCCTGCCATCCATGAGAGGACTCCAACCCAGGCTGAAGTCTCCTTCTTTGCTTGCATATTAAATGAGCCTGCCATTGCTGGGCATGTCTCTATCCTCTTGCTGGTTAAAATGGTGTTGCTTTCAGCCAAAAGCCTTTGAAAACTTCACAGAGCCATGTCATCTGTCACATACATTGCAAAGAGCAAAACTGGTCAAAGTTAAAGCAAATTTAGTCATTTAGCATAGGGTTGTTTTTGAATGATCCCAGGGATGTTAGTTTTGTCCCCCCACCTCCCAATTTGCTACTGCTGCTGGGGTGTCTGTGAGCCTCTCACAGCGTGTTATTTAGGGCTGGGCTCAGGGGCGGGGGGAGACGCTCACTACACACACGCTAATTGACTTATTGAGTTAGTCATTTGGTCTTTGACAAACATTTATTTACTGCCTACAGAGAAGGCTCAAGTCGATTTTTACTTATCTTCCCAAATGGCACCAAAATTCAACAAGAGCCACCCAACACCTAGGAAAGGACTTTGACCAATGAAAGCAACTTGAGAACAGGTTTTGCTGCCTTCAGCTCACCTTGAGCAGGGGCCAAGCTCAGTGCGTTGGGAAGAGGCACAAAGAGCTCACTTGCTGCATGCTGTTTGTTCAGAAATAGCCTTCCTGAAGCATGAGTCTATTGGTGAGAACTCAGCCTTACAAAGTCAACACAAGGCTTCTGGCTGATGCTCCAGGACACTGGGCTGCTGATGCCTTCCACGCAGATCCAGAACTTCTTGTCCTCTGGGTTCACAATTTCACAGCACAGGGAGTCAGTCCTGGCTTGGCCTCTCCCTCTCACAGACCTGTGGTCAGGGTTTGTGGCCAACTGTAGGGCTTCCTTAAGGGAAGGGGTTTGTAAACCCATTTCTCTAAGTGACCTCCCTGAGCTGCAGCCTTCGGGCTGGTTCTCTCCTCTCTGCATGGCTGTAGCTCTCTGGGGCTGAACATCCCAGTAGCCAAGTGGACAAGTAGACTCTGAGAGGTGGCTATTGAGGCAGAGTAAGGGACTAGTGGGAATCTCTATTGGCAACAGAAATGCAAACGTACCTTCAGGTCAGGTTTAAAGGCCTAGTCAATGATTACATATTTTTATTATTTACCTAGTAAAAATTCCCTTGAGAGGGAGAGAGAAAGAGGAGAGAAAGAAAGAGAGAGAGAGAGAGAGAGAGAGAGAGACAGGTGCTTGATTCTCCACCTCCAAATTTTAGGGTCTATTCAGAGCTTTTGTGGCCATGTGGGGACATCTGTGATCTCTGGCTTCTGGGCTGGGCTCACTCAGAGCAGGGCAATCCAATGGTAGGCCTAAGACTTGTAGACCTTAGCCTGGGAGAGGTTCTGCTTCAAGCAGAAAATGTGGAGCCACAGAGAGGCTGCAGCTCAACAAGGTAATTCTCCCAGCCTCCAGATGACAAAGGTTGCATTTACACCTGGCCAGGAGGTTTAATCATCTACCTTTTCCAAACACAGCAGGCTAACAACCGGCTGGGCCGAAAATCATAAATTAAAAAAAAAAAATCACCAATAAGAGACAGTACAACGGGAAGGAGGAGAAAAGTGGCTCAGTGTCCTTGCTCTAGAGGAGGAACCCCTAGGTTTAACCCCTAGTGGGACCCCTGGGTGGGGAGCCATGAGTGAAGGTCCCACGTGGGAGCCTTTGATGAGAGACTGAGCCAGTGTTCCCCACGCCAGCATGAACAGCACAGTTGCCACAAATCCCATGAAAAAATGGCCCCCTGTGGGCCAGGGTTGTCTGTCTCACCATGGCTGTGGAGAAAGAAGTCTCTGCCATTAAGATCTTCCCCTGGGGGCTTGCAGGGAGGACTGTGCCATGTTACCGGTTCTTTTATGTCTTTGCTTTCTTGTTAGAGACCAGGCTGTCTTTTTGTCACCAAATCAGGCAGACTGGCGTAGCAATTACATGCTTCCACCTCATGTCAGACTACCTGTGTTCAAATCTCAGCTCCATCATTCACCTGTGGCTTCGGGCAAACAGCCTCAGCTCTCCAAGCCTTGGCTTCCCCATTTATATAATAGGGATGGTAATAGTACTTGCCTTATAGAATATCGTTGGGGTTAAATGACATAAAGTGTCATTATTATTATTTCATGGAAAAATGCAATTCAGGGGACTCAGAGATAGCTTTAGCTGTGGGTTGATGGTATCTGGGTTCGATGCATTTTAACCAGAATGATGACAGATTTATGTGTAGCAGAGACTTGGGGACGCTGGTGTCCACAGGACGGTGGTTACACATTAATTTTTCACATATGAATCTGATCACACCAAGAAAGCCACAGAACTCCATCAATGAATAGGATCTTCATAATAAAGTTTTAATGGCAAAGGCAAGATCAATCCTTTAGGTAATTAGCAATAAATAGTATTGGATGTCTATACACAAGACACTCTGGTCAGTGCAGGGGACCTAGCAGAATTGGATCCAGGCTCTCCTCTCTCAATAAATTTACCATCTTGATAGGGGGACAAGACATACATGTAATTAGCTAGATAGCAACTCAAGATAACATATGTCAAATGCCAAATGAGTTGTATTGTAGAGCAAATGTATTTGTGTCTTATCTCTTCCACTCACTCCCTGAAGACAGAAACCACATCTGTCTTGCTCATGATATGTCCTCTGCGCACATCTGCATTATTGCCGAGGCTCCCTGAATACTTACTTTGGCCCAGGCACTGTTCTCAGTGCTTCATAGGCATTAGCTCTTTTAAGCTTATCACATAGACTATGATGTAGATACTGTCATCAGCCCATTTTCAGGATGGGAAAAGTGGGTGAGAGAGAAATGCAAAAACTTGCTCAAAGGCACATGGGAACACCTGTTACCACTCTGCAGTGTCCATTGCACATACTAGTAACTTTCCCCAGCTGCCCCCTCCAGTGCCTAGTGCCGTACCTGGCACAAGGGATGGGGAAATGCATTTCTGGGGAGCCCGCCAATGTTCCAGATGCTGCTAGGCACTTAACGTGGGCCTTCTCACTTCATCTTTACAAACTCCATTGAGGTAGGGACCACGATGTTCATATGAAGGAGGAAGGGGGTTCTGAGAGGCCAAGGATGTATGCAGGGTACAGGCTGGCAAAAAATGCTTCCTGGGCCAGGCACGGTGGCTCATACCTGTAATCCTAGCACTTTGGGAGGTGGGAGGATCACTTGAGTCCAGGAGTTCGAGACCAGCCTGGCCAACATGGCAAAACCCTGTGTCTACTAAAAATACAAAAAATTAGCTGGGTGCAGTGGCACATGACTGTAATCCCAGCTACTTGAGAGGCTGAGGCAGAGAATTGCTTAAACCCAGGAGGCGGAGGTTGCAGTGAGCTGAGACTGCGCCACTGCACTCCAGCCTGGGCGATGGAGTGAGACTCTGTCTCACACACACACACAAAAAGCTTCCTGAATGATTTACAAACCAATAGACTGACTTGAACTGGGACAAGTTTGGAGCTCAGAGGACTGGGGTGGTGAAGGAAGTCTTTTCCAAGAAGCAGTGTGTCCACTGGATTATGAAGGGATTGGATTTGGGTAAGCAGGAAATGCGGGAGAGAGATGGAACTGGAGTGGGAAGGCTGCACAGGAGCCTTGGCAGTGAGCTCATGCCAGCAGCCTGGCTGGAGTAAACGATATGTGCAAACAGGCTGGAACAGTGAGAATGGTAGATCAGGGACAGATTATAAGAGGACTTGAGTGCCAAGCAAAGGAGGAGAGACCCTGAAGGAACAGAATCCACAGAAATAAGCTGGCCGTGTCTTGAATGCTTAATGCTTCTGGATCTTTAACTGGGTCCAAACATTTGATAAGCCTGGCATGGCCTTTAATTTCTTCATGCTACAATTATATTGAATTACATAACATCTTTCATCAAGGCCACTGGAAAATTACACAAAACATTTGTTCCATACAGCATGGGAAAGTTTAAACGTCTTGCAGGAAAATGCCAATGTCCTTCTTTTCCTGTACTTTTGAGTTAAAGGGACATTCTGAGGTCGTACTGCCTCATTGTTGAGGAAATGGAGCAGGCAGTGAGGACCAAGGCATAAACCTTGCTGTAACCTACCAGGAGAGCTTAGTGCTGCTCCCAACTGTTCATTTCAGTGCCAGGTGCCCTGAGGTGCCAGATCCACAGCTATCTGTATCACTGCCACCAGTTTGGGTTTCTGGCTGTGTGTGTGACCTTTGACACAGCTCCTTACCACTCTGATTTTTGTTTTTCCACCTGTGGAAAAGAGGATCATAATGGTTCCACTTCCTTTGCCTACCTGGCTATGGTGATGAACGTGCTGGTGTTTGCTGAAGGCCAATGGGAACCTAGACATCACATAAGCACCTGTGCTCTGACTCTGGGTAGCACCCAGATGGTGGTGGCGGTTCTCTATTTGCTCTCATTACAAAGACAGAATCTCATTCAATGCCCAGTTCCTTTGCTTTGTCCCATTATAGTGAAGCCAGGATTATGGACGGAGGTCGGGGGATGATGGTGGCGTGGTAGAGAAAATAAAGACACCAAGATGGTTGTTTGTTTTTCATTGGTGTTTCATATTTTGTTAGCTGTGATTTCTGGACATTGGAAAGTTGTAAAGAGTTATCTTCCGTATCTTGCAAGTTATACTTCAATTATAAGTATACAGTGAAGTGGCTTACACCTGTAATCCCAGCGCTTTGGGATGCTGATGAGGGAGGATTGTGTCAGCCCAAGAGTTTGAGCTCAGCCTTGGCTATGTTGCCAAGGTCTCACTATGGTGAGACCCCATTTCATGAGGGGAGAAATAGGTATATATATATACACATATACATATAAATACACATAAACTTTGCCGAAGTTGAAGGTTGGAAGATGAAAGAACTGGTATTTAGTGCTCTAATTTAGAATATAGTTCTTTTAGTATGTAACTCTTCTTTTTTCATTCATTTTGGGAAAAGACGCTGGCCTTTTTTTTTTCAAGGAGAAAGACAAAAATAGCTCCTTAAACTACCAGAAAGTATTTGTTAAAAGGTCCTTTGAAGCTATTGTAGAATCTTCTGTCATTGGTTCTAAGCCTCAAAGAAGTAAAACCCTAAGTAAACAGTGTGTTAATTATTGGTCATGTGGAACTTAGAATGGAGGACCAGACTCCTCTGAAAACATTTGGGACTTTCCTCAAAATTCCATGTATTTTTCAAATGGATATTTGAAAACCTTTGATTAAGCGAGCCAGGCTTCTTGTTTTCCTGTCCTCTATCAAGATTCAGACTCAGTTGGCCACCCACTGATATGAATCTGTAAATAGATTAAATCCTCCCTTTGAACACACTGGTCCCTAACTTGCTATCTTATGAAAATGTTTGGGAGATGACAACATCAGACCAGCACTCAGCACAGACCAGCATGTCTGCCCTTTGCTAAGGTGACCTGGGAGGCTACAGGTCTTTTGGAGAGAAAGGGAAGAGCCAGAGAATTATAGAACAGAAAATAGGCCTGCACAGAGTCTAGCATCCCTGACCCTCTGACCATCATTCCATGTGTGAATGCACGTGTGTGTGAATGTCGGGGTGGGGATGCTGATTCCACAGGGATCCCACTGTATTTCCATTTAGCCTTGTGCCTTGTGGTAGGCGGGAGGAATATGGGGAACAGGGTTTTAAAAAATATGTATTTTCATAACATATGAGACCCTCTAATCAATACCTGTGCCTGGTGGTGCATGTCTGCCTATTGTGTCCAGCTACCTGGGAGGCTGAGGCAGGAGGATTGCTTGAGCTCAGGAGTTTGAGCTGCAGTGAGATATGATTGAGCCTGTGAATGGTCATTGCACTCCAGCCTAGGGAACATAGTGAGATCCCCATCTCTAAAACAAAACAAAACAAAACAAATATGTATTTTCATTGTCTCATTTCTAAAACCTAATCTGGCCAGGCGTAGTGGCTCATGCCTGTAATCCCAGACTTTGGGAGGCCAAGGTGGGTGGATCACCTGAGGGGAGGAGTTTGAGGCCAGCTTGGCCAACATAGCAAAATGCTGTCTCTACCAAAAATACAAAAATTGGCCGGGCGTGGAGGCTCACGCCTGTAATCCCAGCACTTTGGGAGGCCAAGGCGGGCGGATCACGAGGTCAGGAGATCAAGACCATCCTGGCTAACACGGTGAAACCCTGTCTCTACCAAAAAAAAAAAAAAAAAAATGCAAAAAGTTAGCCGGGCGTGTTGGCGAGCGCCTGTAGTCCCAGCTACTCGGGAGGCTGAGGCAGGAGAATGGCGTGAACCCGGGAGGCGGAACTTGCAGTGAGCCAAGATCGCGCCACTGCCCTCCAGCCTGGGTGACAGAGGGAGACTCTGTCTCAAAAACAAAACAAAACAAAATAAAAATACAAAAATTAGCCGGGCGTGGTAGCAGGTACCTCTAATCCCTAGTAGGGAGGCCAAGGCAGGAGAATCACTTGAACCCAGGAGGTGGAGGTTGCAGTGAGCTGAGATTGCACCATTGTACTTCGGCCTAGGCAACAGAGCAAGATTCCGTCTCAAAATAATAATAACAATAAAATAAATAAAATAAAACCTAATCTTTCTGCCTCCTTCCCTCACCTTCTAACATTCCATATTTTCTCTCATTTATTTTACTTTTTTCTTTAAATGAATCCCTTCTGCTCTCATCTTCCTTATTTTTCTAACATAATCTCCTTTTTGTCTACTTCCTAATTTTTACTTTTTTCCTATTTATTTTAATTCTATTTTTAAGCTTCCCCCTCTTATTTGTTTTTCTCTTGCTACTCTCCCCAGGGGCTGTAAGTCAGAGAACTTGAACTTGACCCAGAGCATGGCCAGACACATCAGCTATTCCCTACATCACGTTTCTTTAAAATAAAGCCTGCCAGCACAAGAGGCTTGTAGAGTTTGCCATAGTACATGTACCCAGGGCTCTGCTTTTGTTCACGATTCTGTATTCATATTGTGATTTTAATAGCTGCTAATCAAAGAAAGAGGCTTTCTAGTCATTGGTAAGCTGGCAAAGAGCAAAACAACCAAATGCCTGACAAGCAGCTGGTAAGGAGGTTGTGCTGGAGAAATAAACATGCAATTGTCTTCCCTTCCACAATTCAGACCGACTTGCATTCTCTTTACCTGGTGGTTACAACAGAGATTCCCGGAGTTTCTAAACTAGAAGTGAGCCTTTAGAAGCAATTTGCAAAGATGCCATAACTGCAGAAAACTAATGAAATAACCAGGTTGGGGGTTCGAAAGTCTGGAGAAAAGAGGAGAGCTCAGCTAAGAACCGTCTGAACGTTTTTTCCATATTCAACCTTCAGCACCTCTGAAGCCCACCCCAGTTCCCTATTTGCCCCCCATACGTGTATTGCTGTTCCCAGTAAAACAGGGGCTTTAGCACAGTGGTTAAGGCCTCTGGAAGGAGACTAGGTTTGAATTCCAGCAAAATAACCTCCCCAAGGCTCAGTTACCTTGACTGAAAATAGGTACAATAGGACCCGTTGTTAAACTAGATGATCCAAGTCAAACAGTTGGCATGGCGTCTGACGCTAATAAGTGCTCAAGTTGTTGTTCTTACCCTTGCCCACTATTGAGGAAGTCCCAAGCCTCAAAAAGACTTAATGGAGAGCTACATGTGCCCAGAGTCCTCCCTCCCCCAGGGAGAGGCAGGAAACTCAAACCCCACACCAGCGCACAGCAAGTGCCCTGCCACCAGGCCCAGCTCCTCCTAACTTCACCTACTTCATAGTGAGCCAGAAACTATTTTAAAGGAAGGTGAGAAAAAATCTTTTACTGTTGTGATAAACATTTCCCTCTAATATCAGTTATCTACTAATTTACTACTGTGTAACAAATCAACCATAAAATGTAATGGCTTCAAACAACAACTTTTTTTTTTGAGACAGCAATTTTTTTTTTTTTTTTTTGAGACGGAGTTTCGCTCTGTCGCCCAGGCTGGAGTGCAGTGGTGCGATCTCGACTCACTGCAAGCTCCGCCTCCCGGGTTCACGCCATTCTCCTGCCTCAGCCTCCCGCGTAGGTGGGACTACAGGCGCCCTCCACCACGCCCGGCTAATTTTTGTATTTTTAGTAGAGACGGGGTTTCACCGTGTTAGCCAGGATGGTCTCGATCTCCTGACCTCGTGATCCACCCGTCTCGGCCTCCCAAAGTGCTGGGACTACAGGCGTGAGCCACCGCGCCCGGCCTTTTTTTTTTTTTTTTTTTTGAGATGGAGTCTTACTCTGTCGCCCAGGCTGGAGCGCAGTGGCGCAATCTCAGCTCATTGCAACCTCGGTTCCCCGGGTTCAAGCAATTCTCCTGCCTCAGCCTCTTGAGTAGCTGTGATCCCAGGTGCCTGCCACCGCGCCCGGCTAATTTTTATATTTTTAGTAGAGATGGGGTTTCACCATCTTGGCCAGGCTCGTCTTGAACTCCTGACTTCATGATTCACCCACCTCGGCCTCCCAAAATGCTGGGATTACAGGCGTGAGCCACTGTGCCGGGCTGAGACTGCATCTTACTCTGTCTCCCAGGCTGGAGTGCTGTGGTGCAATCAGAGCTCTCACTGCAGCCTTGACCTCCTGAGCTCAATCCATCCTCCTTCCTTGGCTGCCCAAAGAGCTGGGAATATAGGTGTGAGCCACTGCGTCCGGCCACAACAACCATTTTTATTTACCCATACCTCTGTGGGTCAGCAATTTGGGTTGGGCTCAGCTGAACAGTTCTGCCTGTCTTGACTGGGTCAGTTGGTGGGCCGGCTGGGACAATGGCTTTTGATGGCCTCACTCACATGTCTGGCATTTGGTGCTGTCTGTCGGGGCTGTCTCTCTCTGCATCTGGTCTCTTATCCTCAAGGAGGCCAGCCAGTCTGGGCTTTTCACAAGGTGGCAGCATTCCAAGAAGACACACACAGAAAGTCTGGACTCTTGAAGCCTAGACTCGGGTATTGCACAGTGTCATCTTAGCCACAATCCACTGCAGGACCCCTCAGCCTCAAAGCATAGGCAAACAGACTCTACCTCTTGATGGGAAACACAGCAAAGTCATACTGCAAATGGACATGCATGTAGGAATGGGAGAAATTATTATACCCATCTTTGCAAATAATCTACGAAAGTCCACCTCTGGTCATAATAAATCACGTCCTTCTTTCATGGGCAATACTTATTCCCCAAAAGCTTATCCCATTAGGGCATCAGGCCTTGAAGTCCAGGATGTGGTCTTTAATATTAGATCCAGATCTGGATGAGACTCCTCTAGTAAATCGTAAAAAGTGCCATAGTAGGTTTAGAGTCAGAATGGTGAAGAGAACTTGTATTTTTTAGTTCACAGGAATCTGCACCATTCTGGCTGGGTGCGGTGGCTCATGCCTGTAACTCCAGTACTTTGGGAGGCCGAGGCAGGCAGATTGCTTGAGGTCAGGAGTTCGAGACCAGCCTGACCAACATGGTGAAATGCCGTCTCTACTTAAAATACAAAAAAATTGGCTGGATGTGGTGGGCGGGCACCTGTAATCCCAGCTACTCAGGAGGCTGAGGCAAGAGAACCATTTGAACCTAGAAGGTGGAGGTTGCAGTGAGCCCACATCATGCCACTGCACTCTAGCCTGGGTGATGGAGCAATACTCTGTCTCAAAAATAAAAAAATAAAAAGAAAAGAAAAGAATCTGCACCATTCTGCCCCTAAACATACTATGGCACTAGAAGGACCAGACAACCACTGTGGACATTCCCATTCAGAGACTCACAGCAGTCACTGGTCCATGACAATTCTGAAATCCAGCTGGGTGCATTTTTTTTTTAATTTAGATGGAGTTTCACCCTTGTCGCCCAGGCTGGAGTGCAATGGTGCAATCTCGGCTCACGCAACTCTTCCAGGTTCAAGCGAGTCTCCTGCCTCAGCCTCCCGAGTAGCTGGGATTACAGGCATGTGCCATGATGCCCAGCTAATTTTTTTGTATTATTAGTAGAGATGGGGTTTCACCATGTTGGCCAGGCTGGTCTCGGACTCCTGAACTCAGGTGATCTGCCGGCCTTGGCCTCTCTAAGTGCTGGGATTACAGACGTGAGCCATCGCGCCCGGCTGGTGCATGTTTTTAGATCTCTTTACTCTAAGGGTAGGGAATTTTCCTTGATTAGGGCCCAGTTTTGCTAACTGAAAGTGATTTCCTAGTCCATTGCTCTCCTTGACTCTTGGTTCTGCCCTCTGGGCTCTTCGCTCCACTGTCTAAGCGGTCCTATCCTTTTCTCTAGGAACAGCCCGTTTTCAGATAAATAGCTTTCTCAACCTGCTTCCTGCCCATGGAAAATTGGGGACCCAGAAACCTTTTATTTTGAACAAACTCTGTCCCCTTTAGTCTCATATAATATATCTCCCTTAAAACTGTATGGATTTCTAGTAAATCAAATTATAGTCACCTCTAGTAGGTAGACCTCTTTTTAGTTTGAGCAATGAGTTAAGCAGCTACAGGAAAATGCCTTTAAGATTTGTGGAGTTCTTATCCAATGAGAGGATAGGCTTTCTGAGGTATTGATCAGAGAGTTTTAAAGCCACACCTTTGATTTTATCTTTTTCTGAAGCCCTTTCTTTCTCTGATAATATTTTGCTAACTCAAGAGACTTGGAGATGAAAAATGGTTTTATTTTTCAGTCGAGCACATACCAGACCTTCTAGAGTCCCTCCAAATTCTGCTTGCAAACTGAGTAGTCCCTTCTTTAGCTTATCTTTCTCTCTCCAAACAGAAATCTTCTTACTCAGATCCATCGTTCATTAGGTACATTTTCTATCTTCCAAGCCACTGCAGATGACATTTTGCCCGTTGTTCTGTCACTACATAAAACAGATTGCAGCTGGGCTCGGTGGCTCACGCCTGTAATCTCAGCACTTTGGAAGGCTGAGGCGGGCTGATCACCTGAGGTCAAGAGTTCAAGACCAGCCTGGCCAACACGGTGAAACCCCGTCTCTACTAAAAATACAAAAATTAGCTGTGTGTGGTGGCAGGCGCCTGTAATCCCAGCTACTCGGGAGGCTGAGGCAGGAGAATTGCTTGAACCTGGGAGGCAGAGGTCGCAGTGAGCCAAGATTGCACCATTGCACTCCAGCCTGGGCAACAAGAGGGAAACTGCGTCTCAAAAAACAAAAACAAAATAAAACAAAACAAAATCCAAAAAACCAGATTGCCTTTTCCCCCAGTCTCCTATTGCAGTTTCCTCACAGCATTTCCAGCATTTACTAGCAATTTCCTTATCATTGGCCAGGCTCATGCTTATAATTCCAGCTCTTTGGGAGGCCGAAGTGGGCAGATCACCTGAGGTCAGGAGTTCAAGACCAGCCTGGCCAATGTGGTGAAACCCCATCTCTACTAAAAATACAATAATTAGCTGGGTGTGGTGGCGGGTGCCTGTCATCCCAGCTACTAGGAAGGCTGAGGCAGGAGAATCTCTTGAACCTGGGAGGTGGAGGCTGCAGTGAGCCAAGATTGCATCACTGCACTCCAGCCTGGAGTGTGGAGGGAGACTCCAACTCAAAAAAAAATTTCCTTATCGTTTTTCCAGCTTATGCCCTCCACCTGGTCCTAAAGCCAATGCCACTTGTTTTAGGTTATATATGGTGGCACCCCACTTCCAGTACCAATTTCTATATCAGTTGTTTATTGCTGTGTAACAAACCTTCCCCAAATGCAGTGGCCTTAAATGATAATGATTTAGCTGGGGGTGGCGGCCTGCACCTGTAGTCCCAGCTACTTGGGAGGCTGAGATGGGAAGATCACTTGAGCCCAGGAGTTAGGTACCAGCCTGGGCAGCATAGTGAGACTCCAACTTAAAAATAAATAAGTAAATAAATAAATACCACTGATTTGCTCATAGTTCAGTGGGTCAGCAGTTGGGGATGGCCTCAGTTGGGCAGTTCTCCTTTTGCCCTCAGCTAAGGTCACTCAGGTGACTGTAGTCAGGTGTCAGGTAGGCTGGGACCAGCTAAGCCTGTGGCCTCACTCACATGCCTGGGTCTTGTGTTGGCTATCAGCTAGGCCTCTCTCTCCATATAGTTTCTCATTCTCAAAGAGGCTAGCCTGGACTTCTTCAGAACAGCAGCACTGCAAGAGGGCAGGAGTGGAACCTGTACAGTCTCTTGAGGCCTAGGCTCAGAAGTCATACAATATAATTTTTGCTACATTCGACTAGTCAAAGTTAGACACAAGGTTGGTCCACAGGTAGAGATAGGGAAATAGATTTTACCTCTCAATGGGAGGAGGGGTAAGGCCATTTTAAAAAGGGGCATATGAACAGGAATGGGAGGAATTCTCAGTCCATTTTTCAAACAATCTACTGCAAACATAGTCTTGAACATGATGTTCAAAACCTGTCTATCTCCCCACAATTCTATATGTCACATGAAATATTATTCCTCCTCACATTTTTTCCATTTTAAAAATTGTGGTAATATAAACGTAACAAAATGTACCATACCTCTTCATAGTTATTAAACTATTTTTTTTTTTTTTTGAGACAGAGTCTTGCTCTGTCACCCAGGCTAGATAGAGTGCAGTGGTGTGATCTCAGCTCACTGCAAGCTCCGCCTCCCAGGTTCACACCATTCTCCTGCCTCAGCCTCCCGAGTAGCTGGGACTACAGGTGCCCACCACCACGCCTGGCTAATTTTTATTTTTGTATTTTTAGTAGAGACGGGGTTTCACCATGTTAGCCAGGATGGTCGCGATCTCCTGACCTCGTGATCCACCCACCTCGGCCTCCCAGAGTGCTGGGACTACAGGCGTGAGCCACTGCACTGGGTGTTATTAAACTACTAATGCATTATTAGTGTAATTAATGCATACCATTGGTGTAATGGTGAGTATACCACTATCTGAGCTTCTTCCATCCCACCCCCTTATTCAATTACCCATTGGTTGCCAAGCTAAAAGCATTCAGGCATCAACTTAAAGCGAAAACCCCTCTGTGTCTCTCCTTATTCCACGCCTTTCTCATGAAAAGCCAGGAAAAAGGTGAGGCTTTGCTGTAGTAAATTCTCTTGTAGACACTCCTGCCTATTTTTCCTAAGACTCTAAACACGCAAGTCACTGTTTAACTTCCCGGGTATTATATTTTACTGTCTGATGTCTTAGTCATTTCCAGCATCCTGGGAATAAAGTTGAGAGCAGGTAAGAATTATTATCCCTGACATACTGCCGAGCCTGTGGCTTAGTTATAAAGAAAACCAGCTATTCCCTCACTGCTCATTGTCTCTTCCATTTGAGTTAGAACGGGAGTATATTGTTGTATTCAAGAACTGCTTCAGGCTGGGTCCGGTGGCTCACGCCTATAATCCCAGCACTTTGGGAGACCGAGGTGGATGGATCACAAGGTTAGGAGTTCGAGACCATCCTGGCCAATATGGTGAAACCCTGTCTCTACTAAAAATACAAAAAATAGCTGGGCGTGGTGGTGCATGCCTGTGATTCCCAGCTACTCGGGAGGCTGAGGCAGGAGAATCACTTGAACCTGTGAGGCAGAGGTTGCAGTGAGCTAAGATCATGCCACTGCACCCCCAGTCTGGCGACAGAGCTAGACTCCGCCTCAAAAAAAAAAAAAGAAAGAAAGAAAGAAAAGAACTGCTTCAGCATTTCAGGGGTATTCTGATAATTATAAAGTTGCTCAGCCAAGTAACTTTTCGTATAGCTGGTTTACACTGTGAGGCCATTTTTTTAAGGTGTAAAAACAAACTAATTATTATCATTAAAAATATGTATTTAAAAGTCCTCTTTCATACAGATTAAATAACGTCAGACCTTAGAAGTGACCAGAAATTAACTAGGAAATTTGGAATGTTGCGAGGGAACAATGAAGAAGTTGTCCAATTTGACTATAAATTAAACTATTTTGCAATTTTCCTCCAAAACAAAAACAGAAACAACCCCCCCAAAATACTTTCCACCCTGAACAACTTCAGTAATGCTATTTTTCTTTGCACCCTGACTGTCCTTGGTCCACATTCCCAGCTGCTTTTTATGTTCCAAATGTCTGTTTACTTCCAGAAGAAACAAACAAAAGGAAACACTGAAGGGCACCTCTTTCAACATTGACCTTCAGTGAACATGTTGGCTCATTTAATTCCTCCTCTCCTTAGAACCAACTGGATACTCAAACTCTGTAAAGGGCTGTGGAGGAGGCAACAGGAGCGAGAATCATCTGGGAACAGCCCTGTGCCACTTTTAACAAGCAGTCTTACAACTGTACAAAGCAAAGCAACTTTGTTCTTGGTAGTTGTTGAGTTCGCATCTAACATTCCCGGGCTGCAGCACTCCTGTTTGTACAACGTGTAAGACGCAACACAGTGAATGAGTCAAGTCTGGACTCAGGAGCCTGAATGCCTGAGTTTGAATCTGGCATCACCACTTACCAGCTGTAAAACTTTGGGCAAGTTACCTAACTTCTCCTGGGTCTCAGTTTCTTCATTTGTAAAATGGGAATAATAATAGACCCTCCCTCTTTGGGATATTGTGAGGACTAAATGATTAGAAGCATGCTTGCTGCTTAGAAATGTTATATGTGTTTAAGAAATTAAGAATAAGGCTGGGTGCAATGGCTTATGCAGCACTTTGGGAGGCAGAGGCAGGAGAATCGCTTGAGCCAGCAGTTCGAGACTAGCCTGGGCAACACAGTGAGATCTCATCTCTACAAAAAAAAAAAAAAAAAAAAAAAAAAAGAAAAAAGAAGAAGAAGAAGAAATTTAAAGCAGGCCAAGCATGGTGTCTCAAGCCTGTAATCCCAGCACTTTGGGAGGCCAAGGCGGGCAGATCATAAGCTCAGGAGTTCAAGACCAGCCTGGCCAACATAGTGAAACCCTGTCTCTATTAAAAATGCAGAAATTAGCTGGGTGTGGTGGTGCGAGCCTGTAATCATAGCTACTAGGGAGGCTGAGGCCGGAAAATCACTTGAACCTGAAAGGCAGAGGTTGCTGTGAGCTGAAATCATGTCACTGCAGTCCAGCCTGTCTCAAGAAAAAAAAAAAAAAAAAGAATAAATAACAAACTTATTTGATGGCTCTGTGGATACAAAGGGAACATTAATGCATTAAAATATTCCATGAACTTGAAATGGTGTTGTAAGAAGAGGCTGTCTTTTCAGTGTCCTTAATGAGAAAAAACCCTTGTTTTCTGAGGCTTAAGATAGGACTATACAACCATTATAGTAATTATAAAATATTATTTGTAATATATAATATTTTAGGACCCTCTTTAAGGAAAGTCTCTATTACTCTTTTTCCTCAGGTATTCCTACCCTCCTACCCCTACTCCTGCATGACAGTTTCATTTAGTGTTTAAGCGCATGAAATTTGGAGGGAGGTAAAGCTCGTGACCTTTGATTGGAGGGAGGTAAAGCTCTGTGACCTTTGATTGGAGGGAGGTAAAGCTCTGTGACCTTTGAGTGGGTTTCAGTTTCTTTGTCTTTAAAATGGGTGTGGGATTTACTGTGAAAATCAGAACAGCTAAACAAGTAAAGCACTTAGCACTTGGATGAATAAAGATTATTATTGGTGGGGGCTGGTGGGTCATGCCTGTAATTTCAGCTCTTTGGAAGGCCGAGGAGGGTGGATCACTTGAGCCCAGGAGTTCAAGACCAGTCTGGGAAACATAGCAAGACCTTGTCTTTACAAAAAACACAAAAATTGGCCGGATGTGGTGGCTGGTGCCTGTGGTCCCAGCTAACTCAGGAGGCCGAGGCAGGAGGATTGCTTGAGCCTGGGAGGTCAAGGCTGCAGTGAGCCATGATCGTGCCACTGTACTCCAGCCTGGGTGACAGAGTGAGACCCTGTCTCAAAAAAAATTATTTCTATTATTATTATTAAAAATATTTCCCCTAATCCCAGATCATATTATCCAGACTAAGGCCCTAGGAAAGTGAAGATTTTATCTGGCTCCTACAAATGTCTCTGTGACAATAAGCAAGTGATAGTCACTGATAATAGAACAGCAATTAACCCCAAAATTTCTGGAAGCTTTTTGGAGGACCAAAGAAATAACAAGAAAAATCTTGGCCTGGAATATTCCAGAAGATACATTCTGAGGCCGAAAAAGAGAATTGGAGGAAGCCTGAACTTTCCATATCCAAAAACTTCTTTCGTCAAGAGTCCCATTTTTGGTTTTGCCCCGGAGTCACTGGGAAAATTATCTGCCTTCTTTTGGGTCCTGGTTTCCTCATTTAAAAATGAATCTTATGATATAATGTTTACAGGCAAGAAAAAAATTGAAAAAAGAAAGTAAAAATGGAGAGGTTACCTTGAAGATCCTCTTTACCTCTGAGATGTTTGGGGAAGACCTCAGATGGAACTGGTTTCAGCCAGGTCATCCATCCATTCACTACCACAAAGGAAACCAAACAGAGCCGAGATAAGAAATTCCCTTTCAACAAATATCTTGTTATTATGCTGATTTTCAGTCACATAATCAGTCTTAAAGCAAATCCCATCTCAATGGAATTTATAAAAGGATTAGGAAATGGAAAAAAGAGGGATATGTTAGCAAACTCATTTGATTAAATTTAAGCCCATTTCCCTTCATCCTTTACTTTTTTTTTTTTTTAACCGAAGAGGGTGGAGAGCACAAACAATTCACTGGCTCTCATGCTTGTATTTTAGGTTTCTCTATTCATGGCTGGCTGTGTAACTGACCTGCTTTTAAGGGGCTCATTTCTTCAGTCATAATACTGAAGGAACATAAATAAAGAATCTCTTTAGGTGTGGCCTCCCTTGATGTTTCAACAAGAAAAACCTAAGTTAGGGCAGGACACAAAGACTCTTTCAGTCTCAGTCCAGAGGAAGAACACGTGTCATTTGGACTTGCAGTAGAAACTATGGGCTTGATAGCTAAAGCTGTTTTCTGCTTTGCTCTCTTGTTTTGTTTTTGTAGATTACTGCTAGTTCCAAATAATTGAACTGTGTCAAATGAAATTCCACTCAATCTTTTTTTTTTTTTTTGATGGAGTTTTACTCTGTCACCTAGGCTGGAGTGCAGTGGCATGATCTTGGCTCACTGTAACTTCTGTCTCCCAGGTTCAAGTGATTCTCCCGCCTCAGCCTCCAGAGTAGCTGGGGTTACAGGCACGTGCCACCATGCCTGGCTGATTTTTTTTTTTTTTTTTGTATTTTTAGTAGAGACGGGGTTTCACCATGTTGGCCAAGCTGGTCTCAACTCCTGACCTCGGGTGATCTGCCTGCCTAGGCCTCCCAAAGTGCTGGGATTACAGGCTTGAGCCACAGCACCCGGCCGGAATTCCACTCAATTTGATTAGCATTTAGAGGAGTTCTTTTGACTTCTGTTCTCCTAGATTGAGCAGATTAAATATATTAAACAGTGCTGTTGTCTATTATCAAATGGCCACATCCAAACCTCTGCCTTCAGATTTGGCCCAACTCTGGGTCAAGTTCTCCTGTATGATAGTAAGGGATTTTGAAAGGGATGTCTAGTTTTTCATCTTCCAGTTTTGGTTTTAACCTTGGAGAATTTGAGGAGGTAGGGTGTTAATTAATTTTACAGTGGTACAGACATCTGTGTAGCCCCTCATAATGTTGAAGCACCCTCACAGCCACAAAATAAATGTATTCTTGTGACAGTTCTCTGCGGCCTGTCCTGTGAGCATCCTTCTTGTTTTATTTTTTTTGAGCCGGGGTCTTGCTCTGTCACCCAGGCTCTGGAATGCAGGGGCTCCATCATGACTCACTACAGCATTAAACTCCTGGGCTCAAGCGATCCTCCCACCTCAGCCTCCTGAGTAGCTGGGATTACAGGTGTGTGGCACCACACTCGCCTCATACTTCTTTTTCTGACAACTTATTTGTGTGTGCTTTATAATTTTCAAACTGCAATTTTAATTCTCCCAGCAAATCTGTAATTTTAGTGTTATCATCATGATTTAAAAAAGAATAGGCTGGGTGTGGTGGCTCACGCCCGTAATCCCAGCACTTTGGGAAGTCAAGGCTGGAAAATTGCTTGAGGCCTAGAGTTGGAGACCAGCCTGGGCAACATAGCGAGACCCTGTCTCTACCAAAAAAAATTGAACATGGCTCGCACTTGAGCCCAGGTGTTGAAGCTGCAGTGAGCCATGATTTTGCCACTGCACTGCAGGCTGAGCAACAGAGCAACACCCTCTCTCAAAAAAAAAAAAAAGAATAGATGGAAATTTCCTGTTTCCGTGGCTTCTCTGAGGCCTCCTGCCGGCTAAGGTCTGCCCACTGTGGACCCACTTCTCAACCCCAGCTCATAGGATGACCCTAAGTAGTTCTGGATCCACATGACGCCAGCTCCACCTGTGATCTGCTTCTGAGCCTCCGGACCTCAGCTGCACTCTCTACTGTACATTTCCTCACACCTTGCCAAAGAGCTTACCTTAGAATATTTCAGCAGCTTGCTTGCCTGCCAGTCTCCCCTCTAAGTTTGTGAACTCAAGGGCAGGGACTGCCTCCCTCTTTGCTTCTCTAATGCCCAGAATAGTGCCTGACACATATGGGCACTTGGTAAGTGTTTGTCAATGAACAAATCAATAAGTTCACCTCAATAGGCAGATTCCAAAGCTTATAAAATATTTCACAGATACTGCAAGTTTTGTATTTAAATATTTTGGTATAAATTAGCATTTTGACTATTCCTGATAAGGAGAATTAAAACCATTCATGTTTCCTTAGACAGTGTTGTCCATTCACTCCCATCTAAGTCTTGGAATCTTATCAGTGAACAAATATTTGAGTATCTACCATGTTCAAGGCACTGTGCTAGGCTCTGTAGATGAATCAAAGAAACACAAGAGGCGAACCCTTAAATAATTTACAGCTTTATGGCAGGACTGACTATTCTTTGTCCACTCAAAGGTCTTTCTGTGGAGTTTAGAGTACAAATAATAGTCGTGGGGTGAGAAGAACATGAGAGAGTGTGCATGAAGAAGTTTTGCAGAACGCCATCAAATTGTCCATTTAGAGTCTTCTATTTCAAGACCCTCAACTATGGCTGGTTAGGGAGATGAGCATAACCTTTAGAAGTTAATTCTCCAGATAAATAAAAGGGACACTGCAGAAGTTTACATGTTACAAAATGCAGGAGACAGGGAAGTGTGTGGCATAGTAACCCTTTCATCTTCAAGGCGAGAAAAATATGGCACGGTCCAAGACAAACAAGCTATAAATTTCAGGCTTGAGCCCCACCAGATCTGCCTCCTAAATACAGCCCAAATCAAGGCTGTCAGGACTGAGTCACTCGCAAGTCACACAACATGAAAGAGGAGATCTCTGCAGCCAGTATCAGCCTTCAAGCTCCCAAGGGCTGGTCCTGTCTCTCCCAAATCCAACTTAAACTCTCAGGGCTCCAGCATTGGAAAGTGACAAAGTAGAAAATCTGCAGGGGCAGCCAAGAACACCTTACAAGCCGAGGGGAATGGGGTCTTCTTGGAGCCAGAACTGTTAGTTGTAAAACTCTCAGAGCCAGACAGAGGGAAGGGAACAGATTTCTTTGGGGTTCTGTTGTTTATACTTAAGTGTTTGGAATTAGAAGACCACAATCGGCCTGTAAAGGCCTTGTCATTAGAGATTACAAAGAGAATTACTTTGGTGTAGCCAGACACATCTTCTGTTTTTCTTTCTTTTCTTTTGAATGTCTTAACTTTTCTATTTGAACAGTGTCAGAAATTGCTTGTATGGTTCTGCAGGCTCTGCCCTTATATGTAGTTTAAACAGTGACAGCCAGCATTTACTAAATGCTTATTACTGCCAAGCACTGTTCTAAATGCAACAACCCTGGAGGTGGGTACTGTTATTATGACTATTGCAATCCCCATTTTACAGATGGGAAAACTGAGACAAAGAGAAACTGAATACAGCTGGTAAGCAGTGAAGTTGAGATTTGAACCCAAGCTCATGTCTCCAGAATCTGCCAACATAACCTCTAAGTTCTGATGGCTCTCAACAGCACAGCTGGGGCAGGTTCATATGCATAACAAAGAGAAAACTAGGCCGGGCGCAGTGGCTCACGCCTGTAATCCCAGGACTTTGGGAGGCCGAGGCGGGTGGATCACAAGGTCAGGAGATCGAGACCATCCTGGCTAACACAGTGAAACCCCATCTCTACTAAAAATACAAAAAAAAATTAGCCGGGCGTGGTGGTGGGCGCCTGTAGTCCCAGCTACTCGGGAGGCTGAGGCAGGAGAATGGCGTGAACCTGGGAGGCGGAGCTTGCAGTGAGCCGACATTGCGCCACTGCACTCCAGCCTGGGCAACAGAGCGAGACTCCGTCTCAAGAAAAAAAACAAAAAAAACAAAAAGAAAACTAAACCATGCTGTAGAAAATTATTTCTGAAGCTGGCTGGGCGTGGTGGCTCATGCCTGTAATCCCAGCACTTTGGGAAGTCGAGGCGGGTAGATCACGAGGTCAGGAGTTCAAGACCAGCCTGGCCAAGATGGTGAAACCCCGTCTCTACTAAAAATACAAAAAATTAGCTGGGTGCGGTGGCAGGCGCCTGTAATCCCAGCTACTTGGGAGGCTGAGGCAGGAGAATCGCTTGAACTCAGAGGGCAGAGGTTGCAGTGAGCCGAAATCGCACCACTGCACTCCAGCCTGGGTGACAGAATGAGACTCCGTCTCAAAAAAAAAAAAAAAATTCTTTCTGAAGCTATACTTGGAGACTCAGATTCTGAGGGCACAAAGCCAAAATACATTAGTGGGTCAGTTCTGATCCTGCCTGTCACCATCCAAGGTGTCAGAGGGAAGAAGGCAGCCTGTTCTCCCAACCTCATGTCTCCAGTTGCAACTTGCCTGGCACAGTCATGGAAGAATGGAGCCTACTTCCAGAGGGATGGAAAGGGCACTGGGGTGTCGTGTGGTGGCGGGGATTAGAGGCAACTGAGGTGTCAAATGCTCTCGGAAGAGATAAGCCAACATTGGTTGGTGTAAGTTATGGAATTCTGTCCAGTGTTTAGAAGCAAGGAATTTGATATAGATACACCAGCATGTATTCAAAAAGCATGTGGCTGGGTGCAATGACTCACGCCTGTAATCCTAGCACTTTGAGAGACCAAGGTGGAAGGATCGCTTGAGGCCAGGAGTTTGAGACCAGCCTGGCCAACATGGTGAAACCCCATCTCTAATAAAAATACAAAAAAATTAGCCAGGAGTGATGTCGTGTGCCTGTAGTCTCAGCTACTCAGGAGGCTGAGGCAGGAGAATCGCTTGAACCCGGCAGGTGAAGTTGCAGATCGCGCCACTGCACTCCAGCCTGGGTGACAGAGCGAGACTCTATCTCAAAAAACAAAAAGAAGTTCTGAGCTTGCTTTGTTACTCTGGAGCCTTTACAGCTGTTAAGCTACTAAATAACTGAAAGTCAAGTTAGGGAGCCCAACTATGAACGCTTAAGTAGCAGTGGCGTCCTTAACAGTGGGGGTGAGAATATCAGGAAGCAAATGCGTGCTGAGAGCCAGCCGGGTCAGAGGTCTCTGAACAGAGAGCTGATGGAGGTGAAGAAGTAAGAGGGGTGGAGGGGTGGAGTGAAGCCCAACACAGGAATACAAAGGCTCTGTCCTGGGTCCACCAGAGAAAGAGGTCTGTGGGTTGCCCAGCCTTGCCCCATTTCTTCTTTCCCTTCCTTCCTCCCTCCCTTTTCTTTCTCCTCTTCCTCCCTTCCTCCCTTCTTGACGGGTCCTTCTCTACAGGGGTTTTGCCCAGTCTGGTCTCAGACTCCTGGCCTCAAGTGATCTTCTTGCCTCAAGCTCCCAAGCAGCTGGGATTCCAGGCGCTCTGCTATGCCCTTGCCCCACTTTCCGATAAACATGGCCATCTCATCCCCCACCTCCACACTCACTGCTCTACTCCCCCAAACTGAGGTGGTCCCTGGTTATTTTCAGTGGCTCTCCATTAGCCAAGATGTTATCAAAATTTTCTTCCTGTAATTTATATTGGACCAAAATAGGAGTTTGCTTTCATTTTCCACATATAAAATGATCATACTATATTTTTCAAACTACACCCACCCCTCCCCGGAAATTCTGAACCTCCTCCACCCCACCCCACCTACCCCCAGCTGTGGCCCTGATTTCCCCTGGACCATTGGTTGCAAAATAAGTAGTATGGATGGGTGGGTGGAGGAGATAAGATCCTCTGGGAGGTAGGTTAGAGCCAGATAACAGAGGGCCTTAAATGTTGCCTCGGTGCCTGGGCGTGGTGGCGCGGGCCTATATTCGCAACAGTTTGGGAGGGCGGGGTGGGAGGATCACTTGAGCCCAGGAGGTTGAGGCCCGCAGTGAGCCGTGATCATGCCACTGCACTCCAGCCTGGGTTACAGAGCAACCCTGTCTGAAATAAATAAATAAATAAAATGTTGCCATGGCAACCGCTGTCACCTGAGGCACACATTCTTCCTACATGAGGTGGGCAAAGAAGGGTCATTTAGGATGGCACAAGAGTGAAGTGAGCACACCTCCAGGGGACCGTCTTCAGCTCGGTTCTTGTTGAGTGGGGAAGAGGTGGTCTGATATAGGAAAAAACTTGCTTTGGTCAACCCCGAAGCTGAAGAGATGGGTTTTCCATGAGATCTGTCTCTGAGTCCAGTGGCTTTTCTTACCCCAGAAAAACCAGGAGAAAATGATCTTTCCTATACTGCAGTCTCCCTTGATTTCACTCCTGTAGGAGGAGCGATATATGGTTTTTAGTTCTAACTTGGTATCTGCAGGTAGTGCTGGGGGGACAGAGGTGGGAGCACCACTCTAAGCCATTTTTATGTTACAAATGGCAAAACAAAATTAATGCGTTGACCTGAAATAAGAATGCATGAGTTATAGAAACTCAGGGCTGGGTGCAGTGGCTCATGCCTATAATCCCAGCACTTTGGGAGGCTGAGGCAGGCAGATCACCTGAGGTCAGGAGTTCAAGACCAGCCTCGCCAACATGGCAAAACCCCATCTCTACTAAAAATACAAAAATTAGCTGGGCATGGTGGCACGTGCCCGTAGTCCCAGCTACTCAGGTGGTGGTGGTGCACACCTGCAATCCCAGCTACTCAGGAGGCTGAGGTGGGAGAATCGCTTGAATCCGGGAGGTGGAGGTTGCAGTGAGCTGAGATCATGCCACTACACTCCAGTCCCTGGGTGATAAGTGAGACTCTGTCTAGAAAGAAGGAAGGAAAAGAAAGAAAGAAAGAAAGAAAGAGAATAAGAGAGAAAGAAAGAAAGAAAGAGAGGAAGGAAGGAAGGAGAAGGGAAGGGAAGGGAAAGGAAGAAGAAGGGAAAGGAAGGAAGGAAGAGAAGGGAGGGAGGGAGGAAGGAAGGAAGGAAAGAAAAAAGAAAGAGAGAGAAAGAAAAAAAGAGAAAGAAAGAGAAAGAGAGAAAGAAAAGAAACGAAACTCAGGTTCTTTGCTTTGGGCTTGAATTGTATCTACCCAATATGGTGACACTGGTCATCTATGCTGATTTCAAAGATGCATTACTTAAATTCAGTTTATACTGGGCACAGTGGCTCCCGCCTATGGTTCCAGCTACTTGGGAAGCTGAAGTAGGGGAATTGCCATGAGGCCAGGAGTTCAAACCAGCCTGGGCAACACAGTAAGACCCCATCTCTAAAAATTTTTTTTAATTTAAAAAACAATAAAAAATACAGTTTGTTTGGTGGACAGGATCTTTCAGTACATTAAGTCCATGGTTTAACAATTATATTGATAATAATAAAGATAAGTAGTCCCCTTTCCTAAAAGGCTTGTTGAATAACCAAGAGGAGAACCAAGTTCTGCCAGGCAAGAGGGAATAAGGACATGGGAGAGTGACATAAGCCTGGCAAAGCTGCCTTCTACCCAGGAAAGCACCACAGTCAAGGTCACGGAGTCTGGGAGAAAAGAAGGCGAGGCGGTGGTGCTCTGCCACTTGTCTCTACTTGTTGCTGAGTGGCAGCCATCAGTTACAATTAACCTTTGGAATACATCCTGAGTCTCTATCAGGTTTTCTATCCAAATTTGGCATTAGTTGGCACCTACCTGTTGATACACAAGTAGTACTGTTTGCAAGGAGCATGAAACCCACTTCCCTATCCCTGCCCCCTACTCCCCTCCCAACTCAGAGAAACCACATTCAGCTTAGCTCTGTGGAGGAGTTAGCCTTTAATCTCATTAAATGTCAATGATAGGAAAGACTTTCTTCATCCACCCAGTTTCCCATCCATTCATTCAACACATCTCCATTGTGCAAGGTATTGTGGAGGATGTGTGGGCTGCCAACTCTGAGCCCAAGGTCTATGAAGTTGAAGTTAGCAATACCAGGCCAACGAGAGTAGTGGGGATGATGATTGACACCATGACAATTTCAATGATGAACTGTAATTAGCCGTTGTTTGGAGGAGGCTGGTGGTTAGAAGCCTCCTAAGCCTGCTGGCTAGGAGAGGAGCCAGGCAGGTATGGTGCCCAAAGGAGACAAAGCTTGAGCAGGGCTGTAGCCAGGACAGATTAAAGAAGCAGTATACCTGGGTGTGATGGTTCATGCCAATAATCCTAGCACTTTAGGATGCCAAGGCAGGAGAATCACTTGAGCCCAGGAATCCAAGCGCCCTTCAACACTTAGCCTTCATCCTCTAAAATCCCCAAGGGCAACATGCTGAAGCCCCATGTCTACCAAAAATACAAAAATTAGCTGGGCATGGTGGTACACACCTGTGGTTCCAGCTACTGGGGAGGCTGAGGTGGGAGGATTGCTTGAGTCCAGGAGGCAGAGGTTGCAGTGAGCTGAGATTGTGCCACTGTACTCCAGCCGGGGTGACAGAGTCAGACTCTGTCTGAAAAAGAAGAAGAAGAAGGAAAAGAAGAAGAAGAAGAAGAAGAAGAAGAAGAAGAAGAAGAAGAAGAAGAGGAAGAGGAAGAGGAAGAGGAAGAAGGAGAAGGAGAAGGAGAAGGAGAAGAAGAGGAAGAGGAGGAGGAGGAGGAAGAGGAAGAAGGAGAAGAAGGAGAAGGAGAAGAAGAAGAAGAAGAAGAAGAAGAAGAAGAAGAAGAAGAAGAAGAAGAAGAAGCAGAAGCAGCAACAACATGATCATGATTAGCCACTCCGAGGAGTGGACCTCCCTACAGCTTCTGCTTACACATCTGAATATGGGTGTCCTCCCATCTCCTTTTAAGAAATGGATCAAGCATGGATCAGGAGTGCATGGCATCCTTATGCACTTTGCTTTTCTGTGCTGTGGGTGTCTCAGCTGGTCATATTTAGGGGGCCAGAGATCCAAGGGCCCTTCAACATTTAGCCTTCATCCCCTAAAACCCCCAAGGTCTGGGAAACTGAGCTCCTGACAGGTGCTGCCTGCCAACGGAGCAGTTGCCTGGGCTGTTGGGAGGGTCGGAGGCGGGCTTCCTGGTGTCAGCTAACCTCAGTTCTTTCTAAGAGGCAGTGAGTGAAAGTCAGTGCACTTGGCTGAGCACAAGTCCCTGAGTTCTCTGAGCCTTAGCCAATGGGCCAGCCAACCGGAGGCCTATAGGCAAGTGCTGCTCTTGGGTGTGCAGGAAGGAAAACGGGCCCCATTGAACACCTCCCAAGCTTGCTCCCACTTTGGCACCTAAAATAGTCAATTTTAGCTGATCAGGTTCATTTCGCAACTCGGTTATGTGATTCCCAAGCATTACCTCTTATCTCGAAACAGAGGTGTGAAAACAGAACCGACTTGGCACAGACTGGCCGCCTGAAGGAGGGTCTTTGTGTGAGGCTCAAGACTTGTATGGTGGAAAAGAACACACAGTGCCGGCCCGTATCCCCCCCACTTCCATTCATTTGTCTGAGACCAGACCCTGCCCTACCCACATTACAGAGTATCTCTGGCCCCTGTAGAGAGAAAAGATAGCACTTGTACCACTATGTGAGGGGCTTTGGCTCCTGCCTGGGGTGAATCTGCAGCCCCACACGAACAACTCAAATAGCTCGTGGATGTTTCCCAAATGTGTAGTGAGGCTTACTGCACAAATATGCAGGTGGCACCATGGCCCTGCCCTCTAGGGAGAGAGAAGCAAGATGGCGCCATGCCAGCAGCTTCACAAAGTGGCGTTGTTACCTCTCCTTTAGATGTTCCTGTGTGGCTTCATTGGTGCAGAGGAGGATCTGTTTACACCGACTGGCTCATATTGATCCTTTTGGGGGAGGGGAACGACAATGCTGGCCTCTGTTAGTCTCTGGAGTATGCTGGAAGTGCTCAGCCCACCCCAGAGGGTGTCCTGTGATCCCTCTTGGTTGACGCGATACTGAATTACACCCCTGGAGGGTGAGCTCATTCCTGGGCTCAGAAAACAAGTTTCTGACCAGGATTGGGGTAAAACTCCAGGTATTGGGTTCTTTGAGAAGCCCATTGTCTCCTTGAAGTGAGTTGAGGGCACTGTTTTTTCAGAGTTGGGTCTCTGGAAAACAGGGAAGTCCACAGGCTCATTTAAAATACACAAGAAATGTCTCCGGGGATATGTTGGAAAAAATTTTTGAAATATACGTAACAGTGAAATCTGTGGGGTTTAAATATAATGCATCTTTTCCCCAAATCCTTTAAATCATAGTCATGGTCTCTTATTTTGAAAAACTTCAGCTGTCATTTTGCTGTAGTTTTTGTTTTTCCCGTTCAGAAAGACTGTGGGCATGTCGGGCCCTGTGTCCTGCTAAAGAGGTTATAAACTGAGTAAAGGAAAGCAGAGAGGGCCGTCTGCTAGATCAGGAGACAAGGCCCAGGACAGAGACGGCCTTGGGAGCAAATGTCCTGCAGGGCCTCAATTGCCAAGTCAGACTTGTGACTCCTAGGGATCATCTTCACCCCAGGGCGGATCCCTAGTGTGTGCTCCCTGTCACGTTCTTACAATACTTTCTTTTCAGCAGACTGAGGGATCTCCTATAACTCTTCCCTGAACTGGCTTCACCAGTACATGACATTAGCAAAATCAGTCTATTCTCCAGTAACCTTCAAGAAACTTTTTTTTTTTTAAATAGAGACAAGGTCTTGCTATGTTGCCCATGCTGGTCTTGAACTCTTGGGCTCAAGCGATCCTCCCACCTCGGCCTCCCCAAATGCTGGGATTACAGGCATGAGACACCATGCCTCTTTATCCCCACATCTCTACCTGCTCCGGCCTCACCTCCAGGTAGAATAAGGCACAGAATCCACACCATCCTTCTGCCTTGAACATTCTCCAATGTGGCTTCAGAAACCCACGCTGAGTCCCTATATGCGGAACCCTGGGACAACTTAGCCTACATCCTTTTCTCTAGTCAGCTTCCTTTCAATCCATTCTCCACCCTGTAGCCAGAGCAAGTTTTCTAAAATGAAAATCTGCCTGTCATTCTCCAGCTTAAAGGGTTTTAATAGTTTTGTAGAGTTTCTGAGAAAAAGTATAAAGCCCTTTGTGTGGCATTCAGAGTCCTTCAAGATCTGGCACCTTCTTCCCTCTCTCTCTCTTTCCTTCTCATGTGCACACCAAGTTTCTTCCAGCCAGATCTGCTCCATGTTTCTGGCTGGCTTTCCACTCTCCGTAGGCCCTGCACAAGCGTCCTACTGTGCCCAGTCTCTGCCTCTTCTTCCAGGCTGTGAACAAGCAGGGTGATGTCTTATTTGTCTTCCTATCCCCAGAACTTCACCAAATGCAGGTGGCAAAATACAGGGGCTCAGAAATTGTTTGCTGAGTCATTTTGAATTGGAATCTTTCCTAATATGTATTATGTACCTTTTTAAACAAAGTGAGCTCAACAAAATGTAATTTTTTTTTTTTGGGTCTGGCTTAGTTGCTTTCCTGCGTAGACTGTGCTAGATTACAATTGTATCTGGATACCATGTAGTCCTCGTGTTCCAGGCTTGGGAAGGAAAGGAAAGCATATTTAGAGGGTGATTTTGTATTAACTAACAGCTTTTACAAATGAGTTGGATCAAATGCTTCCACTTCTAGGACCCTATATTATGGAAATGAAATACTGGAACTAATGGTTAAAAGGCCCAGCGACATTGATACCGCAGAAAACTATATAGCTGTTGGGCAGGGCACAGTGGCTCATGCCTGTAATCCCAGCACTTTGGGAGGCCGAGGCGGGTGGATCACCTGAAGTCAGGAGTTCGAGACCAGCCTTACCAACATGGTGAAACCCCATCTCTACTAAAAACGCAAAATTAGCCAGGCGTGTTGGTGCATGCCTGTAATCCCAGCTACTTGGGAGGCTGAGGCAGGAGAATCACTTGAACCTGGGAGGCGGAGGTTGCAGGGAGCCGAGATCGTGCCATTGCACTCCAGCCTGGGTGACAAGAGCGAAACTCCATCTCAAAAAAAAAAAAAAGAAAACTATATAGCTGTTATTAAGGGAAGAGTAGATTTGTATTTCTTTTCTTTTCTTTTTCTTTTTTTTTTTTTTTAAGAGACAGGGTCTTTCTTTGTTGGCCAGGCTGGAGTGCAGTGGTGCAATTCTAGCTCACTATAGGCTCAGGAGATCCTCCTGCCTGAGCCTCCCAAGTAGCTGGGACTACAGCCGCGAGCCACCATGCCCAGCTAATTATTTTATTTTTTTGTAGAGATAGTGTCTCGCTTTGTTGCCTAGGCTTGTCTCAAACTTCTCGGCTCAAGCCATCCTCCTGCCTTGGCCTGCCAAAATGCTGGGATTGCAGGTATGAGCTGCCATGGCATGCTTGGCCAATTTGGGTTTCTGACATGGAGGATGTCTATGGTATCAAGTGGTGAAGAAAGTGAATTGGAGAAAAATTGAACAGCATCATCCTCAAACATTCATGTGCAATTTTTTTGTATGTATAGAGAAAGATTTGGAAGGTTATGCATGAAATGGAAGGCCTTGTCCATTCCTGGGACTGGGATATAGAAAAGAGTGGGAGGAATTGTTGATTTTTACATATTTTTCTGGAGTGGCCTCAGTGCTGAATTACAATGAGGTTCAATGAGGGGAGCATAGGGTTATGGTCAGTGACCTCAAAGCCCTAACATTATTTTTTTTCACTGTATTTATTTATTTACTTATTTTTTGAGACCGAGTCTTGCTCTGTCACCCAGGTAGGAGTGCAGTGGTATAATCTCAGCTCACTGCAACCTCCACCTCCCGGGTTCAAGTGATTCTTCCGCCACAGCCTCTCTACTAACTGGGATTACAGGCATGCACCACCATGCCTGGCTAATTTTTTTTGTATTTAGTAGAGATGAGGTTTCACCATGTTGATCAGGCTGTTCTCAATCCATCTGCCTCGGCCTCCCAAAGGGCTAGGATTACAGGCATGAGCCACCACGCCGGGCCAAAGCTCTAACATTATTAGCACTGACACGGTTGGTTCTTCTTTCCGCCTTCTGCCTGTTTTCTGTTTGCCAGAGGTCAATGTCCTGCCTTCTACAGACCCTTCTTATGGCTACTTGCATTTAAATAGGGGATCCTGGAAGATGGGCAAGGTTTCTCAAGACCCAGGTCATGGCTTTTGCCAGTGGTGGAGGAGACTCTTTTGGTCAAGGGACTTCCCTGAAATTACCCACGGGGTTGGGCCAGCATGGGTCCGAGTTTCAACAGTTCTCAGCTGAGGTATGTTGAATCCTGCGGCAGCAGCACTTTGCCCCGTCGATTATGCTGTTGGAGAGTAAGCCTGGGTTAGGGTTCAAGTGCAGATGTGCAATGGGGAGGAGGTGGAGGAACAATATAAATGCTAATAGCCACCATTTACTCAGTGTTTATTGTGTCAGCACTGGGCAAAGTACTTTATAAACATTCCCCCATGTGACTGATGATTAAATTATCTCTGTATAAACTCTAGATTTATTTTATTCTCTTTATTTTTTTCCCCTGACTTGAAAATTAAAGCTTGCAGGTGATAAGTGATGAGGGCAGGATTTGAACCCAGGGAGTGGAGAGTGAGGAAACAGTCTAGTTACTGTAGCCACATCACTTGGGAGACTCATATTTGAAGATGCCTCCAACAGCATAACCAGAGCAAAGCGCTGCTGTGGGCTCCACCACACTTCAACCAAGAAGTGTTCAAACTCAGACCCATACTGGCCACACTTCACCATTGGCAAGCCATGACTCGGGTTGCTGGAAAACCTTGCCCATCTTCCAGGAACCTCTATTTAAAGAACACAAAGGGACAGTGTCACATATTGAAAAGAAGACAGACCACAAAGACTGATGTCTGGTTTAATCCCCATTCTGTGGCTTGGTAATGACCCAGGGCAAATTGCCTCCCTGAGCTTTAATTTTGTCATCTATAAAGTGGAGTGATAATCCCTATCTCACACAGAAGTAGTGTAGAATAAAGGAGCTGGTGTATGGCAGGCAGGAAGCCCTCCTTGGCACTTAGGACTCTAGCTTCTGGTGGCGGGGATGTGGATAGGACTTCATGCTCTAATAATCATGAGTAAGTGTCCTAGAGCACCAGTCACCAGGTCCTTGTGCATGCATTATCTCATTTGGCCCTTACCATAAGCCATCAAGCTATCTCTCTACTCTCTTTAATTGCCCTGCTTGGGGCAAGAGTTGTTTACATTCAACCCTGTTCCCTCACTTCCATTTATACCTCAAACCGCTGGAATCTGGCTTGATCCCACCACTCTGTGGGCCAAGGTCTGGCCAAGGTCACCTATAGTCTGCTCCAGAGAAATTTGAGCTGAGCAGACACTTTTCAGTCCCTAGCTTCTTGGATTTCACGTTTGAGCATTCTTCCCTTCACTTCTAGGGTTTTCTTCCTGCTTCCCCAGGTGCTCCTCTGTCTCTTTCATGGGCTTCTATCCCTCTATGGCACCTTCCTTGTTCTTAATATTTTTGAAACTTGCCACGTTCTCTTCACTCAGCTGCTGGAGTAGTCTTCAGATCTGATGACGTCATTTCCCTGCTCTGTGAAACCACCCTTGGCTCTTAGCATCAAGACCACAGTTCTCATTCAACATGGCCCTGAGGCCCCTGCCTTCATGTGCCTTGCATCTCCAGTCTCATTTCAAAAATGAACTCATCCTTGGAATTCTCAGTTCCATCACAAGTAACTGAAATAGGTCACTCCCTCCATCCTCGGTCAGGTTTCCTATGCTTTGGCTCTTGCTGCCTCCTCTGCCTGGAATGAATAAGCCCTGACCCTCCAGCCCACCCACCACCATTTGTCTGGCTACCTAGTCACCCTGGCCCAGCTGGGATGTGTCTCCTGTGTGTCCCACCAAAAACCGTGTGCTACCACAATCCCAGTCCTTATCCCATGAGAAGCTGTCTCCTCTACTGGATGGCCTTGGGAGCAGGGCCAAGACTTGCTCAGCCCTGTGTTCTCAAGCCCCTAGAGCATGGTGCGGGGGCACCCAGGACAGATGCGCAATACATTTTACTAAATGGAGACTTACCTGCTTTGTACAGTCTGTGGCTTACAAGTTAAGCCTGATATAATTTGAATGGTTGGCCTTTAATATCAGAGAAATTAACTGGTTCCTCTAGAATATTGATTAACAGCCACTCCAAAGAGAGGATATATGCTCTGTCATGTATTATTTGTTGGTGGAAGGTTGCTAGGGTGGTGGATCAGAGGAAAAAATGTTTTTTAAGATACCCATCTCCCCAGCTTTCCTCTAATTCATGCTATTTCTCCTCTTGCTAAGATAAAATGAAACCTTTGCCTTCTCTCTACTCTCCTTATTATCTATGAGTGCTGGTTGGAAGGATTTATTAGAGAAAGTGGTGAAATGCCCTACGCAATCCCAACATAGGACTCTCTCTAGGTTTAAGATGTGTAAAACTGCTTCTTTTTTGTTGCCTGTCCTAAACAGCAGGGAGATTCATTTAAGGAGAACAAGGCCTTCAGTACTTGTGGACTGAATCACAGGCACCAAGGCCTGCTAACTCCTAGGTGTCCCCCAATTCTGCAGGTTCTGCCTCTCCTTGCCCACCTCCTATGACCTAAATTTCCAAATGGTACAGCTCATTCCTCCCCAAAAGTCCCCAGTCAGCTCCTGCTCTATAGAAGTAGCTACCAACCCAGGCTGTGCTGTAGAATCATCTGGGAGTTTTGCGGGGTTTTGTTGTTGTTGTTGTTGTTTGTTTTGTGAAAGAATCTTGCTCTGTTGCCCAGGCTGGAGTGCAGTGGTGCCATTATAGCTCACTGCAACGTCTACCTCCTGGGCTCAAGCGACCCTCCCACCTCAGCCTCCCAAGTAGCTGGGACTACAGGCATGTGCCAACATGCCCAGCTAATTTTTAAATTTTTTTGTAGAGATGAGGTCTTGCCACGTTGCCCAGGCTGACACCTGGGATTACAGACATGAACCACTGAGACTGGCCCCTCATGGGAGCTCTTTATGGTTATTGGTGATGTACGTCCCCTAGTAGACTGTCTGCCTCTGAAGGATGTCTATAGCATAGACCAAAATGACCACAGCATTGTTCTTAGTAACTATTAGTTATATTGAATTCAATGGAAACCTCAGCTGCTTCTGGATTCTCCTGGGTTGTCCAGGAGTTGAATCCATCCTTTCCTCCTCCATGCTGGGCACCTTTCCTCTTTTGCCCTGATAATTCACCCTTCATGAGGTGGGCTGCACCAGCTGCAGTAGGTCTAGTTTGGCTCAAATATTAATTACAAGATTGTTTTGTGGGCCTACGAATGCACTTGAAGTGGTTCAGGCCAACATAGATGAGAATACAAAAGCCATGAACTGAACACTGCTTTGCAAATAGATTGATCAATTGATGGACCTCATAAGTTTTGTTTTAAATTTTTTTATTGATACATAATAGATGTACCTATTTTGGGGAGTACATATGATAACTTAATACATTCATAGAATTCACAAAGATCAAATCAGTGTAATTGGGATATTCATCACCTTGAATACTTTTCTTTATGCTAAAACATTTGCTTTATTCCCTTCTAGCTATTTCAAAATATACAACAGATTATTGTAAACCATAGTCACCTTACTGATCTATCAAACACCAGGTCTTATTTCTTCTATCAAACTGTATATTTGTACCCATTAATCAACCTCTCTTCATCCCCCCACCTCCTCCCCTTTCAGCCTCCAGTAACCACCAGTCTATTCTCTAACTTCATGAGATTTATGTTTTTAGCTCCCAAATATGAGTGAGAACATGTGATATTTGCTTATCCATGCTTGGCTTATTTCACAACACAGTGACTTCCAGTTCCATGCCTGTTGCTGCAAATGACAGGATCTCATTCTTTTTCATTGCTGAATAATATTCCATTGTGTATACATCACCTTTTCTTTATTCACTCATCCATTGATGGATACTTAGATTGATTCTATATTTTAGCTATTGTGAATAGTGCTGCGATAAAGATGGGAGTGCAGATATCTTTTCCATATATTGAAACTTACAGATGTTATCCTAAAAAGTTAAAAGCCTCCCCTCAGTCTAAACTGCTTTGACATCTGGAACTTCCTTTTTCAAACCCAAAGCTGCCTGTCATAATCCCAACTGATTCCTACTGCTTGTCTTTAAATTTTCCATCCCAATAGGCCACCAGCCCTTCTGCTATAAACTTGCACATTCTTTTTTTTTTTTATTTTTTTGAGATGGAGTTTTGCTCTGTCATCCAGGCTAGAGTGCAATGGCCCTATCTTGGCTCACTGCAACCTTTGCCTCCCAGGTTCAGGCGATTCTCCTGCCTCAGCCTCCCAGGTAGCTGGGATTACAGGCATGTGCCACCACGCCTGGGTAATTTTGTATTTTTAGGAGAGATGGGGTTTCACCATGTTGGTCAGGCTGGTCTCGAACTCCTGAACTCAGATGATCTGTCCGCCTCAACTTCCCAAAGTGCTGGGATTACAGGCAGGAGCCACCGCGCCCGGCATACTCGCACATTCTTAAGTCCCTACTCTTTCCTGGCATTCCTCCCTTACCTAGAATGGGTTTCTCATCACCAAAAGCATCCTACCCACTGTTCAAGGTCAAATTCAAATGTCAACTCCTGGGTGTCCCCAGCCAGAAATGATTCCCTTCTCATTTGTTCTTCTAAGATAACTATTTTCTTGCCATTTAATTATTCTTCACTCAGTAAACATCTATTGAGCACCAAATATGTGCCAGGTTCACTTATCCATCCTCTCACTCCGTATGCTATTTTTTTTTCTTCTTTTTTTTTTTGAGACAGAGTTTCTTTTTTGTTGCCCAGCCTTGAGTGCAATGGTGCAATCTCGGCTCACTGCAACTTCTGCCTCCCGGATTCAAGCGATTCTCTCGTCTTAGCCTCCCGAGTAGCTGGGACTACAGGCACGTGCCACCATGCCTGGCTAATTTTTGTATTTTTAGTAGAGACAGGGTTTCACCATGTTGGCCAGGCTGGTCTCAAGCTCCTGACCTCAGGTGATTCACCTACCTCGGCCTCCCAAACTGCTGGGATTATAGCGTGAGCCACCACGCCTGGCCACTCCATATGCTACTATAATTATTTGGTTCTTATATGAGGGGAGGAGATGAATTTTTCTTTCTTTCTTTCTTCCTTCCTTCCTTCCTTTCTTTCTTTCTTTCTTTCTTTCTTTCTTTCTTTCTTTCTTTCTTTCTTTCTTTTTCTTTCTTTCCTTCCTTCCTTCCTTCTTTCTTTCTTTCTCTCTCTTTCTTTCTTTCTTTCTTTCTTTCTTTCTTTCCTTCTTTCCTTCTCTCTCTCTCTCATTCTTTCTTTCTTCCTCTTTCTTTCTCAGAGTCTTGCTCTGTTGCCCAGGCTGGAATGCAGTGGCATGATCTTGGCTCACTGAAAGCTCTGCCTCCCGGGTTCATGCCATTCTCCTGCCTCAGCCTCCCGAGCAGCTGGGACTACAGGCACCCACCACCACGCCCGGCTAATTTTTTTTGTATTTTTAGTAGAGATGGGGTTTCACTGTGTTAGCCAGGATGGTCTCGATCTCCTGACCTCGTGATCTGCCTGCCTTGGCCTCCAAAACAGCTGGGATTACAGGTATGAGCCACCGCGCCCAACCAAATCTTGTTTCTTTTACTATCCCCCCCAAGCCCTTCTTTCTAAGAACAGTGCTTTTCATATGGTTGTGTGCAACAATGTAGTTGACTGAATTGCGTGTTGTTGAATGTGGTCTTGGCAGTGTGAACTGCACACATGTTTTTTCTGGATATGGGTAATGGTATTTATTTTGACCTATCAAGGCTCTGTAAGGCACAACACCTACAGAAGTTTGAGAAGTGACTTCAGAATGAAGGGAACCTCCAGTAAGAACACAGAGTGCCACCCTGCAAATCCTTCCAGCGGCGCCTACAGTGGATGAGAAACATCTTCTCCAGAGTCCACCTCAGACGTGAAGATCTGAGTTGTTTGGTCACCAATCACGATGACTTCGCCACCGCCCTGCCTCCACTCTCCACTCACCTCATGTGAATTGTGTGTGGCTCTTCCTGCCAAGGTCAATGCTCTACCTGAACACACGTTGGCTGTTTTTTTTTTTTGTTGTTGTTGTTGTTTTTGTTTTTTTTGACAGAGACTTGCTCTGTTGCCCAGGCTGGAGGGCAGTGGCACAATCTCGGCTCACTGTAATCTCTGCCTCCTGGGTTCAAGCGATTCTCCTGCCTCAGTCTCTGGAGTAGCTGGGACTACAGGCATGTACCACCATGCCCGGCTAATTTTTGTATTTTTAGTAGAGATGGGGTTTTGACTGTTGGCCAGGCTGGTCTCGAACTCCTGACCTCAGGTGATCCATCCCCGCTTGGTGTTCTGAAGTGCTGGGATTACAGGCATGAGTCACCGTGCCTGGCCATATTGTCTGATGTTCTGATTTGAGTCGTTGGAGTGTTCCCCACTGGACTCGTGTGCACGTGTGGAGCATGGGTGCAGCCCTCCACAAGTCTGTTCTGGGGATGGCTGAAATCCCCCCAGACTCTCTTGCCAGACATCTCCTGTGGATTACCTCTGCTTGTCTTTCTCTTGACCTTTTGCTGGTCATCAAAGGGTTTTCTGGCAAGGTGTTTGCTTTCTCAGTGACCAACTGAGAGCTGCTATTTGGTTTCCTGAGAACTAGATTAGGATTTTTCTAACTTTTAGAAAGGACTCCCAAGCCCATTTTTTCTGAAAGGCTAAACAGAAATCCCTCACTAACACTGATTTCAAATTCAGAACACAACAAATTCCCAAGCTCCACACCTTTCACAAGGTCTGTCTCACGTTTACAAGAGCAAGTTCTGCCTGTCTTTTTCCTTGGCCACTTGGATAGCACTTTCAGCCCTATCAGGGACTTGTCAAGGTGAAGAGAATGAAAGATTGAGTGAGAGACATAGTGTGAAACTACAACAAAAGCTGGGAGAAACGGAATGTTGCTGAAGGGAAGGTGGCTTTGTGCAAAATGTAATTGCTGTGGGAAACGGTTTTTACAAAGTCAAGATGAATTGGTGTGTTAGTACAGAGATTTTTTTTTTCTTTTACAAATGATCCAGGAAAATGGATTTTTAAAATGTAAACATTCCCTTGTAGTATTTACAGCTTCTCTAATATAGGAGGACAAAGGTCTCAGAGCTTAAAGTAAAAAATGCAGGAACAGGGAGATAACAGCTCTTTTACAGTTTGATTGTAATCTAAATATAACAAGAAAATCACTCTAAACCTAAGACATCGTGATGAATAAATATCTGGGTAAGGAGATTATTGAGTCTTTTTTCTTTTTCCTTACTTTTTCTTTCCTAAGGAGTTTTCTTTCTTTGAGAAAGGCCTTTGGTGATGAAGATAAATAGTGGTTGAATGAAAAGCCAGTGTTGGGCTTTGCTGATAGAGGGTTTTGGGGAAATGATTTGTCAGGGCAGAGAAGCTAATAGATGAAATGTGAAACCTCAGAGATCACCTGGTTCAATCCTTCATTTTACACATAAGAGCACTGAATCCAGGCAGGTATGATTTGAGAAGGCACGAAGCCTCATCTCACGACATTTCAGGACCCACCTGTGTCCTATATGACACATAAGAAATACACTTATTTTTCTACCAAACTGGTGTCCTAATTAAAACCTCCTATGGGCCGGGTGTGGTGGTTTATGCCTGTAATCCCAGCACTTTGGGAGGCCGAGTCTGGCAGATCACCTGAGGTCAGGAATTCGAGACCAGCCTGGCCAACATGGCAAAACCCCGTCTCTACTAAAAATACAAAAATTGGCCAGGCATGGTAGCGGGTGCCTGTAGTCCCAGCTACTCGGGAGCCTGAGGCAGGAGAATTGCTTCAACCCAGGAAGCAGAGGTTGCAGTGAGCCAAGATGGCACCACTGCACTCCAGTCTGGGTGACAGAGAGAGACTCTGTCTCAAAAAAAAAAAAAAAAAGAAAAAAGAAAAAAAAAACACCTTCCTAGGGAAGAAATCCTTGAGTTACTTCCATAATGACTTCTATTCTCTTTGAGACCAGCCTGACCAACATGAAGAAACCCCATCTCTACTAAAAATACAAAATTAGCTGGGCGTGGTGGCGCATGCCTGTAATCCCAGCTACTCTGGAGGCTGAGGCAGGAGAATCGCTTGAATCCGGGAGGTGGAGGTTGCAGTTAGCCGAGATCGCGCCACTGCATTCCAGACTGGGCAACAAGAGCGAAACTCCATCTCAAAATAAATAAATAAATAAATAAATAAATAAATAAATAAATAAATAAATAACAGATTTTCAGTTTGCCAATAGAAAATCTGTTATTCAGGGAAGGTCATTATTGTCCTGGGCATCTAGTTCCATGTTTAGTGAATTTTGGCTATGCTGGTTCTCACTCTTGTTGATCCTTGAGAGGTTTCTGTGCCTTGAGGTTTTGCTCCCAACCCCTAGTCCTTTGTCTTAGTCAGTTTCAGCTGATTTAACAGAGTTATCCCATACACTGGGTGGCTTACAAACTACAGAAATTTATTTCTCACAGTTCTGGCCACTGGAAAATCTGAGATCAAGGTGCCAGCAGATTCGGGGTCTAGGGAGGGCCTGCTTCCTGGCCCACATCTGGCCGCCTTCTCACTGGATTCTCACATGGTAGGAAGTACTCTCTGGGCCCCTTTTCTTTTCTTTTTTTGTTGAGAGGGAGTCTTGCTCTGTCACCCAGGCTGGAGTGCGGTGGCGCGGCCTGGGCTCACTGCATCCTCTGCCTTCTGGTTTCAAGCGGTTCTCCTGCTGCAGCTGGGATTACAGGCGCCCGCCACCACGCCTGGCTGATTTTTTGTATTTTAGTACAGACCGAGTTTCACCGTGTTGCCCAGGTTGGTCTCGAGCTCCTGAGCTCAGGCAATCCGCCCCTCTCGGCCTCCCAAAGTGCTACGATTACAGGCGTTAGCCACTGCTCCCAGCCACTGGGCCCCTTTTGTAAGGGCACTGATCCCATTCATGACCAAATCACCTCCCAAAGGTCCCACTTCCTAATACCATCACATTGGGGATTAGGATTTCAACATACAAACTTTGGGGAGACACAAGCATTCAGTTCATTGCATTGCATTGCCCCAAGGTCTCACCGCCTCCATAGGAAAGCAATTGGCAAGCGGTTGTGTGGGGCGGTGCTGCGAAATGGCAAGTTTTCTCTGTGCGCAAGGCACAGGTCTACGGGCTCAGGCTCCGTTCCACAGTCAGACTTCTCCCTGCTCCACTTGGCTCTGTGGCTGCTGACAAGCTCTGTCCACTGGCACCAGCTCCGGCCTCAGAAGTTGTTAACGCTGTTGGGGTGTCCTTTATGAGAAGCGTGAGCTACCGCAGGCCCAGGAGGCCCAGTGGTCAATCAGCCGCGTTCTCCTTCCAGGGAGGGGATGCCCAGCCATGCTCCCTACTCCTTGCACGGACTGAATGCACCAATTCTTTCCTAGCTGCTCACCCATCAGCCCCCCAACCCATAGAGCTCTTGAAGGCAGTGATTGGGTCTTACCTATTTATTTGTTTGTTTTTATTTTGTTGTTATTGTTGGTTTTTGGGCTTTATTTATTATTATTATTTTTTTAGACAGAGTTTTACTCTGTTGCCCAGGCTGGAATGCAGTGGCTCAATCTCGGCTCACTGTAACCTCCGCCTCCTGGGTTCAAGCAATTCTCTTGCCTCGGCCTCCCGAGTAGCTGGGATTACAGGTGCATGCCACCATGCCCGGCTAATTTTTGTATTTTTAGTAGAGATGGGGTTTTGCCATGTTGGCCAGGCTGGTCTCAAACTCCTGACCTCAGGTGATCTGCCAGCCTCGGCCTCCCAAAGTGCTGGGATTACAGGCATAACCCACCACACCCGGGCCATAGGAGGTTTTAATTAGTACACCAGTTTGGTAGAAAATTTTGTATTTTTAGTAGAGATGGGGTTTCGCCATGTTGGTCAGCTTGGTCTCGAATTCCTGACTTCAAGTTATCTGCCCGCCTAGGCCTCCCAAAGTGCTGGGATTAGAGGCGTGAATCAGTGCGCCTGGCCTGTGTCTGATTTATTTCTGCATCCCTGTATTTAACCAAGGGTGAGTGTTTAAGAGATGTTTGTTGCATGAAGTGATGCTCAGTGGCCATTTGCATCTGTAAAAAACAAAACAAAACAAAACACTTGCCTTTCTTTCTTTCTTTTTTTTTTGAGATGGAGTTTTACTTTTGTTGCCCAGGCCGGAGTGCAGTGGCATGATCTCGGCTTATTTCAACCTCTGCTTCCCGGGTTCAAGTGATTCTCCTGCCTCAGCCTCAGCTGGGATTACAGGTGCCCACCACCATGCCTGGCTAAATTTTTGTATTTTTAGTAGAAACGAGGTTTCACCATGTTGGCCAGGCTGGTCTTGAACTCCTGACCTCAGGTGATCCACCCACCTCGGCCTTCCAAAGTGCTGGGATTACAGGCGTAAGCCACTGCGCCCGGTCAGCACTTGCCTTTCACATCAATCATTTTTAATGAAGCAGTCATTGAGCCCATCCTATGAGTGGGTGCCAGAGTAGTACTAGACATGCAGTCCCCACTCTCAAGGAACTTCCGGTTAACTAATATGACAAATAGAATTGGATAACTTAATCAAAGTGTGCTGACCAGTGCTGGCCTCACGGGGACTAGACCTTCATCTTCATCAGAGGCACATTGGGAAAAAACCAATGCATGAAAGTCATGTTGGATGTTGTGGCCATTGATAAAGTACAGTTAGCATTAGGTACAGTGCAGGTGAAAAATAATGGTTGGTCTAGCCATTCAGTGCCTAGTTGTGTTATATCCTTTGTGTATCTCAAAGCATTTTTTGTGCAGGGGAGAAAAAGACTCAGAGCTTTCAAATCAAAGAACTTGGCATCTCAGACAGTTTCCCAATGTCTCCCCTTGGTTATGAAGACAACTTCTTGTCTCCTGAGTCCTTCTCTGTTAACAATCTTCAAGAAATTGTCTAAACGAGTTGCCTGGGATGTGGGCGTGATGGCTTGGGGGGGTATGTGAGTTTATGTCCTCCTAAATGGACTGCCCTTGACAAGAGATGCATTGTGTGACACCAGCAGCTAAACTTGTAAAACGTGTTCGAAGCTCAAAATGTATCATGTTTTACCTGAGAAAATAAGCGATGGTATGACATGTGTTGGAGAAGGCACCCTGCTGCCTCTGCAAAATAGTACAGTGGAGAGCGAATTCTGTCCATGCCTTGCCAGCTTTCAGGAGGGAGATGCAGGCAGGGGGTTCTTTGTTTGCTCAGCACCTCACGCCAGGCCATGCCCGTGACAGCCCAAAACGCAACTGTGAATAGAAAGTCTATCACAAGGGTTCTCAAATACGAAAGTCGAGTTGGAACAAAGAGCAGGCACCAGCCAGTCTTCCTCTGTTAAAGATTATCCAACGCGTCACCTGGGTGCCAACGTTCCCATAAATCCCAGCAGCTATAAGCAGCTCTGTCTCACCTAGTGTAACTGAATGGCGTTGAAACCCTGCCGGGGACCTCGTGGCATTCCATGAAACGACCTCATCACAGGGGAATGAACTTTATCTTGAAGGCTGTAAGTGTGTTTGCTTGAAAGATGATTTACCACGCTCAACAATGACCAAATTTCCTAAATTAAACCTGATCCTCATGTTATAACTCTGAATTTCACAATCTCATCAAGAGGAATAGATCAGCTAGGGAAGTGTAAATCTCTCTGGGATGGCCTTTCAGTGAATCGGAAGGCTGATTCCCAGTTGGGCAGAAGCAAAGGCAGGAGGGTTTCACACTGGGGACAAGCAGAAAGCAGTGCCTGTCAGAGTAACAGGTTGAGGGAAGCTCCCTCCCAAACTCTGCTCCATCTTCCTCCCTCTAGGTCCTAATTTTTTGTCTGTTTTTCTTTTAGGAAGTGAGGCTTTCAAGGGTTCATGATTTGTGATAGAGAACATTAGCACCCCTTTCTCCCCCTTCTTTTTTTCTCACTTTGTTGCCCAGGCTGGAGTGTAGTGGCACGATCTTGGCTCACTGCAACCTCTGCCTCCCAGGTTCAAGCAATTCTCCTGCCTCAGCCTCCCAAGTAGCTGAGACTACAGGCACGCACCACCACACCCAGCTAATTTTTGTATTTTTAGTAGAGATGGGGTTTCATCATGTTGGCCAGGCTGGTCTTGAACTCCTGACCTCATGAACCACCTGCCTCGGCCTCCCAAAGTGCTGGGATTACAGATGTGAGCCACCATGCCCAGCCCCTCTTCTCCCTTTTCTAGGCCAGTAGGAGAAGCCACTCACTGTGGGCAGCAACTGCACGGACCTCTTAGAGTGGCCAGAGCCCTCCCCAGCTCCGTCTTCCTTACTCTCTTTGCTCAGTCCCCAGTGGCTTCCAAACATACAGCCTGGTTCTGAGAGGAGAACGGCCCACATCCCTTGCTGAAATTTCTCCCCTTTGCTCTAATTTCTCCAGGGCACTTACAATCCTGTTAAAGGATAGGGACTAATCCATGGAAACCATTTGGGAACACATAGAAGACAATAGAGTTCAAAAGAGGTCAGGAGGCAGGGTGCGACATATTCTGAAAGACTGTACAGAAGGTAATCTTTGAGACTCCAGCAGTGAGTATGGCTTGGACAGGTAAAGAGAAGGCATTTTAGATGAGGGACATGTCATGCCGTAGATAGATGGCAGGTACACGCTAGTTTTCTAGACCTCGATCTTTTGTGCTGTTTTGTTGAAACTTGTGCCAGAGCTGCGTGGTTTAAAAGTAAGGGTTGGGCACGGTGGCTCACTCCAATAATTCCAGCACTTTGGGAGGCCGAGGCCGGCAGATCACTTGAGTCCAGGAGTTTGAAACCAGCCTAGCCAACATAGTGGAACCCTGTCTTTACTAAAAATACAAAAAATTAGCCGGATCTGGTGGTGCATGCCTGTAATTCCAGCTACTCGAGAGGCTGAGAGAGGAGAATCGCTTGAACCTGGGAGGTGGAGGTTGCAGTGAGCCAAGATTGCACCACTGCACTCCAGCCTGGGTAACAGAGGGAGACTCTGTCTCGAAAAAATTTATATTTATATAATAAAATAAAAGGCCAGGTGCAGTGGCTCACGACTGTAATCCCAGCACTATGGAGGCGGGTGGATCACTTGAAGTTGGGAGTTTGAGACCAGCCTGACCAATGTGGAGAAACCCCATCTCTACTAAAAATATAAAATTAGCTGGGCGTGGTGGCGCATGCCTATAATCCCAGCTACTCTGGAGGCTGAGGCAGGAGAATCACTTGAATCCGGGAGGTGGAGGTTGCAGTGAGCTGAGATCGTGCCACTGCACTCCAGCCTGGGCAACAAGAGCAAAACTCCATCTCTAAATAAATAAATAAATAAATAGAAATAAAAGTAGTATCAGGCCAGGTGTGATGGCTCATGCCTGTAATTCCAACACTTTGGGAGGCCAAGGTGGGAGGATTGCTTGAGGCCGGGAGTTTGAGACCAGCCTGAGCAACATAGGGAGACCTCATCTCTACAAAATCAGCTGGGCATGGTGGTGCGCACCTGCTGTCCCAGCTACTCAGGAGGCTCAGGCAGGAAGATCCTTGAGCCCAGGAGTTTGAGGCTGCAGTGAGCTATGATTATGCCACTGCACACCAGCCTGGGCAACACAGCTGGACCCTGCCTCAAAAAATAAAAGCGAAGAAGAAGAAAAGTAGAATCAAAGCCCCGTGCTTCTGGAATTGGGCAGCTGGTCTCAGGGAGAAGCTGGATCTGAGGACCACAGAGGTGTCTTCCAGCTCTAGAACCTTCAACATGCATAGCCATGAGTGTGATTGGACCCTGGGTGCCCTATGGACTTTCTACTGACCTGAGGTCACTTACCTTTCTTAGCTGATGAGGCTGTTTGTTACAGAGGACAGCAAGGATTTCAGAGTCAGACACAGCTGGGAGGAAATTCTGACTGTACTCTTACAAGTTTGGGCTATCTTGGATACGTGACCAACTTAAACGCTTTGCAAAATCAGAATAATGATGCCCTTTTTCCAGAGTTAATTTGCGGGAAAATATGAGGTAATATATAAAATTCCAGGGCCTCCATAAATGCTGGTTTCCTTTTTTCTTCCCATTTCACTCTTCTGGAGGGATTTTTTTCCTTCTCTAAACCTTTACTTCGCCTAGCTGGCACTTCCTTTCTCACTTCCCCCCCCCCCCACCCCAAATTGTCCCTGGTCTCCGTCTGAAGGGCCCGAGTGTGTGTACGGAAAGATTAAGCTGCCCTTTTTATAAAGGAGAAATGTATTCAAAATGGGGCACATCAAAAGTAAATGTAGGTGACAAATGTTTATATTTGGAAAGTGTTTCTGCTTTGATCCTGGTTTCTATTTTTTTGAGAGTTTGACAAATGTGCCCTCTGGGCCTTGGCGTCAAACATCTTCAGTCAGCAGAGCACTTTACTTGACGGGAAACTCATTTGATCCTGTACTTGCTGCTCCCCACAATCTGGGAGAGTCGAAGTCACAGAATAGAACTCCCCTTGTCTTCCTGTCGTGCAGCCCAGAGCCATTGTGGCTGGGCCAGGGATGGGCCATGCCTGCTTCTCTGAAGTCTTGCTCTTGGGACTGCAAAGCCAGAGACTGATGGAGGCCATCCCTGGCTCCTTTCTCTGAAGTATACTTGGCCATCACGAGTGGTTCCCTGACATCCTCTGCCTCCCTGCCTCCTCCATGAGCTCACATTGAGCTTTTTCTGAACAACCTCTGACCCAGCCACTTTTGAAGATGCCAAAGGTGATTTCCCAAGGGGAACTTCAGGGGTGGTTGCGTGGCATTGAATGCTGAGGAAAGTCTCCATACAGTCAGCTGATTTTTCCAGGGTTTCTTGCCAAGTGTTGCCCAATCCTTGCAGGCAGGTTATAAAGAGGCTCCATGTGTGCGGTGGCTCAGCGTGGCAAGGGTGTGCCACAGCCTCGTGTTGTTTTCAACACTCCAGTCAGGAGGACGTGTGGCCGGCTGCACTGCTGATTTTCGCTGGGAGGTCTCCTTATTCACAAAGTGGTTTCTTTCAGTCCAGACTGATTTCTTCCTACTTTTGGACCTGTGACCTGAAAACAGGAAAGAAGGCTACTGGGATAGTATCCACTATTTCTGCCGGGGTCACTGTCCAACCAAGTAAAACAGGACCCACTCTGAGTATTTCCAACAGAGGGACTGCTGCCATGCCAGGAACTGGTTATGTGGGGGAAGGGATGGTTGAGAAGCCAAATGGGACAGTGAGACAACAGAGAGGTTGGCTGCCGTAGGAAGCCACTGCCACGCAGGCTGGAGGGACAGAGGAGGAGGTTGTACTACTTGGGTGTAGGCACTGGGGTCACCTAGCAGAGGCTGGGACCGCCGTGGGTCCATCTCTCAGGAGCTTGAGCCCTGGACAAGATGCATCCTCTACAGTGGTGATGGAGCGGGGAGAAAGGTTCCTCCTTTTCCTCCCTATCTCCCACCATTGGGCATTGCTAAATCTGGACAGAAGCCATTGATACAAGTCCTGGGAAACAGCCTGCAGGGGCGGCCACTGACTCCCCAAACAGCAAGGAACGGTGAGGAGGTTTTTTGGTCCCCCTGCTGCTTAGAAGTCTGCTCTGGGACTTCTTCCTTCTCTGAAAACCAGAAAGCAGTAGTAGGAGGGGAGAAGGCTGGGATTCTGCAAAGAAAATGGCATAAATGGCCTATGCACAGCACAGTCAGAGCTACCCTCCCGTGTGGGGGTGCCTGGCAGGCCCCGCTGTTCCCACAGCACCGCTCATCCCTAAATGACTCTGCGGCTCTCTCACCAGTAGCTGTGGCCTACTGCTCCTTTCTCTGAAATGCTGGCATAAGCAGGTGGCATTTCCAAGAATGCTCTGGGCTGGGATTAGCAGGCTATAAATTCCCTCAGGGGTCATGGAGAAATGTGCCTCTTACATGTCTCAGTAACTAAGAGCCTCCCTTGTTTGGCTCCGTATGGTACATGCTAGGTTGTGGTGATGCTGTGGGTATGAGAACATGGCTGATTCTGGAAATCTCCAGCTTAGTCCACAACTCTTACATGATTGCTCTTATGCGGCTTTACAGACACTGCCTTCTTATCTCTATGCGTCTTGTGAGAATATATTTTTTGACAATTGGAGGTTGCTAAGCAACTCTCTGGAAATGTGGGCCTGCAGATTTTATGCTTCTGGGTCACCTTGGGAAAGATGTGCCGCTGCTGTGGGCCTCGGTTCTCTCTGACAGACGGAAGAGTTATAGAAGCTTTCATTTCTTCACGTGAAAAACGGGTTGTGGCAATGTAAAATGGGACCAGAGATTTCAAAATATTTTGTAAATTGCTCATGCTTTTTTAAAAAATTTGAGATGGGGTCTCACTATGTTGCCCAGGCTGGTCTTCAATTCCTGGGTTCAAGCAATCCTCCCACCTCAGCCTCTCAAAGTGCTGGTTAAAAGCCAATGAATAAATTAATGAATGAACGCATAAAATATCTGCCCTCAGGAAATAGTCTAGAGGGGGCAGCAGATATGTAGATAGATAAAAGCAGAATAAGGCTCCAGGTCTCATCCCATCTCCTAATCCTTATGCCGGGCTAGGCCCTTGACACACGTGCTAGGTCCATATGGCATCTGATTGAATGGGTGCATTAATGATTCCCATTCTTTCTTGCAAGCAGCTTTGCAACCACTCTTCTATTGATCTTGTGATGGCCTTGAATTGTGGGTAAGTAGACAGAAGGTAGGTTTTTGCGTGAAGAGACAGAGACCTTACTAAGCTAAATGGATTGCCCAATTCACAGCAAATTGAGAGGGAGCCAGGCTGCAGGCTCGGACTCCTCATCTTGACCAGAGCCATTGTCTTTGGTTAAATAACCAAAGTAACAAATGTTGGCTATAAACTCTCCTAATATATTTGGTTAATTATGTAAGTTGCCAACTAAGAGTAGCATCAAAAGTATTTGACACTTTACTGTTAACCTCTCTTAAGAACTCATTTTTGGAAATAAGATGTTAAAACCCTCAGTGGCTAGAGAGAAGAAAAACCAGCTGATATGCAATCTGTGCTTAGGTATTAAAGCTTCTCTTAGCACCTGCCCCCTCTCCACTTTTCTTTTTTTGATGAACAACACTTAAATACCAGTAGCAATATGTCCAGGATTAATAAGTCAATTTTCTATGATAAAAGAAGCATTAAAAAAAAAAAACCTGGAAGATAGTTTGAGCAAATAGAAGTGTTAACTTCATGAGGAAAGAGGTCAGTGGTAGTTCTAGGTCTCTACTAGGGGAACTAGTACATCCTTGTTATAAGGAAAAGCAGAAGGAGAATCAAGTTGTGACTGTGCAGCCACAAGGCCAGAGCTTATAAAAAAAGCAGAGGAAGCAGAATAAACCAGGTGTCCTAGGTCTTAGAAAAGTGTGCTGGTGGCAAGAGAGAGAGAAAAGAAAAGAATAAAAATCTACTGTCTCTGTAATTTTTTTTTTTTTTTGAGACGGAGTCTCGCTCTGTTGCCCAGGCTGGAATGCAGTGGCGTGATCTCGGCTCACCGCAACCTCCGTCTCCTGGGTCCAAGCGATTCTCCTGTCTCAGCCTCCTGAGTAGCTGGAATTATACTCATGTGCCACCACACCCAACTAATTTTTGTATCTTTAGTAGAGATGGGGTTTCGTCATGTTGGTCAGGCTGGTCTTAACATTTTTTTTTTAAAAGGCTGGGCACAGTGGCTCATGCCTGTAATCCCGGCACTTTGAGAGGCTGAGGCAGGAGGGTCATTTGAGGCCAGGAGTCTGAGAACAGCCTGGGCAACATAGTGAGATCCTATCTATATAAGTAATACTACTAATATATAAATTATCTATAATATCATATATAACATATAACATGTAATATAAGATATGATATATATCTCATATAATATATGTTATATATGAACTTGCCAACCAGGTTGTGTGTGTTTGTGCACTGGCATGTGGATGGGGGGGCTAGACAGTGCTGTGGGGATATGGGAAGCCTCTTTAGGCTCAGTCATTCTTTGTTCAGGGGACTTCATATAATGAGGTCATCATCACTGTACTTTCTGAGATTCTCATACAGGCTGGAGAAGGTTTCAAGGGATGAGGCTTCCTTTTCAATCAGGAGTATGACAGCTTTGATGGGCACGACTCTATACAACCATATTATTATATGTTATATTTTAATATTATTTAAGATATATATTATGCTATATTATATGTCTTATAATATATAAAACATATTATGTTAATATTGTATATTATTATATTATATATGGAAATTTTTTTGTTTGTTTCGTAGTAGAAAAGTAAGTGGCAATAGGAAGACCCATACATATGAATGACTCAGAATTTTGGACAATAATCAGGAAGCATCCCCATGTCTGGTAGACAATGGATAACCAGTTGCCTAGAACAGCTGAGTTGTTCATTTGCTCACCAGCAGTAGCAGGCTGTTCTACCTCGTCCTGGAAATGATTCCAAGGGGAGTCAGCAGCCTTGTGGCCGTGGGGACCTCATCACTGTTTGCCTTTTTATTATCAGGTAACATTAAGGCCCCCATTTTACAACTGGTTCTGGTTCTCAGATCTAATAGCTGTGCTTTTTGTGGAAAAAAAAATTTTTTTTAACATCTTTTTTTGTGGGAGGGGCTGCGAAATGAACTTTCAAAATGGGGATTGTAATACAGAAAGGCCGAGAAGCTTTGCTCTGTGGTTTTGAAGGTAAACCTTTCACTTCTGCCCTTAAGTCTGCTCTTTTTCTTTTCTCTCAGAAGTTCTGCTGCCTGAGAACTAGTCAGATGGGTCAATACCCAACACTCGAGCATAAGAGACACAGGTTTGCAAAGAGGATTCTTCATGGTGGTCAAAGGAGAGAAGGCTTGATATTTTCTCTGCTTTATCAACTTGAGCTGTGTCTGGAATGGATGTGAACACTTTTCTCAGTGGGGTTGGGCTCGGGGAAAACTAACTCTTCCCCATGCTCCGGCCCCAGGAATGCTAGCAGGGAAAGACTAAGGACAACATGGTTCCCATGAAATGAAGCTCAGCTCTAAGCTGGTATTTTACAACTAAAACCTATTTCCATTCTAACTTTGTATCGCTTCTCAAAAGTCCTAAGGGCTGTTGATGCCTCTTTGTGTGTTTCTGCGTTGAAATGTGGATGGGGGGCTAGCTGGTGCTGGGGTGGGGAACAGGAAGCCTCTTTAGGCTGGTCATTCTTGGTTCAGGGGACTTCGTATAATGAGGTCACCATCACTCTACTTTCTGAGATTCTCGTACAGGCTGGAGAAGGCTTCAAGGGATGAGGCCTCCTTTTCAATCAAGAGTATGACAGCTGTGATGGGCATGACTCTATACAACCTTTCTTTGACGCACTTGAGCTTTTGTAATAATCCCTTTAGACCAAACCACCAGCAATATGGTAGACTGACTTATACACAGGTCGACACCACTGATTTTTATCCTGGACAGCTTATGATGGAATCTTATGTTCCAGAATTAAAACTTAAAAATAAAAGTTCATCACATTCTTCCAACCTACTGAGGAAAACTGGCTTCTTTTCTGGAGTTATTTAAAAATTTTCTTTGATCTTATTTTGTGTCTGGAGATATGAAGTATTGTGTGTGAAATTCAGTTCTTCACCCCTTCGCACCCTCCCACCACCCACAAGACGGAGTCTTGCTCTGTCACCCAGGCTGGAGTGCAGTGGCATGATCTTGGCTCACTGCAACCTCCGCCTCCTGGATTCAAGCAATTCTCCTGTCTCAGCCTCCCGACTAGCTGGGATTACAGGCGTGCATCACCATGTCTGGCTAATTTTTGTATTTTTAGTAGAGATGAGGTTTCACCATGTTGGCCAGGCTGGTCTTGAACTCCTGGACTCAAGTGATCCACCCACCTTGGCCTCCCAAAGTGCTGGGATTACAGGCGTGAGCCACCAGACTCGGTCTGAAATTCAGTTCCAATGAAAGATGCTATCCAGTTAAAAAAGGGGAAGATAATGTTAGAAATCCTCTCACTTGTATAGTTATTTTTGGCGAAGTCCTTTTGAACTTTCTAGCCTTCCAAAAAACCAACACCACAAGAAGAAAACAGCTAGGAACCTCTTGTTTCTTGACATTTAAGCCCGTTGTCTCTTTGGTGGTAATTCGTGTTGAAATTTAATAGTGTGATTTGGATCCCTGGCTTTTCTGTGAGTTTCATGCATACCAGGAATGGGGCTATGGAAACCCATGTACTGAGACACAATTGTAGACAAGTTGGGTTGGATAAGCTTTGGTGCAGAAAGTCCTGGTTAAAAAAAGCAAACAACAAAAAATCCTAGAGATTTAAATTCTCTTTTTTTCATGGAATGGTGTGGGTGTATGGGTGGGAAAAAGGTATAATAGTGGGGAATGGGTGGGTATCTAATGAGTAAGTTTAATTTGACCTTTGGTAATTTATTAACTTGTTATTGGGTTGAAGTTCTAAGCTGAGATCTAAGAGTCTTCTTCAATAATATGCATGATTTGGGGGCGGGTGAGGTGGGAGCTCCATTAGTCATCCGATTCAGTTATCAAGAAAGCTCAGAATTGGGCAGGGAACAGCATGGGGCTCTGTATGTAAGTGTCTTCTGCTATCTGTCCGCCTGACATTTGGACTTTCTATTGTTCTCCTTGTGAGATTACACCTTTTCGCCCACCCCAGATCACTTTTAAGTTTCTCTGTTCTCAAATTCCTCTGGAAATGAGGTTCCCGGAGGGACAAGCAGGCAGCTACGATGTCTGGATAGCTTGCCTCCACGTTCTCCACACCAGAAGGTGGTGGAGATAAGAGCAGTGGCCACCCACCCAGCCCTGCCTTGTGGAGCCGGCCAGACTTTGTTGGCTGGGGGGACAGCTGGCCGGTGTCTGACAAGAACAATAAGGAAGAGGTAGATCAATCGGGTCGTGCAAGCTCTGACCTGCAGAACTCTTTACCGATTGCTCAATTCTTCCCTTTCTTCCACTCCAAGGGACAAAAAGTTTAGGCTTTTCCTCACAATATTCCCCTCCAGTGGGTCTCTACCCCCAGGTCCCCTTTATACAGCTGTGGAGTCTCCATGAAGACCCAGAGAGATGTTCCCTCTGGTTTCCAAGTTTATGACTTTTCTAGGGACTGCCTCCCTTGTAGAGACTGCCTCCCTTGTTGACAAGTCTAATACCCATGCTGGGTGGAGGCGAGGGGCAAAGATAACAGGGCCAGAGAGAATCCCCCAGAGCCCTTGGAAACAGCAGCTCGCAGCTCAGTGAAGGAGGGAGTTGTTAGCAAAAGCAAGGCCTTGTGAAGGCTCTGGGGTGGTTGCCAGATGGAAGGTGCAATGTTCAAAAGGGATTTCATCCTTAAGCAAAAAGCGTTTAGCAGCCGTCTGACTGATCATTTGGAGGAGGGGGAGATATTATGCCAATTAAGTCAAGACAGTAGCATCTTGTTCCCCTTGCAGTGAGCCCTGATAAAATTGCCTGTCCAGGGGAAGGAAAGCATTTCATTATTTCACCTTTGAAAAAGGATAATCCTTTCTGTATTTCCTCTCTGGGGGAGGGCGTCCTTTGTTCTTTTGCCTCTGACCCATAGCTACTTCTCACATTCAGCTTTGGGGTAAAGAACTTGGAATTTTTTTCAAGTGCGTGATTAAATGACTGAGTTATTAGACAAGGGAGGACCAATCTCAGGGATTCTGTAATTAATAAAACCAGGAGTGATACCATGGGGACCTCACAGGATCCTCATTCCAGGCTGGGGTTGTGAATACACTGGAAGTTCCCCTCTGTCCCTGAGGGATTCCTGGGTGGGCCCCTCAGCAGTGACTCTTTTTTTTTTTTTTTTTTTTTTGAGACAGAACCTCGTTCTCTCACCCAGGCTGGAAGTGCAATGGCACAATCCTGGCTCGTTGCAACTTCCGCCCCCACCCCAGGTTCAAGCGATTCTCCTGCCTCAGCCTCCCAGTTAGGTGGGATTACAAGTGTGCACCACCACCACGCCTGGCTTATTTTTGTGTTTTTAGTAAAGATGGGGTTTTACCATGTTGGCCAGGCTGGTCTCGAACTCCTGACCTCAGGTGATCTGCCTGCCTCAGCCTCCCAAAGTGCTGGAATTACAGGTGTGAAACACCGCGCCTGGCCTCAGCACTGACTCTTGCTCAGCATTGACTCATGGGCAGATATGAAACTCTGGAGAAGACCTTTTAGATTCAGAAGGACACCAGCTACCACTCCAATGCTCTTACTGCAGGATAGAAAGTAGTCAGGGAAGTCATTGCTTTCCAGAATCACTAAACTTGGAAACTGGGAAGGATCTCAAAGCTCATCAAGCCCAGTGTCTCCGTTTTACAGCTGAGGAAGCTGAGGCTGGAGCCGCCTGAGTGACTTTCCCGAGGTGGAACCACGAGTCAGCTGAATGAGTCTAATACGCCCCGCAGCACAGCAGGGTACATTCCCCATATGTGGCAGGCTCCACTGGCCAGGCACAGTGGCTCACGCCTGTAATCCCAATACTTTGGGAGGCTGAGGTGGGAAGATCTCTTGAGCCCAGGAGTTTGGTACCCACTTGGACAACATAGTGAGACCCCTTCTCAGAAGAAACAAAAGTGTTATAGGGCCCAGGAATGTTAGAAAACAAAAGGGAAAGAGGCCGGGCGCAGTGGCTCATGCCTGTAATCCCAGCACTTTGGGAGGCCAAGGTGGGTGGGTCGCTTGAGATCAGGAGTTCGAGACCAGCCGGGCAACATGGTGAAACCCTGTCTCTACTAAAAATCCTAAAATTAGCTGGGTGTGGTGGTGCATGCCTATAATCCCAGCTACTTGGGAGGCTGAGGCAGGAGAATTGCTTGAACCTGGGAGGTGGAGGTTGCAGTGAGCAAAGATTGTGCCACTGCACTCCAGCCTGGGTGACAGAGAGAGATTCTGTCTCAAAAAAGTAAATCAATAAAAGGGAGAGTTAGAAAACCTGCCTCACATAGTTCCTCAAGTCATTGTGTTCTCAGCCTGGTCAGGAAGTTCCAAGCATCCTTTTACCAGTCTTCAAAGTTGTTTTAATCATGAACCATCTTTCACTGAGGAATGAAAGCCTTCCTTGTACCAGTGAAGAATGCTATTTTACTATCCTCCTCCTCTGGGGTGATCTTTTCTTTCAGGTAAAATTCAAGGACCTCGCCTTTTCTTAGAAGGGTCAATGATGAAGAGTGTCTTTTCCCAACTTTGGTTATCACCTTGCTATGGTCTCACTTCCGAAGGAGTGGTAGAATCAGGCTTCAGGATTCTCTGCTGGCCACCGGTTCTCCTCTCATCATTCTGGGCACTGGGGGGCAGGTGACCCAAAAGGAAAAATGGAAACTGGTTCTCATCCCACTGTAGAGGGAAAATTTTCTGGGAACAGACTGGGCGTATTTTGCCTACTATTGATATTTTAATGGGAGCAACAGCTTTCCTGAGGACCTGACCATAGGCATCAGTGTCAACTAACACTGTGGTGTGAGTGTCCAGAAAGGTTAGTTTTTGTTTGTTTGTTTGTTTGTTTTGAGATGGAGTCTCACTCTGTTGCCCAGGCTGGAGTACAGTGGTGCAATCATAGCTCATTGTAGCTTTGAACTCCCGGACTCGAGTGATCCTCCCACCTCAACTTCCCAAGTAGCTGGGACTACAGGCATGTGCCATCATACTCGGCTAATTTTTGTATTTTTTGCAGAGACAAGGTCACTCAACGTAGCCCAGGCTGGTCTCAAGCTCCTGGGCTCAAGTGATCCTCCTACTTCGGACTCCTAAAGTGCTAGAACTATAGATGTGAGCCACCGTGCCCAGCCAAGGTTGATTTTTGAATATGCAATTGATTGGGAGGCTTAATAATACTAGTGAGGGTGCAGTGTGTGCATGTGTGTGTGTGTGTGTGTGTGTGTTTAGTGCAGAGTAGGGAGGAGGATACTGGCCTGGCCCTCGACTAAATCTTTTGGGCAGGACATTTATTGGAAATGTTATGGGATGCGTGTGGAGCTTATAGAATTACCTGTCTAATAGCGGAAGTTCTTTGAGCTGGCAAGCCTCAGAAATCAAGTCCCTAGGGCTGCCCCACTCAGCCCTCAGTACTTTAGTCACAGCATGCTTGCTGCCCACGATTTGGAGAATATTTTGAGCCCTCCTAGAGTATTGATCTACTTCTCATGATTCTGTCTGGCAGTGCACACTTATGCATTTCCTTGTCCCGGGGTCCTTCTCCTCTGTTTCTGAAATGAAAGGGGGACAGGGGTTGTTAGGCCATGAAGACTTCCCCATCTTTTATTCTTTACAGTTCTCTCTCATCCAAAAATGATAAAATATCAGAGATCCAAATTTTACTTTTATTTGGAGTTAAAATAATTTTGATACTTTTGATATTAAGAGGATAGTAAAGAATAAAAGATGGAGAAGGCTTCTTCCTCCAAATTCCCAGATCCCCTTTTACCTCAGAAGCAGAGCAGAGGGACCCCAAGATAGGGAAATGGGTGAGTACACACTGGCACTGCCAGGCAGAATCACAGAGCTGGAGGGAACACGTGCGTGACTGTCCATTCATCATCCTAGCCTTGACCTCTTCATTCCTCAGACTTCTCCAGAAAGGAAAACAGCAGTGGTGGGAAGGGCTGAGGGGAGGTCAGGGGGCAGTTAGGGAAGGGGTGATGAGGGCTATTTCTTGGACACTCCTAGCACAGGCAGTGGCAAGAGCACCAAATCGCTCTGAAGTATGGACTGAGCTGTTACCATTCATTAGAGGCCTGTGTGAGGATCCAAATAGCCTAACTGGAGTTGATTGACTCTCCTGACAGGTATAACCACTCCAATTTTCTTTCTTTTCGTTCTTTCTTGAGAGTCGGGGTCTCATTCTGTCACCCAGGCTGGAATGCAGTGGTGTGATCATAGCTCACTGCAGCCTCAAATTCCTGGGCTCAAGCAATCCTCCCACGTCAGCCTCCTGAGTAGCTGGGACTACAGGCACATGCCACCATGCTTGGCTAATTTATTTTGTTTTATTTTTTACAGAGATGAGAATCTGTCTATGTTGCCCAGGCTGGTCTCCAACTCCTGACTTCAAGCAATCCTCCTGCCTCAGCCTCCCAAAGTGCTGGGATTACAGGCATGAGCCACAGTGCCCAGCCCCACTCCCATTTTCTGAATCTTTCAGAATTTCAGATTGCCTTAAACTGCCCAAAAAAGCTGCTATAAAACCTCAACATATCGCTGCTGCACAAAACCACCCAAACCATCTTCAGACCTCTGCCCTCTGGCATGTGAGTGGCCTGCATTTCAGGAGGTGAAAGATCAGACCTTTGTTATTTGTTAAAGCACTCAGCAACCCAGAACTAAACATGCACGCCGATGTTGATTTGAGAACTAAAGGATATCTTTCAAGTCCAATAAATGTGATAAAAATAAACAACATCCTTTCATAAATTTCATGGAGCATGGCTCTGTGTTTATCTTGTGTCATGTACTTGAGATTACCCCATTGGGGGAAGAAAACACTTGATGAATGCAGGGAGTCTATTTTGTAATCTGCAGTGGTTGGAAAATATTTTCCTACTTCCTACCATGCCCTTTTTTGGCTTCTCTAAGGAAGTTATTAATGGTGCACTTTACAGTATTAGAATGCAGCAGCTTCTAATGAGAAATCCAAAAGATTCCTAGGTTGCAGCCACCCTCCTATGTGGTAGCTGCTTATAAAACGATTCCATGTTCTTTTTTCTTCTACCCAGTGGCTGAAGAGTTTTACTTGGGGTATTATGATATCTGAGAATAACAACAACAGTAGTAATAACAAAAACAATAATACTAATAATACTAACCAATGCGTCTAACACATATCGAAGTGCTAGACAAAGCACTTTTTAAAACTTTATTTTTTTAAGACAGAGTCTCACTCTGGAGTGCAGTGGCATCATCTCAGCTCACTGCAACCTCTGCCTCCTGGATTCAAGCAATTCTCCTGCCTCAGCCTCCTGAGTAGCTGGTATTACAGGCGTGTGCCACCACGCCTGGCTAATTTTTGCATTTTTAGTAGAGATGGGGTTTCACCATGTTGGCCAGGCTGGTCTCAAACTCCTGGCCTCAAGTGATCCGCCTGCCTCGGCCTCTCAAAGGGCTGGGGTTACAGGCATGAGCCACTGCACCTGGCCTTTATAAACTTATTTAGCCACACAATCTTATGAGGTAGGAACCGTTGTCATTCTCATTTTACTCATCAGAACCTGAGACTCTGAGGTTGTGTCTTGTTACAGGTCATACAGCTGATAAACAGTGGAAGATGGGATTTAAGCAGTTCTTACTCCCTTGATTGAATGAATACATCAGCTGTGACTCAGTTGTGAAGCACATCCATCTTATTCATTTATCTGTTGAGCTTGAATATAAAATGTAATAGAGCATCTACTGGAACTGGGTATTGTTCTAAGCACTGGAGATGCTGGGACAAAGCAGACAAAACCCCTACCCTGGTGGAGCTTACAGTCTAGTGAGGTCTAGTGTGATGAAATCTAAACTCAACAAAACAAAGATCAACTAAATACCAACTGAATGGTGGAGATGATATGGCGAAAAATAAAGAAATGAACATAGAGGATATGAGAGCAGGGGCTGCAATTTTAAATATGGCAGTCTGAGGAGGCTTCATTAAGAAGGTGAGATTCCAAGAAAGAGCTGAAGGAGGTGAGGGAGTGAGCCATATGGCTACCTGGGGGCAGAACCATCCAGGGCAGATAGAACATGCAAAGGCCCTGGGGTAGGGCTATGCTTGGCATATTGGAGGAACCATGAGGAGACCAGTGTGGCTGCAGAAGGACCGAGCAAGGAGGAGCACAACAGATGAGGGGAGAGAGGCTGGAGGGTACAGAGCCTTTTCTTGCAGGCCTTGTAGAGGCTGCACCTTTTCTCAGGATGGGGTCGGGGGATTGGAGGGTTTTGAGCAGAGAAGTGACATGATCTGACCTAACTTTTATTTATTTATTTATTCATTTATTTATTTTTCTGAGATGGAGTTTCACTCTAGTTGCTCAGGCTGGAGTGCAATGGCACGATCTCTGCTCACTGCAACCTCCACCTCCTGGGTTCAAGCCATTCTCCTGCCTCAGCCTCGCTAGTAACTGGGATTACAGGAGTGCACCACCATGCCTGGCTAATTTTTGTATTTTTACTAGAGACGGGGTTTTGCCATGTTGTCCAGGTTGGTCTCGAACTCCTGACCTCAGGTGATCCGCCTTGGCCTCCCAAAGTGCTGGGATTACAGGCGTGAGCCACCGCGCCCGGCCTAACCTAAGTTTTAAAAGGATCACTCTGGCTGCTGTGTGGAGATGGACACCAGAGGGACAGAGTAGAAGCCAGGAGCCCAGTTAGGAGACTTGCAGAAAACCAGGTAGGAGGTAGTGGTGGCTTTGACCAGATCAGGAACGCTGCAAGGGATGAGGAGTAGTTGGGTTCAGAAAATAAATAGAAGCAAACTCGAATTTGCTGATGGATTTGTGAGGTGTGAGATGGAGAGAGGCGTTACAATGTCTCTGAGGTTTTCATTTTAGGTGAATCCAGGACAGGGGTTATTAGGAATGACTTAAAATCAAACTAGGAATGTATTTTACTGAGGAAAAGATCATAGAGGCTTGAGAAGGGAAAAGTGGAGAGAGAGCACCCACACTTCTATTTCTAATCAGTCTGAAAAATGAGGTTTTAGGAAATTCTCAACACAATGAAAAGATAAATGTTTGAGGTGATGGATAGATGGATATACCAGTTGCCTTAATATGTTCATTATGCATTGTATGCAGGTATCAAAATATCACATGTGCCCCCCATGTGCTTTTTTTTTTTTTTTTTGAGACAGAGCCCAGAGCTTCACTCTTTCGCCAGGCTGGCGTGCAGTGGTGTCATCACAGCTCACTGCAGCCTTGACTTCCCAGACTCAGGTGATCCTCCCACCTCAGCCTCCCAAGTAGCTGGGACCACAAATGTGTGCCACTACACTCAGCTAATTTTTTGTAGAGAGGGAGTTTCACCATGTTACCCAGGATGGTCTCAAACTCCTGGGTTCAAGTAGCTGGCCCGCCTTGGCCTCCCAAAGTGCTGGGATTACAGGAGTGAACCACTGTGCCCAGCCAGTACAACTCTTATATGTCAATTTTTAAAAAAAGAAATGAAAATTGAGGCTTCCATGAGCAACTTTTAACTTTTACCCATGCAGCCAGCTCCCTGACAAGCAGGAGCTCCTGAAGGGGCATGTCCAACAGTATACATGGTGGATGCAAAGGAACAAAAGTTTATCCTGCATGGTAGAACATTCTACAAAAATAAGGTATTTTTCTAGTCTGTTTTCTACTGGAGAAAATCTTTTCTAACCTAGCCTGAGGGAAGAACACTTGTCATAAACCATCATTTTGCAGGAACCTACAATTGTGACCGAATGGGGACAGGCCAGTTAGTGGATTATGGAGGTGAATATTCCAAGGGTGAGGGTGGATCCTGAGATATGCAAAGTCTGGCTTCTAATGCAGATATGCTTATCAGACCGGAATCCTGCAGGTTCCGAGAGGAAGTAGAAATAAGGGATAAGGAAGAGTTAGTGGTCTCTGAACGGAGACAGGAGGTGGGGGGGTATTGTTGTCTACCCTGGGAGGCCTAATCTAAGGGCCACTGATGACACTACAGATGAAGACTGCAAAAAACCAAGGCCTGGGGTGAGGGAGGGAGGGCCAGCATCCCCATGGACCAAGGTCATTTGGGGATTAGAAAATGAAATCATTATAGGATTTCCAGGAAATGCTCTTCTTCTGTCCGCACTCCCACCCTCACCTACCAAGGTGCGCTAGACTGTCATATTGTTGTTAAAATAAATTAACCTCTTTGAGGGTATTGGAAGAATTCATTCCTTGACACTTTGTTGGGATAATTGCAAAACTCCTCTGGGGTTTGGAAATCTCTGGGAAGACCAGTGGTCTTGGGTATAATGATAAAAAGAACATATCTTTACAGAATGCTTGTTATAGACCAGGCTCCGGGACAGGCAGCGGAAGTGCACTTTACAATGTAATCCTCACACAATCTCAGGAGACAAGTACCATTATTATCCATATTTTGCAAATAAAGAAATAGAGAACCAGGCACAGTGGCATGCCCCTGTAGTCCCAGCTACTTGGGAGGCTGAAGTGGGAGGATCGATTAAGCCCAGAAGTTTGAGGCTGCAGTCAGCTATGATCATGTTACTGCACATCAGCCTGGATGACAGAGTGAGACTCTATCTCTAAAACAAACAAACAAATACATAAATATGTACATAAAATAGTTTTTTTAAAAAAGAAGAAGACAACTTGAAGAAACAAGTAATTTGCCCAATCTCACCGAGCCAGTGACAGGCAGATCTGAGTGCCTGACCTCCATGCAGTTGACTCTATAACCTGTCCTCTCAGCCAGTGTGGAGTCCAGGCAGGGGACACATAAAAGAGGGACCAAAGGGCTTTTTGGGAAGGAAGCATTTCTTTGTCCTACATTCTCAGAATTGAGCCACAAAAGGCTGAAGGCCAGTTAATGTTGATTTCAAATTAAGGACTCATTCGTTTTCTCAACCTCTCACTTACAAAGAAACACCTACATTCTTCCTTCTTGAAGTTATTTGATTTTCACATTATACTTTAAGGGATATCCGCTATTTACCCAATGCTTTCCTGTTCAGTCTTTTCAGACTACGAATCTTGTATATTTTATATACACAAAGGTGACTTTTCCTTCCTTTAATGACCAGTGCTTATCAGCTCAAGCAACTGATACTGAGCTCATAAATATGTCACTCTGAGTTCAGTCCCAGCCCTTCTCCTTTTTAAGAGGAATTTTTGCATGGCAATTTTTCTCCCCCACTCTTTTCCTAACCCTGTGCAGATTGCACTTGTGCCCCAGAAACACCCTTGGGCTATGTTTTGGTTTTACTCCCCCTTGGCAAATATAAATAAGTGACGGACTGGTGCTTACACACCAAAATCATTTCAGCAGAAGCCTGTAGACAATATAAAACCAGGCCCGTGGAGCCAGCGCCTTCCGATTCCAATTAAATATTTCCTGTAAGTCAGTGCCAATTGTGCATCTTGTAAGAACATTTGAAAGCAGAAGTTTGAACTCACAGGGACCCCGTTGCCTTAAAAACCTGTTTCCTGTTTGACAAGACTTTACTAGTAGGAGCTAAGAAGCATATTCAGCAACTAAAGTCATTGTTAGTGGCTCAGATGTGCAAAGGTGGTGGTTTCCTTTCTTGAGTGCCCATCATTACAGCCTCTTTCAGTTGTAGATTTCTCTCTTCCAGATAGTCTCTCTGAACATTAGAACTCTTTTGCTAAGGGCCCTAATGACATTTCCAGGGTTACAGGAAATATTTGCTTATCTCCCTATCAGTAGATCCCCCCCTCCCTGCCACCCCACCCCCGCCGTGCGGTCTTGTGAAGTTGCAAAATCTCTTTGAGACAACCCTTGTAGGTATTATGTCCATCTTGCAGATGAGGAAACTGAGGCTCAGGGTCCACATCTTCTTCAGCTTTGTCTAGAGCACAGTAGATTGTTAGCGACCAGGTGTTTAAGGGTCTGCTCTGCCTCTTGTGTCATGACTTTGCACAAGTTACTGAAACAAGTGCTTGTCTCAGTGATCCGATCCATAAACTGGGGCAAATGTCGGCAGGAAATGGGCATCATAGATACGAAATACCCTTAAGTTGGTCATAAGAAGGGCATTATATTGTAATAACATTGGTGTGCCTTGAGGACAGTATGTGAGGTGACTTAGGCCAGACACAGAAAGACAAATACCGTATGATCTCACTTGTAGGTAGAATCCAAAAACGTGCAACTCATAGAAGCAGAGTAGAATGGTGGTTGCCATGGGCTGTGGGGATGGAAAAATGGGGAAATGTTGGTCAAAGGGCACAAAGTTTCAGCTAAGCAAGATGAATAAGTAATGGAGATCTAAGATACAATACAGTGACTATAGGTAGAAGACTGGATTATATGCCTGAAATTTTCTGAGAGAGTAGTAGATCTTAAATGTTCTCACCACAAAAAATAAAAATAAAAAGCATGTGAGGTGAAGGATATGTTAGCTTGATTGCGGTGATCATTTCACAATGTGTATGTGTATTGAAACGTCACACTGTACACCTTAAATATACAGTTGTCCCTTGCTTTCTATGGGGGATTTTTTCCAGGACCCTCCAACCCCCACCAAAGATACCAAAATCCACAGATGCTCAAGTCCGTGATATAAAATGGTATAGTCATTGCATATACAATGCACATCCTCCCGTGTACTTTATTTTATTTTATTTTATTTTATTTTTTTTGAGACTGAGTCTCACTCTGTCACCCAGGCTGGAGTACAGTGGCGCGATCTTGGCTCACTGCAACCTCCATCTCCCAGGTTCAAGTGATTCTCCTGCCTCAGTCTCCAGAGTAGCTGGGATTACAGGAGCCTGCCACCAGGCCCAGCTAATTTTTGTATATTTTGGGAGAGATGGAGTTTCACCATGTTGGCCAGGCTGGTCCTCCCGTATACTTTACATCATCTCTAGATTACTTGTAATGCCCAATACAATGTAAGAGCTGTGTAAATAGTAGTTATACTGTATTGTTTAGGGAATCATGACAAAAAAAACAGTCTGTACGTGTTCAATATAAACATAAATGTTTTTCCAAAAGTTTTTGACCTATGGTTGGTTGAATCTATGACTGTGGAACCCATGGATACAGAGGGCCTACTATATACAATATTTATTTTTATTATTTAATGTACTCTATACTTCAATGGATGCAAGACTGTATAAATTTTTTTTTTTTTTTTTTGAGACAGGGTCTCACTCTGTCACGCAGGCTGGAGTGCAGTGGCGTGATCTTGGTGCACTGCAACCTCCACCTTCCAGGTTCAAAGCCTCCCAAGTAGCTGGGACTATAGGTGCACTCTACCATGCCCAGCTAATTTTTGTATTTTTTGTAGAGATGGGGTTTCACCATATTGGCTAGGCTGGTCTTGAACTTCTGGGCCCAAGTGATCCACCAGCTTCAGTCTCCCGAAGTGTTGGGATTACAGGTGTGAGCCACTGTGCCCAGCCAATTGTATACAATTTTTTTAAAAAAGTTTTTGAGATAAGGTCTTCTACTGTCACCCAGGCTGGAGTGCAGTGGTGCAATAATAGCTCACTGCAGCCTCAAATTCCTAGGCTCAAGCAATCCTCCCACCTCCGCCTCCCAAACAGCTAGGAGTACAGGTGCGTGCCACCATGCCTGGCTAATTTTTAATTTTTTTGTAGAGATGGGGTCTTGTTATGTTGCCCAGGCAGGTCTTGAACTCCTGACCTCATGCAATCCTCCCACCTTGGCTTTCCAAAGCACGGAGATTATAGGCGTGAACCACTGCACCTGGTCCTGTATGCAATTTTCATTTGCCAATTACACTTCAATAAGACCAAAAAAAATAAAGGCACTATATAATATTATTATTATAGTTTCATTATCATCATTTAAAAAATAACAGTGGACAACAATCTTAGGACTAAAACTCAAAGTACTCTGTGATCTGGCCCTAGTCTGTCAGGCTTTTTTCCAGCCATGACTCCCTCCTTCCACTCTCCCCTTTCACATACACAAACACACACACACACTCACACATCTTTGAACCTTCTTCTCTGGATTTTTGTCTACATGATCCCTTCTATCTGGGGCACTCAATTCTCCCTACTTGGTCGCTCTGCTTCCATGTGGCCATTTCAGCTCCCTTGGGGATTAGGCTGGTGCAGTAAAGAGTGTTGGCGTCAAAACCAGAAAGGCCTTCATTCGAAGCCTAGTGTACTATCAGTGTGATTTAGCTAAGTTATCTCACCTCTCTGGGCCTTAGGGTGCTCATCTCTAAAGTAGGTTAACACTCTTTTTTTGAGATGGGGTCCTGCTATGTTGCCCAGGCTGGTCTTGAACTCCTTGGGCTTAAGCAATACTCCTGCCTCAGCCTTCCAAAGTGCTGGGTTACAGGTATCAGCCCCCATGCCCGGCCAACATTCTCTATCTCACCATATTATGAAGACCAAATGAGCTACCCCCGGCCCAGCATGGGTACAGAATAAACCTGCGTTCCTGCTTCCCATTCCCTCAAATAAAATTCATCTTGTGCTCTTTTGCACCATCAATGTATTTGCTTGTATCTCTACTATAACATCTGCCAAATTCCAGCTTGTCTTGTTGTCCCTTGTATATGTCTCTGCTGCCCGCATGAAGCTGTGAGCTGAGAGCCAGGAAAACACCTGATTTATGTTTGTATCCACCACTGTCATTGCCTCATAGTAAGCCTTCAGTGTTTTGATAGAACTCCAGGAATGTTATCAGCTGGCTCTCCTGGATCTGATTACCTTGTGGGCTGGGCTGGTGTTTAATACTCACTGGCTAATTTGTAGAGTCTTGGAAGCTGAGCCATAGACGGGCTAAGTGAGTCAGCAATGAGGTGCTGTCATTCCAGAAGTCACCCTGCAGCTCAGCCTCCAAACTGCCTTCTTTTACCTTGCCAGCTTTGCCCAAATCTAATGAAGTATACTTTTGCATAACCATGTGACTATAATTTTATAAAGCAAGATTTAAGCATTCACTTAACAAACATAATATGAATATTGTTGGTATTATGGATACTGATGCTAATGGATAGGTACTACATTCTAGGCAGTATGCTAGGCCCTTCTGCGTATAATATTAATCTCATGAAAATGCTGACGGGTAGTATTTTTTCCCATTTTACAGAAAAGTGGTGCTTAAACTGTCCTTTCAATATCCAATGCTAGATTCTAGAGGTATTAGCAAACACCAAGCTCTTGGTTGTTAAGATCACAACATATTGGCAGGGACAGATGGGCAAACAAATCATTAAATGCATCATGAGACACATATGCTGATTAAAAAGTGGAGTCAAAGAGGGGAGAATAGGCCAGGAGCAGTGGCTTACGCCTGTAATCCTGGCACTTTGGGAGGCCAGGGCAGACGGATCACCTGAGTTCAGGAGTTCGAGACCAGCCTGGCCAACATGGTGAAATCTCCATTAAAAATACAAAAATTAGCCGGGCATAGTGACACATGCCTGTAGTCCCAGCTACTTGGGAGGCTGAGGCACAAAAATCACTTGAATCTGGGAGGTGGAGGTTGCAGTGAGCTGAGATCACGCCACTGCACTCTAGCCTGGGCGACAGAGAGAGATCCTGTCTCAAAAAAAAAAAAAAAAAAAAAAGAGGAGAATAATGAACATGGTTAAGCATGATAAATTATTAATAGGAAAAGAGGTATTAATAATATTTGAACAGAATCCTAAGGGATAAGAGGTCAGAGGACAGATAAAGGAGAAGGCAATTCTAGGAATGAGATGATGGTTCTCAAGATTATGGAGGAAAGAACAGGGCCTGCTTCAGTTGTGGTAGAAAGAGGAGTCAAAACTTAGGCTGGGGCAGGACCATGTGCTATGCCAAAGAGCGTGGCCTTTTTCTGTGGGCAGTGGGGAGCCATTGAGAGTTCTACACAGGGAAATTACTCTGGACAATGAAGATGCCCTGAGCCTGTTAGTTATAAAGCTATTTCAACATTAAGAGTTACTCTAATAAAAATATGAATGGATTATCATCAACATCCCAGGACATTAACAAAATTAAGCTTCTTCTATTTCAATGCTTATTTTCTTCTTTGGATAAAGTTAGGAGGAAACATGCTGTGTATCCAAATACTTCCTTTCTGGGGCAAAGGATTTCAGAGAAAGTTCACTGTGTGGAATGTTTTGACCCATAGTATGGTAATAGTTAATCTTTTGAATGACTGTTTCTTTCTTTTTTAAAATTTTTAAACTCTTTAAAAATTTTTTTGGATTTTTTTTAGAGACAGGGCCTTGCTGTGTTGTCCAGGCTGGAGTACAGTGGCATGATCACAGCTCACTGCAGCCTCCATCTCCCAGGCTTAAACGATTTTGCCTTAGCCTCCTGAATAGCTGAGACTACAGGCATGCACTACCACCACACCTGGCTAATTTTTTTGTAGGGGGTGGGGAGGTCTCACTATATCACCCAGGCTGGTCTCGAACTCTTGAGCTGAAGTGATCCTCCTGCCTTGGCCTCCCAAAATGCTGGGATTACAGGTGTGAGCCACCATGCCCAGCCTATATATTTTTAAAATGGGAGCAGGGAGGAGTATGTAGGGTGCTGGGGAAAGATAATCCAGAAACTTTAATTGAGCCCATTTCCAAAGATTTTCCTTGTGCTGGCTGGCCTAACTCCTACCCAAGCCAAGTCCTGGGCTGCAGAAGACCCTGGTGTCCATGGCTCCAGCACCTTTCTTTGAGGCCATGTGGAGAGAAAGCTGGGGGGTAGGGGGTTCCTGCCTCTACCATTCCCCTGTGGCTGTCTCACATGATGAACCCTGCGCAAGTGTCCTTGAACAGCTTTTCTTTTAAAACAAACATCTAATTCCCTGGAAATGCCCTTAATAAAGTGAGCTCACCAACAGATGGTGCTGCTGGGACTGACCCTCACACAAACATCCTCCTTGCTACCTGGAAGGCCTGGCTCCTCCCGATGTTCCCTGCCAGGCATAGAACATGCCTTCAGTTTTTAAGCTATGGAGATCCTGCCCATCTGTGTCTTCTTGTGGCAGGCCTAGGAGGGAAGTCACCATCTGTAGGGTATTAGGGCAGGAGCTCCCTGGGAAGGGGAATTTTCCAGAGTCACATTGGCAGGCTTGCTCCTCCTCGTGGCCCCCTTCAAGCCCCAGTTTCCCCATGTGTGGCCTGAACAAAGCTTCAAAAAGTTCTAGAGGTTTCTTCTGAGGATACCAGACATTGGCTCTGGGTCTGTGGAGCTTCCAGAATCTTGGGGTTCTGCCCCTTGGCTTGTGGTCAAGAACTCGCCTATCTTATGGGTAAGTGGGATCTGATGCAGGCCTGATGTTTTTTTGAGACGGACTCTCACTCTGTCGCCCAGGCTGGAGTGCAGTGGTGCAATCTTGGCCCACTGCAACCTCCGCCTCTTGGGTTCAAGCTATTTTCCTGGCTCAGCCTTTCCAGTGCTGGGATTACAGGCACGCGCCACCACACCCGGCTAATTTTTGTATTTTTAGCAGAGACAGGATTTTACCGTTTGGCTAGGCTGGTCTTGAACTCCTGACCTCAAGTGATCTGCTCGCCTCAGGGTCCCAAAATGCTGGGATTAGCCCTGCCATGAGGAAGGCCTTTGAGGCGACTGACCACTGTGCTGGACATTGCCCCAGGGCACGTGGTCCCACCCTGGGGAGATGGGAGTAGGGCTCACTTGGAGGCGGTAAGGAGCAGTCCTGCTGCTGGCCTGCTCCTTCACATGTCTGCCTGTCTTTGGAGGCATCTCACTTCCTCCTGAAACGGAAAGAATGAAAACTCCCCAGGGGCTGAGGCAAGAGCACCTCTGGCTTCACCCAGATACTTCATCTTCCTCAATTCACTTTGCCTTTTGTCAGCCACCATTACAATCAGGAATTACCTATAGAGAGGAAGGAAGAGTAAAGGTGCAAGTCTGCCATCACCTTAGGCTCTAGCTGCTGAAGTAAGAACAGAGATGGGTCATAGAAGCCTGGGTCCGGTTCCACACTTTGGATGGAGGGAGCTGGAGTGGGTGAGAGAAGGGTGTCAGCGTCCACAGGCAGAGTGGGAATCCTGACTTTTCTACTAACGAGCCCTGCAGCCTTGGTAAGTTCCTTGAGCTCTCTGAGCCTCAGTTTCCTTATCTGTACAGTGAGAATGACAGCATTTTCCTCACTGATGTGTAGTAAAGATTAAAGGCAATGGTGGGTGGATCATTTGAGGTCAGGAGTTCGAGACCAACCTGGCCAATGTGGCAATACCCCGTTTCTACTAAAAATACAAAACTTAGCCGGGCACGATGTTGCATGCCTGTAATCCCAACTACTCGGGAGGCTGAGGCACGGAAATTTCTTGAGCCTGGGAGGCGGAGGTTGCAGTGAGCCGAGATTGCCCCACTGCACTCCAGCCTGGCAGCAGAGTGAGACTCCATCTCAAAAATAAATAAATAAATAAACAAACAAAATAAAGGCAAAGGTGGGTGTAAAGCCTCTGGTATATTCCTTCTGTCTCTGGTCCTGGCTCCAGGAAAACCTGGCTCAAAGTCAGCCAGAGCCTCTGAGGGTGTGGCTCACGTGGGGGTGGGGGGCGGGGAGAGTTCCAACCTCCTCTGGTCTGCCCCAGAGCATGACAAGGCAGAAAGGACTTCCAGGTCACCTAGTAAACCTCCTGCATTCTGTAAACTGCCCAAGTAACTTGCAAAGGAGAGGTCACAATCCTATTAGAAGGAGGTACCAAAGAGGCAGTCAGCAGCGGAGTGGACTGAACGAGCCCCGCGGTGAGAGAGCCATCTGTGCGATAATGAGGTTCTTGCTGAGGCTCAGATGGAGCCTTCCCACCTCGCTGCAGGCCCTGAGTTCCCTCCACAGGGGAAATGGAGACTGTTTGCTGTGCCCTCCCGGATTAACAATTCAGAAGAATTACTCTCACCCCCATCAGATCTTTCCCATTCCTCAGGCTCCTCTTCATCAGTGGCAGTGCCTTCTTTTGGCGGGTGTATCTTAAGCTTTTAAAGATCTAAAAGGCTTTTAAGCAAACAAGTATATCTAAATGACAGATGTGAATGTGTGTGTAAATTCGAGACAAAATTTTTTTGAGATGTGGTCTTCCTATGTTGCCCAGGATGGCCTCAAATTTCTAGGCTAAAGTGATCCTCCCACCCCAGCCTCTCAAGTAGCTGGGGCTATAGGCATACACCTGGCTTCAAATCTTTCTTAGCTAGAAAAATTGAGTGCAATTGACAGGATAAGAAAAAGACTCACTATGCATTAGATAATTCATCTTATTTCTTAGAAACCCTAGTCGCTCAAGAGCAAAGCCTCAGTGATTGCTTGTGTAATCTTGATTTTTAATAAAAAGGCATTCAAATTATAAGCCAATGATCTATAAATGTGTTTTTTATTAAAAAACAAAAACATCATTGCAATGCTCTGATGATATGTAAATATCTTATGTGGAAACTGACTTGAATACCTTCAAAATATGCCACAAGAAGGTTGTGAAAATAAGATGGGAAACCAGAGGAGCAAAATGAAAATGTTTTTGCCCAGGCAATTTAGATCTGAGGGATATATATAAACAGATTCTTCCCCACACAGCGACCATCCTTATCCACAGAGGAGGGTACAGCCAAATGTTCAAACCCAGAAGAGTTAATAACTGCTCTATAGGACCTATGTGATCTTGCTGTTCCTCTTGTCCTGAACATGCAGATTCTGTACCCAAGGAGAGAAGCATAATAGTGACATATTATTATTGTCAATAATAATATGACATGATACATATATATACATATATATATATATATATATATATATATACAGGTATATATACATGTGACAGAGCAAGACTGTCTCAAAAAAAAAGTAAACTAAAGAAAGAAGAAACTTTTATTTCTTAAGCACTTATTATTAGCATTTACTAGTTGTCAAGCACTTTAAATGATCTTATTTAAGCCTCATAACAATCCTGAAATGTGGGCTTTCTCACTTCCATTTTATTTATTTAATTTATTTTTTGAGACGGAGTTTCACTCTTGTTGCCCAGGCTGGAGTGCAGTGGTGTGATCTTGGCTCACTGCCACCTTCACCTCCTGGGTTCAAGCGATTCTCCTGCGTCAGCCTCCTGAGTAGCCGGGATTATAGCCGCTCGCCACCACCTTTGGCTAATTTTTGTATTTTTAGTAGAGACGGGGTTTCGTCATGTTGACCCGGGTGGTCTTGAACTCCTGACTTAAGGTGATCTGCCCGCCTTGGCCTCCTAAAGTGCTGGGATTACAGGCATGAGCCACTGTGCCTGGCCTCATCTCCATTTTACACATGTAAAATGTCCAGTCCAGGACTCAGAGGGCTTAAGTAATTTGCATGAAGATGGTGAACTATAGAGCAGGATTTGAATACGGGCCTGCCCGGCTCTGAGGTCTGTGATCCTTCATATCACCCTGCTGACAAGGCAGAATGCTGACAAAAGCGTCAGCATTTTGTGGGGTGAACCTGGGGACACAGGCATTTCTCCTACCCTCAATGTCCTCAGATGGGGTTGAATTGAATACGTCTCAAATTGTTTTCAAGGCATAAAACTATTGCCTATGTAGGTCCTCAGTAAATGTTGAGTGAATCACATTGTATATATCCAAAACTCTATCACCAGCGTTAGGTGAGATGGGCAAGGCCCAGGAGGCAGGGAAAGGAAATAATGAAATGTTGTCCATTCATGTGGATCTTAGCCATAAAAGTACTTGTCAGTTTTAACATATATTTGGTTGTTTTAAAAACACATTTTTACATAAGTAGAGCTTTGGCATATTTTTCTATAAACAAATATGGCTGCCTCCTTTGTTATACTTTTTTTTTTTTTTTTTTGGATACAGAGTCTTGCTCTGTTGCCCAGGCTGGAGTGCAGTGGTGCGATCTCGGCTCACCACAACCTCCGCATCCCAGGTTCAAGTGATTCTCCTGCCACAGCCTCCTGCGTAGCTGGGATTACAGGCGGGTGCCACCACGCCAGGCTGATTTTTGTATATTCAGTAGAGACAGGGTTTCACTATGTTGGCCAGGCTGGTCTCAAACTCCTGAACTCATTATCTGCCTGCCTCGGCCACACAAAGTGTTGGGATTACAGGTGTGAGCCACCACGCCCAGCCTGTTATACTTTTAAATACATGTCTGGGGTTAACATTATGCATCAAACTAACTTCTCTTCAGGTGTATATCTTCAGCAGTTTCTATTTCCACCAAGGATTAGAAGGTTTCTAGGCTCGTGTTTACCTGATCTTTAGTATTGTATGTGTGTATACCTGCTTTATAAATAAGTTGGGAATTTCCCCATCTGTCTGAGATCCACGACTGTTCTGCTGGAGGCATTTTCTTCACTCTGCTATGGCTTACTGTGTATGAACTGCTGCCACACTTATGTTATCTAGAGTTATCTGGAACATTTGGGCCTCCTTGATTTAGGTGAGTGAATGAAACAACAAGCAACAACAACAACAACAACAACAACAAACTATGAGTATAGCTAAACAATAAAAAGATAGTGGGTGAAGAGCTGAGCCCAGTAGTGAAGAGACCGGATTCCTGCAGTGTTTCCTGCCTGTCATGAACACCCTGGAGGTGGCCCTGCGCCAGGGTGACCTGCCTCACCCCTGGGTCATCCGTCCAGGGCGCTCTGGGCATGCAGCCTGAGGCTGGGGAAGCTGCTTCCAGCAGAGAAGCGCTGAGAGGGCACGTGGCTTTGTGGGACGTGGTGGCTCATTCTCTCTGCAGGGTTAAGTAGTACCTGGTTTCCCTGGGGTCTACAGAAGATCACAATAATTATCTGGACTTTTGTCATTAAGCTTAGGAGGAAAAAATACACCAAAAAAGGAGAATGAAATCCTGAGGTTTCTTTGCCTGGTGGGTCATCTGAAACCCCACTCAGGAAGTAACCTAGAAAGGGAAAAGTCTGTAGCTCCAAATGATGGGTTCTCTGTGAAAGACCTACAACCTGTACACATGGTGTCATCCCATAATAATCAGCCCCAGTCAAGGGGGTCAGGGATGGGAGGCAAATGCCCTTCTCTTCTTCTAATCTCCCTGGTGTGGTGGTGTTTTTCTGAGACATCTTTCCTCGTTTGGCCAGAGTCCACTTTCAACACATTCAAGGGAAGGGAGGAGGTGGGTGCTCAGTACCCCACTGGGACAGCTGCCTCTTCACCACAGTGGCCCAAAGGTTGGGAGTGAGTTTCCAGATAGTAGCTATTTGAATAAATCAAGGCATATGGACCGCTTTAGTGCTCTTTCATCAAGTATCTATAAAAGCCTTATTAATAGGATGATTCCTATTTGGTAGGTATAGATCAGTGGTTCTCAACTCTGCCTGTTAGAACCCTCTGGAAAGCTCAAAATCTCAGGGATTTTACCATTCCGTTGATGAACTGGAAACAGAAAAAGATGATTCTGACAGACTATTTCTTTCTGACGCCAAACTCCAGGGCCTCTCTTTCCTTTCATTAATTTTATTGGAGTTTACCCAAATAAAAAACATATCTCATCTTATCCACCTCCCTTATCTGCAAGCTGCCCAGCAAGGAAGGTGAAGGTGTTTGGAAACAGAACTCAGCATCCTGCATACCTGGTGACACATACACCAATGACAGGAAGATATTCTGACAAACCAGGAGCAGCACTGGGGATTCTTCCTGCAGGGCCTGTGGTGCCAGTATTTCCCTCCTTTCTTTTTTCTTTCTTTCCTTCCTTCCTTCCTTCCTTCCCTCCCTCCTTCCTTCTTCTTTCCTTCCTTCCCTCTTTCTCTGTCTTTCTTGCTTTCTTTCCTTCTTTCTTTTTCTTTCTCTCTCTCTCTTTTTTTTTTCTTTGAGACAGGTTCTTGCTTTGTCACCCAGGCTGGAGTGCAGTGGCACAATCATGGCTCACTGCAGCCTCGAACTCCTGGGCTCAAGCAATCCACCTACCTTGGCCTCCCAAATAGCTGGGACTACAGGCACACACCATCACGCCCAGCTGATTTTTTTATTTTTTTTGTAGGGACGGAGTCTCACCATGTTTCCTGGGCTGATCTCGAACCCTCAAGCGATCCTCCCACCTCAGCCTCTCAAAGTGCTGGGATTGCAGGCATGAGCCACCATTCCAGGCCAACACTTAGGTCTTGAGAGAATGAGAAGCTCAAGCAATTACTTTTTTATTGTTGATACTACAGGTTGTTTGTTTTACAGTTGGTCTGTAAAAGAAGACAAGGGAATTTAAACTCTTACACTTCTAGTTTTCTGAACAGCCTAATTTGAGTGGCATTTTCGCTGCATGGGAAGGCATAGCCCAGAGATAATATATGGGGAACGCTCTTTCTGATGTCCTTGGGATTCCTGTGTTGTGTGGGTTCTTTTTTTTTTTTCACTCCAAAATATATCTATTGTCATCCCTCTAAGTAACTATAGTTTGATAGATGTTTTGGTGGTAATGTGATAAAGTAAAACCTTAGAGACAAAATTTAGCATAATTGCTGCCAGCATTCATGTGTACAACATTTAGGAAAATCTCAATTTAAGTCACAAAGAGAGTTTTATACCCTGTCCTCTAGGGCTGGCTGAGCCGATTATTGGCAAGGTTTGATTTCTAACCACTTACAGAGGTATTATAAAAAGGAAAGAAAAAACAAGCAAAACAAACAAAGATAAAATAACAAACTTCAGAGTGGACTTTAGAAGGAATATAGAAGGGTTGCAGGCACTATAATCTACAGTCATGTGACTTTCCAGCTTCCAAAGTCTGTCCTTTGGTAGGAAGGAAGGGTTTGGTCAGGCGGAGGGAGAAGAGAGGAAAGGAGGGGGGAGCTGCTCCTGGTTCTGGGAACAGGAGAGGCGAGCCTGGCCAGCACCTCCTAGGCTGGGATGGGGGAGTGAAGACGAGACCCGGGTGCAGGCACAGGTGTTTGTTTTCTTGAAACCCCTGTACAGCACTCCTAAGTAGAGGATTCACCCTGTTAACTGTGTGAGGCAGGATCAGAAGTTTTGCTAGGAGATGTGAGAGACAATGGCCCTTTCCTGCGGGCTGGGTAATCTGGACCTTTCTCATACATTTTCCAAGTTCAAAAATGAATACTTTCCCCAGCTACTCAGGAAGCTGAGATGCGAAGAGTGCTCAAACCCAGGAGTTTAAGGCTGCAGTGAGCTGTGAATACACCACTGCATTCCAGCCTGGGCGACAAAGCAAGACTCTGTTTCTAAAAAAAAAAAAAAAAAATAGGGAGAGAATATTTTCAAAGATATATTAACACATTTGGGGGACAAAATTGAACTTTACTCTTAAACATGGTAACTTTGAGAAATGTATTACTGTGATCATAGATGCAGAGGAAAGGTGGCCTTAAGAATCTTCATGAATCATTCAAAGTTATCTCTTGCTCTCTGCTTTACACTGGAAACTCTGTAGATTTAGATGGCAAGAAATATTAAGTAAGGAAATCCATGAGCCTCTTCAAGTGTTTAAGGTGGGGAATAGAACACAACAGAATTACTACATTTCTTAGCAGTAGGCAGCACAGTTTGCAAAACTCCACTAGGTCATACTGTCATATTAAAAAAAAAAAAGAGATTTTCCAGGTCAAGGATACATTCTTAGAGCTATGAAGCAATCTAGGGAAATCATTGTGTCCCCACAAAACAACTCCATTCCAAAGAAGAAGTAAAAATACCCATTGGGTATGGCACAGGAAGGAAGCTGTGCCTTGGGTCCAAGCACAAACGGACAAGATGAGCATGATTGGAAATCACTGCTAAGGGAAGAGGGTGGCACACCACACATCCAGAGAGTTTCCATTTCCATTAGTTTTCTCCTCAATAATGGGACTTTCTTTTTTCTTTTTTTTTTTTTTGAGACAGAGTCTCGTTCTGTTGCCCAGAGCTGGAATGCAGTGGTGTGATCTTGGCTCACTGCAACCTCCGCCTCCCGGGTTCAAGCGATTCTCCTGCCTCAGCCTCCTAAGTAGCTGGGATTATAGATGCACGCCACCATGCCTAGCTAATTTTTGTATTTTTAGTAGAGACGGGCTTTCACCATGTTGGTCAGGTTGGTCTCGAACTCCTGACCTCGTGATCCATCCACCTTGGCCTCCCAAAGTGCTGGAATTACAGGCATAAGCCACTGCGCCTGGCCAATAATCAGACTTTCTAATGCATTTCAGGAAAGAAAAGTGAAAGTAGATGTTGCAACTAAATTCTTTTTTGTTTGTTTTTAAATAAAATTTTTAATTTTTTCCTACATGATGAGATATCAAGCAACTAAATTATTTTCTTCTTATTATTATTATTTTGAGATGGAGTCTTGCTGTGTTGCCCAGGCTGGAGTGCAGTGGCATGATCTTGGCTCACTGCAACCTCTGCTTCCCTGGTTCAAGCGATTCTCCTGCCTCAGCCTCTCGAGTAGCTGGGACTACAGGCACCTGCCACCAAGCCCGGCTAATTTTTGTATTTTTAGTAGAGAGGGTTTTCACTATGTTGGCCGGGCTGGTCTCGAACTCCTGACCTTAAGTGATCCACCCGCCGCGGCCTCCCAAAGTGCTGAGATTACAGGTGTGAACCACTGTGCCTGGCCAATTAAATTATTTTAAACTCACAGTTCCATGCTCCAACTGAGAGCTCTAATAGTGAAGATGACAAATGGGTTGATCCTGTGTTCTGACACAGGAGGGCTCTTACCCACTGGCTTGTCCTGAAGCTGCCACTCACTTTAGTTCCTTCTAGTCCCAAGAAGGACACAGTAACTTCCAGGCTTCCTGAAGCACCTCACCATTGTGTCACATGAGTGATGCCAACATGGGCCTCTTTTTTAGGGAAAATGGAGGAAGTTGGGAGCACCACAATCCCCCTAGAGAGACGCTATCTTCTTTCCTTCAAGCTTCTCTCTTCCAGTTTATAGTAGTATCTCCGGAGCACTTTCTAGTGAAATTTTAGGGACACTATCTTAATTTATGTTTTCTAATAATGAGCATAGAAACTCTTTCATTTCAAATGATAAAATCAAATCTGATTCCTGGATTTTTTCCTTCTAACTTATCATCATCACTAATATATAAGGGTTTAATCATTGATCTAATATACTTACTTTAATAGTAATTTTATTATTTTATAGTGAGAAATTAAAATTTAGGAAAATATGGCTGGGCATGGTGGCTCATGCCTGCAATCCTAGCACTTTGGAAGGCCAAGGCAGGCTGATCATCTAAGGTCAGGAGTTTGAGACCAGCCTGGCCAACATGGTGAAATCCCATCTCTACTGAAAACACAAAAAATTAGCCGTGTGTGGTGGTGCACGCCTGTAATCCTAGCTACTCGGGAGGCCAAGACAGGAGAATCACTTGAACCCAGGAGGCAGAGGTTGCAGTGAGCCAAGATTGTGCCATTGCACTGCAGCCTGGACTATGGAGCAAGACTCCGTCTCAAAACAAACAAACAAACAGACCGAAATTTAGGAAAACATTAACAAGTAAAAATAAGAGGAAATGCCACAAATATTTCCACTAATCAAAACGTCAATGAGCACTGTGATGTGTGCCCATAGTCCCAGCTACCTAGGAGGCTGAGGTGGGAGCATTGCTCCAGTTTAGGAGTCTCAGGCCAGCCTGGGCAACATAGTGTGACCGACCCCCATCTCTAAAAAATAAAAATAAATAAATGAAATTTTTAAAAAAATTTTAAAAATGATATTTTGAGGTTCTTTATGCTGTCTTTATTCCACATAATGATTATCAAAACCCAATATAGATGTAATATGGAGAATGAAAAGGTAAGACACATACATTCTTTTTTAAAACTGATACATAATAATTGTACATATTTATGGGGTACACATGTTATTTTGATACATGAATACAATGAGTAGTGATCAAATTCGGGCAATTAGGATGTCCATCACCTCAAACATTTATCATTATTTTTGTATTGAGAACATTTCAAATCTTTGAAATATTTTCTTTTCTTTCTGTGATGGAGTCTCGATCTGTCGCCCAGGATGGAGTGCAGTGGTGTGCTCTCAGCTCACTATAACCTCCCCATCCCGGGTTCAAGGGATCAAGGGATGCTCCAGCCTCACCCTCCAGAGCAGCTGGGATTACAGGCGTGCGCCACCACGCCTGGCTAATTTTTGTATTTTTAGTAGAGACGAGCTTTCACCATGCTGGGGCCAGGCTGGTCTTGAATTCCTGACCTCAGGTGATCCGCCCGCCTCAGCCTCCCAAACAGCTGGGATTACAGGCATGAGCCACCACACCTGGCCTCAAATCTTCTCTTCTAGCTGTTTTGAAATATATAATAAATTACTATTAACATAATCACCTTACTGTGCTATCCAACACTAGAACTTATTCCTTCTATCTAACTGTATGTTTGTACCCATTAACCAATCTGTCTTCATCCGTGTTCCTCACCCTTTCCAGCCTCTGGTGTCTCTCACTCTGCTTTCTACCTCCATGAGATTAACTTCTTTAGCTCCCACATATGAGTGAGAGCATGTAATATCTGCCTTTCTATACCTGGCTTATTTTACTTAACATAATGATCTTCAGTTCCATCCATGTTGCTGCAAATGACAGGATTTTATTATTTTTTATGACTGAATAGTTTTCCATTGTGTGTATATATCAAGTTTTCTTTATCCATTCATCTGTTGGTGATTAGAATGATTCCGTATCTTGGCTATTGTGAATAGTGCTGTAATAAATATGAGGGTGCAGGTATCCCTTTGACATACAGATTTCCTTTCCTTCGGATAAATACCTAGTAGTGAATTACTGAATCATATGGTATTTGGTATTCTAATTTTAGTTTTTTGAGAAACCTCCATACTGTTTCCCATAAAGGCTGTACTAATTTACATTCCCACCAACAGTGTATGAGTTCCCTTTTCTCTACATCCTCGCCAGCATTTATTTGTCTTTTTGATAATAGCCATTCTAACTGGGTTGAGATGAAAATCTGTGGTTTTGATTTGCATTTCTCTGATGATTAATGATGCTGAATATTTTTTCACATATCTGTTTGTATGTCTTTTCTTGAGAAATATCTATTCAGATCTTTGTCCACCTTTTAATGGGATTTTTTTTTTCTGGTTTTTTTTTTTTTTTTTTTTTTTTGCTATTGAGTTGTTTGAATTCCTTGTATATTTTGGGTATTAGTCCCTTGTCATATGAATAGTTTGCAAATATTTTCTCCCATATGACAGGTTGTCTCTTTGCTCTGTTGTTTCTTTTACTGTGCAGAAGCTTTTTAATTTGATATAGTCCTATTTGTCTATTTTTGTTTCTGTTGCCTGTGCTGTTGAAGTCTTAGCCATAAAATCTTTGCCTAGACCAATGTCTTGAAGCATTTTCCCTGTGTTTTCTTCTAATAGCTTTACGGTTTTGGGTCTTACATTTAAGCTTTAATCTATTTAAAGTTGATGTTGTATATGATGAAAGACAGGTGGATCTAGTTTTATTTTTCTGCATATGAATATCCAGTTTTCTCAGCACCATTTATTGAAGAAGATATTCATTTTCCAATATATGTTCTTGGTGCCTTTGTTGAAAATCAGTTGGCTATAAGTACATTAACTTATTTCTGGGCTCTCTACCTGTTTCATTGGTCTATATGTCTGTCTTTAATACCAGTACCACACTGCTTTGATTACTACAGCTCTGTAGTGTATTTTGAAGTCAGATAGTGTGATGCCTCCAGCTTTATTCTTTTTTTTTTTTTTTAATTGTTTGACAGAGGGTCTCTCTTTGTCATGCAGGTTGGAGTGCAGGGTGCGATCATGGCTCACTGCAAACTCCACCTCCCAGGTTCAAGTGATTCTCCTGCCTCAGCCTCCAGAGTAGCTGAGATTACAGGTGTGCACCACCACACCTGGCTAATTTTTTGTATTTTTAGTAGTGATGGGGTTTCACCATGTTGTCCAGGGGGGTCTCAAACTCCTGGGCTCAAGCAATCCTCCCACCTCAGCCTCCCAATGTGCTGGGGTTACAGGCATGAGCCACCATGCCCACTTTATTATTTTGCTTTGTGTTGTTTTGGCTATTTGGGTCTTTTGTGGTTCCATGTGAATTTTAAGATGTTTTTCTATTTCTGTGAAGAATGTCATTGGTATTTTGATAGAGATTGCATTGTATCTCTCTAGATTGCTTTGGGTATAAGGTCCTTTTAGAAATATTAATTTTTCTGACCTATGAACATGAGATGTCTTTCCAGTGGTTTGTGTCCTTTTCAATTTCTTTCATCAGTGTTTTGCAGTTTTTGTTGTAGAGATTTTTTGCCTTCTTGGTTAAATTTATTCCTAGCTATTTAGTTTTATTTTTGTAGCTATTGTAAATAGGATTGCTTTCTTGATTTCTTTTTCAGCTAGTTTATTGTTGCCATATAGAAATGCTACTACTTTTTGTCTGTTGACTTTGTATCCTGCAACTTTACTGAATTCGTTTATGAGTTCTAAGAGTTGTTTGAGAGAGTCTAGGTTTTTCTATATATAAGATCATGTAATCTGCAAAGAGTGACAATTTGACTTACTTCTTTTCTAATTTGGATGCTTTTTATTTCTTTATCTTGTCTGATTGCTTTGTTTAAGACTTTCAGTACTATTTTGAATAAGAATAGTGAAAGTGAGAGAACACTTATTCTAGTTTATGGAATGAAGCACTGACTGATTCTAGAATCACAAGTAAGACAACTGAGATATTTAAACTAAATTTGTTGTAATTTTGTTTATTGATACTTCTTAGTAAATTTCGAGTATATAATACACTATTATTAACCATAGTCACATTGCTGTACATTAGATCCCTGCATAACTGAAATTTCATACTACTTGAAGCAACACTGTCCCATTTCACCCTCTCCCCAGCACATGGCAACCACCATTCCACTGTCTGTTTTTGAGTTTGACTAATTTAATTTCCATTTATAAGTAAAATCATGCACTATTTGTATTTCTGCAGCTCGCTTATTTCACTTAGCATAATGTCGTCCACGTTCATCTCTATTGTCACAAATGGCAAGATTTCCATTTTTTGGCCAGGGATGGTGGTTCATGTCTGTAATCCCGGCACTTTGGGAAGCTGAGGTAGAAGGATTGCTTGAGGCCAGGAGTTCGAGACCACCCTAGCCAACATAGTGAGACCTGTTTCTATAAAAAATAAAAATAAAAGAATTAAAAAAAAAGAAAAAAAGAGATTTTCTTCTCTTTTTTTTCAGGCTAAATAATATTCCATCAGGTAAATATGCCATATTTTCTTTCTTTGTTTTTTTAAGAGATGGGATCTCACTATGTTGCCCAGGCTGGACTTGAACTTCTAGGCTTGAGCCATCCTCCTGTCTTAGTCTCCCAAGTAGCTGGGATTACAGGCATGCACCACCATGCCCTGGATAATTTCCATATTTTCTTTATCTGTTCATCTGTTGATGGATATTTAGGTTGTTTCCATATCTTTTTTTTTTTTTTTAATTTGTGGGGTTTTTTTGAGACGGGGTCTCAGGCTGGAGTGCAGTGGTGTAATCATAGCTCATTGTGGCCTTGACTTCCCAGGCTCAAGCAGTCCATCCACCTCAGCCTCCTGAGCAGTTGGGACTACAGGCATGTGCCACTATACCTGGCTGATTTTTATTTTTATTTTTTTAGAGACAGGCTCTCACCATCTTGCCCAAGCTGTTCTCGAACTTCTGTCTAGGGCTTCCAAAGTGTTGGGATCACAGGCATGAGACATTCTGTCTGGCCTGTTTCCATATCTTGGCTATTGTCAGTCATGCTGTAATAAACATGGGGAAAAATGTGAAAGTGGTCATCCTTTCCTTGTTCCAGTTCTTAGAGGAAAGGTGTTCGACTTTTCCCCATTCAAGACACAGATAATCTTGGGAAAAGATATTTATAAAAAAAGTATCATACAAATGACATGCATTCAGAATATTAAAAAGCTCCTACAAATTAAAAAAAAAGACAAAGTAACAGAAAAATATGCAAAAGGAGCCATGGGTAGTGGTGTATCCTACAGTTCCAATTACTTTGGAGACTAAGGTGGAAGGATGGCTTGAGCCCAGGAGTTCAAGTTCAGCCTTGGTAACATAGGGAGACCCCATTTCTTAAAACCTTTTTTTCGAAAGATTAACACATAAAGAGAAAAACGTATAAAAGACATGAATGGGCACATCGCTCAAAAGATATTCAAATTCTGGGCACAGTGGCTCACGCCTATAATCCCAGCACTTTGGGAGGCCAAGGGGGAGTGGATTACTTGAGGTCAGGAGTTTGAGACCAGCCTGGCCTACATGGTGAAACACTGTCTCTACAAAGATACAAAAATTAGCCGGGCATGGTGGTGCATGTCTGTAATCCCAGCTGCTTGGGAGGCTGAGGCGGGAGAATCACTTGAGCCTGGAAGGTGGAGTTTGCAGTGAGCTGAGATCATGCCACTGCACTCCAGCCTGGGTGACAGAGTGAGACTCCAACTCAAAAAAAAAAAAATCTATCTATCTATCATCTATCTATCTATCTATCTATCTATCTATCATCTATCTATCTATCTATCTATCTATCTATCTATCTATCTATCTATCATCTATCTATCTATCTATACACACATACACACACACAAATGGCCAATAAACACATGAACGTTTTCAACCTCATTAATCATAAGGAAAATGAAAATTAAAACCACAGCAGCAGCCGGGCATGGTGGCTCACGCCTGTAATCCCAGCACTTTGGGAGGCCGAGGCAGGCGGATGACTTGAGGTCAGGAGTTCAAGACCAGCCTGGTCAACATGGAGAAACCCTGTCTCTACCAAAAATTTAAAAAATTAGCCAGGTGTGGTGACACACACCTGTAATCCCAGCTACTCGGGAGGGTGAGGCAGGAGAATTGCTTGAACCCAGGAGGGGGAGGTTGCAGTGAGCCAAGATCTTGCCACTGCACTCCAGCCTGGGCGACAGAGTGAGACTCTGTCTAAAAACAAAAAACAAAAAACAAAACAACAACAAAACACCACAATAGCATACCTAACAAGACTCCTACCAGAATGACAAAAATTATAGTGACTGACAACACCAAGTGTTGGTGAAGATGTGGAGCAACTGGGACTCTCATATACATCTCATGAAAGTGTAAATTGGCACAGCTCCTCAGAAAACTTTGAGTCAGGATTTAATAAAAATGAACACATGCACACCTTACATTCAACAATTCCTCTCCTAGGCATATACCCAACAGAAGTGTGTAAATCTGTGTAAGAGAAGACACATAGAAAAATGTTCATTAAAGCACCTTTTTGTAATAGCCAAAACCTAGAAACAATAAAATGTTCATCAGCAGGCTGGACATGGTGGCTCATGCCTGTAGTCCTAGCACTTTGGGAGGCCAAGGCAGGTAAATTGTCTGAGCTCAGGAGTTTGAGACCAGCCAGGGGAACATGGTGAAACCCCGTCTCTACTAAAAATACAAAAAAATTAGCCGGGCATGGTGGCATGCACCTGTAATCCCAGCTAATCCGGAGGCTGAGACAGGAGAATTGCTTGAGCCTGGGAAGCAGAGGTTGCGGTGAGCTGAGATTGCACCATTGCACTCCAGCCTGGGTGACACAGCAAGATTCTGTCTCAAAAAAAAAAATGTTCAACAGAATATATAAATATGCTATATTTATACAATGAAATACTACACAGCAAGAAGAAGGAACTACTGTTGAATACAGCAATGTACATGAATCTCACAAATATTACATTAAGCGAAAGATAACACACACAAAGAGGTACATAGTGCATGGTTCCATTTATATGCTTCAAAATTAGGCAAAACTTACGGTGATGACAGTTAGGATAATGGTTACTTTTTGTAGGTAGTGATGGAAAGGGGAAAGGGGACGACTTAAGGGGAATTTAGGGTGTTGACAATTGTTTGATTTCCTTTTTGGGTAGTGCATACATGCCTGTGTTCACCTATTGAGCAATAAACCCGTGACTTTATACTGTGTGTATAAATGTCAAGAAAAGTCTACTCTAAAAAATGTCATTTAACAGAGAAGATACAGTTTTCATGATGCTTGTGAGGAGCTTAAATTTTTTTCATAAAATGAGTGGGGATAAAGCAACATTTCTAAATCGCCAATTCTTTTATATGTGACTTTAAGTGTGAAACAAAATTAAAATTAAATATTATAAGTAAAAATATATAGTTACAAACATTTTACAAATATTGCATCACCTTTTATTTAACATAAAAAACATTTTACATTACTAAAAATCATTATAAATACAATTTCTGATGTGTAATGTAGATTCAAGATTTGTAAACCCTCTCCTACTGCAAGACTGAGTTATTTTAAATTTAGGGATATTATCTAAAATGCTGCAATGAATATCTTGGTGCATTTTTTTATAGTTCAAATTATTTCCAGATGTGGAATTACTGTGTTAAAGAGTATAGAGGTTTTTAACTCTTAATATATATTATCAAATTGCTCTCCTAAGGGGCTGCTCTGATATATGCATCTACCAGTAATGTATGATTGTGCTTACTTCCTAAAATTTCACTGTTTTGTCGTTTCTTTGATAATTTGTAAAAAATGTGAGATTAATACTTCAAAAATACTGCATGTGCTGAAAATATCTTGTTTGCATTTGTCTGCACAATGGATTTATAAGCCATACAAGAATGTTTATTACCTAAATAATGTTGACCAACTTTAAAAATGCCTCTGTTAAGCCAGTGGTGGCATGCACTAGTACCAGCTGCTCAGGAGGCTGAGGCAGGTGGATTGATTATGCCCAGGACTTCAAGTCCAGTCTGGGCAACATAGTGAGACTGTCTTTAAGTTAAAAAAAAAAAAAAAAAAAAGTCTATGTTGGCCAGGTATTTGAAGAGTCATTTCAAACCTTCTTTTTCCAGTTGTATCTTAGAAATAAAAATTATTTGTAAATATTTCAGTATGCATCCTAAAAGATAAGAACTTTTTTAAAAAACAAACTCTGGGCCGGGCACGGTGGCTCATACCTGTAATCCCAGCACTTTGGGAGGCCGAGGTGAGTGGATCACAAGGTCAGGAGATCGAGACCATCCTGGCTAACACGGGGAAACCCCGTCTCTACTAAAAATACAAAAAAACTAGCCGGGCGTGGTGGTGGGCAACTGTAGTCCCAGCTACTCGGGAGGCTGAAGCAGGAGAATGGCGTGAACCCGGGAGGTGGAGCTTGCAGTGAGCCAAGATCACACCACTGCACTCCAGCCTGGGCGACAGAGCGAGACTCCATCCCCCCCCCCCCCAAAAAAAAAGAAAAAAAAAAACCCTCTGATTACACCTAAAAAGATATATTTAATTTCATTAAATACCCAGTCAGCAATCACCTTTTCCCAATTTTCTTATAAATGTGAGGGGCTTTTTTCCTTTTTTTTAAGTTTAGATTTAATATGTCTAGATTTATTGTTGTGAATGATGCTGAAGAAAGTGGTTGTTAGCCCTGTAGAGTCCGTATAGTCTGATATCTGATGTACATGTTCACCTATGAACTGTTTTTCCTGTAAGTTGATAGGTCTTTAGGCTTGATAAAATTCAGATTTTATAAAAATCAAGATCTCTTATGTACACATATACTTCCCTCAGGAGGTGTATAATGTCTAGGTGTCTGTGTTTTTAAGTTTGTAGCCATTGGGGGTCATTGCCTAGATGACGAATTCATTAGGGCTTGCAAAATGGTGATGAATTTTATCACTTCTTCCTTTGTGAGCTGGAATACCTCAATTAAGAAAATCTTCTTCCTCAACTCTGCAATTGCCCTGAGATCTTGTTTATATAGGAAGGGCAGATTAAATGCTTTCTCTACCAGTTTTCAAAATAATGGTTCCTTTGTATTTCCACAGGTGAACTAGTTTTATTTGGTTTTGAGTATCACTATGATTTAAAAGACTTAAACATATTTGATGTGCTTCAATCCAATGTAGTTATTATCCCTTTTAATGTGGAAATGGGCACTTTTTTTTTTTTGAGACAGATTCTTACTCTGTCACCCAGGCTGGAGTGCAGTGGCATCATCACAGCTCGCTGCCACCTCTGCCTCCAGAGTTCAAATGATTCTCCTGCCTCAGCCTCCCGAGTAGCTGGGTCTACAGGTGCCTGCCACTAAACTCGGCTAACTTTTTGTATTTTAGTAGAGATGGGGTTTCACCGTATTGCCCAGGGTGGTCTCGAACTCTGGAGCTCAAGCAATCCGAGTGCTCAAGCAATCCACCTGTGTCGGCCTCCCAAAGTGTTAGGATTAAAGGCGGGAGCCACCGTGCTCCACAAAATGGGCATGTTGTTGACAAGTAGGGACTTATTTAAATTGGCTATGTCCTTTTGAGATGAATGCAAATTTTTTTTTTTTTTTTTGAGACGGAGTTTCGCTCTTGTTGCCCAGGATGGAGTGCAATGGCGCAATCTCAGCTCATCACTGCAACCTCTGCCTCCCGGGTTCAAGTGATTCTCCCGCCTCCAAGTGATTCTCCCGCCTCAGCCTCCCAAGTAGCTGGGATTACAGGCACATGCCACCACACCCAGCTAATTTTTTGTATTTTTAGTAGAGATAGGATTTTGCCATGTTGGCCAGGCTGGTCTGGAACTCCTGGCCTCAAGCGACCTGCCTGCCTCAGCCTCCCAAAGTGCTGAGATTATAGGTGTGAGTCACAGCACCCAGCCCATTTACTTTAGAATTAATATAAATAAATTGAAAGAAATTATTTGGGTAAGCAAGAGTGAGAGAAAAAGTCCTGGTTTGGTGGCTCATGCCTGTAATCCCAGCAATTTGGGAAGCCAAGGTGGGTTGATCACTTGTGATCAGGAGTTGGAGACCAGCCTCGTCAACATGGCAAAACCTCATCTCTACAAAAAATTAAAAAAAAAAAAATTAGCCTGGCATGGTGGCATGCATCTGTAGCCCCAGCTACACCGGGGAATTGCTTGAGCCTGGAAGGCAGAGGTTGCAGTGAGCTGAGATTGCACCACTGTACTCCAGCCTGGAGACAGAGTGAGACCCCATCACAAAAAAAAAAAAAAAAAAAAAGAAAAAGAAAAAGAAAAAGAAAACTAAGAGAAACAAACGCCAACATTCCCAGAACCAAACCACACAAAATCCCTGTTAACCGGTCACATGTCTATCTGAATGACTTGCTGTGCACATATAAATGTAAATGTAGGTTTTAGATTAATATAACCTGTGGCTTATATAATAATGTCTGTATACATATTTCAAGATCTACACAATTATTTTTAGTTTTTAAAATATTTGTATATTAATTACTGATTTTTAATCCTCCAGATGACTAGCACAACATATAACACAAGTATAGCTAAGGCCATTTGCTAAATCGGGGGCTAAGAAATAGGACAATAAATTTAACTGTGATTTAGTTGATGTCATAGAGCAAATGTCAGAGCTGAGAAGGAAACCTTGAGTTATCTTTTTTTTTTTCTTGAGACAGGGTCTCACTCTGTGGAGTGCAGTGGTACAATCACGGCTCACTGCAACCTCTGCCTTCCAGGCTCAAGCAATCCTCTGGAGTAGCTGGGACTACAGACGCATGGCACGATGCTGAGCTATTTTTTTTTTTTTAATTTTTCATAGAGGCCAAGTTTTGCCATGTTGCCCAGGCTGGTCTTGAACTCCTGGGCTCAAGCAATCTACCTGCCTCAGCCTCCCAGAGTGCTGGGATTATAGGCATGAGCCACCTTGCCTGGCCATCTTTTATTTATTTATTTTTTCCCTGCCCTATCTTATGGTGCTGAACTTTGAGTTATTTTGTTCTCAAACCCATTGTTGACCCCTCCCAGCCATTCTTAATGCCCAGAGTTTTGGGGGCAAACATGCTGGGATTACCTGTAGCCCCTTTATTGGCAGCATTGTATGGTCCTGGAGGTTTGGGGGGCAGCATCACTGGCCTAACCTGTTTAGGATTGTATTAACGCTGAAGAAAAGGAATAATATGTGGGCCTCTTCAAGAGAACAGAAACCTCACCGTTTTCAGGAGGTTAAATTTTGCCCACTTTTCAACATATTTTGAGCTTAAACTACTCATCCATTTCAAATTAAATTGCCTAAGAGAAGAAGTTGAGCATAATGTATAAAGGGCACAGTTTTTGGAGACAGAGACGTAGCTTTGAATTCTGGTTCTACCAGTCTTGGCGTCTCTGTGTCTCAGTTTTGTTATGTGTAGAATGGAGATAACACTGCTCAGGAACGATCAATATTAGGATTCCATGAGGAAATTTAGATAGCACTAACCACATATAGCACTCAACAAATATCTAATGCTATTATTAACATTAGTGCTTAGCAGGATGTCAGGCTGTTGGAACCCAGTAGCTGATAGCTAATCGTTTTATTAAGTAAAAATTCTCAAGGTAAGTGTTAAGATTCCCCGAGGGTTCCTCTGTGGCTGCTGACACTGACAAAAGAGAGGTGACGATTTAGGGGAGAGAGGTCTTGACTTACTCGGATTAGTAGGCATAGCCTGGTGGCAGAAGAGTCTCAACCTGAGAAAATAAGGCTTAGAGACCTACAGAGACCCACTTATGGAGCCAGATGCCTTGCTGTGGTATCACCAGTGGCCACTTCCAAGGGGCAGGATTTGCACACCTGCTAGCTGTGTATTGAGGAATTGAGTGGGAAGAGTTCTAGATCTCAGATTTTTGCTCTCCAACATACTAATTCAAGGCTTCCTTGGGCAGATGTGCTGGCAGGCATGTGTGCAGAGAGCAGACCCAAGGCTCAGGAGCAACCCCTTTCCTCCTCCCAGAAGCTGGGATATTGTATTCCAGTAATCCTGCCCTACCCCTTCCAATGCACACTCACATGCAGACAGAACCCCTTTCCATGGGGCTTTCCAGTAGGACTGCTGCCCTGGGGGAAGGACTGAGCTCATCAGATTGAACATCCTAAGTGCTGTGACACAGAACTCTAGGGACCTCCTTTCAATTCATCTTTCTTCGTCACTTTTTTCCCCTTCCTTCCTCCCTCCCTCCCTCTTCCCTTCCCTTCCCTTGCCTCCCCTTCCCCTTCCCCTTTCCCTTCCCTTTCTTTCTCTCTCTTCCTTTCTTCCTTCCTTTCTCCCCTTCCCTTCCTTTCTCCTTTCTCTTTCTTTCTTCCTTTCTTTCTTTCTTTCTTTCTTTTTCTTTTCTTTCTTTCTTTCCCTTCCTTCCTTTCCTTCCTTCCTTCCTTCCTCCCTCCCTCCCTCCCTCCCTCCCTCCCTCCCTCCCTCCCTCCCTCCCTCTCTCTCTCTCTCTCTCTTTCTTTCTTTCTTTCTTTCTTTCTTTCTTTCTTTCTTTCTTTCTTTCTTTCTTTCCTTTTCTTTCTCCTGAGACAGGGTCTCCCTCTGTTGCCCAGACTGATGTGAACTCCTGGCTTCAAGTGATGCTCCCACCTCGGCCTCTCAAAGTGCTGGAGTTACAGATGTGAGCCACCATGCTCAGCCTCTCATCTTTTTTCTATGTCTTTTTTTCTTTTTAAAAAACAAACAAAGAAACAAACAAAAAAAGAGAGAGAGAGAGATGGGTTCTTAGCATGTTGGCCAGGTTGGCCTTGCACTCCTGGCCTCAAGCAATCCTCCCACCTTGGTCTCCCAAAGTGCTAGGATTACAGGCATAAGCCACCACATCCAGCTTAAAAATGATGCTTTAGATGCCACAAAATAGGTGGAAATGTGTTAACTTCATGTTAGTTGTCAGGCCTGAGGGCCTCTTCCATCCTTGTCAAGGGGAGTGCTAACAAGTCTCTCCTTTCATACAACACTCACCTTTGAAAAATTCCAAGCCTACATAAAAGTTGAGAGAATAGCACCCTGGACACCATGATATCCTTCACCTAAAACTCACCAGTTCTTTCAACTGGCATTTGAGCACCCACTCCATGCTAGGTGCTGTGATAGCCTTTGGGTGCACAAAAGGAAGTGAGTCTTGGTTCCTGAGCACAGACTTGCTCAGGCTTATCAGAAAAAGGAGACCATAAAACAAAAACCTATAGTATGGCCTGGTAATATTTTGTTACTGCAGGCATAAAGAACTGTAGGAATAAATGGAGAGGAGTCACTTTCTGATTGGACATTAGAGAATGTCTCTAGTGACGGTAGTATTCCAGAGAGGCAGACTGTGGGCTCAAGTGCAGCGTGGGTGAAGGCGTAGGGATTTGGCAAGCCCTGATAGATTTGGAAAATGGCAGCTCAATTCAGAAAGTTCTAGCTCTGGTCACAGGAGGCCTCAGGGACATGGGGTTCAGTAGGAGCATCATGGCTATGAGTAGGGACAGTAGGTTCACAATGCTGGCTCTAGGCGACAGTGAAGCTGACCACTCTAAAAGCTTAGGCCAAAAATCTTTTCCTATGCTTCTTCAGGAAAGAAAAATAAAATGTTTGCCAGGTCTGGTGGCTGTTGGGATCTTGCTTGAAGAGTAAGGGCTGTTGAATTATGTAAGGTGACTCAGGGATCTTGGGGTCACTCAGCATGGACATGTCAGGTGTGGTACCTGGAATGCACATGTTGGCTTTATTGAGATCTTGGGGCCTCTGTCTTTTAGCAATAACTTGCTTCCCACTTCCTGGAATCCAGGAGAAGCGAGCCTTGCATATAATCACCCTGAATTGTTACAACTCAGGTTTTTTTTTTTTTTTTTTTTTTTTTTGACAGAGTCTTGCTGTGTTGCCCAGGCTGGAGTGCAGTGGCGTGATCTTGGCTCACTACAACCTCTGCCTCCCGGGTTCAAGGGATTCTCCTGCCTCAGCCTCCCAAGTAGCTGGGATTACAGGCAACTGCCACCACGCCTGGCTAATTTTTGTATTTTTAGTAGTTACAGGGGCTTCACCATATTGGCCAGGCTGGTCTCGAATTCCTGGCCTCAAGGCAGATTCCTGCCTTGGCCTCCCAAAGTGCTGAGATTATAGGCGTGACCCACTGAGCCTGGCCAACAGCTCCATTTTGAGTGAAAGGGAATCAACCCTCTTTACTTATTTGAAAAGAAGCAAGGATGACGTTTGAAATGTAAGGAAGACCTTGGCTGGGTGTGGTGACTCACACCTGTAATTCCAGCACTTTGGGAGGCCGAGGGGAGGGGATCACCTGAGATCAGGAGTTCAAGACCAGCCTGGCCAACATGGTGAAACTCCATCTCTACTAAAAATACAAAAATTAGCCGGGCATCATGGTGGGCAACTGTAATCCTAGCTACTCGGGAGTCTGAGGCAGGAGAATTACTTGAACACAGGAAGTGGAGGTGGCAGTGAGCCGAGATCACACCATTGCACTCCAGCCTGGGTGATAGAGCGAGACTCTGTCTCAAAAAAAAAAAAAAAAAAAAAGAAAGAAAGTAAGGAAGACCTATGAAAATATGCAGAACTCGTTTGCCTTCCAAGGAGAGCAGCATCTCTCAGTTTTTCCAAAAGGCTCTGAAGAGATTGATGGTACAGGGTGGCCTTGGCCGTAACTTCTCATTGCTGAGGTGTTCTCATACTGTGGTCAAGAAGGCTAAGCTCTCCCATGCATAACAATATTTGCTTTAACTTTTTCATTTAACCCTTAAGAAAACAACTCATAAGAACTGAAAGCTGTGACCTCTATGACCTCTCCTCAGATATCTAAATTTTATCATCTTACTGTAGAAAGAGCTGGTTTAGCTGGCTTAATTTGTGTAAATAGACTATTGCCTTTTCCTTGGAGTTCTTCAGATAAGATACTGTGGTGGTCTCACTTCAGAAGGGGCTGTGGCAGAGAGGGCAGAGATTGCTGGCAGAACCCCCACTCTTTTTGCTTCTGAGGTTATAAAGAAATTCACCTACACTGGGTGAACTGTGAGATAGGATCATTTTTCCCACATCTGACATGTGGGCCTGTAAACCAAACTTGGGGTCCCACTTTGGCCCTCAGGCTGCATCGGTGTCTTGCTGGGCACAGCAGTGGTTTCAGCGGTCAGATGGCATGCTCCATGCCCACAGGGAAGGGCATTAGAGTGCTCTCTTAGCATTAGAATACTTTCTGAGAGCACAAAGGTTCTCATGAAGTTTCTCTCTCATTCTCTGTGGTTTCAGGGCAGCAGAGTGAAATAGGAAGAGATGGAGGCTTTACCTCCTTAAAGACATGCTAACTTTTATTCCTGACTGTGGCACTGCAGTACCTTGAGAAAACTGAAGTTGCCCTTTATGTAAAAAATAAGGGAAAAAACCCAAATGTGCTTATGATTTTTTGTCTACTTCCATGTCTAATGGTATATTCAGATGGCAATGGATGATTGCAAGCAGATTTTGGACCAAAGAATTACATTATTGACATTTTTGGCTGGGCGCAGTGGCTCATGCCTGTAAACCCAGTACTTTGGGAGACGGAGAGGGGTGGATCACTTGAGACCAGGGGTTCAAGACCAGCCTGGCCAACATGGTGAAATCCGGTATCTACTAAAAATACAAAACAGCCGGGCGTGGAGGTACAAGCCTGTAATCCCAGCTACTTGGGAGGTTGAGACAGGACAGTCACTTGAACCCAGAAGGCGTAGATTGCAGTGAGCCGAGGTCTCACCAGTGTACTTCAGCCTGGGAGACAGAGCGAAACTCTGTCTCAAGAATACAAAATAAAACAAAACAAAATGAAACCAAAAACCAACCAACCAACCAAACAAACAACAATTTAAATAGAATTAAATTATTGACATTTTTGAAGGTCTGTTCTGTGTGACATAGAAACATTTAAATATGAATGTTGGTGGGGTGGTGGCTCACGCCTATAATCCCAGCACTTTGGGAGGCTGTGGTGGGCAGATCACTTGAGATCAGGAGTTCAAGACCAGCCTGGCCAACATGGCGAAACCCTGTCTCTACTAAAAATACAAAAATTAGCCGAGTGTGGTGGTGCATGCCTGTAGTCTCAGCTACTTGGGAGGCTGAGGCAGGAGAATCACTTGAACCCAGGAGGCAGAGGTTGCAGTGAGCCAAGATCACGCCACTGCACTCCACCCTGGGCGTCAGAGGGAGCCTCCATCTCAAAGGAAACAAACAAACAAAAAGATGAATGTTATCTTTCTCCAAACAACTTAAAATCTTAAACACAAGGCACACAAGAGTTAGCAATGACTTAGTTGATGCTGAAGGTCAGAGGAAAGTCACAAGAGTGACAGCAGGAGAGGCCTGAGAAGGCTTCATGGATCAGAGGCAATGAATTAGCAGGCTTTACATTTGTGAAATGATATAATACATAAAATGTGTAAAAAGGAGTCTCGAATATCATACCAAGGTGTTCAATTCTGGGGAAGAGATTGGGATTGGGTGTGGGGGATACTGAAAAAAGCAGTTGACTTTGATTATAGTCATGCATTACTTACATAATCAGTGGCGTGCTGGTAAATTTTTTTTTTCTTTTTTTGAGGCAGGGTCTTTCTCTGTCACCTAGCCTGGAGCGCAGTGGCGTGATCATCTATCACTATAGCCTTGACCTCCCAGGCCCAAGTGATCCTCCTAACCTCAGCCTCCGGAATAGCTGGGGCCATAGGTGTGCACCACTATGCCAAGCTGATTAAAAAAAAATTTTTTTTTTGTCAAGATGGGGTCTCACTATGTTGCCTAGGCTGGTCTCCAACTCTTGGCCTCAATTTATCCTCCTAACTTGGCCTCCCAAGTTCTGGGATTATTGGCATGAGGCACTGTGTCCAACTAAGTGCTAGTAAATTTTTCAGAAAAGCGCTCTTTTCCCATGGTCCCCAAAGTCCCTATTGTAGTGTTTGTCAATTTCCATCATGTAAATTGTAGATACTTCTTCTGTGGCTGATTTTAAGCAACAATATAAGGTCAAGTAGCTAAAAAATTTTTGAAAATTTAACAGTTTGAGCACTTATCATGTACCGGACTCCAAGTCAAGTGCTAGGGGAAGATTGGAAAAATATTATGGGCCAGGCATGGTGGCTCATGCCTGTAATCCCAGCACTTTGGGAGGCTGAGGCCGGTGGATCACTTGAGGTCAGGAGCTCGAGAGCAGCCTGGCCAACATGGTGAAACCCCATCTCTACTAAAAATACAAAAATTATCCAGGCATGGTGGCAGGCATTGTAATCCCAGCTACTTGGGAGGCCGAGGCAGGAGAATCGCTTGAACCCATGAGGCGGGGGTTGCAGTGAGTCAAGATCACGCCACTGCACTCCAGCCTAGGCGACGAGAGCGAAATTCCATCTCAAAAAAAAAAAAAAAACAAAAGATTATCATGTAGTCCTTGTCTACCTGGCAGCAGAAATACAGTAGGTGAGCTAAAAGAGGAACTAGAGGAAGGAGAATTAACTTTGGCAAGGTATGGGTAAAGGGGAGAATCAGAGGAGTTCTCTGAAAGAATGGATCCTCTAATAGAGGATTGGGAAAGGCCCCAGGTGCAGAAGTGTATAAGACACTTGGGAATTTCAGGTTGCTCTTTGCACAAGAATATTGGCACAAAATGGAGAATAAGGCCAGAAAAGGGGGTTGGGACCATACGATCAAAAGTGTTGCATTTTGCTGTGCAGTAATGAGAGCTACTTACAGTATTTATTTATTTATTTATTTTTGAGACAGAGTCTTGCTCTGTCACCTAGGCTGGAGTGCAGTGGCGTGATCTCAGCTCACTGCAACCTCCGCCTCCCTGGCTCAAGTGATTCTCCTGCCTCAGCCTCCCAAGTAGCTGGGACTGCAGACGCTGCGTGCCACCATGCCTGGCTAATTTTTGTATTTTTAGTAGAGACGGGGTTTCACTATGTTGGCCAGGCTGGTTTTGAACTCCTGACCTCAGGTGATCCACCTGCCTCAGCCTCCCAAAGTGCTGGGATTATAGGAGTGAGCCATGGCGCCCAGCCAGCTACTTACAGTTTTTGAGAAGCATCAGGCAATAACTCTCCTGGCACTATGGAGACTAAGCTGAGACAGAGACCTGTACAAGAGGTCATCTTAATGTTTCCAGCAGAACATAATAAGAGCTTCAATGAAGCCAATGCAGCAGAGATAGAGATGGGATGGATTCAAGAAACGTTTGGGGAGGAAGAATTGATCGAACAATGGATTGACCGAGATGAGTGTTCAGAAGGATGGTTTGCTTGAAGATAATACCTAGGACTTTGAAAAATGTTCACCCTTCCTTCTGTGGGGATGAATGGCTTCATCAGAAAAGAAAGGAGGCATTTCTAAGAGTTTATGAAGTTTAGGACTTGGGAGCCCAGTTGGTTATTTTCTTTGCATATCACTACCGACATTTGTAAGTCTGAAAGAGGGAAGGTCTGAGACATGACTGGCAGGCCATCAAGATGTTTTGTTACTGAATTTGGATTTATGGATCCTGATTCTGAGTAGTTATGCTATTAAAATGATGGCCTTTTGGTTTGGGATGGACAGCATCTCACAAAATTGGGAAATAATGATTAACCCAGCAGTTTAGTGTATAAATACTAATTTCTACATGGAGCTTGAAAAGAGTAAGAGAAAGGGAGGAAAATGGCAGGTAAACGTGTGATCCCAGCCACTCTGAAGAGTAATAGGCACAATGCAGAATGGAGAATAGTGAAGCGGGAGGAGCCTAGTGATTCACATGAGAAAACAGCTGGAAGGAGGCCAGAAACAATAGTGAGGTTTTAGACGTCTATATACAAACACACAGGGCATACGTAACAAACAGGGCAAAGTGGGGATTATAACATCAGGCAGTAAAACATGATCTCATTGAAACCTTATAGGATAGGACCTGAGCCTGACATTCAGTTATGAAATCACATTTACATCCTATTTAAAAGAAGCATAGCCATGAGGTGGTGAAGGAGATTGGTGTGTGTTGTAGAGAAACTAAGTGGAAGCCCATTGAAGAGCATAAAGACGAATATTTAAAAGGAGATTTAATGTTAGAGCATTAATGACTGGGCACAGTGGCTCACACCTGTAATCCCAGCACTTTGGGAGGCCAAGGCAGGTGGATTGTTTGAATCCAGGAGTTTGAGACGAGACTGGGCAACATGGCAAAACTGTCTGTACAAAAAAATTACAAACGTTAGCCTGGTGTGGTGGCACGTGCCTGTAGTCTCAGCTACTCGGGAGGCTGAGGTGGGAGGATCACTTGAGTCTGGGGAGGTCAAGGCTGCAGTGAACTGTGATTGTGCCACTGCACACTAGTCTGGCAATAGAGCAAGACTGTCTCAAATAAAATAAAATAAAGCAATTACTACATACCGTTTGACCAGAGAAAAAATAGGGAAAATATTAAATATAAAATTTGTATAAGACATTCAAAGAAAATCCCTTGAAAAACTTTAATGAGAAATATGAGTGATTTCATAAATTTTTATATCAATTTTTATACTTGAAATGGCCATGTATACTTCTTGACAAAGACTTTTACAAAATGATCTCTTGAAATTCTCAATAGTCATCATTGATAAAAAATGGCTGGGTGCAGAGGCTTACGCCTGTAATTCTAGCACTTTGGGAGGTTGAGGCAGGTGGATCACCTGAACTCTGGAGTTTGAGACCAGCCTGGGCAACATGGCAAAACGCTGTCTCTACTAAAAATACAAAAAAATTAGCCAGGCGTGGTGGCACTCCTCTGTAGTCCCAGCTACTCAGAAGTCTGAGGCAGGAGAATCACTTGAACCCGGCTTGAACCCGGGAGGTGGAGGTTGCAGTGAGCAGAGATCATGCCACTGCACTCCAGCCTGGGTGACAAACTGAGACTCTGTCTCAAAAAAAAAAAAAAAGTAAAATGTTTTTATAACTATTAAAAATGTGAAACAATTGAAATATAGGGAATCTAAGAATACTTCCTTTTCTCACTGACAAATGTAATGTCAAAATTCATGTGATAAGGCCAATAGATTCTTTATTTTATTTTTTTTAGACGCATTCTTTCTCTGTTGCCCAGACTGGAGTACAATGGCACAATCTTGGCTCACTGCAACCTCCACCTCCCAGGTTTAAGCGATTCTTCTGCCTTAGCCTCCTGAGTAACTGGGATTATAGGCGCCTGCCACCATGCCTGGCTAATTTTTGTATATTTAGTAAAGATGGGATTTTACCATGTTGGCCAAGCTGGTCTCAAACTCCTGACCTCAAGTGATCTGCCTGCCTCTGCCTCCTGAAGTGCTGGGATTACAGGCGTGGGACACTACGCTTGGCCCCCCCCCCTTTTTTTTAATTTGTATAAGTTTATGGGGTACAAGCGCAATTTTGTGATATGCTTACACTTCAGAGAGCTCAGATCAGGGCTTTTAGGGTATCCAACACCCAAACAACATGCATAGTATCCATTAAGTAATTTCTCATCATCCACCCTGTTTCCCATCCTCTCACCCTTCTACTTCTCCATTGTGGATCATTCCACTCTCTTCCTCTGGGGTACACAATTTTTAGTTCCCACTTATGAGTGAGAACATGTGATATTTGTCTTTCTGGGTCTGACTGGTTTCACTTAAGATAATGACCGCAGTTCCATCCATGTTGCTGCAAAATACATGATTTCATTCTTTTTTATGGCTGAATAGTATTCTATTGTGTACATATACCATGTTTTCTTTATCCCTGTTGATGGACACTTAGGTTGATTCCATATCTTCGCCATTGTGAATAGTGCTGCTATAAGCATACGAGTGCATGTAACAAACAGATTCCTTATGATGGACAGACACACTCATGTCTTGCCTGTGGGCACAACCCTCCAGCCAGATTAATAACCACCTGTAGCCAAGGATCATGAGGCTGTTCAAAGGACTCTGATAAAAATTCAACAGTAGGAGCATCTAGGAAGTGTCAAGCCAGAGGCACCTTGATGCCCTTGGGTGGTCTATCTCTCTCTCTCTTTTTTTTTTTTGAAATGGAGTTTCGCTGTTGTTGCCCAGGCTGTAGTGCAATGGTGCAATCTTGGCTCACGGCAACCTCTGTCTCCCGGGTTCAAGTGATTCGCCTGCCTCAGCCTCCCAAGTAGCTGGGATTACAGGCATGCACCACCACGCCTGGCTAATTTCGTATTTTTAGTAGAGACAGGGTTTCTCCATGTTGGTCAGGCTGGTCTCAAACTCCTGACCTTAGGTGATCCACCTGCCTTGGCCTCCCAAAGTGCTGGGATTATAGGCATGAGTCACTGAGCCCAGCTGGGTGGTCTATCTCTCTTGGAGCAAAGCTCCATTGGTACCTGGGGATATGAATGGAATTGTGTCCCCATCCCAACCAAATTCATAAGTTGAAGTCCTAACTCCCAGTACCTCAGAATGTGACCTTATTTGGAAATAAGGTCTTTGTAAATATATTCAAGTCAAGATGAGGAATACTGGGCTAGGGGGGTCCTAATCCAATGATGAGCGTCCTTATTAAACGAGGGAAATTGGACAGAGATACACACATAGAGGAGAAACAATGTGAAGAGACAGAGGGAGAAGATGAACATTTATAAGGCAAGGAGAGAGGCCTGGAACAGAGGTCCCTTCACAGCCCTCAGAAGGAACAAGCCCTGTTGATACTATGAACGTGGACTTCCAGCCTCCAGAACAGTGAGACAATACATTAGTGTTATTAAGCCTCTCCATCTGTGGTCTTTGTTACAGCGGCCCGGGCAAACTGTTTACAAGGGGAATAGGATTCAGCCCCTGAGAAGAGGAGGAGTACTGGCAAGGCCCAGGCAGGATGTTAGAGTAGCAGCCACGCAGGGGAGTGAAACTGCACCCCAGGGGAGGAAGAAAAATGAAAAAGAGGCACCTAGACAATGCCTGGTAGGCTTTGGGCTAACTCAGTGATATTAAAGCTACACAGCTCAGGGGCTTCCTCAGGACTAGTCTCCTATCAAGTTAGGGCAGCAAGAACCTAGGAAGGTTGGCTGCCCCCATGGAAAGGGGCCCCGTGGGTGGGTGAGGCTGGTGTATGTGGAAGTCCCCAGATACCCATGGTGGAGGGGGTGGAGGTAAGAGGTAGTTATATGGAATAAGGTTGAAAATTTTGGCTCAAAATTGGGAAGACTTTTATTTTTCTTTATGAAAACACTTGAAATTTAAAATATCATAGGAAATTCGGAAAATAGAAATAGAAAAAGAAAAAAACTCCTACAATCTCACCACCTTAACCAAATTCATCATGTATTTCCTTTGTCTTTCTTCATGTGTGTATATTTTAAATAGTTGGATTTAGAAAGTGTACCCATGCTTTGTTTTTGTTTTTGTTTTGGAGATGGAGTCTCACTCTGTTGCCCAGGCTGTAGTGCAGTGGCGCAATCTCGGCTCACTGCAACCTCTGCCTCCTGGGTTCAAGCAATTCTCCTGCCTCAGCCTCTCAAGTAGCTGGGATTACATGTGCCCCCATCCCTAGCTATTTTTTTATATTTTTGTTGCCAGACTGGTCACAAACCCCTGAGCTCAGCCAATCTGCCCACCTTGGCCTCCCAAAGTGCTAGGATTACAGGCGTGAGCCACCAAGCCCTGCCAGAAAGTGTACATATACCTTGTATCCTGATTTTTAAATAAATGAAATTATAGTAAAAACATTTTCCCATTTTGCTACACGATGTCTCATAAGTAGAAACTTTAATGGTTGTATAGGTCTATGGAATGGGTGAACCCTAAAGAATTATTACTCTATGGTTGGATGGTAAGGCTGTGGCTGGTTTCTTTCTTTTCAGTATTCTCTTTAAGGTTTCTTCCAGTACTGAGATTCTGTGTTTGGCAAAGAGAAATGCAAGCCACTTCTCAAATTATCTTCTCTAATTCTTTTTAAGGGGGATCTTGTGAGATGCTCTGATGTATGTTACATTTAGTCAGATTTCTGTTGTTTCCTCTGAGTATCACTTTCACAAAAATAATTTTAAGAAATTTCTGTATCGTTGCCTATCCTACATGGTTTTTGTTCGAGTATGCATAAAAAATACGAAATCTGTACGAAGAATACAGGTATAATCTTCACTCAGAATCCCCCAAAGTGAATATTTTGCCTTACCATATTATAATTATCAAAATCAGGAAATTAAGTTTAAAACATACTCTTATCAAATCTACAGACCTGATTCAAATTTCAGCAACCGTCCCACTGTCTCCTTTTTCTGGCCCAGAATCCAACCGGAGACCCCAGGTTGCATTAGCTGTCATGTCTCCTCAGTCTCCTTTAATCTGGAACAGTCCCTCAATCTTTCCTTGTCTTTTCAAAGTCTTGATGCTTTTGAAAGGTACTAGTCCATTATTTATAGAATGGCCTGCGTTTTGGATTGTCTCATATTTCCTTATGGAATTTTCATGCCACTGCAATGGCGTTGGGTTCTTCTCAGAACGTCTCAGGAGGCATGTGATATAGGTCTGTCCCATGACAAGCAACGTTAACTTTAATCGCCTGGTTAAGTGGGTATCTGTCAGATTTCTCCACTGTAAACTTAGGATTGTTTCCTCAGTAAGTATTCTAGGGACCTGCTTTGTGACTATGTAAAAATATTGTTTCTCATCATAATGTGACTGCCTAGCTTTCATTGATGAGTCATCTCGGAACCAATTGTTACTGTGGTGTTTTCCAGATGGTAGTTTTCTAGTTTCATTATTCCATGTTTATTAGTAGTAATTTAACTTGACAAGCTTTATCCTTAATCTAAATAGGCCTAAATGTTCCTTTAGTTAAAGCAAAATAAAAGAATAGTAATCTATCACTTATTCTGTGCTGTTCCTGTTATGAAAACACAGAGAAACCACAAAAGGTGAGCTGCCCGGCACACACACCAAGATGAAGGACATCTTCATGTATCTGCATTAATGCGTGAATTTCTGTCTTCCTCAGCTAGGTACAGACAATTCTGCCAAGGAATCAGTTCTACAGATGAGAAAAATGAAAACCTGAGATATAGATACACTGTCTCAGATCAGATAGGGGCACAGCTAGAACTAGTTTCCAGTGCCCAGAGATTTTTAGTTCTTATCTAGGACCTCTCTCAAAATTATATTACTTCTATTATACAGATAACACGATACATCTTCAAGAAAAGACATTTGCTTTTAAAACAATTATCATTTTTAATTTTTATTTTTAGAGATAGGGTCTTGTTCTGTTGCTCAGGCTGGGGTATAGCGGTGCAATTGTAGCTCACTGTAACCTTGAACTCCTGGGCTCAAGTGATCTTTCTGCCTCAGCCTCCCCAGTAGCTGGGACAATAGGCATGAGCCACCATGCTTGGCTACTTGCTTGCTCTTTTTGTTTTTTATTTCAGTTTTTCCCCCTCATTTGACACCTTTGGTATATTTGCTCTTAAATAAAATCATTATCAATAAGATTACCATTCTTAGGCTGGGCGCGGTGGCTCACACCTGTAATCCCAACACTTTGGGAGGTCCAGGTGGGTGGATTACCTGAGGTCGGGAGTTCGAAACCAACCTGTCCAACATGGAGAAACCCCGTCTCTACTAAAAATACAAAATTAGCCAGGTGTGGTGGCACATGCCTGTAATTCCAGCTAATCAGGAAGGCTGAGGCAGGAGAATTGCTTGAGCCTGGGAGGCGGAGGTTGCAGTGAGCTGAGATTGCACCATTGCACTCCAGCCTGGGCAACAAGAGTAAAACGTCGTCTCAAAAAAAAAGATTACCATTCTTTTGGCTAATTATTATGTACATTTTCAGCCATTATAATCCAATCTACTATTTGCAAACAACAATAACAGTTATTTACATAGAAGCTTCTTACAGACATAAATTACAAAAATTATCTTTACCTCAAGCTGAATTCTTAACAACAACTTTAAATTCTGAACACAGAATCTTCCATTTATCCAGAATAGTGATGAGGTTCTGGTTAATTAGCATTCCCATATATAGCAGGATCTCCACTCTTCAAAGAATACAAACACAAAACTGGAGGAAAGTATTTACCTTAAAATTGGACAATGTCTCACATCAGTGTGAACAGCAACTCTCATAGCATAGTCCCATTTAAAAATGTCGATCAGCTGTTTTTTTCTAAATTCATCTTTTACATTATCTTGTTTTCTTGTCATTTATCTTTTTGTATTTTCTAAAGTGACATGTAGGAGAAAACATTTTTAGATTATTTGTACATCCTGGTGATTGATATCTTGCATTTTTAAAGTTATTAAGACATTTGTTTTCAGGCTAGCTTCTTTTCCTTAGGATTCCAGCCTAAGGAGGACTGCAAACATTCACCTTAGATACACCATCAAGACTCATTTTGAATTCTGAGTGCCTCAGTGAACCCTTCTTGTTTGTTGTTTTGTTTTATATTTTATTTTATTTTTTGAGACAGAGTCTTGCTCTGTTGCTCAGGCTGGAGTGCAGTGACGCAATCTCGGCTCATTGCAACCTCCACCTCCCGGCTTCAAGCAATTCTTGTGCCTCAGCCTCCCAAGTAGCTGGGACCACAGGCACGCACCACCACGCCTGGCTAATTTTTGTATTTTTAGTAGAGACGGGGTTTTGCCAGGTTGGCCAGGCTCATCTCAAACCAGGTGATCCACCTCAAGTGATCCACCCACCTTGGCCTCCCAAAGTGCTAGGATTACAGGAGTGAACCACCACACCCAGCCTGCTTGGTTTTATTTTTAAGTCATTTGTGTTTCCAGTGTTTGTCTCTGTGCCTGGCACAAAGTAGGCACTGGATAAATATTTGCTGACCGACCTGCTGACCCACTGACAGCCAGACTGACTTCACACCCAGGGCGAGGACCCAGCCTGGGCCTTCCTGAATTCCTGCAATTTTTTTTTTATTTCAAATAACAATATATGCTCATTAAAGAAACTTGTAAAATAGAGAAAGTCACACATACAAAACAGAGAAAACAAAGCTGTCCATTATCTTACTGGCCATAGAGATGATTATGTCAGAAAGATGAGCATTTTCTCATTCATTAAACATTCTTCAAAGACATGTTTTTAATGGCAATAGGATGACCCGTTGTGTGGGTGTGCCATAATTAACCATTCTTATGTTGTGGAACATCTACATTCTGTACGAGTTGTCACCCCTGGAAATAATGTTGTAACGTTACGCAATAAACTCTCTACTATAGCTGATTATCAAGTTACTTTACAAAAAGATTATATCCATTTAAGCCCACTTGCTAGTGCCCATATATTTGAAACACTGACAGTTTCAAATGGTCAGCATTTAACTTCTTGGGAAACTGAAGGGTTAGAAACAGCCCCTTCCATTTAAACAGCTTCCAGCATGTTCCACTTACAGTGAACATTTGTTTTCCTCCAGTCTCAATCCCTGTGAAGGGTCAAGTCAATCACAGGTGAGTACTTATTTGGAAAACATGCCTTGAAAGCTCAATTTAAATAGCAGACAGCATTAGCCAGAAAGCATTGGTCCTTTTTGAAAAAGCTTGTGAGAGAGAGGCAAGAAGCATTAGGCCATGCCAAAGTAGAAGTTCGTGGTCCCAAGAATCAATACCTGAAATTGAGCTATTAATAACACAACATGGTTAATATCATTATGCTGATTATTGTCACTTTATTCTTAACTCCAAATTTAAAATGATTTTTTCTTCACAAAAGATAAAATCGGCTGGGCGCGGTGGCTTACGTCTGTAATCCCAGCACTTTGGGAGGCCGAGACAGGTGGATCACCTGAGGTCAGGAGTTCGAGACCAGCTTGGCTAACATGATGAAACCCCATCTCTACTAAAAATACAAAAATTAGCTGGGCATGGTGGCGTGCACCTGTAATCCTAGCTACTCAGGAGTCTGAGGCAGAAGAATCGCCTGAACCCAGGAGGCAGAGGTTGCAGTGAGCCAAGATTGTGCCATTGTGCCATTGCACTCCACCCTGAGCAACAAGAGATAAACTCTGTCTCAAATAAATAAATAAATAATCGGACGGGAGCAGTGGCTCACACCTGGAATCCCAGCACTTTGAGAGGCTCTAGGCAGGAGGATCACTTGCATCCAGGAGTTCAAAACCAGCCTGGGCAACATGGCGAAACCCTATCTCTACAAAAAACACAAAAATGAGCTGGGCATGAGAGTGCACGCCCGATAGTCCCAGCTACTCGGGAGGCTGAAGTTGGAGGATTGCTTGAGCCCAGGAGGTCGAGGCGGCAACGAGCTGAGATTGTGCCACTGCACTCAGCCTGGGTGACAGAGCAAGACCCTGTTTCAAACAAAAACAAAATATAAAATCATGTTAGTTAAAAGGAGCAAATATTTGGGAGAGAAATCCATTTAAAAAAATCACTTTAAAAAAGGTAACATTCATTTCTACTCTGAGGAATGTATTTGTTTCATTCTGAAACAAAAACTTAATTTTCAACAATAATATTCAATAAAAGCCAAAGCTTTCAAAAATTATTTGCCATTCTTATAAAGAATATTCTATTCTGACAGCTGTCTTTTTCTGCTGTGTATTTTACCTCAGATACTGGTATTTCATTCACCGCAGAGACTGGTAGACCAGATGTTAGAATGGAAAGTTCACTTAGGGCCTACCACAGGCACTGAGTTTCACTTCAGCCCCTCGATACAGCACATACACATCCCTTCAGTTAGTTAGCATTTAAAATGACTGTAAACCATTACAAACACTAAAATAGTATTATTATCGCAAGAGAATAGCTCAACTGTTTTAAATTTAACCCTTAACAAGACAATTTATTTCCAGGCTTTCAGTCAAGTAAAGGCTGTTCTACGTGGAACCCTGTGGAAACTTCTAGAGATAGAGTCCTAGGCTCTGAGCCAGTCACTCAGTGGGAAACCACCATTTTAGAAATTGGGATTTTAGGAGCACAGCATGAGTGAGACTGAACGCACTCTATGTAGGACAATTGTACTGAAAAGGCCGAGTAATTAACCCTTTATTTTACTTTCATGTTGTTATTGATTGTCACGCATCTAATTCCAGCTTATTTTCTAATCACAATCCTATTTATTACCTTCTATAGCTTCATGGCTCCTAAATGAACACTGTGACCATCATAAACTAAAAAGAGAAGGATATTCTGTAGACAGTTGGGGACACTTCCTTTTTTTTTTTTTTTTGAGACGGAGTCTTGCTGTGTTGCCCAGGCTGGAGTGCAGTGGCATGATCTCGGCTCACCACAGCTGTCGCCTCCTGGGTTCAAGTGATTCTCCTGCCTCAGCCTCCCAAGTAGCTGGGATTATAGGCATGCGCCACCATGCCTGGCTAATTTTGTACTTTTGGTAGGGACGGGGTTTCTCCATGTTGGTCAGGCTGGTTTTGAATGCCCAACCTCAGGTGATCCACCCACCTTGACCTCCCAAAGTACTGGGATTACAGGCATGAACCACCACACCGGGCCAGAATGAGTTATGTTTCTAGGGCTGCTATATTTCTCTTTGGCAAGGAAGTAGAGTTGAGAGGAAGACAGAAGACACATAGACGCTTCTAAATTATGCAGAAAAAATGTATGTTTCTATTGATATTTTTCTTTCTGGTGGTGGTGGCAGATCCTAAAGTTTTAAACTGGAGTGAAAGTCTACGTAGCTGGGATTTGAGACAGAGGGTGGGTGTCTGTGATCTGGGGCTTCTAGAGGGTGAGGGTAGAGTGTACTCTAGGGTAGGGTGAACAGAAGTAGAATCCTTCCATTTTCTTCTCTGCTCCCCACACCCATGTGCCTGCCCGGGATAATCTAGCTTCCTCAGATCTGCCACCCAATACCTCCCCGTAGTGGTTGGGGATGGGGACTATGGGGAGAGACAGGTTAGTGGACATGGTGAGTTATCTATCCATTCTCCCCTTCACCCATCTCAACGAACTCACATTTTTACTTTAGTTTACATCGTCACCCATGTACTTGGGGAAAAGAAGATCTCAACCTCATACTTGGTTGGCTAAACCAATCAGCTCATTCCATGTACCACTGAAGGCCATTGTTCAGGAGTGGGCATGTGACTTACAGGGTCCAGTCAAGGTGTATCTCAAGACTCCTGCTTGGGATCCTGTGACAGTCCTCCCTTCATCTGCCTGCCAGGATGTGCAGGAACCATCGTGTTCCTTTTGCCACCAGAGAAAACCAACTTAAAGATGAAGTCCAAAGAATGAGAGAGGCACATGGAAGGGAGTGGCAGAGAAATGTGGCAGGAGGTCCTGGTTAAGGTGACTCTAAAGCCAATTCTGCTCTGAACTTCCAGTTACATGAACACATAAATGTCCTTATTGTTAACCCAGTTAGAGAAGATATTCTGTTTCTTGGAACCAAAAACATTCTAGCCTTTTACTGAGGGTTGGAGGTGCCTCCATACACCCATCTCTGGGGGCCATGTTTTCCCTCTGACATGATGTTATGAATGGTAGTGAATTGCTCACATGCACCTAGAATGTAGATTAAATGTATACCCTTGCAGTTAACAATAGTAGAAAACAATGCAGTTCAAGTATACAACATTGTACAATGAGGAGGAGAAGGGCAGTATTTGAGGCTCTAACCATCATTTATCCCTGCCTTCCTGCCTTCCCGCCTTCCCTCCCTTCTCTCCCTCCCTCTCTTCCTCCCTCCCTCCCAATCCTTCCTTTCTCCCTCCCTCCTTCTCTCCCTCTCTCTTTCTCTCCTTCCTTCCTTCCCTCCTTCCTTCATTCCTCCCTCCCTCCCTTCTCTTTCTCTCTTTTTTTTCTTTTCTCTCTCTCTCTTTCTTTTTTCTTTCAAACAGGGTCTCCCTGTGTCTCCCAGGGTGAAATACAGTGGCACAATCACAGCTCACTTCAGTCTCAACCTCCCAAGCTCAAGCCATCCTCCTGCCTCGGCCTCCTGAGTAGCTGGGGACCACAGGTGCACACCACCATGCCTGACTGATTTTTGTGTTTTTTGTAGAGATGGGTTTTGCCATGTTGCCCAGGCTGGTATCATATTATTTCTATGGAGAAATCTGTTACAAGTTCCATATAAGCAACTTACAAATGAAATTGTCAGGGCTCTGTGGGTCTCAGGTTTCCTGTGAGGGTGTCATATTAAATGAAGTTTAAGGTATCTTCCAAGTTTAACATTCTATGAATCTTTGTTACCAGTTCATTTTAAGTCAGTTAAATGGAATGGCTGAAATAGGGCAGCATTCTTGAATAACATGGCACTTGAAGATTGTTCACTCTCTGCTCAGCAAGCTGTATCTTGTTTGTTTTCACAGCAGTTGAGGATTTACCACCATTATTTTAACTATTTTTGAAATTCTAGCACTCACATCTTGCCACTAAATATTTATAAACAAAATACCCTATTTGTTGCAGCAAACTTATTATTTTGATTTGTGAGTTTTTATGGAAACCTGAGAAATCCAAACAGGCTCACATTTCTAAGCAAAAGCAAATAGTAATTTCCTCCTTCTCCATCCATGTGTTAGACAAAGTAGGGACTTTTTCTAAGAGTAGAGACATTGGCCTTCTTGAGGTAATTTCAACACAAAAATGCAGTGGTTCATAATACTTTGGTTCAATATTTAAGTTATAGATTGAAAAATAAGTGGTCTAGGAAGCACAGAGAGTGCCTTGAAATAAAAAGATCCGTGTCTGTAGTCATAATTGGGTAAAACCTATTTTACCTGTAGGTGTGGTCAGTGATTGTCTACCTGGCAGGAATTAAATGTTTCTAAGAGACTCCTCTAAAACCTCTCTCCCATTAGACCACACCAAGAAGTCTGAAATTCTACCAATCACTCTTTTAAGAAACTGTGCTACACAGAGTGTCCACTGGAAAAAAAAAAAGTTTTTTAACCCATTACCTCCCAGTGGCACGCTAGCTGAGACCAGCCTGATGGCCACCTGTTTGGAGGTGAGTGCTGAGACAGAGAGGAAGGAAAGACTGAATCTGGGGTACCCTACTGAAAGTCCCTATTGGGTACACAACTCTGGGTATGGGAGCAGGGGCCCAAAGACCATCTGGCCCATTTCATGGCTTTTTCTTGGGCGTTCCTCTATATCTCCATTCAAAAGAAGTCAATGGATCTCATTTTCCTTGAGTCTCTGAGGGTTCAGATTGGAAGAGATCTTCCTTCTACATCATTCCCATTCTCTGTTCTCTTACTTCTCAGTGTATGGTCACCCACCAATAAGTCTCACTGGGCCCCCTCTGCTGTGGCCTGACAGTTGTTCTTTGGCAAAAGAACAGCTGTTTGGATGCTGCTTCTCTCCTCAGAATGACTGCCTTAGGATTATATCCAGGAATAATGCCTCTTCAGTGGGCCCCTGATTTGGTGCATGGCAGGGGAGGAAGTGAGAGACAATTCCTTTATTTCCTCCTCATTTCCAGCCCACAGTCCTTGTGTCTGTGTCAGAGATGAAGCAAGTAAGTCTGGGCACAGTGGCTCATGCCTGTACTCCCAGCACTTTGGGAGGCCAAGGCAAGCGGATCACATAAGATAAAGAGTTCAAGACAAGCCCGGCCAACATGGCGAAACCCCATCTCTACTAAAAATACAAAAAATTAGCCAGGCATGGTGGTGTGCACCTGTAATCACAGCTACTCAGTAGGCTGAGGCATGAGAATTGCTTGAACCCAGGAGGCAGAGGTTGCAGTAAGCCAAGAACGCGCCACTGCACTCCAGCCTGGGTGACAGAGCGAGACTCCGTCTTAAAAAAAAGGTGGGGAGAGAGATATGAAGCAAATAAGAGAAAGGATGATACTGATGTTTGCTCTTGGTGTTGTGGAACAGAAGGACAGGGGACCTGATGTGAGTCTCTGCTGAGTCTCTGCTATGGATCTATTTGGGGTGCATCCATTAGGTAGAATATCTGATGGTGACAAATTTTTAAAAAGGATTCTGTAGGGCAGCAACCTCACCTACCTTCTCTTTCTTTCTTTCTTTTTTTTTTTTTTAATAGAGAGGGGGTTTTGTCGTGTTGCCCAGGCTGGTCTCAAACTCCTGGACTTAAGCAATCTTCCCCCCTCAGCCTCCCAAAGTGTTGAGATTACAGGCATGAGCCACTACACCGAGCCCAGTATTCTTGTAAAATTACTGCCTTATGTCTTACGTGAAGTGTGCTTAAACTTAGTTTGCTTGGCAGTCTTGTCCTTGTTTCCCTGTACTGGCAGCTTCCAGGAAGGGAGGAACACTGGTAAGGACGATGACTGATTTTCCTCAAGTAGGTTACCCGTTCTAGTTCTCACACTATGCATTGCCCCGGCCCCCTAGTCCATGCTGAACAAAGCAGTGGAAAATGTAAGTGACGGTATTCCTTTTATTATTTTTTATTTTTTGAGACAGATTCTCACTCTGTCGCCAGGCTGGAGTACCGTGTCATGATCTTGGCTCACTGCAACCTCCGCCTCCCAGGTTCAAGTGATTCTCCTGCCTCAGCCTCCTGAGGAGCTGGGACTACAGGCACGTGCCACTATGCCCTGCTAATTTTTTTTTTTTTGTATTTTAGTAGAGACAGGGTTTCACCATGTTAGCCAGGATGGTCTCGATCTCCTGACCTCGTGATCCGCCCGCCTTGGCCTCCCAAAGTGCTGGGATTACAGGCATAAGCCACCGTGCCTGGCCAAGTGATGGTATTCTTAAATTGAGATCAACAAAAAGGAAAACCTTGACATTTTATTTGAATGAGCCCTTCACAGTGACCCTTATTTCTTGTGTACTCTTTTCTCTCTTTTTTTGATGTGACTTTATCTTTTTGTTTGTTTGTTTTTGTTTTGGCATGTGCCAGTCGTCATTCTGTTTCTTTATATTATACCTAATGGCAAAAGGAAGTTGCTCACTCTCAAGACTGAAATCTGTTCCTTAATATTAGAATGATGAAAACAAAAGAGGAGAATGAGTTGGGTCCTGAAAATGGAAGGTATGCCTATGTTTTACATTCAGGGTGCTGAAGACATTGTTGGTGTTTAATAAATTCATGGTGATTTGTACTATTAGCCATTAATTCTTTAATTATTATTATTATTATTATATATATTTTTTGAGACTGAGTCTCGCTGTGTTGCCAGGCTGGAGTGCATGGAGTGCAGTGGCACCATCTCAGCTCACTGCAACTTCCACCTCCCGGGTTCAAATCATTCTCTTGCCCAGTCTCCCAAGTAGCTGGGACTACAGGCGCATGCCAGCATGCCCAGCTAATTTTTTTTTTTTTTTTTGTATTTTAGTAGAGATAGGGTTTCACCATGTTGCCCAGGCTGGTCTCCAACTCCTGAGCTCAGGCAATCAACCTGCCTTGGCCTCCCAAAGTGCTAGGATTACAGGTGTGAGACACTGCGCCCGGCCTATTATTATTATTTTGAGATGGAGTCTCGCTCTGTTACCCACACTGGAGTGCAGTGGTGCAATCTCAGCTCACTGCAACCTCTGCCTCCCAGGTTCAAACAATTCTGCCTCAGCCTCCCAAGTAGCTGGGATAACAGGTGCGCACCACCATGCCTGGCTAATTTTTGTATTTTTAGTAGAGACGGGATTTCACCATCTTATCCAGGCTGGTCTCCAACTCCTGACCTCAAGTGATCCACCCACCTCAGCTTCCCACTATTTTTATTTTTTTGAGGCAGGATCTCACTTTGCTGCCCAGGCTGGAGTGCAGTGGTGCAATCATGACACACTGCAGCCTTGACCTCCAAGACTTAAGCATCCTCCCACCTCAGCCTCCTGAGGAGCTGGGACCACAGGCATGCGCCACCACACCTGGCTTTTTTTATTTTTTGGAAAGATGAAGTCTCCCTATGTTGCTGAGGCTGGTCTCAAACTCTTGCCTCAGCAGTTGTTTTAAGAGGCTTAATAAATTATTGGCCAATTCAGAATTCTAAACACAACCAATATGTGGCTGAATTCAGAGAAAAAATGTGGAGTATATTTTGACTTTGGGGGTCTAGAATTGGAGTTGAAGTTGAAGGAGTGGAATGTTGTGAAATATAAAGTTTATAAAAATTCAAAGTCTGAGAAGAAAAGGAACAATGCCCAATGCAATAATACCCTTACAATAATAGCCCCTTTAAGAACCAATTGTACAATGCCTGGGATTAGAAAATTTCCACAGGCTACAGTAAGGATTTGTTTATATTTGGATAATTGGATCAGAAAATGACTCCAAAGATATCATTTGATCATCAACTCTATTCAATATGGAATCCTCCCAAAAACTGATGTTCAAACTTTCTGACTTAGAATTCTATTTAGGAGGATGTGAGAGAAAAAAAAGTTGAAATGTAAAAAGCCATCTAAAGAGATCATTGTCTTTAGTGTGGAATGGTATGCTATGGATAATGCTGGAATGTATGCTTTGGGCTTGGAGAATTATCTAAAACCTTGAGCAACAACTTGTTCAACCAGCATTTACTGATTTCTGTGTGCTGGACACTGCGTCGAGGGGAATAAAAAGATGAACGAGACGTAATCGGCCCTCCTTAGATCTCACAGACTCAGGGAGCAAATGGCGCAGCAATGATGAGTGGAATGTCTGAGTCTTACCCCAATTGTATGACTGGTTTTCAGCACTTGGCTAGTTCCCCGCTTCTGTTCCCTCACCCATAAAGTGAAGAGATAGAATAATGAAGAGATGGTCCTCTCGGGCTGGTCAGGCGGTCACGTGGGCTGGAGAACTGGAGTGACCAGCTCTGTGGTTAAGCCTCTGAACTCTTCAGGTCTCACTTTCTTCATTTCACCCTCAGATAGTAACAGTGCCCACCTTGCAGTGCTGTTATGGGAATTACATTGAGACAATCCACATGGAGAGCTTGGCTCACAGAAAGCACTGGGGAGATGTTAGCTGCTATTAGTACTGTTCCTAGGTATGCAGAGGAACATTTCCATATTTGAAATTATTGGCACATTTGTCATTGTGTAGACAGCACATTGGAAGGCAGATAAAATGTTTCACTTTTATGTTTTATTATTATTTTTAAGATAGAGTCTCTTCTGTCACCCAGGATGGAGTGCAGTGGTGCGATCTCAGCTCTGCAACCTCTGCCTCCCAGGTTCAAGTGATTCTTCTGCCTCAGCCTCCCGAGTATCTGGGATTACAGGCGCCTGTCACCAGGCCCTGCTAATTTTTGTATTTTTAGTAGGGATGGGGTTTCACCATGTTGGCCAGGCTGGTCTCGAACTCCTGACTTCAAGTGATCCATCCGCCTCAGCCTCCCAAAGTGCTGGAATTACAGGCATGACCACTGTACCCGGCCTGTTTTCACTTTTAAATCAGAAGGTTTGACATCATGGAATCACTGTCTAATGCTGATCCCACATTTTGGTTATCATAAATTATTATTATTGTTACTATTATTGAGACGAAGTCTCCCTCTGTCGCCCAGGCTGGAGTGCAGTGGCGCAATCTTGGCTCACTGCAACCTCCGCCTCCTGGGTTCAAGCGATTCTTCTGCCTCAGCCTCCCGAGTAGCTGGGACTACAGGCGTGTGCCACCACGCCCAGCTAATTTTAGCATTTTTAGTAGAGACGAGGTTTCACCATATTGGCCAGGCTGGTCTCGAACTCCTGACCTCGTGATCTGCCCACCTCGCCCTCCTGAAGTGCTGGGATTATAGGCATGAGCCACCATGCCCAGTCTATCATAGATTATTTAAAAAGGGCAGAGAGACTAAATAGATGTGATCCTCATTATTGGCAGATTTGATATTTGCAAATTTGCATACTCAATAATGTTTATTGGTAATCCCTAAATCAATACTCATGGTGCTTTCCTGGTCATTCTCAGATATGTACAGAGCAGTAAAAAATCTGAGTTGTTCAACATGCTTGTTCCCAGCTGAGGTTGAACAGGACTATGTTCTGCCTTGTTTCAGCGCTCATACTGTAAACAAGTGTCCTTTCAAAGTCTCTGTAGTGCCACGTTTTTCACATTTTTGTGCCTTTTGTTGGTGATTTTGCCATTTGAAATGGCCTCTGAGCATAGTATGAAAGTGCTGTCTAGTGTTCCTAAGTGCAAGAAAGCTATAATGTGCCTTACCCAGAAAATATATGTGTTAGAGAAGCTTCATTCAGGCATGAGTTACGGTGCTATTGGCTGTGAATTCAATGTTAATGAATCAACACTACATATGAAATAAGGTGTCTTTAAACAGAAACACACATAAAACAAGGTTGATGAAAACATTGTGACCAGAGGCTCATAGAAACTTAACCCTTTATTTCCCCTGGGGGCAATGGCTCAGTACCCACCAATTGAGTGTTTGTGGTAACTTTATAGCACATAGCTATCATTAATAATAACAATCAATTGCATGCATGTACGTATGTGTATACATATATATAAATGTATGTGTGCATACGAATGTATATATATACACTTAGGTATTATTTTTTGTTTTTACAAAATTGCTGATAAATTTGTCAGAGAGTGCATGAATGGGGCTCTTTTGAATTGAGAGTCAGACTTGTGAGTTGGACTTTCTGGAACAAGGCCAGTATGTTGGGGGCCGGGAATCACATTTATAAAGAGATTATTTTAAGTTGTCCTTGCAGTAAATAATTTTAATACTAGCTGCTCTCTGAGTAGTGGCAAGAAGAGGAAATTGATCTTGTCCTAGTCCCTATTTTGAGAGATTGGTCTCTAAAGCCTCTCATTGCTGCAAGGAAAATCCTAGATTTAACAGATGGATTGGATGAAAAAGAAGAATCCATAGCATGACTTTGAAAGTCTTAGGCATAAAAGATATGACAGTACCTGGACTCTAGAACCAGGTTGCTTGTATTTGAAGTTAATCTCTGTCATTTAACGAGCTGAGTGACCTTGGGGAATTTTCTTAGCCTCTCTGTGCCTCCCCTGTAAAATGTGTACCTACCTTATAGAGTTAGGAAGACAAAACGCAAAAGCTCTCAGCACAATGCCTGGTACGAGGCATGTGCTAGTCCAATATTAACTCTTATTAACATTAGTAATCTTCAAAGCTTCCCTCAATCTCAATCATAGGACCATGAATTCACTCAGTAGACACTGACTGATCATGTTCTACGTCTTAACAACTTGGTAAGCTAATAGCTGACTATAGATATATGTAGATAATTTTGTGGATCTGTGGATATATAGATATTTTAAACTCTCCTATGCAGTTACTCCAAGGAAGAGACTGTCAACAATGGATGATACAGTTTCTCATTTTTTGCTTTGCCCAGGGAGCCAGCGGGGAGTGCCATTGGTGAAGGCAGACATACCATCCACTGTGTGGGTGAAGGAAACTCTGGCCAGCAGAGATCCAGGAGGAGGCACCCAGCAATGGAATGCAAGGCACCAGGGATTCTGTGCAGGAGCAGCAAGAGTATCTCCTGGGGAGCCTGGGAGGTTCTGAGCCCTGGACTGAAGGGCAGCCTGAAACCTCAAGAGACCACAGTAATATTACCATCTCCATCAGAACTAACCCTTGCTAAATGCTGATGTGCACAGGGCCCGGTGCCAGGTGCTGCCTATCAGAAATCTGAGCTACCTATTTGCAAAAACCTTCATAGTATTGATTGCTGCTGGCTGTGGAGATAGCAAGGGGGAAATGACCAAAGAGGTTAACACAAGGGCTTCGGAGATATTGATAATGTCTTTTTAAAATTATTATTATTATTTTAAAAGTTTCTGAAATAGAGAAGGGGTCTTGCTATGTTGCCCAGGCTGGTCTTGAACTCCCGAGCTCAAGCCATCTGCCTGCCGTGGCCTCTCAAAGTGCTAGGATTGTAGGCGTGAGCCACCATGCCTAGCCGATATTGATAATGTTTTATTTCTTAAGCTGGATAATACCCGCACTGGGTTTTGTTTCAGTATTCTCATAGCCCACACACATATATATTAGATATACCCTTATAAGTGTACATATTTATAAGTATATGTTTTGGCTGCAAAGATAAATACCAAAATTACAGTGACTTAAACAAGTTAAAGTTATTTATCTTTCATGGAACAGTCTGAGACTAAGTGATCTTTTTCTAAAGCTCTATGATGTCACAGACTGACACCCTCTACTGCAACTTTGTGCAATATGTGGCTTCTGTCTCATTGTGGCTGATCCAGTGCCTGCCATCACGTCTAAATTCTAGCCAGTAGTTTGAGCAAAGGTTAGAGGAAAAGCATGTTTCTTTGCTTTTAAGAGAATGACCCAGAAGTTATTTATTTATTTATTTATTTTTTTGGAGGCAAGAGTCTCACTCCGTCACCCAGGCTAGAGTGCAGTGGTATGATTTCAGCTCACTGCAATCTCCGCTTCCCAGTTTCAAGTGATTCTCGTGCCTCAGCCTCTGGAGTAGCTGGGATTACAGGTGCATGCCACCATGCGCAGCTAATTTTTGTATTTTTAGTAGAGACAGGTTTCTTCATGTTGGCCAGGCTGATATCGAACTCCTGGCTTCAAGTGATCCACTGGCCTCGGCCTCCCAAAGTGCTGGGATTGCAGTCGTGAGCCACCGCACCTGGCCCAGAAGTTACAATTCTATCTCACATCCCACTGTCTAGAACCTGGTCTCTTAGCCCCCCTTAATTGCAAAAAAATCTGAGAAATGTAGTTTTTAGCTGGGCAACAACTGATAGAGCTAAAACATCTTTTCCTGTATAAAAAGGAGGGGCCGGGCATGGTGGCTTATGCCTGTAATCCCAGCACTTTGAGAGGCCGAGGCGGGTGAATCACAAGGTCAGGAGATCGAGACCAGCCATGGTCAACATGGTGAAACCCTGTCTCTACTAAAAATACAAAAATTAGCTGGGCGTGGTGGTGGGCACCTTGAATCCCAGCTACTCAGGAGGCTGAGGCAGAAGAATCGCTTCAACCCAGGAGGCAGAGGTTGCACTGAGCTGACATCATGCCACAGTACTCAGGTCTGTGACAGAGCGAGACTCCATCCCAAAAAATAAAATAAAAAGGAGAGCAAATATTAGAGGGCAGAGAGCAGCCTCTGCTACAAATATATAAAAATATATAGGTGATTAATTTAAAGAGCTGAAAGTAAAAACTATACTTCCCAGTGCATTAACTATGAACTTATTTATTTAAAAATCATTATAGGCTTGCCCTGGCACAGTGGCTCACACCTGTAATCCCAGCAGTTTGGGAGGCCAAGGCGGACGGATCACCTGAGGTCAGGAATTCAAGACCAACTTGGGCAACATGGTGAAACCTCGTTTCTACTAAAAATACAAAAAAAAATTAGCCAGGCAGGGAGGTGCATGCTTGTAATCCCAGCTACTCTGGAGACTGAGGCATGAGAATCGTTTGAACCCGGGAGGCAGGGGTTTCATTGAGCCGAGATCCCACCATTGCACTCCAGCCTGGGTGACAGAGCAAGACCCCATCTCAAAAAAAAAAAAAAAAAAATTATAGTCTTAAAGGAGAGTCAATAGAGAACAGAGAAGCAAACTATAAACATTGGAAGTTACTGCTAATTTATAACTAGTTTGAAATGAAGAATTAAAAGCTGTAGTGTAAATCAACCAGAAAGTGATTTGATTTTTTTTTCTTCACTCAGGGTGGCCTTGAATAATTTGGATTTCAAAAATGCTACATGCCCACAACTCTTCAGAAACATAACTAGCACTTAAAGCTGGGAGACCTCTTGTATGTCGAAGTTAAATTGGTTCTGGACTATTCATGAGTATTGGTGCCAGGGACATGAGGTGATTATGTACGAACAAAACCCACTGTTCCTCTTCTAAATTGTCAGGCGAGATCTCGTGGAGGAGGTAGAATCTCAGGGACTGGTGGAATAGGAAAGGAGGAAGGCTGAATTTCTTTCTTTTTCTTTTTTTTTTTTTTTGAGATGGAGTTTTGCTCTTTCACCCAGGCTGGAGTGAAGTGGTGCGATCTCGGCTCACTGCAACCTCCACCCCTGGGTTCAAGCGATTCTCCTGCCTCAGCCTCCTGAGTAGCTGGGATTACAGGCGTGTGCCACCACGCCCTGCTAATTTTTACATTTTTAGAAAGAGAGGGTTTCGCCATGTTTGCCAGGCTGGTCTTGAACTCCTGACCTCAGGGGATCCACCTGCCTCGGCCTCCCAAAGTGCTGGGATTACAGGCGTGAGCCATTGTGCCCAGCTGGGAGCTTGAATTTCTATTCAGCCCTAGAGCAGTGCGTGAGAGAAGGCTTGAGGGAGAAGAGAAGCCATAGGTGGGACAGGAAGGAGGGTCAAGTGAGGTGCAGGTGCCAGGATTTTGAAAGTAGAGAATGAAGACTATTAAATAGTGAGTAGAAAGTCTGATGCCAGTTAGAGAATTCATTTACAGTTCCAATGTGAGGGGACAGCCCTCAAGCACCTGCTTCCCAAGAGACCTACAGCAGTCTAAGTAAAAGGTTGCCAGGGCCTGGGGAGAGTGTGCCACAGGCCCAAAGACAGTGAGGGTATTATTGTAAGTGAAAGCAATCAACAATGCCCTGGGATGTGGCAATAGGTTGTGATGCTGGTGAGTGGGAATTACTATTTGATGGCATATCAACGAGGCTGGTGATATCATGTCTCAACATCAGAGAAGTGAGTGGCAAGGTTATGGGGAGTGTGCTATATATTTTCATGTACCATTCATTCAACAAATACGTATGACATGCCTGCTATGGGCCAGGCTCTGTTCTGGGCTCTGGGGAAACTGTGATGAACAGAACAGACAAAAATTCCAGTTTTCTTGAGCTTACATTCTTTTTTATTTTTATTTTTTTTAGAGACGGAGTCTCGCTCTGTCGCCCAGGCTGGAGTGCAGTGGCACGATCTCGGCTCACTGCAACCTCCGCCTCCCGGGTTCACGCCATTCTCCTGCCTCAGCCTCCCGAGCAGCTGGGACCACAGGTGCCTGTCACCACGCCTGACTAATTTTTTGTATTTTTAGTAGAGATGGGGTTTCACCATGCTAGCCAGGATGGTCTCGATCTCCTGACCTCATGATCAGCCTGCCTCGGCCTCCCAGAGTGCTGGGATTACAGGCGTGAGCCACCGTGCCCGGCCGTTTTGAGCTGACATTCTAGTGTTCCAGCCTAATTTTATTATTTTGGGTTCCACTTTAATGCCCCAAATCTAATTACAATTTACTTTAGCAGATTCAGTCATGACTTGGCCCTCATAGCATGCAACAGTGATCTCTCTGTCTGAAGAGGTTTTCATCCTTGAGGTCAATTTTCCAGTGAATACACTTGGAGGTTTGATCATTTCTTTCTCATTGACACTCCTTATCTTTTGTTCTAAAAGGCATATTTTTGCATCTACATTTTTAGTATAATTTTATAGTTAAAAGATCTTTGGCTGCATTAGAATCCTGCCAACCTCTCTGCTTTCTTGCTGGCACTTCACACTAAGGCTCCAGTTAATTATCTTTGCTGCTTCTCACTTCCTAAACCTTGTCTGATTAAGTCATTTCTCAAAACTCAGTCAGGTGAGTTTTACGACTGCTCCAGGAAGCCTTCTCTGGTTGCACTCCAACAGTCCCCTGATTTCTCTCTACAGTGGCACTTGCCACCTGGTGTGACGATTTTCTGTAATCTTGTCTGTCTCTCCTGCTTATCTGGGAGCAGCTTGAGGGCAGGGCATTGTCAAGCATCTTTGCTTCCCTAGTACCCACCATAGTGTTTGTCTCAGCAGGATCAAGGAGTTTGACCAAATAAAACAAACACAAACTTACTTGCACTATCACCTAGGGACAGACAGGGTGAGTTGATGATTGCAAATAATTCCCTATAGGAAATGTCTGATATTCTTGAAAGCTTTTTCTCGTCTTTTCTTTTTAGTTTTGATCACCCTCCTACCTCACTTCTTTGAGGCCTTGGTACCTCCTCTCTTCCCCTTAAAAAGTGGCCTGAAATAGAAGTTTGTGTTTTTGCTTATTTATCAAACATCTCAAAAACCCTGTATGGTGAGCCAAACACTCTTCTAAGCATTTTATAAATATTAATTCATTTAATCTTCATGAAAATCATATATATATATTTTTTTTGAGAAGGGTCTTGCTCTGTTGCCCAGGCTGGAGTGCAGTGGCGCAATCTCAGCTCACTGCAACCTCCACCTCCCGGGTTCAAGTGATTCTTATGTCTCAGCCTCCTGAGAGATAAGAATTAGCCTCCTCCGGCTAATTTTTGAATTTTTAGTACAGACGGGGTTTCACCATGTTGGCCACAGAGGTCTCGAACTCCTGACCTCAGGTGATCCACCTGCCTTGGCCTCCGAAAGTGCTGGCATTACAGGCGTGAGCCACCGTGCCTGACCAGGAGTAGAGATATTAAGGAACATGCCCAAGATCACACAACTAAAGAGAAACAGCAAGATGCATATCTGGGATTTGAACCCATGCCTCCATAACTGGTGCTTAATCTAGCTCCAGGTGCAGAGGTGCAGCCAGCTGCTGCAGCAGTTACACTGGATAGACTTTTCCCCATGCACCTAGCCTTTTGCACTTCTGCCCAAAGCATGCTGAGCTCTGGACAGAAAGATGACTGAAATGTAAAGGTTGACAGCTTTGTGGATCCACACTGTGGTTTTTGGCTAGAGTTTGCTGGGCACTGGTAGTCAATCTTTAAAAATGGTATAATAGTCACACTTTTTTTGTTGGATAATTGCATATCTTTAATTTGTGGTATTATAAACAGCAGTAATCTAGCTTAAGAGTAGCCAGAAAAAGTTATTTGATATCCATTAAGTCAGGTTTCTATCTTTATCCACCTCTGTAGGGGTGAATATTATTATGGCCAGGAAAAAGCAACATTGTAATATACTCTAAAGGGTGTCTCTTGAGTGGATAGATTAAAAATAAAAATCCCTTCTGAAGAAGGTAGGCAACTACTCTGCTTCCTTCCCTAATAGGTTAATACAATTTTCCCCTTAGGTATTATGACAATTTGGCTCTCTGTAGGACATGAACATTAAAGGGGGGGGAGGGGAATCATACCTTTCTTAGTCCATAGACTTAGAATAGTGATTAAAAAAAAATACCTACTTAAACTGCTGCCACCTAAAATGTGTACCTTAGTCAGAAAACTCTGATAGTTCAAGATAAATGAAAACATTAGCTCATGCAAAAGAATTGCTTATTTGGTAAGTATGAAGTCCCTTTAGAGTAATCATTGAGAATAAGGGCGTCCATCCTCAGTGATTGCTTTTGGTCAGCGTTCTATGGTTGAGTGGGCTTATATTCGCAGGCAAAGAATAAACAATTTAGATAGCATCTTCTATCAGAAGACATTTCAGTGGTTTGAAAATTTGACTCTAAGTTAACTGTTCAGCCTTTGGAAATGGATCATCCCTTTTGTTTAGCCCACTGGTGTAGTATTTAGATTAATGTGTAAGTTTGTATTTAACCTGACAGAAACCAAAGAGCCAGATCAGCCACATGCTAGTGGTCTTTCTGGGGCCCTGATGGACGTACATGCAGGAAAGGGGACCCAAGTCATTAGTTCGTGATTAATGTTTGTAGAAAGTAATATTTTTACCATTTTATGT